>NC_000023.11:101837542-102462542 GCF_000001405.40 Homo sapiens | reverse complement strand
GTTGATCGGTTGGTCAGTGATATTGACCATTCACTGCATGTGGGGGCAGGGATATTATACCAAAGTACAAGGAGGAGTAGGAAGTCCAAGCCTCTTAATATATTAGCAATTTAATTGGTGGGGTAGGAGAAAAACCATGAAAAATATCCAATAGAGTCTTAAAACAACATTTAAATACAGTTGATGGGACTGGAGAATGCCGAGTAGATCCAAGGATGGAACTGAACCCTTGCCCAATTTACTTTGTTTTCATCGAAGTGGCATATGGTGCTGTGTGTTTGGATCAGGTGGTACCTTGCGGGTAACAATGAGTGTATTTCATCTGCCCAGTGGCTAATGCTGTCTTCTGGTGGCAGAGAGCCAGAATTCTTCCTGGAATAGGCCTGGCTTGTGGTATGAGGCTCTCTGGGCTTTGCCCCTCTGCCAGGCCCACTCTGCATTCTATCCCTTATTATCTAGGCCTGAAGAGACTATGCTGAGTGTGAGTGAACAGGTGTCTCAGGAAGTCCATCAAGGCCTTAAGGACATGGGCCTCACTACTCTGAGCAGTGAAAACACAGCATCTCTTCTAGGCCAACTCCAGAACATCACCAAGAAAGAGAACTGCATTCGTAGCATTGTTGGTAAGAATCTCCATGGTCGTCGTGCAGAAAAGTGGCAAGAATGTGGGGCATGGGTGGGTAGACCTTACCCTGAATGTGAGTTACCTAAGCATTTAAAAATGAAAAGGCATGATCATTTGGGAAGTTTTTTAGCTTTAGTTTCCTCGTCTATAATGTGCACTGTTCAAATAGATCTTTCTCAATTTGGAGAATGCATGTATGGTTTGAAGACAGCTCTGTACCCAAGATATGTCATTCACAGGTGTTGGATATTATCACGCTAACCCTATGAAGTCATTCCTGGTATTTTCTCTTTTCTTTTCTTTTCTTTTTTTTGAGACAAAGTCTCACTCTGTTGCCCAAGTTGGAGTGCAGTGACACGATCTAGGCTCACTGCAACCTCCACCTTCTGAGTTCAAGCGATTCTACTGCCTCAGCCTCCCGAGTAGCTGGGACTACAGGCACGCGCCACCATGCCTGGCTATTTTTTTTTGTATTTTTAGTAGAGATGGGGTTTCACCATGTTGGCCAGGCTGGTCTCGAACTCCTGACCTCGTGATCCGCCTGCCTCGGACTCCCAAAGTGCTGGGATTACATACGTGAGCCACCACGCCCAGCCCATTCCTGGTCATATTCTAAATGTCGGCCAAGATATATGGAGGAACCCTTTCTCTATCCTATGCTTTAAGCTACCATTTGGGCCCCTACGCCTCTCCATGGAAGTGATGCTGAGTTGGGCTGTAGGACATGTTCCATGCTGGAATGGAAGCAGTGAACTTGGCCAGCTTGCTTTGAACTTTACCATCTGATCATAGCCTGGATTGGGTGTATGGGCCTGAACTTGGTGCACTGGCTGCAACATGTGTTGTTACTTTCAGGTACCGGGTCTACGGTCCTCTTGTTAAGTTAAACGTGCCCTAGGATCTCACATACAGCTACATAAAGTAATCTTATGAACCCCCAGAAATTTACTACCTCAGCATCTTTTGATCATGCATTGTCCTTTGGGAGATTGATGGCATTCCATTCCCCCAAACAAACAAAAATCTCATGTATACGGTTTACCCAAATGAGCAGAGAGGTCAGTGAATAACTCGGTTAATGCAAAACTTTGGTGAGCAGATAGAGCAAAGGCATTGTGAATTTCTTCTGTACCGTCTTCGTTCCTCTTGTCATTGTTTTTCCCTGCTCACAGATCAGTGGATCCGTTTTTTTCTCAAATGCTGTTTGCTTCATGGCATGCAGGAGTCTCTGCTACACTTTCCTGGAGGCCTCATTCTCATTGAAAAGGAGTTGGCAGAACTGGGCTGGAAGTTTCTCAATCTGATGCATCATAATCAGCAGGTATTTGGCCCATACTATGCTGAGATCCTAAAACACATCATCCATCCAGCTCAAGCACAAGAAACAGATGTGGAGCCTAACTGATAGTGCTGGACCCCAGCTATGGCAACAGGGACTCAGGAGAGAGAGGTCAGCATGTTTCTGGGAGGACATCACCTGTGGTTAGTCGAACAGTCAGCCCTCTTCCTCGCTATAGCCAGGACACAGGGATGCAGGGGTCAAGCATGTAAGCACCAACTGGCCCAATCCCCTTCACTAATAAACCTCTGAGCTGCAAGAAAATTTCAGTTCCTCCTGTGTTCTAGCTGAAGTCAGGTTCTGCAGCCTCATCCCCTAACTAGCTGAGTGAGAATCCAGTGGGCCCTCTGTTTTCCCTTCATTGGCTGATCATTCTTCAGTATGCTTGCCTGAGCCGAATCTGGGCATCAGGTACTGATAAGGGAAAATCCTGGGACTGTATAGAATAATGCCCCCTGAAAACTGGGAAGGAGCTAAGAGACCAAAGAATGACCCGGACAAGTCCGGCTTGATAAGCAGATGAATTTCTTGGGACTTACGTATAGGGCATTCCTGGGTGGCAGCAGGACAGCTCTGGGGATCTGCCCTGACACTCCTCTGCAAGCTGCTTTTAAGCTAATTTTCTGGCTCTTTGCCTTCTGTATGCAATGAGACTCTTTCTCTTGGTATGTTTCCCAGTACACTCTGGGATGTTTTGGTTCTCACAGACACCTCGGCTCCTAAGCTGGGCACCATGCATGGCCTTAGACCACCACCTGGCCTTCAGGGTTCAGGCAGCAGACATACAGCCTTAAGTAATCTGGTGGGGGAGGGGGGAACTCATTAACCTACAGTCACTAGCATTATTTTCTCCATTGAAAAATCATTTCCTTGAGGGCTTTGAAAACTCTTTGTGAGATTATCCAGAGAATGACTATAAGGGCTTCTGGAAGTCAGAAATTCACTGAATTGCAGATGAAGAGAAGACATAGAACTCCATTTCTAGCACCACATTTCCCTGTAGTTTTCAAGGATACAGCAATAGCAAGAGTTGCGAACTCCCGTTCTAGTGTCTGGTTTGAAGCAGTATGAAAACTGGGGATTGGTTGAAAGTTGATATGGTGAATATCAACTTTGTGCCAACAGGCATTCAGCTAAGGACAGGTCTCAGCTTCCAAGGGATTTCTTTCTTTTAAGTGATTCTAGGGGTCAGGCTTGGAATCTCTGATAATGACAGTAAACCGAAGCAATTAGGTCAGTGAGTATCATATCAAGTTCACCCCGATCCTATTTCTACAGCTGAATTAATCTTATCTGGCCACATCTCTAGGCTTAGAACATCTCCTTCTTCTTGACAGAATCGATGTGCGTATTCAAGCGTGGGGCAGCTGCCATGCTTTTTCCCACTCCTAGTCTGGGACTCCAACTGCCAAGTTATGAATATCAGCTGACTTGGCAACACAAATGATAGATGTTCTTGGTCCACAAGGACTTGGGCTTGTTGTTAGAGACTGCAGAGGTTCGTCCCATCGTTCCCAGGCCAACTGCAGCAGACAAGCAGCAATCTAGAAAATTAGGAACAAATTTAGGTTTGGATTTGGACTAGGTTTGGATTCAGAATGGACAGGGGACAATAGAAACTTACTTATGGGATAGACCCAAACTGGTTGAAAAAAATCATGTCCTCATTATTTCGGCGGATGGAAGGAGCTGAGTACAATTTACTCAGCCCAAGAAAAACAACAGATGAGATTGGAGTTCCATTACTCCCCAGGGAACCACGTGATTGATTTCCCTAGAGGGTGGATACCAGATGGGTGACATAGCTGGGTAAACAGAGTGCTACTTTTACTTTGGCTGGAGATGAGGCACACAGAAAAGCTGTGGAATGGATCATTCACGTGTTCTAATCTTGTGACTAGATAGTCTCAGGACAGAGACCATGGCAGATGAATGTTTTATAATTAATAAATAGGCAGTGAGCCTGGCCTAGTTAAATTTTCTAATGTGATTAGACAATACGAATACAATTTTTTAAAAAAGTATTAATTTTGGGAGCCAGATTATCTTACAGACAAGTGTGTTCTGAAGTGATCCCTGTGAAGATGACGGAGTAGTTGACGGATACTGACTTTGGGCTGCAATGAAACTTTGCTTTATACTTTATAATTAAAATCTGACTTGTGTTGATTTCTTGGAGATTTTGAGTTTATTGATTCTCTTGTGCTTCTACGTGGAGGAAATGGGAATCCTGATCCTAAACAAGGAAAGATAGCTCACTCAATTCTGTTCACCATTTAGGGATGGATGGATGCACAGTTAGATAGATAGGTGGAACATGCACATGGTTAAAAATGACATGCAGTACAGAGAAAATTCGGTTTTTTCGCCACCCCTGTATCTCATTTATCCTACTTAGAGGAAACTATATCCAGGTTTTTGTGCATACTTCTAAAGATATTCTGTGCATATGCAAGTACATATTATAATTATAACAAATATTTGTGAGTGTGTATGCACCAGGCACTCTTTTAAGCACTCTACATATATTATTTCAATTATTCCTTAACAATTTATCTCCAGTCTACTTTTCCAATTCTAGAACAATGTTGTACAGAAAGCTCTAACTGAGGGTAAGAACCGGTGTTTGTTTGTTTGTTTATATATTTATTTATCTGGTCTTCTTTGAGTGAGTAAGGGAAAATCATTTCACTTTCTTGGGCTTTGTCTTCATCTATAAAATTCTATACTTGACTAAATTACTGATTTTCTTGTTCAATTTTATAGAGTCATTTTTCACAAAACGAAATCTTTCCAGAAGATCACGAATAAGAGAGATCAAAGCTAGGCAGCTTGAGTTGAAGTAGAGCTGGAAGAAGGAGTTTTGAGGACTGTTTCAAAACCACTGGACTAGATGATCTCTAAAGGTTCCTGTATTATTTTCTTCTTTTCTTATGGCTGTTGTAACAAATTACCCCCTGAACTTTGTGGCTTAAAATAACATGCATGTATTCTCTTATCATCCTGATTGTCAGAAGACCAAAATCAGTTTCAGTGGGTGAAAATCAGGGAGTCAGTAGGGCCAGGCTCCCTCTGGAAGCTCTAAGGGAGAATCCATTGCCTTGCCATTTTTAGCTTCTGAAGCTGTATTCTTTATTCCTTGGCAAGGCAATGGATTCTTCCCTGGAGCTTCCAGAGCTCCCATTCCTTTATCATCGAAGCCAGCATCATAGCTTCTTGTGTCAGTCATCACATTGCCTCCTTCTATGTGAAATGTCCCTCTCCTTCCCTCTTAATAAGGAAACGCTCTTACATTTAGGGCCAGGCAGGATAATCTCCCCACCTCAAGATCCTTAGTCACATTTGTAAAGTCCCTTTTGCCATATAAGGTGGCAGTCAGGGGTTCCAGAGACTACAACATGGATATCTTTGGAGGCCATTATTTAGCTTACCACAGCCTACCCTCTAACTCCCCAAAATTCATGTTCATTCTACATGCAAAATATATTTGCCTCACCTCAATATCCCCAAAAGTCTTAACACCAACGCGAGTTGAAAATCTCATCTGTAAATCATCTAAACCAGGTATGAGACAGACTCTGGGTATGATCCTTCTTGAGGCTAAATTTCTTTTCATCAGTGGCCCTGCGAACTAGAAAATAAAGTTACCTCTTTTTTATTACAGTGGTGACATGGACATAGGATAATGGTTATAGACAGTCCCCCTCCCAACGGGAAAAAATGAAAGCAAGCAAAAAGTTACCAGCTCCAAGCCAACTTGAAATCCAATCAGGTAAACTCATTTAGGTTTCAAGGCCTGGGAATATTCCTCCGTGGCTAGAGGCTCTGCCCTCTATGCCCGAGGCTCCACCCTTTAAGTGAACAGAGCCAGGCTCTGTCCTCAGAGTTATCTTGTTTTTGTTTTTGTTTTGAAGAGTAATACATGTTTGCAGCAGAATACTTTATTATTATTACTATTATTATACTTTAAGTTTTAGGGTACATGTGGACAATGTGCAGGTTAGTTACACATGCATACATGTGCCATGCTGGTGTGCTGCACCCATTAACTCGTCACTTAGCATTAGGTATATCTCCTACAGCTACCCCTCCCCCCTTTCCCCACCCCACAACAGTCCCCAGAGTGTGATGTTCCCCTTCCTGTGTCCATGTGTTCTCATTGTTCAATTCCCACCTATGAGCGAGAATATGCGGTGTTTGGTTTTTTGTTCTTGCGATAGTTTACTGAGAATGATGATTTCCGATTTCATCCATGTCCCTACAAAGGACATGAACTCATCCTTTTTTATGACTGCATAGTATTCTATGGTGTATATGTGCCACATTTTCTTAATCCAGTCTATCATTGTTGGACGTTTGGGTTGGTTCCAAGTCTTTGCTATTGTGAATAGTGCCGCAATAAACATACGTGTGCATGTGTCTTTATAGCAGCATGATTTATAATCTTTTGGGTATATACCCAGTAATGGGATGGCTGAGTCAAATAGTATTTCTAGTTCTAGATCCCTGAGGAATCGCCACACTGACTTCCACAATGGTTGAACTAGTTTACAGTCCCACCAACAGTGTAAAAGTGTTCCTATTTCTCCACATCCTCTCCAGCACCTGTTGTTTCCTGACTTTTTAATGATCGCCATTCTAACTGGTGTGAGATGGTATCTCATTGTGGTTTTGATTTGCATTTCTCTGATGGCCAGTGATGATGAGCATTTTTTCACGTGTTTTTTGGCTGCATAAATGTCTTCCTTTGAGAAGTGCCTGTTCATGTCCTTCGCCCACTTTTTGATGGGATCGTTTGTTTTTTTCTTGTAAATTTGTTTGAGTTCATTGTAGATTCTGGATATTAGCCCTTTGTCAGATGAGTAGGTTGCGAAAATTTTCTCCCATTTTGTAGGTTGCCTGTTCACTCTGATGGTGGTTTCTTTTGCTGTGCAGAAGCTCTTTAGTTTGATTAGATCCCATTTGTCAATTTTGGCTTTTGTTGCCATTGCTTTTGGTGTTTTAGACATGAAGTCCTTGCCCATGCCTATGTCCTGAATGGTAATGCCTAGGTTTTCTTCTAGGGTTTTTATGGTTTTAGGTCTAACATTTAAGTCTTTAATCCATCTTGAATTAATTTTTGTATAAGGTGTAAGGAAGGGATCCAGTTTCAGCTTTCTGCATAGGGCTAGCCAGTTTTCCCAGCACCATTTATTAAATAGGGAATCCTTTCCCCATTTCTTGTTTTTGTCAGGTTTGTCAAACATCAGATGGTTGTAGATATGTGGCATTATTTCTGAGGGCTCTGTTCGGTTCCATTCGTCTATATCCCTTTTTTTGGTACCGGTACCATGCTGTTTTGGTTACTGTAGCCTTGTAGTATAGTTTGAAGTCAGGTAGAGTGATGCCTCCAGCTTTGTTCTTTTGGCTTAGGACTGACGTGGCAATGCGGGCTCTTTTTTGGTTCCATATGAACTTTAAAGTAGTTTTTTCCAATTCTGTGAAGAAAGTCATTGGTAGCTTGATGGGGATGGCATTGAATCTATAAATTACCTTGGGCAGTATGGCCATTTTCACGATATTGATTCTTCCTACCCATGAGCATGGAATGTTCTTCCATTTGTTTGTATCCTCTTTTATTTCATTGAGCAGCAGTTTGTAGTTCTCCTTGAAGAGGTCCTTCACGTCCCTTGTAAGTTGGATTCCCAGGTATTTTATTCTCTTTGAAGCAATTGTGAATGGGAGTTCACTCATGATTTGGCTCTCTGTTTGTCTGTTATTGGTGTATAAGAATGCTTGTGATATTTGCACATTGATTTTGTATCCTGAGACTTTGCTGAAGTTGCTTCTCAGTTTAAGGAGATTTTGGGCTGAGACGATGGGGTTTTCTAGATATACAATCATGTCATCTGCAAACAGGGACAATTTGACTTCCTCTTTTCCTAATTGAATACCCTTTATTCCCTTCTCCTGCCTGATTGCCCTGGCCAGAACTTCCAACACTATGTTGAATAGGAGTGGTGAGAGAGGGCATCCCTGTCTTGTGCCAGTTTTCAAAGGGAATGCTTCCAGTTTTTGTCCATTCAGTATGATATTGGCTGTGGGTTTGTCATAGATAGCTCTTATTATTTTGAGATACGTCCCATCAATACCTAATTTATTGAGAGTTTTTAGCTTGAAGGGTTGTTGAATTTTGTCAAAGGCCTTTTCTGCATCTATTGAGATAATCATGGGGTTTTTGTCTTTGGCTCTGTTTATATGCTGGATTACGTTTATTGATTTGTGTATGTTGAACCAGCCTTGCATCCCAGGGATGAAGCCCACTTGATCATGGTGGATAAGCTTTTTGATGTGTTGCTGGATTCGGTTTGCCAGTATTTTATTGAGGATTTTTGCATCAATGTTCATCAAGGATATTGGTCTAAAACTCTCTTTTTTGGCTGTGTCTCTGCCCGGCTTTGGTATCAGGATGATGCTGTCCTCATAAAATGAACTAGGGAGGATTCCCTCTTTTTCTATTGATTGGGATAGTTTCAGAAGGAATGGTACCAGCTCCTCCTTCTACCTCTGGTAGAATTCGGCTGTGAATCCATCTGGTCCTGGACTTTTTTTGGTTGGTAAGCTATTGATTACTGCCTCAATTTCAGAGCCTGTTATTGGTCTATTCAGAGATTCAACTTCTTCCCGGTTTAGTCTCGGGAGGGTGTATGTGTCGAGGAATTTATCCATTTCTTCTAGATTTACTAGTTTATTTGTGTAGAGGTGTTTATAGTATTCTCTGATGGTAGTTTGTATTTCTGTGGGATCGGTGGTGATATCCCCTTTGTCATTTTTTATTGCTTCTATTTGATTCTTCTCTCTTTTCTTCTTTATTAGTCTTGCTAGCGGTCTATCAATTTTGTTGATCCTTTCAAAAAAACAGCTCCTGGATTCATTGATTTTTTGAAGGGTTTTTTTGTGTCTCTATTTCCTTCAGTTCTGCTCTGATCTTAGTTATTTCTTGCCTTCTGCTAGCTTTTGAATGTGTTTGCTCTTGCTTTTCTAGTTCTTTTAATTGTGATGTTAGGGTGTCAATTTTAGATCTTTCCTGCTTTCTCTTGTGGGCATTTAGTGCTATAAATTCGCCTCTACACACTGCTTTGAATGTGTCCCAGAGATTCTGGTATGTTGTGTCTTTGTTCTCATTGGTTTCAAAGAACATCTCTATTTCTGCCTTCATTTCGTTATGTACCCAGTAGTCATTCAGGAGCAGGTTGTTCAGTTTCCACGTAGTTGAACGGTTTTGAGTGAGTTTCTTAATCCTGAGTTCTAGTTTGATTGCACTGTGGTCTGAGAGACAGTTTGTTAGAATTTCTGTTCCTTTGCATTTGCTGAGGAGTGCTTTACTTCCAACTGTGTGGTCAATTTTGGAATAGGTGTGGTGTGGTGCTGAGAAGAATGTATATTCTGTTGATTTGGGGTGGAGAGTTCTGTAGATGTCTGTTAGGTCCACTTGGTGCAGAGCTGAATTCAGTTCCTGGATATCCTTGTGAACTTTCTGTCTTGTTGATCTGTCTAATGTTGACAGTGGGGTGTTAAAGTCTCCCATTATTATTGTGTGGGAGTCTAATTCTCTTTGTAGGTCACTCAGGACTTGCTTTATGAATCTGGGTGCTCCTGTATTGGGTGCATATATATTTAGGATAGTTAGTTCTTCTTGTTGAATTGATCCCTTTACCATTATGTAATGGCCTTGTCTCTTTTGATCTTTGTTGGTTTAAAGTCTGTTTTATCAGAGACTAGGATTGCAACCCCTGCCTTTTTTTGTTTTCCATTTGCTTGGTAGATCTTCCTCCATCCTTTTATTTTGAGCCTATGTGTGTCTCTGCACGTGAGATGGGTTTCCTGAATACAGCACACTGATGGGTCTTGACTCTTTATCCAGTTTGCCAGTCTGTGCCTTTTAGTTGGAGCATTTAGCCCATTTACGTTTAAGGTTAGTATTGTTATGTGTGAATGTGATCCTGTCATTATGATGTTAGCTGGTTATTTTGCTCGTCAGTTGATGCAGTTTCTTCCTAGCCTGGATGGTCTTTACAATTTGGCATGTTTTTGCAGTGGCTGGTACCGGTTGTTCCTTTCCATGTTTAGTGCTTCCTTCAGGAGCTCTTTTAGGGCAGGCCTGGTGCTCACAAAATCTCTCAGCATTTGGTTGTCTGTAAAGTATTTTATTTCTCCTTCACTTATGAAGCTTAGTTTGGCTGGATATGACATTCTGGGTTGAAAATTCTTTTCTTTAAGAATGTTGAATATTGGCTCCCACTCTCTTCTGGCTTGTAGAGTTTCTGCCGGGAGATCCGCTGTTAGTCTGATGGGCTTCCCTTTGTGGGTAACCCGACCTTTCTCTCTGGCTGCCCTTAACATTTTTTCCTTCATTTCAACGTTGGTGAATCTGACAATTATGTGTCTTGGAGTTGCTCTTCTCTAGGAATATCTTTGTGGCATTCTCTGTATTTCCTGAATTTGAATGTTGGTCTGCCTTGCTAGATTGGGGAAGTTCTCCTGGATAAGTCCTGCAGAGTGTTTTCCAACTTGTTTCCATTCTCCCCGTCACTTTCAGGTGCACCAATCAGATGTAGATTTGGTCTTTTCACATAGTCCCATGTTTCTTGGAGGCTTTGTTCGTTTCTTTTTTTTCTTTTTTCTCTAAACTTCTCTTCACGCTTCATATGATTCATTTCATCTTCCATTGCTGATACCCTTTCTTCCAGTTGATTGCATCGGTTACTGAGCCTTGTGCATTCGTTACGTAGTTCTCGTGCCATGGTTTTCAGCTCCATCAGGTCCTTTAAGGACTTCTCTGCATTGATTATTCTAGTTATCCATTCGTCTAATTTTTTTTCAAAGTTTCTAACTTCTTTGCCAGTGGTTTGAACTTCCTCCTGCAGCTCGGAGTAGTTTGATCATCTGAAGCCTTCCTCTCTCAACTCATCAAAGTCATTCTCCGTCCAGCTTTGTTCTGTTGCTGGTGAGGAGCTGCGTTCCTTTGGAGGAGGAGAGGCACTCTGATTTTTCGAGTTTCCAGTTTTTCTGCTCTGTTTTTTCCCCATCTTTGTGGTTTTATCTACCTTTGGTCTTTGATGATGGTGACGTACAGATGGGTTTTTGGTGTGGATGTCCTTTCTGTTTGTTAGTTTTCCTTCTAACAGCCAGGACCCTCAGCTGCAGGTGTGTTGGAGTCTACTGGAGGTCCACTCCAAACCCTGTTTGCCTGGGTATCAGCAGCAGTGGCTGCAGAACAGCAGATATTGGTGAACTGCAGATGCTGCTGCCTGATCGTACCTCTGGAAGTTTTGTGTCAGAGGAGTACCTGGCCATGTGAGGTGTCAGTCCGCCCCGACTGGGGGGTGCCTCCCAGTTAGGCTACTCGGGGGTCAGGGACCCACTTGAGGAGGCAGTCTGCCTGTTCTCAGGTCTCCAGCTGCGTGCCGGGAGAACCACTACTCTCTTCAAAGCTGTCAGACGGGGACATTTAAGACTGCAGAAGTTATTGCTGTCTTTTGTTTGTCTGTGCCCTGCCCCCAGAGGTGGAGCCTACAGAGGCAGGCAGGCCTCCTGGAGCTCTGGTGGGCTCCCCCCAAGTCGAGCTTCCTGGCCGCTTTGTTTACCTACTCAAGCCTGAGCAATGGCGGGCACCCCTCCCCCAGCCTCGCTGCCGCCTTGCAGTTTGATCTCAGACTGCTGTGCTAGCAATGAGTGAGGCTCCGTGGGCATAGGACCCTCTGAGCCAGGTGCGGGATATAATCTCCTGGTGTGCTGTTTGTGAAGCCTGTTGGAAAAGTGCAGTATTAGGGTGGGAGTGACCCTATTTTCCAGGTGCCCTCTGTCACCCCTTTCTTTGACTAGGAAAGGGAATTCCCTGACCCCTTGCACTTCCCGGGTGAGGCGATGCCTCTCCCTGCTTTGGCTCATGCACGGTGCACTGCACCCACTGTCCTGCACCCACTGTCCGACACTCCCCTGTGAGATGAACCCGGTACCTCAGTTGGAAATGCAGAAATCACCCGCCTTCTGCGTCGCTCACGCTGGGAGGTGTAGACTGGAGCTGTTCCTATTCGGCCATCTTGGCTCCACCCAGTTTTTAATATTTAACTTCACCACTGAGTCAGAACTGAAACAGTTGGTACGGAGGCCTGTGTTAGTGAGACTTTGGCTTGCCACAAAACCACCCTAATTGAAGAAATGAAAATCTGATGTCCAAGTAAGTAATGAAGCCAATTTGAATAAAGTTATTTATGTGATTGCAAATTTTAAAAAGAACCTACGAACGAATACTTAAAAAAAAATTTAAGGTAGTGCTGTGCTTTGAATATGTCCTTCAAAGTTCATGTGTTGGATACTCAATTGCTGTTGTAACAATGTTGAGAGTTAGGACCTTTCAGAACAGATTAGGTCATGAGGGCTCTGCCCTCATGAATGGATTAATGCTGTTATTGTGAGACTGTGTTAGTTATCATGGCAGTGGGCTCCTGATAAAAGGCTAAGTCCAAACCCCATTTTCTCTTTGTCTCACACACTCTATCACCATGTGACACCTTCAATGTACCCTGCCAGATACTGGTGCCATGCTCTTGAGACTTCCCAGCCGCCAGAACAGTGAGCCAAATAAAATTGTCTTCTTTATAAATTGCCTAGCCTGTGCATTCTGTTATAGCAGTAGAAAACAGACTATGGCAGGTAGGTAGACATATTACCCAAAGAGAAACACATCTGAAAAATATACACCAATCTTTTTACATTGAATATGTATGCATCACAGTGATGGGATCATATAGATGGAAGATGTAGAATGATTTCATCTTCTAAATATACATTTATAATGTTTAGTATTTTTTAATTAGGAAAATTTCTTGAGAGAAACACTTGAAAATATGTAACAGCAAATTAACAAGAAAACACATAAATATTTTTATTTTAAGAAGCGTTCATGCTATGCTGTTTTTTTTTAAAAGAAAGATTATAATAACTCTTGACTTGAGAGTTACCCCTATCTGTGTAGGTGTGTGATTTGTATATTACAGTTCCATCATTTAGAATGTTCAAACTCTCAATGTGCAGACTTATCTTCTGCTCTCTCAGGGGTTGGATGTCCTCTCTCAGGGCATAGAGACACAATAAGGGATTGCTGTTAAGGGATGGACAATTATAGAAATTTCTGGTTGATGCACTGCATATCAGTCCCTTTTATCACTCCCTTCCCCTTGCAAGCTGATCTGTCCTGAGACTTTTGGGGTTATAAGTCTGACTCTGACAAACAAATAGCATCTTTGTACATTCAATACTTTAAAAGGAAAAGGTGTGATTCTTTTTTTCTACTCCCATTCCAGTGGCCACTAAATTATCTTTCCTATTTCCTTTATACTTTCCATGTCTGTCTCTAATATGCCCTCTCTGAGATGGACTGCACTTTTTTTTTCTGTCATTCAGTTATTTTCAGATATTTTTGATAACTTTGTCCTTCCTTAAGAATATGTGATGCGCAAGAGTTTATTAAAACTATGTGTGGTGAAATCATGCCCATCCAGTAGAGCTCAGTTCTAATGCTGGCAATTTCATGTAGCATCTGAATGAACCCTGACAAGCTTCTACAACTCATTAAGTCTCAGCAACCTAAGACAGGCCAAGAAGCTGGTAATTCTGCCTACCAGAATCCCGTTATGAGGAACACATGGAGGAAGAAAATGTAATGTAATGCAGCAAGCACAGAGCATGGCATGCAGCAGGCCCTCAGAGTTCCCCCATGTCCGTAGCTACGAGTACCTGGGTTCCGGGTCTCCCGACTATAGTTAGCTTGCTCTGCAGGGGTGACTCAATTGGAAACAGCTCCCTGGGTGTTGGTGGCAAACTCAGGGGGCACTAAGAACAGGAAGTAGAGTCTCTTCTGGCTCCCAGGGCTCTCCTCACTATGCCCTTCGGGAAAGGACTTATTTTGAAAACTCCACCTTGCTCACGTGAGCCTGACAAAATGGTCTGAGGCCTACTCTTGCCTCGTTTGACAGATCCCCTCAATTTTCTCTGAACCCCAGCTCCAGATCTCACAGATTCTCCTCACAAACACCATGTGAAGACAGTGGTGACAGGTCACTACCCACATGCCACACCATGGGTGAATTGGTCAGTGCCAATCCTTGGCCTCAGGATCTCACAGGGCATGAAGGGTTCTGGGCCCCCTCTCCCACTCCAACCCCCAGGACACCCAGCAGACTCACTTTCAGTTAGAGCTGGTAGGTGGCAAGGGCCCAGGCTGAGTGTTTTCCATTGTCCTGAGGATGAGGGCAAAGTGAACCCTGAGATACCTGTCTTAGTCCATTTTGTGCTGTTATAAGAGAACACTCAACACTGGGTGTGTTAGTCTGTTCTCACACTGCTGTAAAAATACTGCCTGAGACTCGGTAATTTATAAACAGAAAAGGTTCAATTGACTCACAGTTCCACATGGCTGGGGAGGGCTCAGGAAACTTACAATCATGGGAGAAGGCGAAGGGGAAGCAAGGCTTGTCTTTCATGATGGCAGGCGAGAGAGAGAGCGAGGAAGCGCCACACTTTAAAACCATCAGCTCTCGCGGGAACTCCATCACTATCGTGAGAACAGCACGGGGAAAACCGCCCCCATGATCCAGTCACCTCCCACCAGGTCCCTCCCTCCACACGTGAGGATTACAATTCAACATGAGACTTGGGTGGGGACACAGAGCCAAACTGTATCACTGGGTGGTTTATAAAGAACAGCAATTTGTATCTTACAGTTCTGGAGGCTGGGAAGTGCAAGGTGGGGGGGCTTGCATCTGATGAGAGCCTTCTTGCTGTGTCATCCAATGGCAGAAGGTGGGAGGGCTAGAGTGCACAAGAGAGAGAAAGCAAGAGATCAAACTCATAGACTCAAGCCCTTTTATAATTGGTATTAATCCATTCCTCAAGGTGCAACCCTCATATGACCTAAACACCTCCCATTAGGAGGGAGGGTTGCACTGGGGATTAAGTTTCCAACACATGCTTTTTTGGGGACACATTCAAACCAACCATTGCATCCTGCCCCTGGCCCCCCAAATTTATGTCCTTCTCACATGCAAAATACATTAATTCCATCCCAGTAGCCCCAAAGTCTTAACTCACTCCAGCACCCAAAGTCCAGAGTCTCATCTAAATTAGAGATGGGTGAGACTCAAGGCAGGATCCAGACTGAGGAAAATTTCCTCTAGCTCTGAGTCTGTGAAATCAAAACAAGTTGTCTATTCCCAAAATACAGTGGCGGGACAGGCGTAGGATAGACATTCTCATTCCAAGAGGGAGAGACAGGCAACAGAAAAGGCATAACTGATCCTAAGAAAGTCCAAAACCCATCAGAGCAAACAACATTAAATTTTGAGGCTTGAGAATAATGTTCAAGTTCTGCCTTCTGAGGCAGGGATTGGGCCCCCAGATTCTCAGGCAGCCATGCCTCTATGGCTTTGCTAGGCTCAGTCCACCCAGCAGCTCTCACAGGTTGGAGTCTTGTTCCTCCAGCTCTCCCAGGGTATCATTAAATGCCAGTAGCTCTGAAATTCTGGAATCTTAGTAGCAGTCCAGCTCCCACACCTCTACTAGACATTACCCGAATTGGGACTCTCTGCA
Source organism: Homo sapiens (assembly GCF_000001405.40). Classification (NCBI taxonomy): domain Eukaryota; kingdom Metazoa; phylum Chordata; class Mammalia; order Primates; family Hominidae; genus Homo; species Homo sapiens. The sequence continues at coordinate 102,446,949 of NC_000023.11, read as the reverse complement.
ACTGACTTGTTCCCACAGCCCCATCAGGTACTGGCCTGATGGGGACTCTCTCTGGCAGCTCTGCCCCTGTGGCAGGTCTCTACATGGGTCCTCAGGCTGTCTGCAACATTCTGCGAAATCTAGGTGGAGGCCGTCACAGACCCATAGCTCGTGAATGCTGTGCACCTGCAGAATCAGCACCATTTGGATGCCGCCAAGGTCCACCGCTTGAGCCTTCCAGACCGGCAGCCTGTTCAGCACCCGGCCCCCCTTGAACTATGGCTGGGACAGCCGAGGAGTGCTGCACGAAGGTGCCGGCAGCAGACACTTAAAAGCATCACGGGGCAGCAGATGTTGAGGTCCCGTGGGCGTCTCTCTGGAAACTTTGCCTTCGCATTGTGCACTGGGCATGTGACTGGAGGAGCAGCCTGGAAAACTCTGAAATGCCGTCAGGGCCTTTCTCCAGTGGTCTTTGTCTTACTGAATAGCACCTGTTTCCCTTCTAGCCATGGTAATCTCATTAGCAAAGTGGTCACTTGGCCATGTCTGTAGTTTGCACTCCTAAACACGCTTTTTCATTCTTTACATGGCTAGGGTGAAATTTTTCAACATATTTACCTTCTTCCTATCTTTTAATTGACAAATTCCATCTTTAAAGCATTTCTCTCTTCTCTCATTTTTGTCTAAGTGGCCGAACAAAGTCACGCAGTACCTTGAATGTTTTGCTGTTTAGTTATTTTTACTGCCAGATATCCTAGTTCATTACCCTGAAGTTCTTTTAATTTTTTTCATTTTTCCATTTTTGTGGGTACATAGTAGGTGTATATATTTATGGGGTATATGAGATATGTTGGAACAGGCATGCGGTGTGTACTAATCACATCACATCCCCTCAAGCATTTGTCATGTGTGTTACAAACAATCTGTATCCTCTTAGGTACTTTAAAATGTACAATTCAACTATTACTGACTTTAGGCAACATGCTGTGATATCCCACCTTATTCATTCTTTCTGTATTTTTTTGCATCCATTAACCATCCCCACCTACCCCCTGCCTCCACACTACCCTTCCCAGCCTCTGGTAACCATCCTTCTACTCTCTATGTCCACGAGATCAATCGTTTTGATTCTCAGGTCCTACAAATCAGTGAGAACATGCGATGTTTGTCTATCTGTGCCTGGCTTATTTCACTCAACATAAAGATCTCCAATTCTATCCACGTTGTTGCAGATGACTGGATCTCATTCTTTTTACGACTGAATAGTACTCCATTGGGTATATGTAGCACATTTTCTTTATCCACTCATCTGTTGATGGACACTTAGGTTGCTTCCACATGTTGCTATTGTAAACAGTGCTGCAACAAACAGGAGTGCAGATATCTCTTCCATATGCTGATTTCCTTTCTTTTGGGTATATACTTGGCAGTTGGATTGGTGGATCATGTGGTAGCTCAAATTTTAGTTTTCTGAGGAACCTGCAGAGTGTTCTCCATAATCGTTGTACTAATTTCATTCCCACCAACAGTGTACGAGGGTTCCCTTTTCTCCACACCCTCATCAGCATTTGTTATTGCCTGTCTTTTGGATATAAGCCATTTTAACTGGGGTGAGAAGATATCTCATTGTGGCTCTAAAGATCAGTGATATTGAGCACCTCTTCATCTGCCTGTTTGCCATTTGTACGTCTTCTTTTGAGAAATGTGTATTCAAATCTTTTGCCCATTCTCTAACCGGATTATTAGATTTTCTCCAATAGAGTTGTTTGAGCTCCTTGTATATTTTACTGGTTATTAATCCCTTCTCAGATGGGTAGCTTGCAAATATTTTTTCCCATTTTGTGGGTTGTGTCTTCACTTTAGTGGTTGTTTCCTTTGCTGTGCAGAAGCTTTTTAACTAGTCATGCATGATCCCATTTGTCCATTTTTGCTTTGGATGCCAGTGCTTCTCGGGTATTACTCGAGAAATTTTTGCCCAGAACAGTATCCTGGAGCGTTTCCCCGGTGTTTTCTTGTAGAAGTTTCATAGGCTGACATCTCAGATTTACGTCTTTAATCCATTCTGATTTGATTTTTATATAAGATGAGAGATAAGGGTCAAGTTTCATTCTTCTCCATAGGGATACCCAGTTTTCCCAGCACCAGCGCCATTTATTGAAGAGACTGTCCTTTTTCCAGTGTATGTTCTTGGCACCTTTGTCAAAAATGAGTTCACTGTAGGTGTGTGGATTTGTTCCTGGGTTGCCTATTCTGTCCCATTGGTCTATGGGTCTGTTTTAATGTCAGTACCTTGCTGATTTGGTTACTATAGCTCTGTAGTATAATTTGAAGTCAGGTAATGTGATTCCTCCAGTGTTGTTCGTTTTTGCTCAGGATAGCTTTGGCTATTCTGGGCCTTTTGTGGTACTATATGCATTTTAGGATTGCTTTTCCTATTTCTGTAAAGAATGTCACTGGTGTTTTTGTAGGGATTGCATCAAATCTGTGGATTGCTTTGGGTATGATGGACATTTAAACAATATTGATTCTTCCAACGCATGAACATGGAATAACTTTCCATTATTGTGTCCTCTTCGATTTATTTCATGAATGTCTTCCAGTTTTCATTGTGGAGATCTTTCACTTCTTTGGTTAATTCCGAGGTATTTAATTTTATTTGTGTCTACTGTAAGTGAGATTAATTTTGATTTCTTTTTCAGGGTGTTCACTATTGGCATATATAAATGCTAGTGATTTTTGTAGGTTGATTTTGTATCCTGCAACTTTACTAAATTGGTTGATCAGTTCTAATAGTTTTCTGGTGGAGTCTTAAGGTTTTTCTAAATATAAGATCGTATCATCAGCAAACAAAGGTAATTCGGCTTCTTCCTTTCCAGTGTGGATGCTCTTTACTTCTTTCTCTTACCTGATTGCTTGAGCAAAGACTTCCCGTACTATGTTGAATAACAGTGGTGAATGTGGGCATCCTTGTCATGTTCCAGATCTTAGAGGAAAGGCTTTCACTTTTTCCCCATTCAGTATGATACTAGCTGTCAGTCTGTTGTATATGACTTTTATTATGTTGAGGTATGTTCCTTCCATACCCAGTTTGTTGAGGAATTTTATCAGGAAGGAATGTTGGATTTTTATCAAATGCTTTTTCAGCATCAGTTGAAATAATCATATGGTTTTTATCTTTCATTCTGTTGATGTGATGTGTCACATTGATTGAGTTGCATATGTTGAACCATCCTCGCATCCCAGGGATAAATCCCACTTGGTCATGATGAACGATCTTTCTGATGTATTGTTGAGTTGGGTTTGCTAGTATTTAGTGGAGGATTTTTGCATCGATATTCATCAGAGATATTGGCCTGTATTAAGAAGTCACTGTAAGAAGATGCCTGAGAGTGGATACTTGGTCAGTGTAATGATTTTAATATGCGCCTTTTCTATTCTTCAGAAAATAGTCTCCTTTCTTATTTACTTTAGAATGTCATGACCCCCAACCTATGGAATTAATTAAACAAGAAACATTTCCAATACACTATTTCACATTCAGAAGGTTTCACAGTCTTTCAGTGTCAAACCTTGTGAGCAAAGCCAGGGCAACAGGCTCTAAGCTGACAAAAAAGTTTACCAGTATCTTCCATAGAGATGGCCTTTTCATTCATATAGATTCCATCGGCAAGTCAGGCCAGACCTTTCAGACTCTGACTTGTAAAAAAGTCTTGTGTAAGGAAAACTTACCAGTTTGCAACTAGTGTTTGGTCACTGCTGAGAGAAACAAATATTAAAAAATAAATAAATATGTCTCAGAGAGTTAAATAGGCATACTTGGAAACACGAAAGCTTGGAAAATGAATTTAATATGGCAGATTTTATTGAGAATGCATCATGAGTCATAGGAGTTCAGAAATCAGGAAGTTCAGGAAGAAGAAAAAGATCACAAAGGCAAGTTTATGATTACACCTACTAATCGAGGAACTGCTTGCTCTGCAACCAGTAGATGATCACGAGATGGTCAGATCTTGGTAGGCCCACAAGAGATGTCAAAATAAAATTCTCAAAAATAAACATCCTAGAGACCTCCAGTTCTGGCCAAGCTGGAGTTTGCCCTTTCCTCCCAGATGGTCCCTCTACATCAGAACACCCTGAATATAACAGCAAACCAGCAAAGAAAGCTCTGAAACGTGGAAAGGGGAAAGCAGACCGACTCGTGCTCTCAGGACTCGAGCAAGAACACAGGCAGCGCATTCCCTTGGTTTTTCTATTTCCACCCAATATCCCAGACAGGGCACCGCAGAAGCCCCCAGTCCAGAACCACCAACAATGGCAGACACAAAGCTCCAAGAAAAGCCTATTTCCTCTGCCAAAAGACCATAAAAAACGTGATCTAAAAACTGAAAAACCTTTGTGACAAATTCCCCTCCCCTACACTAGACAAACAACAATGGAAAAACCTTATCTCCCCCACCCCCCAAGGTTTCAGGGAACAAGAAGGAAACTTGTCTTCTATCCTGCCTCTCTGAGGCAGATGGTGATGATCCAATTCACCTGTCAGGGTAGTGTCAGTGGTGTCCAGCAGCAAGATGAGCCTTCACCTTCACCTGACATCAATAACACTGAACAAGGCAGTCCAAGTTGGGACTAGTAAGCATTCCATTTATCCCCATCTCTGGTGTCAGTGATGCCCAGTGGAAAGTTGAACCTTTACACTCATCCAAACTCAATGAAGTGGTGTGAGGCGGGGCTAATCGACACTCTGCTTTCCCGCTCAGGCATTCTGTGCAAGCTAGGCCCTATGGAGAGCTGTGCCTCCTCATCCACCCATCATCAAGATGGAATCAGGTGGTGGGAGGCAGGGTTTGTTGGCAGTCTCCTTTCCCCCTCCTTCCCCTGATGTTCTCAGAGACCAGTGGGGACCTAGGCTTCTGCCCCACCACACTGCAGCAACAAAACTTTGAGTCAGCCATCCAGTTCCCCTTTCCCTAAAGCCTAGCAAAGAACTGTGCCTATACTCCCCGACCCCACCTCTGAGGTAACAAAGTGTGGTGAATTGGTGCCCCCTTTTTTATTGGAAATGTTCTCAGGGGGGCTAGGGTAGAAGTTCAGCTCCCACCCCCAGCCATCTGTGAAGAGGCAAGGTGAACCAGCAATCTAGTTTGCTAGGATGGTATCAGAACAGGAATCTGCACTTATCACCTTATGATATGATGGGACCACCATCATATATGTGGTCTATCATTGAACAAAAAGTCATTATGTGGTGCATGACTGAATATGGACTATCTTAATGAAATGTCATCACAGCCTTATGAGGTTAAATTTTTTACTATTCCCAGTTTAAAGATGGATAATAAAAGCTTGGAAGAGTTTACCTGGCCAAGGTTATTTAGCTACAAAGTGGTAATGCCACGGATTCAATCCTAAGATACCTGATGCCCATTACCCCATCTACTGAAAGATGACACTGTACTGCAAAAATTAAAACAGACATAGCTGATCTGCTTCTTTACCTGTAATTAGAGTAAAAGAAAACAACAAAAGAAAACAAAAACAACACAGTGACATGCTAACTGTCATGAAGAAAAGTACCACATGTCTGATAAGGTGATCAGAGATGTACACTAAGTAAGGAAGGTAGCTATAGGGATATCTAAAGCCAGGCTGTTACAGAAAAACACTCAACGGTATGGGAGTATGCTTGCTGAGCTAGTGTTAGAGCAACAAAAAGGAGGCTAGTGTGGCTGGAGAAAAATCCATTTATTCATTCAAAGTATCCACTGAAGCAGGCATTGTTATAGGCACTTAGGGTACATTAATGAGCAATAGACAAAGATATTTGCCCTTCTGGAATTTTTATTTTTCCACCATGGGAGACAGACAATAAAAAACAAAAACAGCATATGATTAAAATATATTGCATTCCAGAAGATGACTGCGGGGGGGAAAAATCAAATAGGGAAGAAGTGGAATCAGGAGTGTGGGCTGAGGGTTGGACATTCAAACAAATATTGGCTGCTTTGCAATTGATAGTATTATTAGATGGGTGGAAGTCTTCTCCTTTGTGCCGCCTTTGCCAGGCATCAGTGTAAATGCTCTGTTGGCTTCACTGCAGAGGACAACACATTTTTCCTATCTTTGGTCAGGACTCAGTTCCTTCTTTAATATATCAGAGAACCAGAGACACTAATATCTGACAGCCTTTTGCCATCAAGTGGCCATGCGTTTTTTAAGTAAGCATCCCCTGCTACACGTCCACTAAATTTGAGCTTTTAACTGTCTGTGTTGAGACGTGGCCTGGTAGAAACCCTCGCTGGGGCCAGGCGCGGTGGCTCACGCCTGTAATCCCAGCACTTTGTGAGGCCGAGTCGGGCGGATTACGAGGTCAAGAGAGGGAGACCATCCTGGCTAACATGGTAAAACCCCGTCTCCACTGAAAATAGAAAAACCAGCCGGGCGTGGTGGCAGGTGCCTGTAATGCCAGCTACTCGGGAGGCTGAGGTAGGAGAATTGCTTGAACCCGGGAGGCAGAGGTTGCATGAGATGGGATCCCGCCAGTGCACTCCAGCCTGGGCAACAGAGCGAGACGCCGTCTCAAAAAAAAAAAAAAAAAAAAAAAAAAAAAGAAAAGAAAAGAAAAGAAAAAAAAAGAAAGAAAGAAAGCAAAGAAACCCTGGCTGGCCAGTGCCCAGGCCATACACAATGGCATTGTGCCTCACTTTTCACCTAAGACGAAATCAGCGGGTGGGGCAGGCTTATAATCAGAACACCCCTCCCTTTCCACCTCACACACTCCCACCCGCCTGTCCCACAATCCTTCCTGCCCCTCCCGCTCTCCCACCCTTGGTTTCTCGAAACCCCTTCTCCTTCCCTGCCCCCCGTCCCCCGAGCCCCAGGAGGGGGAGGGGCAGGAATCTGGCTCCGCCTCCCAGTATGGAGATGATTGGTCAAAGGAGGTCACCTGACCAAGCTGAGCCAATTGAAGTCCTCTCCCCACTGCTTTGAGAAGGAACCGTTAAGACGCTGGGCCCCACCCACAAGATTGCGTCTTGTTTGTGGCAAGATTCTGAGGGGAAGTGTAGCTCCCAGGTTGGTTCCAAGTCTTCTTCCAATTAGGTAAATTACAACAATATCTTTTCCATAAATTTCCTTTCTTTTCTTTTTTGCCTTTTTTTTTTTTTTTTTTTTTTTGAGACGGAGTTTGGCTCTTGTTGCCCAGGCTGGGGCGTAATGTCGCGATCTCGGCTCACCACAACCCCCACCTCCCGGGTTCAAGCGATTCTCCTGCCTCACTCCCAAGTACCTGGGATTACAGGCATGCGCCATCATGCCAGGCTAATTTTTGTATTTTTAGTAGAGAGGGGGTTTCTCCATATTGGTTAGGCTGGTCTCCAACTCCCGACCTCAGGGGATCCACCGCCTCGGCCTTCCAAAGTGCTGGGATTACAGGCGTGAGCGTCCGTGCCCGGCCCTTCTATAAATTTTATATAAACTAGGCCTTTTTTGGCCTACATTACCTAGGGTCAAGGTTTAGGGATTCATAGGAAAGGCAAATCCGGCTGGATTGCTCAGTGGTCCACTCTCCAGTCCACTCTCTATGTATCCCTTATCTTCACGTGTGATTAGGTTCAATTGTATGGCTAATCACTTCATGTTCTCTCTTTGCAATTTCTCAGGCAGGTTTTCTCTTCTTCTTCAGAAAGTTATATTTCTCTTTTGCATCTTAGTTTTGTTTATGGTTAATTTTGATATGGCGGGCTTTAAATTGTAAATATTGGATTGTATAGATATTTTTCTTTCTATTGTATTTCATTCCTTTTATGCTTAAAAATGCTTTCCTCATCTGAAGAGTAAATACATATTCACCTGTGTGTTGAAGATGACTGGGCTTTCATCTCTTATAATCTTTTTAATGAATCATGTGGTATGAGCATGTATCCCTCTTTGTATGCATCCTTCTAACTATGTTTCAATTGGTTATTGTTAAGCAGTGTGGTTTATAGGTTGCCAGCCCTTTAGCCACTGATTTTGTCTTTTAAAATTCTTTACTCTGAAATAATTTTAGACTTACAGAAAAGTTACAAAAATGATTATACAGAGAGCCCTCGCCTGGATTTCCTTAATGTTAACATCTTATATAACCATAGAAAAATTACCAAAACTAACTACTACATTACATTGATGCACTAATTGACATTACTACATCGATGTTAATTACCAACAGTTAGCATTGATGTAGTACTATTAACTAATCTACAGATTTTATGTGAATTTCACCAGATATCTCACTGATGTCCTTTTTCTATTCTAGGATCTTATCCAGGACGCTTCATTGCATTTGGTCTTCATTTCTCCTTAGTCTCCTCCAGGCTGACATTTCCTCAATCTTTATTGGTCTTCCACAGCCCTGACACTTTTGGAGATACCAGTCAGGTAATTTTGTGGAATGTCTCTCAATTTGTGTTTGTCTCATGTTTTCTTATGATTAGATTGAAGTTGTGCATTTGTAGCAAGCACACCTGTTTTATTCTCCTCCCTTTCCCAGTGGCGAGGGAGGGATTCCCACCCTAGTGTTATGGGGGCGGCTGAACACATGGTACCCTATACTGGACAGACGGAATCCACAGCAATTTATCAGTAACATTTACTCACAACTGGAGAGAGGAGGGCACCTCACGCCAGGTAGAGCCACACAGTGTCACACTCTGGAAGAGAGTGAACAAGCAGGGGCTTTCAGGGGGAAGTCTTTGTAGTAACCAGAGGATGAAGTGACCGTTGGTTCAGGGTAGGACGATTGGCTTGTTTGAATAATTCTGCAGGCTGGTGGGGACCTGAAACATGCTACCCAGAGATAAGCAGGCACTGTGTCTGTTCAACATGATAATAAGGAGGGTACTTTGGCCAGGGGGCCTTTCTCCCTGGGAACCCAATAGGGAAGATAACTTGTGGTGAGGCCATTCAGGGTCCTCCTGTTCTACCCCAGATGTCAAGGCATCCATATAATTGGACCTCTAATTTTAGGTCTTATGCGACATTACCGCAAACGTGATTTCGTTCCCTTCTATGTGGATCATGTCAGGGGTACATGACATCCATAAGTTGTATTACTGGTGGTGCTCACCTTGATCACTTGGTTAAAGTGGTGGGAGTTATGCTGCCCCAGTGTAATGCTACTATTTTCCTCTTTGTTAGTAATAAATATAGTGTGAAAAGTTCTTTAAGAAGAAACACAATAGATCCTCTTATATTCCTGTTTCTTCGCAGACTTTGACCCACTACTGTTAAAATCTGTCTAGGGATCTTGCCTACAGCAAATATTACCTAATGGTGATTTTCTGTTTTCCTAATTTCTGCTACATTTATTAATTGGAATTCCTCTGTAAGGAAGAGCTATCTTTACTCCCTCATTCATTTATTTCTTCAATTTATTTATCTCAGTATGGGCTCTTGAATAATTATGTTATACATGCCAGGCTTAATACCTAGGTGATGGGTTGATGGGTGCAGCAAACCACCAGGGCGCAGGTTTACCTATGTAATGAACCTGCACATCCTGCGCATGTATCCTGGAACTTGCAATAAAATAAAATAAAAATTTAATCTAATTATATCATTATTTTGTTCTTTGAACTGTTCTAGCCTTGGCCATTGGGAAGTCATTTTGGTTGGTTCTGTGGTCTTTTGATATGACCCTATCCTTTTTTGGTACCTTTTTCTGGCACAATAAGATGTTCAGATTCAGCATGTGTGTGCCCCCCTCCCCTCACACACACACACCCCTTATAGCCCTGGATTAAAACAACTTCTACGAGGAGCCCCGGTTCCCTTTCTTGGGGAATGATATTTACCAACCAGTATCTCGGTGTGTGTTCATTATTAATGGCGTTTCATTGCTGCTAAGGCTCTCTCTATGGAGAGGGTTAGGAAATAATGTATGTATACACCCATGCCTATAGACACATCCACATTTATTTTGGTATCTATCTGTATGCATAGCTATTAAAAGCCAGGAGCTTGTATTGATACTTTCAATTCCAATCATTCTAGACTTATTTGTAGATTCGTTCTCCGACCTGGCTTTCATTATCAAATAGTTTACATACCTGTTTATTTCTGGTCAGTAGATACATAAAGTAGCGCCTGAATTGCTAACAAATGCCCCTGTTGCAAACATGTTAATAACTTATATTTTTGTACAGTTGTTTTTGTCTTTGGCCTTAGAGGATATAGTCAAAATACTGCTCTCCAAAGTTATGTATCTTAGATCTTTTCTTCCTCTCTCCTTCAGCGTGGTTAAGACACTCATTTGTAATATTGTTAGTTGAACCTGTTTCTGTTTGATTTGGGGTACCCTCACCCCAATATCCCGGTTGATTTTAATTTTTTATTTATATTTTGGGTATGTGCATCATTACTATGATCCAAAGAGTCAGGGTTATACAAAAACCTATACTCGGAGAAATGTCACTCCTTCGTCATCCCTTCTACCCTGTTCCCATTCCCCATTTCTTTCCACTTCTTTCCCTGGCCCTCCCTGTAGGGTAATCAGCCCCTTTGGTTTCTGGTTTAACCTTTCCTGTATTTATTTTGCCCAAATGAGCAGATACATACATGTTTTCTCATATTCCTTTCTTACACGAAGGATAGCATACTATACATGTTCCTTTGCACTTTGCCTTTCCTACTTAACAGCATTCTTGGAAATCACTCCATATTGTTTCACAGAGATCTTCATCGTTCGTTTTTACAGCTGCATTGTACTCCATTGTGTGGCTGCGCCACACATAGTTTATTCAACCACTCGCCTATGTTTGGGCATTTTGTTTTTAATACAGAAACCAGGTCTCGCTCTATAACCCAGGCTGACTGAAGTGCAGTGGCACAATCATAGCTCATGGTAACCTCAAACTCCTGGGCTCAAGCAATTCACAACTGCCTCAGCCTCCCAAGTGGCTAGGACTACAGGTGTGTGCCACCATGCCTGGCTAATTAAAGACTTTTTATTTTTTATTTTATTTTTTGTCGATATGGGGCCTCGCTATGTTGCCCAGACTGGTCTGGATCTCCTGGCCTCCAGTGATCCTCCCGCCTTGGTCTCCAAAGTGCTGAGATTACAGGCATGAGCCATGGTGCCTGGCCTGTATGGGCTTTTAAATTCCTTCCAAGATTTTGCAGTTACAGACATTACTCCCGCGAATAACCCTGGACATGATTTTTTTTTTTTTTTTGTATTGGTAGAAATGTACCTTCAAGGTATATTCCCACTAGTAGGATTATTGGGCCAAAAGTTAAGTGCACATGTAGTTTTCTTAGGTGTTTCCAAGTTTCTCTCCAGAAGGATTGTACTGGTTTTCATTTCCATTAGCAATATATGAGAATGACAATTTCCCCACAGCCTCACTAACAGAACATGTTGCCTTACTTTTGAAACTTTTTTCTACGGGTTAGGCGAGAAATGGTGTCTCGCTGTTTCTGTAATATACCTTTGTCTAACTATGAGCAAGTTTTGACACTTAACCATATATTTGAGGACTGTTTTTATACTTTTTGTTGGAATTATCTGTTCATATCTTTCCCCCATATTTCTATTGCTGTTGTGGTCCTTCATCCCTCAATATTTAAGAGCTCTCTATATATTTGGAATATTATCCAGTTGTCTGCGATATGTGCTGCAAGTACTTTACATCAATTTGTCAGTTGCCTTTTGATTTATTTATGATGCATTTGCATCACTTTCGTTTATCCTTATGTGGTCAAATGGATTGATTATTTTTTTCTTTCATTGCCTCCGGAATTTGAATCCTAGTTAGAAAGCTTTTCCCTACAGTGGGGTTCTGCCATGTTTTGTTTTGTTTTTTCTTTCTTTTCTTTGGTTGACATGGAGTCTCGCTTTGTCGTCCAGGCTGGAGTGCAGTGGCGCGATCTCGGCTCACTGCAACCTCTGCCTCCCAGGTTCAAGCAATTCTCCTGTCTCAGCCTCTCGAGTAGCTGGGATTACAGCCGCCCGCCACCTCGCCTGGCTCATTTTCGTATTTTTAGTAGAGACGGGGTTTCACCATTTTGGCCAGGCTGGTCTCAAACTCCGGACCTCAGGCGATCCACCCGCTTCAGCCTCCCAAAGTGCTGGGATTATAGGCGTGAGCCACCCCCCTCCCCCGGCCACTGCCATGTTTTCTTCAAGAACTTACATGGTTTCATTTGTTATGTTTAGATCCCTAACCCATTTGCAGTTTATTCTTGTGCATGCTGTGTTATATGGATCTACCTTTATTTTTCCAGACGTCTCAGTTGTTCCAGGACCATTTATTAAATGTCCATCTTTGCCCTAAAGAGTTTATGTGCCATCTTTATCATGTACTAACTGTCATATGATTTGGTTGTATTTCTGAGTTTTCTATTCTAGTCCACTGGGCTATTAGTCTATTCTTGCACCAGTGCCACAATGTCGTAATTACAGAGGCTTTATAGTGTGCTTTTCTGGCTGATATCATAAGTCCCCTCTCATAGATTTTCTTTTTCACGTGTTTCCTGGCTATGCTTGCATGTTTTCACAAATATATTAACTTTATTATCAATTTGCCTAAATGCATAAAAATGTGTGCTGGCGTTTTTGCGACTGAATTAAATTTATACACCAATTTAGGAAGAACCGACATCTTTTTAATGCTGGATTATTCCATCTAGGACAGTGACGTAGTCTGTTTGGGCTGCTATTACAAAATACCATAGACTAGGTAGTTTATAAACAACAGAAATTTATTTCTCGCAGCTCTGGAGACTGACAAGTCCAAGATAAAGATTCTGGCTGATTTGGTGTCTGGTGAGGACCCTCTTCCTCATCGATGGTACTTTCTAATTGTATCCTCAACATGGTGGAAGGGACAAGGCAGCTCTCTGAAGCCTCTTTTATGAGAGAACTAATCCCATTCATAAGGGCTCCACCCTTATGACCTAGTCGCCTCTCAAAAGGCCCCACCTCCTAATGGCATCACCTTGCGGGTAAAATTTCCTAACCTGCACATTGTGCACATGTACCCTAAAACTTGAAGTGTAATAATAATAAAATAAAATAAAATAAAAATAAAAATAAAAAATTTCAAGATAGTAATTTTGGGGGTACACAAACATTCAGACCATCTCAGATAGCGTATGTGTTTCCATTTGTTCAAGTCTTCTGTGGTGTCATTCAGGCATATTTAAAAATTTTTCTTGTATAAATGTTGTTATCAAGTTTATTCCTAAACTTTAATCCTTGTTGCTAGTGTATATGGGGCTTTGTCTGTGAATGTATCCTCCAGCTGCTTATTTTTTGTGTGTGTATTAAAAGACTGCTGATTTTTTGTATGTTAATTTTATATTTTGCTACCTTAATGACTTCTTTTACTGGTTCAGTTGATTTATCATCGTTTCTATAGGGTTTTTCAGGTATACTATAATATCATCTGCATGTAGAGATGGCTTTACTTCTCTTTGTAAAAAGTAAGTTTTATTGTGTATATCTAAGGTATACAACACGGTGTTATGGGACACGTATGGATAGTAAAATAGTTACTATAGTGGAACAAATTAACATAACCCATTATGTCACATAGTGACCCATTTTTGGTTTTGGTAGCAGTAGGCGCTAAAATCTATTCATTTAGCAGAAATCCCGCATCATACTTAATAGTACAATTGTACAAACTGTATTCCAGCATGTTGTGCACTAGATCTCTAGTCTCTTTCATCCTACATATCTGCTACTTTGCATCCTCTGACCTACATCTCCCGCTTTCCTCCTCCCATCCCCTCCTCCCCACCCCGACCCTGATAACCACTGCTTTATTCTGTATCTCTGTATATTTGAGTTTTGTTTTACTTTTATTTTTTTAAGATTCCACATATAAGTGAGATCATGCAATATTTCTCTTTCTGTATCTGGATTATTTCACTATTATTTCATTGTTATAGCATAATGTCCTCCAGATTCATCCATGTTTTGGCAAATGGCAAGATCTCCTTTTTAAAGTGTATACATACAACACATTTTCTGTATCCATCTGTCCCTTGATGGACACCTAGGTTGTTTCCATATCTTGGCTATTGTGATTAATGCTGCAGTGAACATGGGAGTTCAGATACTTTTCAAAGATCAGCTACTTTCAAAAGGTGGTTATTTTATTTCCTTTAAGTAGATACCCAGAAAAGCAGTTGCTGGGTCATATGATAGTTCTCTTTTTCACTACCATATTTTTTTCTAAAATAGAAAAATGTAGAACTACCATTTTATTTACTAAAACAGAAAAAAAAATCTATTTCTTTAGGTACCTCCATACTGTTTTCCATAATGATTGTCCCTATCTACATTCCCATCAACAGTGTACAAGGGTTCCCTTTTCTCCACACACTCGGCAATGTTTGCCATCTCTTGGCTTTTTGATAATAGCTATCCTAATGGTTGTATGGTGTTGCCTCATAGTAGCTTTTATCTGCATTTTCCTGATGATTAATGATGTTGAGCACTTTTTCATACACCTGTTAGTCAGTGTGTATGTCTTCTTTGGAGAAATGTCTATTCAGGTCCTTTGCCCGTTGTTTAAATTTGATTGTTTTTCTGCTATGGAGTTGTATGATTTCCTTACAAAATTTGGATGCTAACCCCTTATTCATATATATGTTTTGCAAGTATTTGCTCTCAATGTGTAAGTTGCCATTTCATTTTGTTGATTGTTCCCTTTGCTGTGCTTTTTAGTTCTTCTTATTCATTCCTAGGAAAATGATCTATTTCTCTGCTCAGTTGACTAATACTTGTAATGCAAGATTGAATAGGTGTGAGGTAGTAGGCATGCTTTCCTTGTTCCTGATCCCAAGGGAAAGCTTCGAGTGCCCCCCCACCCCATTAAATAAGTTACTAGCATTAGGACTTAGGTATATATGTTTTATCATGTTAAGAAAGCATCCTGTGGTGCCTATTTTCTTAAGGCTTTTCTATTTTTTAACATAAAGAGGTGTTGAATTTTTCCAAAGGCTTTTTCAACATCTGTGGTGATAACCATATGATATTTGTCTTTAAGTATATTAATATGGTGGATGATATCAAGGTACTTTCTAATATTGAGCCAATCTGTATTGATGGGATAAATCCCACTTTGCCAAAGTATATTATGATTTTTTAAATATGTTGTTTGCTAATATTTTATCTAGCATTTTTGCATCTACACTTATCTATCCATGTCACACTTGCTTCATAAAGGAAGTTATGAAAATTTCCTTTATAATGCTGTTGAATAATTTATAGAGCATTGGCACTCTGGTACTATCTGATCTTTGAAGGTTTAGTAGAATTGACCTGTAATAGCATCTGAGCCAGGTGCTTCTTGGGAGTTATTCCTTAATAACTTTTTCCATTTTTTTCTGTAAAAATTGGCCAAGTTAAGCCTTCCAGCATTAGAGTAAAAATCTTGATAATCTGTATTTTCCTAGGAAATTATTTATTTCATGTGTATTTTTAATTTCTTTATACACAGGTTTGAAAAGCAACCTAATTTTTTCTGTTTAAATGATTATCATTTGTCGTTTATTATTTTGTATATTTGTGCTCTCTCCCTTTCTTCCTTCATTAATCTGCCTAGTGAGTTTGTCCATTAAAAAAAAAACCAGGATTTTGATTTAATAAATATACACACATTGTTTTTCTACTATGTATCTTATTAACATCTGCTTATGTATTCATTCATTCATTCATTCATTCATTCATTTTAATGACCGAATCTCCCTGGATCACTCAGTCTGGAGTGCAGCGTTGTGATCACAGCTCACTGCAGCCTTGAGCTCCTGGGCTCAAGCAATCTTCCCACCTCCGCCTCCTCAGTAAGTAGGACTACAGGCATGTTCCATCACGCCCTGCTAAAGAATCATTATTATTATTATTATTACTGTAGAGGCAGGGTCTCCTTATGTTGCCCAGGCTGGTCTCAAACGCCTGGCCTCAAGTGATCCTCCCGCCTCAGCCTCTCAAAGTGGTTGGATTACAGGTGTGAGCCACCAAGCCCGGCAATTTCTGCTTTTATGTTATTTCTTTATTTGTGTTTCTTTTGGTTTCCCGGGTTGTTCTTTTATTAGATTTTTGAGGCAGTGCTTTAATTTGTCTAATTTTATTCGTTCATTTTCATTGATGAGAGTATTTAGCGCTCTGAATCTGCTTCCAATCACTGCTTTAACTATCTTCTACAGAGTCTCATATGTAAGCTCTTATAATCACTCTTCTTAAATATTTCTGTAACTTCAGTTGGTATCTCGTCTTTATCTCGACATTTGCTTAATAGAAGACTGAACATTTTTTCCAGGTAGAAGAGCCTTTGTGCTTTCAGTTTGTGTTAGTAAGTTCTACTTTTGTTGCATCGTGATTGCAGAGGGTTGGTTGTAATATTTCTACTTTATGGAAATTAGCGAGGCCTTCACTGTGAGGTAATTATGATCACGTTTTGTTAACGTGCCATCAGCTTTTGACAAGGTGGTATATTCTTTATCTCCAAGGTGTAGATTTATGTGTGTGTATGTATGCCTATGTGTGTATACACACACACAATGTATCTTATTGTGTTGTTTACATTTTCGGTATAGGTCTCTTTATTGTACCACTGGATTTGCCTTGTACTGAGACTTGCCATGTATTAAATCTCCTATTATTACTGTGCTTCAATGTCTCCATACCTTTTGGCATTACAAAGGTGGTTCCTATGTTATTTGGTGCATAAGTATTCCTAAGTATTATATATTCACTGTGAATTTTCAATTTTAATGTTAGCATGTAAACTTTGTCATTAAAAAAATTACTTTTAGCACCTGCTTTCTTATTGAACATTTTACTATCTGGTCCACTAGTTTGTTTTTAACCCCCAGTCTCCTTTTAACACTCATCTACTGCCTTATGAAAAAAAAAAAGTTTATTCTCTTTTTCTTTCTATCTCTCTCACTTCTCTTATTTTACTTGCACTATTTCTTTTTTTCCACAATATAAAATAAATGCACGTTAGTCATTTTCCTTGCTTCACCTTCATTTTAGTATTAGATACCAAATGCTTGCCATCAGATGTTGTAGGGAAGATTTTCCTGTCGTTACCTGTGGAATCACAATCCCAGTTTACCCTTTAGAATATAAGTTAGCAAACGTTTTCTGTAAAGAGCCATATGGTAAATATTCCAACCAGTGGGCCATAGTTTGCAGACCCTTGCTCTAGTGGAGTCCTCAGGAAGGGCTGATGGGTACATAATTTCCTAAGTTCCTGTCTGTTTTTCTATAAGCTGTGATATTAGTGAAGGATCGGCTGAGCTGGATATCAAATCAGTACTTCAGACGTTTTTCTCAGCCCATTTCTGAGTTTAGAGTTTTAAGTAATATTCTAATTCAAGGCAGGTTTTATATCCTCAAATGCTTGTTTGAATGGAATTAATTCTGTTTGCAGGGTTGACGTACAGTTTCCTTCTGTTTCATGGTTGTTTAATATGTGTGAAATTTTGTCTTCTGCTCTTTTTCTCTTTCTGGAATGTTTTTGTAAGGAATTATCCTTCCTTTTGTTCATTTTTATGATATTGGATTGTTTTACCAGATTCCTATTTTACAGGTGCTATTTTCTGTCAGTGTAGAAAAATTCAGGCCTGAAATTTACTGATTTCGTTTGCTTGTTTTGGTAGCGGACAAAGAAGTTATGAGTGCTCTGATTCTGTGGTTCTCTTATGTCTTGCAAGATTCTTCATTTTCCCCTTTTGTTTCTTTTCCCCATCATTACCAAAGTGGCAAAGCATGCTTCTCCCTTTCTGTTTGCCCTTACTCTTACCCAGAAGCTGTGGATTTCAAAGGCTACTTTTATTTTATTTTATTTTAATTTGAGATAGAGTCTCGCTCTGTCTCCCAGGCTGGAGTGCAGGGGTGTGATCTCGGCTCACTGCAACTTCTGCCTCCTGGGCTCCAGCGATCCTCCCACCTCAGCCTCCCGAGTAGCTGGGACCACAGGCGCACACCACCACACTTGGCCACTGTTTTAAGTTTTCGTAGAGACGAGGTCTCACTATATTGCCTAGGCTGGTCTGAAACTCCTGGGCTCAGTGGTCCTCCTGCCTCGGGCCTCCCAAAGTGATGGGATTACAGGCATGAGCCACTGCACCCAACCCAAAGACTACATTCTAAGATCATCTCTACCCCTTTAAATTACACGTATTTTAGAGGTCCTTCCCTGTAGTCCCTGCTCTTATTATCTGGGACACCTTTTTGGTATTTTTTTAGACTTAGTCTGGGCTCAGTCATTTTAACTGTAGTTTCGGACCAACTTTAAGTCCCTTGCCTCTTCCTTTCTCTGTGTCTCTTGCAGCTTTTCTTGGTCTGTCTTTGCTTGCCACAAAGACTAGTGATGAGAGCATGACAGATCTTGTGCTGGGATTTCATGCCTTTTCTCCTTTTACTCACTACTAAAGATTTGGCATTATCTGTTTCTAAGTAACGATGAGGATGTGGCTTCTGTATAGATTTACATCTTCCTTTCTGATTGGTTTATATCCTTTTGACATGAAACATTGGGAGGCAGGTGCCTGGGTGGTCGACATTGCCTTATGCTGACTTACAGCTGATTTCAAATGGCATTTTATCTTATCTAAATACATATGTGTGTGTATACACACACAGACAGACAGACACCACACACACACACACACACACACACACACACACACACACACCAACACAGACATTTATACACACATACAAGTCTATTTGTATTCCATGTCTATAGTAGAGGTCTCTTGAAGTGGTCGTTTGATTTACCATATATTTGTTCAATACATATTTCATTTATTGCTATCTTTGGTGGCAGGCAAGAGACTGTGAAAATCTTCTCAGGATTTGTTAATGTTCCTCACCCTAAAGCAGGTTCATGTCAATGGACCAAAAGGTGCCAGCCACACTGCTAGAGCTCGCTGCATGGAGTCTGCTGAGTGATGAGCCTGCAGCTATCCATGCTCTTGAGGAGCTCCCATGAGACCTCTTTGTTCCATTGTTCATCACTGCCTTCTTGGGTGGGCAGAAGATGAAACTAAAGGCCATGGTGAGGATTTGGCCCTCCCGTTGTCTCCATGTTGGACCGTTGAGTGTAAGGGAGTCACACTATGAAATCTTGGGAGCCACGATTGATGGTCCTGCAGATCCTCCCTGCCCAGAGCTCTTCCCCTCGGTAACCCTATGTACACTAGAGACATAGTGAGTCATCAGGAGGGTATGCTGCAGCCTGAGGCAGGGGGTGGCCTAACAGTCTCCCAAAGGTGGTTGACGGTGAATGCTGAGGATCTCTGTGAGGTTGTTGGTCCAACACTTGGGGTCACCTTAAGGACTCTAATGTCTTACAGAGGTGATTATGGAATAGAGGTGATTGAGAGTACTATTGATGGATTCACCTACTGGGTATGATTACATAGAAGAACAACATGGACACCAGACTGGGGAGGATCGGAGGAGAAGGAAGGATGGGAAAAACAATAAAAGATGTTGAGTTTGTACAAAAAAATATTTGTTGGTAGATTGTTTACAGAGTGAAGAGCAAAGATAAAGGGTTTGCCCCTCCTTCCCCTCATTGATGTTGCTGGGTTATATTAAAATCAGCCACCTTTCATATTCTGTCTCTTCCTCTTCCTGCAGACGGCCAAAACGGAGGGTCCTGGATTTAAAGCAGGACCCAGACAGCAGAACCACATGCTCTGAGATCAGGAGCACATTCCCATTTTGTTTTCAGTCTTGCGTTTACTCTCAGCACTCTATCCTGAAAATAGAAGAAGCCAAGCGAAGTGTTAGGTGCCTGGAAATTGTACATTTAGAGTCTGAGTCTCGGCCCATCCAGGGAACGCATGGGATTGTTAGTGGACATTTCCCTTGATGGTACCTTGAGAACAAGGCAACTCTTTTCTTTCCTTTCGAGTAAAGTTGAGCAGAGCCTTGGGTCTTTGCATCTCTGCTGCAGAGATTTGCAAATTCATCAAGTGTCTGCCCACAAAAGCGTCCTGTAGTTTCTGGATCTGGGATGCACTGATCACCTGGAAGTAGGTCAGGCTTGTTTGAGTGAAGTCAGCACCCTTTTGGCACAGAAGATCCACCAGGACAGACTTAGTCTATCTAAAATCCTTTTAAAATCCTGTAAGGGGAGAAACTTCTCAACTTTTTTCACTCATCATGAGCAGATGAACAACCTCCAGGAACTCAGCTTGTCTTGCTTCTGCCTCACAGATCAGCTGGACAAAATTTCCGGGTGAGAGGTTGGGGAGGGACCTGGGTTCCCTGAATGCCCCATTACGAACAAAAGAGTGCGACTATTCTTAGATATTCTTAAACACTTTGTAACCTATTTCTCCTTCCACATCAGCACGGGCACTGCTGGGTGTTTTAAACTGGCCAAGCTAGAGAGTGTGGTCCCTCATGCTGAGGAGAAAGACAGGATTAGAAAAGTCAGCTGTGCCCAGTCAGTCAGTCAGTCAGTCAGTCAATCAACCATGTGCAGACGTGCAGACACTAAGATAAGTCTGTCGACATATTGGCGAAAAAGACAACAGTCCTGCTTTTATTGGAGTGTGTAGCCTTCTAGAGAGGAAGGGGAGGCATTCAGTCGGAGAAATAACTGACGCTGTAGCACTGATGCACATCCCCATGGGCTGGTCACAATAGGTAATACCGCCAGATCGTTTTGTTCCTGTAGTTTTCCCGAGGCTTAGGACCTGAATGGAGAACCTGTCATTTGGAAATTCGTCAAAGGGAATTCTCAGTCGGCTGCTTTCCCAGACCCATCCCCATCAAATAACTGAACTAGATACACTGCTAATTATACTGTAGGCACTAAGTTAAATTCTTTTTCCCTTAATCTGTCCCACAACCCTCTATAATAATTGCTATTGTGCACATTTGAAAGATTAAAAAACTGTATCTCAGCGTGGAAAAGTAACTTTCTTAGGGTCACAAATCTATTAAGTCTGACTGTAAAGTCCACAGTGTTAACTGCTGTTGCAATGGATATACAGATTACTTTATTCTAGAGTCATAAGTATCTATAATTCAGGGCTGCTTGCTCTAATCCAACCCTCATTCTTCAGAAATGCCTTCCTTTTTTCTCTCTACAGAGCCCTGCCATCTCATTTGTACACACTGTATGTGTCTTTCTGTGGACTTTCTACCAGAGAGACATCACTGTCCTATCCCAGAGCTCTGAGGTTACCCACCTAAGACTGTTGAGTCTGAGTAACAATCAGATATCCTGGGAAGTTTCTGAGCCATTCCAGGCTCTGCTGGAGACGGTCTCAGGGACCCTGCAGCATCTGGAGATAGACAACTGCCTGATAACTGATTCTACTTTCTCTGTTGTCATCCCAGCCCTGAGCCACTGTTCCCACCTCTGTGTCCCTAGCTTTGTCTTCAACCCCATTACAATGCCTGTGCTCACGAGTCTTCTGCAGCACTTAACAGCGTTGATGGAGCTGAAGCATGTGATTTATCCTGTCCCTGTCCATTGCTATGAACAATGGCAATCACATGGCAGTTTGGACATACAAGCTTGCTAAAGTGCAGGCCTCATTGAAGGTGATGCTGCAGGCAGTACCACAGAACGACATGAACTAGACCACCCATTCTCAGTGATCTTCACAGGACAAGGAGTTGTTTCATCACTGATGTGTGGCCACTAAAATACTGAGTGTTCTTGCCTGAAGCCCAATTTGTAAAGACACATAATGTGCCATTCTGCTATTCCAGGAAACTGGTGTTAGGAAGATTGGATATGTAACTGACCTCCATAAAAGAAAAACTCTAAGAAGGAAACAGCAGACTTTACGAAGTCTTGTGGGTCTCTTGCCCATTGTCCTCTACGTCCTCCTTCTTGTTACTGACCACAGTGTTGGGTACGTGACATGGGCTGACCCAGTCGTGGCACACCATTTCCCTGTCCACACTGATCGGTTCACTTATGGGTACTTGACGCAAGTCAGGACAGTTGAAACCTTTCCTGGATGTTTTTCTGGAGTAGGTGCTGGTTACTGAAGCCAATAATATTACTCACTGAGGTCCTTTAATCTTCCTGTATTCATGATTGCCTTAGGTTGCTTATGACAAACCATTGGCAATTAAAATGAAAAACAAGAACAACAAGAAACAAACTATCCCCACTACCTACTGGTGTCTTTATCAGTATATTGCTATCTCCTTTCCTAGGTCTCAGAAGCCTGGGGTTCAGTTTGCCCTTATTTCACACAGATTCACCAAAGATCTGTTATTAGCTAGGTACTGTTCCCGGTGCTAAGAATGAATAGGCAAACAAGACCCTACACCAAGTCACTCACAGTACAGATCTTCCTATGTTTTGTCTGTTTCCCCGCTCTTTTCTTAGGGGATTTGGGAAAGTTATTTTGCCCATCTATGGCCCAGAATTTTTTTTTTTTTTTTTTTTTTTTTTTTTTTTTGCTTTGCCCCTTGCATACTCTGCTCAATCCACATTGGCCTCTTTATGCTGTTGGATAGCTCATCAAGACTCAGGCCGTAGCTTAGATGTTACGTCCTCCGAGAGGTTTTTCTCTTACTTCCCTCTCCTTACTTACCCCACTTCTCTCCCATTACTTCCCTTACTTCACCATGCTGTTTTTAAATGTACCATGTACATTTCCTTCATGGTACACATCATTCCATATGTATTTGCTCCCTCTGCTCCTCCCCTAGAGTTGCACTATTCAGTATAGTAAACACTAGCCACATGTGGCTACTGAGCACTAGAAATTTGGCTACTCCAAAATGTGATGTACGATAACTGTAAAACGCACACGGTATATTCAAGACTTAGTGAGAAACAAAAAATGTAGAATAACTAACTAATAACTTATTTGTATTGTTTACGTGTTGAAATGATAAGTTACTGCAGGTCAAAGACAGTAAAAAAAGAAGACAGAGTACTAATGTGTTTATATTGTTCAACATGTTGAAATGATAGCACTGCGGCAAAGACAATCACTCTCAGCATTCCTATTGAATACCTCCTTGGAAGACCCAACCGGTACAATAAAGCAAAGGAAAGCACTAAAAGGCACACAGATTGGAAATGAAGTCATGAAAAAGTGTCCCTATTTACTGACATGGTGGCTATGTATAAAATTTCTGGGAATTTATGAAAAACCTCCTAGAACTAATGAGTGAGTGTGCCTAGGTTGCCGTATACCAGGTCAATATTAAAAGTAGGTCAACTCTATTTTTATATACAGTCCTCCCTTTGCACAGTTCTGATATGCACTAAGGTCATTCACCGTGATTTAGTTAAATAACACTAGTCCCTTCACAGTATGGGTCAAATTTCAGTTACCATGGTAAACTAACTGTCAGTAACTACATAAAGACCAAACATTGCTGCTGGTTCTTCAGTCCACAAATCGCTACTGAAATAACAGATGAGAATCATGATCAGTGGCCAGTCATGTCACTTCTTTCAAATTCTGTTTGTGTCGCTCCACAAATCACTATTTAAATAATAGATGAGCATCAGGATCAGTGACCAGTCATGTCACTTTTCTTTTAAAATCTAATCATGTTTGGTCACTGAGTATCTATTATTTATTTCATGCATCAACAGCAAAGAATGAAGCTGAGTTTCCTCCTTGTCTCCCAGTGAACTACTCATATGACATTTTACCAAAGAACTGGATAGTTTAAAAAGGTAATTGGCCAACAAAGACAGAAACATGCAAACAAATGACAAGAAATAATGCTGGAAGTGGAAATTGCAAAACGGTTTTGATGGAAAGGATTAAGATATCCCAGTGAAAGTGACACTTGCAAAAAACTTTACACTACAGGATTCCTTGGAGATATTCATGACACAGAAAGAACAAAGAATAAAGTTGTGGAAGCTGATCAACACTCAAAACTGAGAAACAAAATTTGCCAAGTCACGGGAAAAAATGTCTACTCCATATCACAATTAATAAGATGAGAAGAAGGCAAGAACTGTTCATACTACTCTTTTTTTTTCCATGAGAAATTCTGGATTTAATTTTATTTGGAATGTCACCAACTTCTCTGGCATAACATATGGTATAATTATTTTTAGAATGTGATTACTTTATGAATATTTGAAGACATTTTTATGTTTTGAGCACTTTTCTGAAACAATAGCTTCTGTTTTAGTGCATAGTAGTGGACAAGGCCAGAATTGATGTTTTTCTGTAACATTAAGCTAGTAATGGTAGAAGCAGTTAGATAAATTCAAGTCCCTTGACTCCAGTCACAAGACTTCCTCTAAATTATTGTGACTTTGTAAAATATTCTTAATTTGAATTTTTTTTTTATTAATCCAATAGTTATTTACATTGATCTTAAGTAAAATTTGTATGTGGCGGCCAGGCACGGTGGCTCACGCCTGTAATCCCAGCACTTTGGAAAGCTGAGGCAGGCGGATCACTTGAGATCAGGAGTTCGAGACCAGCCTGGCTAACATGGTGAAACCCTGTCTCTACTAAAAAAAAAAAAAAACAAAAAACAAATTAGTCAGTTGTGGTGGCGGGCGCCTATAGTCCCAGCTACTCAGGAGGCTGCGGCAGGACAATTGCTTGAAACCCGGTAGGCGGAGGTTGCAGTGAGCCGAGATCATGCCATTGCACCCCAGCCTGGGCAACAGAGTGAGACTCTTTGTCTCAAAAAAAAAATTGTATGTGGCTACTTATTGTTAATTTCACTTTCATTGACATTTCTACTTTCACTTCACAGTGCTTTAAAAATAGGCAGGCCAACATTCAGATTCAGGAAATACAGAGAACACCACAAAGATACTCCTCGAGAAGAGCAACTCCAGGACACATAATTGTCAGATTCACCAAAGTGGAAATGAAGGAAAAAATGTTAAGGGCAGCCAGAGAGAAAGGTCGGGTTACCCACAAAGGGAAGCCCATCAGACTAACAGCGGATCTCTCGGCAGAAACTCTACAAGCCAGAAGAGAGTGGGGGCCAATATTCAACATTCTTAAGGAAAAGAATTTTCAACCCAGAATGTCATATCCAGCCAAACTAAGCTTCATAAGTGAAGGAGAAATAAAATACTTTACAGACAAGCAAATGCTGAGGGATTTTGTCACCACCAGGCCTGCCCTAACAGAGCTTCTGAAGGAAGCACTAAACATGGAAAGGAACAACCGGTACCAGCCACTGCAAAAACATGCCAAAGTGTAAAGACCATCGAGGCTAGGAAGAAACTGCATCAACTAACGAGCAAAATAACCAGCTAACATCATAATGACAGGATCGGATTCACACATTACAATATTAACCTTAAATGTAAATGGGCTAAAGGCTCCAATTAAAAGGCACAGACTGGCAAATTGGGTAAAGAGTCAAGACCCATCAGTGTGCTGTATTCAGGAAACCCGTCTCACGTGCAGAGACACACATAGGCTCAAAATAAAGGGATGGAGGAAGATCTACCAAGCAAACGGAAAACAAAAAAAGGCAGGGGTTGCAATCCTAGTCTCTGATAAAACAGACTTTAAACCAACAAAGATCAAAAGAGACAAAGAAGGCCCTTACATAATGGTAAAGGGATCAATTCAACAAGAAGAGCTAACTATCCTAAATATATATGCACCCAATGCAGGAGCACCCAGATTCATAAAGCAAGTCCTTAGAGACCTACAAAGAGACTTAGACTCCCACAGAATAATAATGGGAGACTTTAACACCCCACTGTCAACATTGGACAGATCAATGAGACAGAAAGTTCACAAGGATATCCAGGAATTGAACTCAGCTCTGCACCAAGTGGACCTAATAGACATGTATAGAACTCTCCACCCGAAATCAACAGAATATACATTCTTTTCAGCACCACACCACACCTATTCCAAAATTGACCACATAGTTGGAAGTAAAGCACTCCTCAGCAAATGTAAAAGAACAGAAATTCTAACAAACTGTCTCTCAGACCACAGTGCAATCAAACTAGAACTCAGGATTAAGAAACTCACTCAAAACCGCTCAACTACATGGAAACTGAACAACCTGCTCCTGAATGACTACTGGGTACATAAGGAAATGAAGGCAGAAATAAAGATGTTCTTTGAAACCAACGAGAACAAAGACACAACATACCAGAATCTCTGGGACACATTCAAAGCAGTGCGTAGAGGGAAATTTATAGCACTAAATGCCCACAAGAGAAAGCAGGAAAGATCTAAAATTGACACCCTAACATCACAATTAAGAGAACTAGAGAAGCAAGAGCAATCACATTCAAAAGCTAGCAGAAGGCAAGAAATAACTAAGATCAGAGCAGAACTGAAGGGGATAGAGACACAAAAAACCCTTCAAAAAATCAATGAATCCAGGAGCTGGTTTTTTGAAAAGATCAACAAAATTGATAGACCGCTAGCAAGACTAATAAAGAAGAAAAGAGAGAAGAATCAAATAGATGCAATAAAAAATGATAAAGGGGATATCACTACTGATCCCACAGAAATACAAACTACCATCAGAGAATACTATAAACACCTCTATGCAAATAAACTTGTAAATCTAGAAGAAATGGATAAATTCCTCGACACATACACTCGCCCAAGACTAAACCTGGGAAGAAGTTGAATATCTGAATAGACCAATAACAGGCTCTGAAAGTGAGGCAATAATTAATAGCTTACCAAACAAAAAAAGTCCAGGACCAGATGGATTCACGCCCCCGAATTCTACCAGAGGTAGAAGGAGGAGCTGGTACCATTCCTTCTGAAACTATTCCAAGCAATAGAAAAAGAGGGAATCCTCCCTAACTCATTTTATGAGGACAGCATCATCCTGATACCAAAGCCTGGCAGAGACACAGCAAAAAAAGAGAATTCTAGACCAATATCCCTGATGAACATCGATGCAAAAATCCTCAATAAAATACTGGCAAACCAAATCCAGCAGCACATCAAAAAGCTTATCCACCATGATCAAGTGGGCTTCATCCCTGGGATGCAAGGCTGGTTCAACATACACAAATCAATAAACGTAATCCAGCATATAAACAGAACCAAAGACAAAAACCATATGATCATCTCAATAGATGCAGAAAAGGCCTTTGACAAAATTCAGCAACCCTTCAAGCTAAAAACTCTCCATAAATTAGGTATTGATGGGACGTATTTCAAAATAATAAGAGCTATCTATGACAAACCCACAGCCAATATCATACTGAATGGGCAAAAACTAGAAGCATTCCCTTTGAAAACTGGCACAAGACAGGGATGCCCTCTCTCACCACTCCTATTCAACATAGTGTTGGAAGTTCTGGCCAGGGCAATCAGGCAGGAGAAGGAAATAACGTGTATTCAGTTAGGAAAAGAGGAAGTCAAATTGTCCCTGTTTGCAGATGACATGATTGTATATCTAGAAAACCCCATCGTCTCAGCCCCAGATCTCCTTAAGCTGATAAGCAACTGCAGCAAAGTGTCAGGATACAAAATCAATGTGCAAAAATCACAAGCATTCCTATACCCCAATAACAGACAAACGGAGAGCCAAATCATGAGTGAACTCCCACTCACAGTTGCTTCAAAGAGAATAAAATACCTAGGAATCCAATTTACAAGGAACGTGAAGGACCTCTTCAAGGAGAACTACAAACCACTGCTCAATGAAATAAAAGAGGATACAAACAAATGGAAGAACATTCCATGCTCATGGGTAGGAAGAATCAATATCGTGAAAATGACCATACTGCCCAAGGTAATTTATAGATTCAATGCCATCCCCATCAAGCTACCAATGACTTTCTTCACAGAATTGGAAAAAACTACTGTAAAGTTCATATGGAACCAAAAAAGAGCCCGCATTGCCAAGTCAATCCTAAGCCAAAAGAACAAAGCTGGAGGCATCACTCTACCTGACTTCAAACTATACTACAAGGCTACAGTAACCAAAACAGCATGGTACCGGTACCAAAACAGAGATATAGACCAACGGAACAGAACAGAGCCCTCAGATATAATGCCACATATCTACAACTATCTGATCTTTGACAAACCTGAGAAAAACAAGAAATGGGGAAAGGATTCCCTATTTTGGAAATGGTGCTGGGAAAACTGGCTAGCCGTATGTAGAAAGCTGAAACTGGATCCCTTCCTTACACCTTATACAAAAATTAATTCAAGATGGATTGAAGACTTAAATGTTAGACCTAAAACCATAGAAACCCTAGAAGAAAACCTAGGCAATACCATTCAGGACATAGGCATGGGCAAGGACTTCATGTCCAAAACACCAAAAGCAATGGCAACAAAAGCCAAAATTGACAAATGGGATCTAATTAAACTAAAGAGCTTCTGCACAGCAAAAGAAACTACCGTCAGAGTGAACAGGCAACCTACAGAATGGGAGGAAAATTTTGCAATCTACTCATCTGACAAAGGGCTAATATCCAGAATCTACAACGAACTCCAACAAATTTACAAGAAAAAAACAAACCACCCCCTCAACAAGTAGGCGAAGGATATGAACAGACACTTCTCAAAAGAAGACATTTATGCAGCCAAAAGACACATGAAAAAATGCTCATCATCACTGGCCATCAGAGAAATGCAAATCAAAACCACAGTGAGGTACCATCTCACACCAGTTAGAATGGCGATCATTCAAAAGTCAGGAAACAACAGGTGCTGGAGAGGATGTGGAGAAATAGGAACACTTTTACACTGTTGGTGGGACTGTAAACTAGTTCAACCATTGTGGAAGTCAGTGTGGCGATTCCTCAGGGATCTAGAACTAGAAATACCATTTGACCCAGCCATCCCATTACTGGGTATATACCCAAAGGATTATAAATCATGCTGATGTAAAGACACATGCACACGTATGTTTATTGCGGCACTATTCACAATAGCAAAGACTTGGAACCAACCCAAACGTCCAACAATGATAGACTGGATTAAGAAAATGTGGCACATATACACCATGGAATACTATGCAGCCATAAAAAATGATGAGTTCATGTCCTTTGTAGGGACATGGATGAAGCTGGAAACCATCATTCTCAGCAAACTAGCGCAAGGACAAAAAACCAAACACCGCATGTTCTCACTCTTAGGTGGGGATTGAACAATGAGAACACATGGACACAGGAAGGGGAACATCACACACCGGGGCCTGTTGTGTGGTGGGGGGACGGGGGAGGGATAGCATTAGGAGATATACCTAATGTTAAATGACGAGTTAATGGGTGCAGGACACCAACATGGCACATGTATACATATGTAACACACCTGCACGTTGTGCACATGCACCCTAAAACTTAAAGTATAATAAAAAAAAAAATGACCTGTTGGATTTCTACTTTGATGAAGTTAATGTCATTTTTAGGCCTAAAACTTTTTCTTTTTTAAAAAAATCTTCAGGTGTTTTTAAATTTTATTTCATTTTGTTTTAAGTTCCAGGATACATGTGCATGACGTGCAGGTTTGTTATATAGACAAACGTGTGTCATGGTTTGCTGCACCTATCAGCCCATCACCTAGGAATTAAGCCCCGCATGCATTAGCTATTTATTCTGATGTTCTCCCTCCCCCGGTGCCCCCGACCAGGCCCCACTGTGTGTTGTTCCCCTCCCTGTGTCCATGTGTTCTCGATGTTCAGCTACCCCTTTTAAGTGAGAACATGTGGTGTTTGGTTTTCTGTTCCTGCATTAGTTTGCTGAGGATAATGGTTTCCAGCTCCATCCATGTCCCTGCAAAGGAAATGATCTTGTTCCTTTTTGTGGCTACATAGTATTCCGTGGTGTATATGTACCGCATTTTCTGTATCCATTCTATTATTGAAGGCCATTTGGGTTGATTCATTGCCTTTGGTATTGTGAATAGGGCAGCAATGAACATATGCATGCATATATATTTATAATGGTATGATTTATATTCCTTTGGGTATATACCCAGTAATGGGATTGTTGGTTCAAATGATATTTCTGTTTCTAGGTCTTTGAGGAATCACCACACTGTCTTCCACAATGGTGGAGCTGACTTACACTCCCACCAACAGTTTAAAAGCAATCCTATTTCTCCACAGCCTCGCCAGCATCTTTTGTTTCGTGACTTTATAAAAACCGCCATTCTGACTGGTGTGAGATAGTACCTCACAGTGGTTTTGACTTTTATTTGTCTAATGATCAGTGATGTTGAGCTTTTTTTTATATGTTTGTTGGCCGCATAAATATCTTCTTTTGAAAAGTGTTTGTTCATGTTCTTTGCCCACTTTTTAATGGGGTTGTTTGTTTTTTCTTGTAAATTTGTTTAAGTTCCTTGTAGATTCTGGATATTAGACCTTTGTCAGATGGATAGACTGCAAAAATTTCCACCCACTCTGTAGGTTGTCTGTTCACTCTGATGATAGTTTCTTTTGCTCTGCAGAAGCTCTTTAGTTTCATTAGATCCCCTTTGTCAATTTTTGCTTTTGTTGCAATTGCTTTTGATGTTTTTGTCATGAAGTCTTTGCCCGTGCCTGTGTCCTGAATGGTATTGCCTAGATTTTCTTCTAGGATTTTTATAGTTTTGGGTTTTACATTTAAGTGTTTAATCCGTCTTGAGTTAATTTTGGTATAAAGTGTAAGGAAGGGGTCTGGTTTCAGTTTACTACAGGGGTCTGGTTTCAGTTTACTACATATGGCTAGCCAGTTCTCCAAGCACCATTTATTAAATAGGGAATCCTTACCACATTGCTTCTTTCTGTTAGGTTTGTCAAGGGTCAGATGGCTGTAGATGTGCAGTCTTATTTATGAGATCTCTATTCTGTTCCATTGGTCTATATGTCTGTTTTTGTACCGGTACCTTGCTGTTTCACTGTCAAGTGCTGGAAAAAGAACAAAAGGAACTGTCTCTCATTGTCGATGGAAGTATAAAATGGCCAAGACACTTTGAAAAACAATTTGGCAGGTTTGCATGAAGTTAAAGGTACACTTATACAGCAATCGCACTCCAGGGTATTTACCCAAGAGAAGTGAAATCCTTCTTCCCAGGAAACCTTCCAGCAAAACGTTCTTAATTGCTAAAAACTGGAAACATCTCAAATGCCCATCAACTGGGGAATGGATAAACAAATTGTGGTATGTACCTACACTGGAAGACTACTCGACAACAAGACAGTTCTAAGTACTGATAACATAATATGCGTGCCACAGAATGGATGACTCTCAAAATACATTATGCTAAGTGAAAGAAGACATACTCAAAAGACTACATACAATGCCATTTCTTTGGCTTTATAGAAAAGGGAAAACTAGAGAGAGAACAAATCAATCAGTGGTTCTCTTGGGCTATAGAAGATCAACTTTAAAAGGGCATGAGGGCACTTTATGGAGGTTTGGACATGTCCTAGATCTTCATTCTTGGGTTGATCACATGGTTGCATGCTTTTGTCAAAATGCACAGAATGGTGGACTGAAAAGGGGAGAATGTTATACTATGTCTCAAAACTCGGCACCTTGATTGTTATTTTGTAACCTGCCTTTCTCCCCACTGTGTCCTGAATCAGCAAAAACTCTATCGGTTCTAGGGCGTGATTCCTGCTGTAATCCCCAACTCTGACAGACTGTCATCCCTGTATTCCTGATTCTGACCTGGTTTGCCTCTGATTTGGAAGATATGCTTTCTCAGATCCTCTGCCACTCTTACTCATTAACCTTACTCAGAGCCTCCTGAAACTCACTCAGTGCAATACAAAGGAGGGATCCACAGCTGCACAGAAGGTGGTTGTCAGTTTCTGGCTTTTCCATGATTCTTCTGAGATGTGTTGACTAGGAGTCCCTGGGCTTCATCCATAGATTCATTCTTTCACCAAATATGTGTTGAACATTTTCCATATGCGGTGGATTCTGTCATCATTTCCTGTTTATTCTCCACTGCCTAACCCAGAACCAGATGTTCACGATGTCCAGTTAACAAACGCTTCTGGAGCACATATGATGCTCTAAGCCCTGTGCCTGGCACCAGAAAGACAGATAAATTGGAAAAGACCATCTTTGTCATCTCTAGCGTCACATGCCCTCCGTGGTGGACATAAAGATCTATTAAGCATGTCTTTTATTTTCTGTGTCGTGATGCTTTGACATCCTGGGCCTTGCTGACCCTGGAAGGCTTGCTCCTCCCAGGCCTGGTAAGGCAATTCTTAGAAATAGTAAACACCTTGCCCTGGAGCGTGCTTTTCAAATGCAAACAAATCAACGGGGATACAATACCTCCCAACCATGTCCTATATAGGGCTCTCACACCCTGGGTCACTATCCACCTGCCCTAATCAC
Organism: Homo sapiens; assembly: GCF_000001405.40. Taxonomy (NCBI): domain Eukaryota; kingdom Metazoa; phylum Chordata; class Mammalia; order Primates; family Hominidae; genus Homo; species Homo sapiens. The sequence continues at coordinate 102,414,697 of NC_000023.11, read as the reverse complement.
CCCAAGGCCAGGTACCAGGCAACTAGGGACAGCCCCTATGCCCCAAGGCTGCTTAAATTATTCAGACTAGCCAATCCTAAACTGGTTACTCTCCCTTGCCTGTTCCTTCCCACAGAGGCAGAGACAACAACAAATGCTCTGGCTTGCAGTTCTCCTGTCTCCCTCTGGCCCGGACCAACCATGGTGCTTCGCCATGAGATTTCCCATGTCTGGGCATCCTTTCTTCTCTTCGGAACTGTGACTAACAATCTGTCTCTCCAAGGCAGTCATTTCCTGATCTGTTTCAAATGTTCTACTAATCCACTCTATTTTAAAACACTCTCAGATTCCCCTTTAGGATGTTTTCCTCGCTCTGCTGGGAGTGCTGTCCACAGACAGCCTTCAGCTACCAGCTTCCTTGGAGAGCACCTTGGCTCCGGAGAGCCTCCTTGTTTTTCCAGTGGCCCACATTCAGTGACTGGTGGAGGCAGGAGTATAAAATCAGACATTTTTAATCAACGTAAGAAAACCCCAAGGGTCATTTTTAGCTTCAGAGTACCCCATGGAGCTGGCTGAGGGTAATGAGACCTCATAGTAGCTCATTTCCTTCCTTTTCCAAATTCTGTGTTCTGACTGTGCTCTCCACAGGTACTCATCCCATATGTACTCTCACATAAACATCCTGCACAATAAAATCAGTCACACAGACTATCTGTTGCAGTGCTTCAAGCATTTGAAAAATATGGTGGAGATTGTAATGGATAAATAAGATTCTATGGCTACTACTAAGCTCAACTGACACTCTAGAAGAAGACAAAGAAATCAGAGAGAAATTATTATGCACTTGAAAGCCGACTGCGAAAGCCACAGGGCTTCCTTGGGATTATACGGAGACTTTCAACTCCTGGCACAGGATGGCAGAGAAAGCTTGTGATTTAATAATCATAGAAGTAAACCTCCAAAGAAGGTTAAATTTCCACCCAAAGTAGGACCGTTTCTCCAGGTTCATGGCTCGCACTGGGCAAAATTGAGACCCATAATGTAGTTTGGAATGAGACCTCTAGAAACCTGAATTTCCGCAAATCTGAGGAATCTCTTGAACTGCAGAAGTGAGCTACTCCTTCTTATCATGAGCTAGCATTTCTTCTTGCGTGAAGAAAATGCACAGGTTTCTCTCTCAAGTCAACATATCATCCCCTCAGGATGTACCTCCCAAACATCCCCTTGCCATAGGCCATAACTAGGGTTAAATCACAGTAAGAGAAGAAAGTACAGAAGTAGGCGCACAGATAGAAATGGAGATGACAAGACCCTGAAACTATAGAAGGCAGGTGTCAGCATTTGACTGTCAGCAGCCAGGTGGATTGAATTACTGTAATGAGCCCCAAGGAAACCTGACAACAGAGAGCTATGGAAATCGTTAACAGAATGTGTTGCCACCTTACTCCTGAGTAAAACAGAGTACTTCTCAACATGTGCCATCAGAAGAAATCAAGACTGATGACAGGTATACTGAAGAGTTTCGCAGCCCTTCCAACCCCTGCCACAGGAAACTCGGGATCCTTTGTTCAATTCCTGGACCTGAATCAATTTTTTACATCTGGAACTTTTTGACTGAAAAGGAGGTTGGGTACCCAGGCAGAGAAGGTCTGTGCAGCACCACAGCCTGTGGACACAGTAATGATTCACCCAGACCTCCCCTCAAGAGGCATCCATCCGTTGATTCACGTCACCATGAACTGTGGAAAGGAAAATGCCCAGGTATCTTGAGAAATGTCAAGCATGGAGTAGGAGATGACACTGATACCCCAAAAGTCATTGTGGCACCCTGTTAGAAAGGGGGCATGTGCGGGCCAGGTAGTAAATAGAGTTCTGACCAAGATCTACTAGTGAGTTCGCAGTTTCTGCAGACCTAATTGGAATTCATTTACTGGCTTGCAAATGTGTAACTCGGATATACATATAGGGACATATTTGTGGACCACCCACACTGGTCAGTTGCCTGTGGTCTAAGATCCATCATAATTGGAAGGGGCCAGTGAAGATGATGACAACAACGACGATGATGACTACTTCTTCTTCTTCTTCTTCTTCTTCTTCTTCTTCTTCTTCTTCTTCTTCTTCCTCTTCCTCTTCCTCTTCCTCTTCTTCCTTCTTCTTCTTCTTCTTCTTCTTCTTCTTCTTCTTCTTCTTCTTCTTCTTCTTCTTCTTCTTCTTCTTCTTCTTCTTCTTCTTCTTCTTTCTTCTTCTATCCCTTCAAGCATTTATTCTTTGAGTTGCAAACAATACAATTGCATTCCTTAAGTTATTTTAAAATATACGGTTAAGTTATTATTGACTATAGTCACTGTGTTGTGCTATCAAGTAATAGGTCTTATTCATTGTTTCTGGTTAACCATTAACCATCTCCACCACTTCCCCAACTCCCCACTACCAATCCCAGCCTCTGGAAGCCATCCTTCTACTTTCTGTGTCCATGAGTTCAACTGATTTGATTTTTAGATCCCACAAATAAGTGAGAACATCAGATGTTTGTCTTTCTGTGCCTGGCTTATTTGCCTTGACATGACGATCTCCAGTTCCCTCCATGCTGTTGGAAATGACAGGATCTCATTCTTCTTCATGGCTGAAGAGTACTCCATTGGGTATGTGCACCACATTTTCTTTATCCATTCATCTGTCGATGGACACTTGGGTTGCTTCCAGATCTTAGCTGTTGTAAACAGTTCTGCAGCAAACATAGGAGTGTAGATATATCTTTGACATACTGATTTCCTTTCCTTTGGGTATATACTCAGCAATGGGATTGCTGGATCATATGGTAGCTCAATTTTTAGTTTTTGGAGGAACCTCCACACGGTTCTCCAAATGGTTGTACTAATTTACATTCCTACCAAAAGTGTGGGAACTTTCCCTTTTCTCCACATCCATGCCAGCATTTGTTACTCCCTGTCTTTTGGATATAAGCCATCTTAACTGGGGTGAGATGATATCGAATTTTTGACTTGTGTTTCTCGGATGATCAATGATGTTGAACACCATTTCATATGCCTGTTTGCCATTTGTGTGTCTTCTTTTGAGAAACGTCCATTCAAATCTTTTGCCCATCTTTCGATCAGATTATTAGATTTTTTCCTATAGAGTTGTTTGAAATCCTTGTATATGCTAGTTATTAATCTCTTGTCAGAGGAGTGGTTTGAAAATATTTTCTCCCATTCTGTGGGTTGTCACTTCACTTTGTTGATTGTATCCTTTGCTGTGAAGAAGCTTTTTAACTTGACGTGATCCCGTTTGTCCATGTTTGCTTTGGTCGTCTGTGCTTGTGGGGTGTTGCTCAAGAAGTCTTTGCCCAGACCTATGTCCTGGAGATTTTTCCCAATGTTTTCTTGTAGTAGTTTCAGAGTTTGAGGTCTTACATTTAAGTCTTTAATCTATTTTGATTTGATTTTCGTATGTGGGGAGAGATAGGGGTCTAGTTGCATTTTTCTGCATATGGGTGGTCCAGGTTTTCCAGCACGATTTATCGAAGAGACTGTCCTTTCTCCAGTATATGTTCTTGGCACCTTTGTCAAAAATGAGATCACTGTAGGTGTATGGATTTCTTTCTGGACTCCCGATTCTGTTCCATTGTTCCATGCATCTGTTTTTATGCCAGTACCATGCTGTCTTGGTTACTATGGCTCTGTAGTATTATTTGAAGTCAGGTAACGAGATTCCTTCAGGTTTGTTCTTGCTTAGGATAGCTTTAGCTATTCTGGGTCTTTTGTGGTTCCATATAAATTTTAGGAATTTTTTTTTCTATTTCTGTGAATAGAAATAGTATCAAAATAGGTATTTTGATAGGGATTGCATTGAACCTGTAGATTGCTTTGGGTATTATGGACATTTTAACAATATTGATTCTTTCAATCCATGAGCGTGGAATATTTTTCCATTTTTTGGTGTCCTCTTCAATTTTCTTCATCAGTGTTTTATAGTCTTCATTATAGAGATCCTTCACTTCTTTGGCCTAGTTAATTCCTAGGTGCTTAATTTTATGTGTGGCTATTTTAAATGGGATTACTTTTTAAATTTGTTTTTCAGGTAGTTCACTGTTGCCAGATAGAAATGCTACTGATTTTTGTATGTTGATTTTGTACCATGCAACTTTACTGAATTAGTTGATCAGTTATTAGTAGTTTTCTTGTGGAGTCTTTTTTTTTTTTCCAAATATAAGACCATATCATCAGCAAACAAGGATAATTTGACTTCTTCATTTCCAATTTGAATGCCCTTTATGTCTTTGTCTTGTCTGATTGCTCTAGCTAGGACTGCTAGTACTATGTTGAACAACAGTGGTGACAGTGGGCATCCTTGTCGTATTCCAGTTCTTCAAGGAAAGGCTTTCAGTTTTTCCACATTCGGTATGATACTAGCTGTCAGTCTGTTGCATATGGCTTTTATTATGTTGAGGTATGTTCCTTCTATACCCAGGTTGTTGAGGGTTTTTATCAGGAAGGGATGTTAAATTTTTTATCAAATGCTTTTTCAGCATCAATTGCAATGATCATATGGCTTTTATCCTTCATTCTGTTGATCTGATGTAACACCTTGATTGATGTGTGTATGTAGCACCATCCTCGCAACCCAGGGATAAATCCCACTTGGTCAAGATGAATGATTGTTCTAATATATTGTTGAATTGGGCTTGCTAGTATTTGGTGGAGGATTTTTGCATCAATATGCATCAGAGACAATGGCCTGAAGTTTTCTTTTTCTTTCATTCTTTTTGTTTTCTGATGTTTCTTTGTCTGGTTTTGGTATCAGGGTAATACTGGCCTGGTAAAATGAGTTTGGAAGTACTCTGTCCTCCTCTCCTTTTTGGAATAGTTTGAGTAGGATTGGTATCAGTTCTTCTTTAAGTGTTTGGTAGCATTCAGCAGTGAAGCCATTGGGTCCCAGGCTTCTCTTTACTGGGAGAGTTTTTCATATGGCTTTGATCTCGTTACTTGTTATTGGTCTGTTCGGGTTTTGGATTCAATCTTGGTAGGATGTATTGTATCTAGGAATTTGTCCATCTCTTCTAGGTTTTCCAATTTATTGACATATAGTTGCTCATAGTAGTAGCCACTAATGATCCTTTGAATCTCTGCAGTATCAGTTGTAATGTCTCCTTTTTCATTTCTGATTTTATTTGCGTGTATCTTCTTTCACTTTTTCTTAGTTAGTCTGGCTAAAGGTTTGTCTCATTTGTTTAACTTTTCACAAAATCAACTTTCTGTTTCAGTGATTGTTCAGTGTATTGTTTTCTTCAGTTCAATTTCATTTATTTCTGCTCTCCTCTTTATTATTTTTCTTCTACTAATATTGGGTTTGGTTTGCTCTTTCTTTTCTAGTTCTTTAAGAGGCATCGTTACATTGTTTATTTGAAAATTTTCCTCTTTTTTGATGTAGGCACTTATAGCTATGAACTTCCCTCTGAGTACTGCTTTTGCCATATCCCAGAGGTTTTGGTATGTTGTGTTTCCATTGCCATTCGTTTCAATTTCCTTCTTAATTTCTGCATTGACCCACTGGTCATTCAGGAGTATATTGTTTAATTTCCATGTATTTGTACAGTTTCCGAAATTCCTCTTGCTATTGATTTCTAGTCTTATTCTATTCTATCGTGGTCAGAGAAGATGCGTGATATTATTTCAGGGTTTTGGAATGTTTTACGACTTGTTTTGTGACCTAATGTATGGTCTGTCCTTGAGAATGATCCATGTTCTGGGGAAAAGAATGTGTTATCTGCATCTGCTGGATGAATCGTTCTGTACATATCTGTTAGATCCATTTGGTCTACAGTGAAGATTCAGTCTGAGGTTTCTTTGTTGATTTTCTGTCTGGAAGATCTGTCCAGTGCTGAAAGTGGGGTGTTGAAGTCTCCAGCTGTTACTGTGTCAGGGCCCATCTCTCTCTTTAGCTCTAGTAATATTTCCTTCATGTATCTGGGTGCTCCAGTGTTGAGTGCATATATATTTAAAATTGTTACATCCTCTTGGTGAATCGACCCGTTTATCATTACATAGTGACGTTCTTTTTCTTTTCTTATAGTTTTTGTCTTGAAATCTATTTTGTGTGATATAAGTATAGCGGCTCCTGCTCTTTTTTGGTTTCCATTGGCATGGGGTATCTTTTTCCATCCCTTTATTTTTAGCCTGTGTGTGCTTTATAGGTGAAGTGTGTTTCTTCTAGGCAAGAGATCAATGAGCCTTGTTTCTTCACCCATTCAGCCAGTCTGTGACTTTTGATGGGAGAGTTTTTCCAATTTGCATCCAATGTTACGGTTGACATGTAAGGACGTAGTCCTGCCATTTTGTTATTTGTTTTCTGGTTGTTTTGTGATCTTCTCTTCATTCTTTCTTTCCTTCTTGTCTTCCTCTAGTGAAAGTGGTTTTCTCTGGTGATAAGATTTAGTTTCTTGCTTTTTATTTTTTGTGTATCCATTGTATTTTTTTTTTTTTTTTTGGTTTGAGGTTACCATGAGGCTCAATAATACTATCTTATAACCCATTATTTTAACCTGATAGCAACTGAACACTATTTGCACAAACAAACAAACATAAAGCAAGCAAGCAAAAAGAAAACTAATGAAAACTCTGTGCCTTAACTTCATCCCCCCACGTTTTAATATTTTGTTGTTTCTATTTCTATATCATTGCATTGACTATGTCTCAAAAAGTTGTTCTAGTTATTAATTTTTATTGGTTCATCGTTTAGTCTTTCTACTTAGGGTAACACGAGTTTGTACACCACAGTTACAGTGTCATTGTATTCTGTGTTCTTCTGTGTCCTTACTATTACCAGTGACTTTTGTACCTTCGGGTGATAATTTATTGCTCATTAACGTCCTTTTCTTTCTGATTGAAGTACACCCCTCAGCATTTCTTGTAGGATAGGTCTGGTATTGATGAAATCTCTCAGCTTTTATTTGTCTGGGAAGGTCTTTATTTCTCCTTCATGTTTGAAGGATATCTTCTAGGGTATATACTATTTTAGGGTAAAAGCGTTTTTTGTTTTTTTGTTTGTTTGTTTTCCTTCAGCATTTTAAATATGTCATACCACCCTCTCCTGGCCTGTAAGGTTTCCACTGAAAAGTCTGCTGCCAGACATTTGGAGCGCCATTGTAAATTACTTGTTTCTTTTCTCTTGCTGCTTTCAGCATCCTTTCTTTATCCTTGTTCTTTGGGAGTTTGAATATTAAATGCCTTGAAGTAGTCTTCTTTGGATTAAATCTGCTTGGTGTTCTGTAACCTTCTTATACTTGGATATTGATATCTTTCTCTAAGTTTGGGAAGTTCTCTGTAATTATCTCTTTGAATAAACTTTATACTCCTATCTCTTCATCTCCCTCCTCTTTAAGCCTAATAACTCTTAGATTTCCCCCTTCGAGGCTGTTTTCTAGGTCCTGTAGGCATGCTTCATTTTTGTGTATTTTTTCTTTTGTCTCCTCTGACTGTGTATTTTCAAATAGCCTGTCTGCAGGCTCACTAATTCTTTCTTTCTGCTTGATCAGTTCTGCTATCGAAGGACTCTGATACATTCTTCAGTATGCCAGTTGCATTTTTCAGCTCCAGAATTTCTGCTTGATTCTTTCAGATTATTTCAGTCTCTTTGTTAAATGCATCTGATAGAATTCTGAATTCCTACTCTGCATTATCCTGAATTTCTTTGAGTTTCCTCAACAAAGTTGTTTTGAATTCCCTGTCTGAAAGGTCACATACCTCTCTGTCTCCAAGATTGGTTCCTGGTACCTTATTTAGCTTATTTGGTGAGGTCGTGTTTTCCTGGATGGTGCTGATGCGAATATTTTTTTCTTCAGTTTCTGAGTATGTGAACTGTTAGGTATTAATTGTAGTCTTCACTGTCTGGGCTTATTTGTAGCCGTCCTTCGTCAGAAGGCTTTTCAAATATTTCAGAGGACCTGGGTGTTTGGATCTAAGCTGTGTCTGCTTCAGGGGGCACCCCAAGCTCAGTAACGCTGTGGTTCTTGTAGACTCATAGAGGGCACCACCTTGATGGTCTTGGACGAGGTCCGGGAGAATTCTCTGGATTACCAGGCAGAGACTCTTGTTCCCTTTCCTTACTTTCTCCCAAACATACAGAGTCTCTCTCTCTCTCTCTGTCTCTGTTCTGAGCCACCTAAAGCTGAGGGTGGAATGACACAAGCACCCCTGCAGCCACCACTATGCGGCCACCACTACTATGACTGCACTGGGTCAGACCTGAAGCCAGCACAGCACTGGGTCTCCCCCAAGGCCTGCTGTAATTACTCCTTGGCTACTGCCTTTGTTTGCTCAAGGCCCTGGGGCTCTACAATAAGCAAGTGGCAAAGCCAGCTAGGACTGTTTTTCCCTTCATTGGAGAGAGGTCCCCCAAGCCCCAGGTGGGTCCAGAAGTGCCATCTGGGAATCAGGGACTAGCATCAAAAACCTTAGAAGGCTACCTGTGGTTCTAAGTATTGTGGCTGAGCTGTCACTCAAACCACAGGACGCAGTCTTTCCCACTCTTCCCTCCCCTTCCCAAAGGTACAAGAGCCTCACACTGTAGCCACCGCCACCCTAGGCCCCGAGCAGTACTGGCAGACTACTGCCAATGTTCCCTTAAGGCTCAAGGTCTCGTAAGTCAGCTGTCGTGAATGCTGCCTGGCCTGGGACTCACCCTTCGGGGCAGTGGGCTCCCCTGTGGCTCAGGGCAGGTCCAGAAATGCAGTCCAAGAGTCCAGTCCTGGAACTGGGGACTCCAAGGGTCTGCTTGATGCTCTACCCCACTATGGCCATACTGGTACCTAAGATGCAAAACGAAGTCCCCTTTACTTTTCCCTCTGCTTTTCTCAAACTGAAGGAGTTTTGCCCCATAGCCACCACTTGCTGGTTATGTACCAAGTCTCACCTGAAGCCAACAAGTCTCAGAGGTTCACCCAAGGCCCTCGATGTAGTGCCTGGGCATCACTGCTGGTTATTCAGGGCCCAGGGGCTCTTCAGTTTGCAGGTGGTGAGTGCTGCCAGGACTAGGTCCTTTCCTTCAAGGCAGTGGGTTCCCTTCTGGCCCAGGACGTGTCTAAGAATGTCCTCTAGTAGCTAGGTCCTGGAACAGGGGCCACGTGACTCTGACTGGTGCCCTATCTTGCTATGGCTGGGCTGGTATCCCAGATGCAAGACACAGTCTTCACCACTGTTTTCTTTCTCCCCTCCTCAAGTGGAAGGAAGGGGTCTCCTTCGGAGCCACAAGGTGTGCAGCCTGGGGTTAGGGGACGGGTGATGCCAGCACTCCCTTGGCTGCCTCAGCTGGTATCTCAGTATGTCGTGTGACCCCCCCCTCCCCCGACCCCTGGTCCACTGTCTCTGGGCCTAATTCAACACCAGGACTCACCTAAGAGTTGCAGTTCTTTTTTTTGTTTGTTTTTTTGAGATGGAGTCTCGCTCTGTTGCCCAGGCTGGAGTGCAGTGGCACGATCTCAGCTCACTGTAAGCTCCGCCTCCCGGGTTCACGCCATTCTCCTGCCTCAGCCTCCTGAGTAGCTGGGACTACAGGTGCCCGCCACCACGCCCGGCTAATTTTTTTTTTTTTTTGTATTTTTAGTAGAGACGGGGTTCCACCGTGTTAGCCAGGATGGTCTCGATCTCCTGACCTCGTGATCCTCCCGCCTCAGCCTCCCAGAGTGCTGGGATTACAGCCGTGAGCCACCACGCCCGGCCAGAGTTGCAGTTCTTATGGCCTAGTCTGCCTTTCAAATTTACTTGGAGACACAGAGTGCTGTAGCCTGCCATGGTGAGGTTTGTGGGAACTCAAGTTCTGATCACTGGGATCAGTGATTCCCCTCTGGCTAGGGCTGCTTTAAATGCTCCCTCTGTTGGGGGGGCATGAGCTGAGTTTGGTCCGGTTTTCCTTTCTGCTCTAACAGGATAGCACTGAGGTCATTGCTTCACTAATGCTGTGGTCTCCCTCCCACTGCACCCAGAGATGCTCTCCACACCATGCTGCTGTGGCCAGGGGTGGGGGAGGGGTGGCGTCGGTAATTCAGGACTATGTTTTGGTTCTCAGGGAGAATGCTTCCAGGTTTTGGCCTTTGAGTAGGATGTTGGCTGTGGGTTTGTCCTAGATGACTCTTATTATTTTGAGGTATGCTTCTCTGATGCCCAGTTTGTTGAGGGTTTTTGACATGAAGGGATGTTGAATTTCGTTGAAAACCTCTTCTGCATCTATTGAGATGATATGTGGTTTTCGTTTTTAGTTGCGTTTATGTGATGAATCACATTTATTGATTTGCACATGTTGAACCAACCTTGCATCCCAGGAGTAGGGCCTACTTGATCGTGATGGATTAGTTTTTTGATGTACTGCTGGAATCAATTTGCTGGTATTTTGGTGAGGATTTTTGCATCTAGGTTCATCAGGAATATTGGCCTGAAGTGTTGTATTTTCACTGTGTCTCCGTCAGGTTTGGGAATCAGAATGATGCTGGCCTCGTACAATGAGTTAGAGAGGAGTCCCAGTTCCTCAAATTTTTGGAATAGTTTCATTAGGGATTGGTTACAGCTCTTCTTTCTGTGTCTGATAGAATTGGACTGTGAATCCGTCTGGTCCAGGCCTTTGGTTGGTAGGTCTTTTTTATTACTGATTCAAGTTTGAAACTCGTTATTGGTCTGTCCAGGGATTCAGTTTCATCCTGGTTCAATCTTGGGAGGTTGTATGCTCCCAGGAATTTATCGATTTCCTCTGGGTTTTCTAGATTATGTGCATACAGGTGTTCATAATAGTCGCTGAGGATTTTTGTTGTTGTTGCTGCATTTCTGTGGGGTCCGCAGTAATGTCACCTTTGTCATTTCTGATGGTGTTTATTTGGGCCTTCTCTCTCTTTCTTTCTTTTCCTTGTTTGTCTAGCTAGCAGTTTGTCGAGCTTATTTATTTTTTCAAAGGACCTTTGGTTCCTTTGGTTTCTTTGACCTTTTGTAGGGTGGTTCACATCTCAACTTCTTTCAGTTCAGCTCTAATATTTGTTATTTCTTTTCTTCTGCTAGCTCTGGGGTCACTTTGCTCTTGTTTCTCTAGTTCCTCTAGGTGCGATGTTAGATTGCTAATGTGAGATCTGTCTGACTTTTTCCATGTAGGCACTTAGCACCATAAACTTTCCTCTTAACACTGTTTTAGCTGTGCCCCCAGAGATTCTGGTATGTTGTACCTTTGTTTTCAATAGCTTCAAAGAATTTTTTTGAATTCTGCCCAAATTTTGCTCTTTACTCAAAAGTCATTCAGGAGCAGGTTGTTTAATTTCCATACAATTGTTTGGTTTTGAGACATCTTCTTGGTATTAATCTCTATTTTCATTGCACTGTGGTCCGAGAGTGTGGCTGGTAATGATTTCAGGTTTGTTTTTGAATTTTTTGAGAATTGCTTTACGGCCAAACATGTAGTCGACCTTATAATATAATTGATTGGTTTTGAAAGATCTATATATAATTGTTTGCCTCTGAGAGATCTTCCTGCTACAGATGTCTATTTTTATTGCACTGCGGTCTGAGAGTGTGGCTGGTATGATTCCGGGTTTGTTTCTGAATTTTTTGAGAATTGCTTTATGGCTGAGCATGTGGTCGACCTTAGAGTATGTGCCCTGTGCAGATGAGAAGAATGTATATTGTGTTGTTGTTTCGTGCGATGTTCTGTGGATATCTGTTAGGTCAATTCTGTCAAGTGTTGAGTTTATGTCCCGAATATCTTTGTTAGTTTTCTGCCCCAGTGATCTAGCACTGTCAGTGGGGTGTTGAAGCCTCCCACTATGATTGTGTGGTTATTTAAGTTTCTTTGTAGGTCTCTAAGTGATTGTTTTGTGAATCTGCGTGCTCCAGTGTTGGGTGCATATATATTAAGGATAGTTAAGTCTTCTTGTTGAATTGAACCCTTTATCATTATGCAGTGCCCTTCTTTGTCCTTTCTGATCATTGTGGGTTTAAAGTCTGTTTCGTCTGAAATAAGAACAGCAACCTCTGCTCTTTTCTGTTTTCCATTTGCTTGATAGATCTTTCTCCATCCCTTTACTTTGAGCCTATGATGGGTGTCATTGCATGTGAGATGGGTCTCTTAAAGACGGCATGCAGTTGGGTCTTGCTTCTTTATCCAACTTGCCACTCTCTGCCTTTTAAGTGGGGGCGTTTAGCCCATTTACATTCAAGGTTAATATTGATATGTGAGGATTTGATCCTGTCACTGTGCCGTTAGCTGGTTGTTATGTAGACGTGATTATATAGTTGCTTGGTAGTGTCAGTGGGCTGTGTACTTAAGTGTGTTTCTGTGGTGACAGGCAACGACCTTTTGTTTCCATGTTTAGCGCTCCCTTAAGGACCTCTGGTAATGCAGATCTGGGGGCAATGAGTTCCCTTAGCATTTGCTTGTCTGAAAAGGATTTTATTTCTGCTTTTCTTATGAAGCCTAGTTTGGTTAGATATGAAATTCCCAGTTGGAATTTCTTTTCTTTAAGGATGCTGACTATTGGCTCCCAATCTCTTCTGACTTGTAAGAGTTCTGCTGAAAGGTTTGCTGTTAGCCTGATGGGGTTCCCTTTGTATGTGACCTGCCCCTTCTCTCTGGCTGCTTTTAGTGGTTTTCCTTTCACCTTGACCTTGGAGAATCTTATGACTATGCATCTTGGGGATGGTCATCTTCTGTAGCATCTCACTGGGGTTATCTGACTCTCCTGAATTTGCCTCTCTACCTGTCTAGCGAGGTTGGGGAAATGTCTGTGGGCAATATCCTCAAATATGTTTTCCAAGTTGCTTGCTCTCTCCCTCTCTTTGTGGGACACCAATGAGTCATAGGTTTGGTCTCTTCACATAATCTCATATTTCTTGGAGGTTTTGTTCATTTTTGTTAATTCTTTTTTTCCTTGTTTTAGTCTGATTGATCTGATTCAAACAACTGGACATCAGGATCTGAGATTATTTCCTCAGGTTGTTCTAGCCTGCTGTTAATACTTCTGATTGTATTATGAAATTCTTGTAGTGAGTTTTTTAGCTCAAGCAGGTCAGTTTGGTTCTTTCTTAAAATGGCCATTTAATCTTTCACCTCTTGTATTGTTTTATTGGATTCCTTATATTCCTTGGCTGCCATGTCAACTTTCTCGTGAATCTCAATGATCTTTGTTGCCATCCAGATTCTAAATTTTATGTCTATCATTTCAGCCACATAGGTCTGGTTAAGAACCATTACTGCAGAGCTAGTGTGGCCATTTGGAGACAAGAAGACACTCTGGCTTTTAGCATTAACAGAGTTCTTGGGCTGGTTCTTCCTCATCTGTGTGGGCTGACGTTCCTTTAATGTTTGAGGTTGCTGTCCTGTGGATGGGCCTTTTTGCTTTTACATTCTTTGATGAACTTGAGGTTTTGATGTGGTATAAGTCAATTTAGTCAATTGGCTTCATTTCTGGATGATTTTGGGGAACCAAGACACAGCTCAGCGCTCCTGGGCTGCATGCTCTACCCCTGGGGGCTGGGACGTGTCCATGGTTTTTTTTGTTTGTTTGTTTTTGTTTTTTTTTTTTTTTCTGGACTCTGAAGGTTTACTGCCTGCTCTTCTGGAGGGGCTGAGGTGTTCCCATTCCGCTGGCAACAGCACTCTGATGGGATGTTCCGGCCAAAGTACTTCCGTGGGGCAGCGGTAGGGCAGCAAGGGCCCCCAAATGCATGGGCTCACCAGCGAAGCAGTGCAGGAAGGCTATGAGTGAGAGTGCATCGGTGGAGGAGGGCTGCGGGAGGGTGCACTTGTCTGCAGGGGACCACCTGCAGAAGATCCCCAACTGCTAGGCAGCATCTGCCAGTGAAAGAGCTATGGTGGTGGCTGCTGGCAAATGCCTCATCTGGGAAGCTGAGGCTGCGCTGCAAGCGGGTGTGGCCAGGCAGGGACGCTGGGATAGGCCAGCAGACAGCGGGACACTCAGATCAGACTGACCCTATCCCATGGCCAAGATTGCCCTGCTGCGTCCAGGTCCAGCAGCCAGCAAACACTAAAGCCACAGAGAGGAGTGTGGTGAGGCTTGGGGTTGGGTGCCCATGGCCATGCTTCAGTGCAGCTTTTCCCATGCTAAACCCTCTGGACTCCATGCAGGCAAGATTTCTATCTCTGCCAGCTCTCCCGGCAATTCTCCCTGCAATCTCAAATGTCTGTGGGGGTCATGGGGTCTCCTGCAGCTTGGATTCCAGAGGTCCATGGCGAGAATGAGCCACTCTATGCTTGTTTTACTCGCCCCTTCCCCAGGAGTCACTCAGGCCCCAAAATGAGTCCTGGTCCTCAGCAACCTGATGCAGGGTTCCCAGCTTCCTCCCCTTTCAGCTCAGGGTCTGTGTCCTTCCTCCATCCATTTTCAATGCCTTCTTTCCAAAGATCTGTTTGGAATGTGCTGGTCTTCTTGATGATCGGGTCTCTTATTGGGAGGAGTTCTTCCTGTCTGCATCTGGTCAGCCATCTTTGCCCCAAAGCCTTCAGTAATTTTTAAATCTGAGAATGTGTTAATTTTCCCCTTCATTTTTGAAGGATGGTTTTGCTGGATATGTAATTCCTGCTTGACAGGTTTCTCCTTTTTTAGAACTTTGAATATATCGCCTACTGCTTGAGGACTACATATCTCTTATGAGATACAGTCTCCTTACTAGTTATAGTAAGGAGTTATCAGTAATAGGAATTATCAGTAATCAAAACCTTCCAACAAAGTCAAGTCTTGGGCCAGATGACTTCATTGGTGAATTCTACCAAACATTTAAAGAAGAATTACCACCATTCCTTCTAAATCTCTTCCAAAAAATTGAAGAAGAGGGAACACTTCCTAACTCATTCCATAAGGCCAATGTTAGTTACCATGATACCAAAGTCTGCCAAAGCCACAACAAGAAAGCTACAAAGCAATATCCCTTATGAATACCAGTGTTCAGAATCCTAGATGAAACGCTAGCAGGCAGAACCTTGCAGTATATTGAAAGGATTACACACCCATGACTGAATGGGAATAATTGCTGAAATGCAAAGATGATTCAACACATGAAAATAAACCCATGCACTATATTAACAGACTGATGATAAAAGACCGCATCACCATGTCAACTGATGCAGAAAAAGCACCTAACAAAATCCAACATGGTTTTATAATAAAAACCCTCAACAGATTAGGAAGAGAAGGATACTTCCTTAGCGTGACATAAACCATATATGGAAATACCTATAGCTAACGTCATACTCAATGGAAAAGACTGAAAGGTTTTCCCCTAAGATCGGGAACAGGACAAGGATGCCTGCTTTTGTCACTTCTAACTCAACATACTATTGAAAGCTCTAGACAGAGTAATTAGGCAAGAGTAAGAAATAGAAGGCATCTAAGATGGAAAAGAAGAAGTTATCCCCTGTCACAGACGACATGATCTTCTATGTAGAAAACCCTAGAGATTCCACAAAAAAAGCTGTTAGGGCTAATAAATGAATTTGTCAAAGTTGCAAGATAGAAAATCAACACACCATAACCAGTTGCATTTGTGTACACTGACAATCAACAGTCCAAGAATAATTAAGAAAATAATTACATTTACAATAGCACGAAAAGAATAGAATACTCAGGAGTAGACGTAATCAAGACATTTACCTTGAGAACTACAACACTGCTTGAAGAAATTAAAGAAGACATAAATAAGTGGAAAGATGTCCTGTGTTCATGGGTTGTGGTTAATTTTGCGAAAAAGTCTTTCCTGCTCTGAGGACATAAACTTAGGCACTCTCGTAATTGTTCTAACATTTTTTAAAATTTCAATAGTTTGGGGGCATACAGGTGGATTTTGATTACGTGGATAAGTTCTTCAGTGGTGATTCCTGAGATTTTGGTGCACCCGTAACCTGAGCAGTGTACACTGTACCCAATAGATAGTCTTCTTTTATCCCTCACCCTCTTTCCACCTTTCCCTCCGAGTCCCCTAAGTCCATCATGTCATTCCTATGCCTTTGCACCCTCATAGGTTAGCTCCCACTTATAAGTGAGCGCATACGATATTAGGATTTCCATTCCTGAGTTACTTCACTTACAGTAGTGGCTTTCAGCTCCATCCAAGTTGCTGCAGAGGCCATTATTTCGTTCCACTTTATGGCTGAGTAGTATTCTGTGGTGTATATATGCCACATCTTCTTTATCCACTCGTTGATTGATGGGCAATAAGGTTGCTTCCATATTTTTGCAATTGTGAAATATGCTGCTATAAACATGCATGTGCTTGAGTCTTTTTGATATAATGACTTGTCTTCTTTTGGGTAGATACCCGGTAGGGGGATTGCTGGATCGAATGGTAGTTTTACTTTTAGTTCTCTAAGGAATCTCCATACCGTTTCCCAGAATGGTTGTACTAGTTTGCATTCCCACCAGCAGTGTAAAAGTGTTCCCTTTTCACCACATCCACTCCAACATCTATTATTTTTTGACTTTTTAATTATGGCCATTCTTGCCGGAGTAAGGTGGTATCTCATTGTGGTTTTAATGAGCATGTCCCTGATAATTAGTGACGGTGAGCATTTTTTTTCATATGTTTGTTGGCTGGTTGTATATCTTTCTTTTCTTTTTTTTTTTTTTTTTTGAGAATTGTCTATTCATGTCCTTTGCCCACTTTTGGATGGGATTTTGCTTTTTTCTTGCCGATTTTTATTGAGTTTCTTGTAGATTCTGGATATTAGTCCTTTGTTGGATGCAGGGTTTGTGAATGTTTTCTCCCACTCTGTGGGTTGTCTGTTTACTCTTCTGAGTATTTCCTTTGCCGTGCAGAAGCTTTTTAGTTTAATTAGGTCCCACTTGCTTATTTTTGTTTTTGGTGCATTTGCTTTTGAGTTCGTAGGAACGAGTTCTTGTAAATTTGTTTGAGTTCATTGTAGATTCTGGATATTAGCCCTTTGTCAGATGAGTAGATTGCAAAAATTTCCTCCCATTCTGTAGGTTGCCTGTTCACTCTGACGGTAGTTTCTTTTGCTGTGCAGAAGCTCTTTAGTTTAATTAGATCCCATTTGTCAATTTTGGCTTTTGTTGCCATTGCTTTTGGTGTTTTAGACATGAAGTCCTTGCCGATGCCTATGTCCTGAATGGCATTGCCTAGGTTTTCTTCTAGGGTTTTTATAGTTTTAGGTCTAACATTTAAGTCTTCAATCCATCTTGAATTAATTTTTGTATAAGGTGTAAGGAAGGAATCCAGTTTCAGCTTTCTACATATGGCTAGCCAGTTTTCCCAGCACCATTTCCAAAATAGGGAATCCTTTCCCCATTTCTTGTTTTTGTCAGGTTTGTGAGAGATCAGATAGTTGTAGATATGTGGCATTATTTCTGAGGGCTCTGTTGTGTTCCGTTGGTCTATATCTCTGTTTTGGTGCCAGTACCATGCTGTTTTGGTTACTGTAGCCTTGTAGTACAGTTTGAAGTCAGGTAGCGTGATGCCTCCAGCTTTGTTCTTTTGGCTTAGGATTGACTTGGCGATGCGGGCTCTTTTTTGGTTCCATATGAACTTTACAGTAGTTTTTTCCAATTCTGTGAAGAAAGTCATTGGTAGCTCGATGGGGATGGCGTTGAATCTATAAATTACCTTGGGCAGTATGGCCAAAACAACCCCATCAACAAGTGGGCGAAAGATATGAACAGACACTTCTCAAAAGAAGACATTTATGCAGCCAAAAGACACATGAAAAAATGCTCATCACTGGCCATCAGAGAAATGCAAATCAAAACCACAATGAGATACCATCTCACACCAGTTAGAATGGCGATCATTAAAAAGTCAGGAATAACAGGTGCTGGAGAGGATGTGAAGAAATAGGAACACTTTTACACTGTTGGTGGGACTGTAAACTAGTTCAACCATTGTGGAAGTCAGTGTGGCGATTCCTCAGGGATCTAGAACTAGAAATACCATTTGACCCAGCCATCCCATTACTGGGTATATACCCAAAGGACTATAAATCATGCTGCTATAAAGACACATGCACATGTATGTTTATTGCGGCACTATTCACAATAGCAAAGACGTGGAACCAACCCAAACGTCCAACAATGATAGACTGGATTAAGAAAATGTGGCACATATACACCATGGAATACTATGCAGCCATAAAAAAGGATGAGTTCATGTCCTTTGTAGGGACATGGATGAAGCTGGAAACCATCATTCTCAGCAAACTATCGCAAGGACAAAAAACCAAACACCGCATGTTCTCGCTCATAGGTGGGAATTGAACAATGAGAACACATGGACACAGGAAGGGGAACATCACACACCGGGGCCTGTTGTGGGGTGGGGGGACGGGGGAGGGATAGCATTAGGAGATATACCTAATGTTAAATGACGAGTTAAGGGGTGCAGCACACCAACATGGCACATGTATACATATGTAACGAACCTGCACGTTGTGCACATGTACCCTGAAACTTAAAGTATAAAAAAAAAAGGAATGAATTCATTACCTAAGCCAATGTCTGCAAGAGTTTTTCGATGGTATCTTCTAGAATTTTTGTGGTTTCAGGTCTTAGATTTAAGTCTTTGATCTATCTTGAGAGTTGATTTTTGTAATAAGGTGAGAGATGAGGATCCAGTTTCATTCTTCTGCATGTGGCTTGCCAGTTTTACCAGCACCGTTTATTGAATAGGGTGCCCTTTCCTCGCTTTATGTTTTTGTATGCTTTGTCAAAGATCGGTTGGCTGTCAGTATTTGGCTTCATTTCTGAGTTCTTTATTCTGCTCCATTGGTCTACATACCTGTTTTTATGCCAGTACCATGCTGCTTTGGTAACTATAGCCTTGTGGTATAATTTGAAGCCAGGTAATGTGATGCCTCCTGATTTGTTCTTTTTGCTTAGTATTGTGTTGATTATGCGGGCTCTCTTTTGGTTCCACGTGAATTTGAGGATATATTTTTTTTCTAGTTCTGTGAAGAATGATCATGGTACTTTGATTGGAATTGCATTGAATTTGTAGATCGCTTTGGGCAGTATGGTCATTTTCACCATATTGATTCCACCCATCCATGAGCATGGGATGTGCTTCCATTTGTTTTTGTCATTGATGATTTCTTTCAGCAGTGTTTTGTTGTTTTTCATTTAGAGACCTTTCACCTCCTTCTTTTTCCACTAAGGTTTCTTTTTTTTTTTTTAATTTCTGGAATTTATATTGTGTATGGAGTGAGATAGCAATCTCCTCTCTAAAAAATGGGTATAACCAATGGATCCAGCACTATATATTGAATAGCCTGTCTTTTCTTCAGCTAACCTTCAATGGCAAACCTCTCATGCCACGTTTTCCTATATTTAATGGGCTCTCTATCCTATCAATTGTATTGGCCTAGATGTCATATAAGTGAACTATCTTAACTATCTTAATTATTAAAACTTGATATCTTGTAAGCCATGTCCCTTCTGATCCCCTCTACTTTGTTTTAATATTCTTGGATATTAAGCGCCCTTGGTCCTTCAGTATGCATTCTAGAGTCATAGAGTCTATTGTTCCGTAGAAAGCTGTGTTGGATTTTTTATTGGAATCACGTCAAATATACAGGTTAAGTGGAGAAAACCGTCATCTTTATCATAGGGATTCTTCCATGAGCATGCTTTATATCTGCCTAATTTGGAACTAATAGCTCTCGATAACATTTGATAATTTTCTCATTTAAAGTCTGAAGCATCTTTGTTAGACTTATTTCCATGTACCTTACTATTTTGTGGCAGTTATAATTGGTGTTCATTGAAGAGTTGTTTTTCCTCTAAGTGGTTGTTGCTGGTTTGTAGGAATACAGTTGATTTTCTTCTTAGCTGTAATTAATGCTGAGAGTTTGTAGATTATCTCAGGTTTTTCCATACAGGTAAATAATATATTGTCTATATAGATATGATCGTTTGGGTGTTTTTAATTCCAATCATTATATCTTTTATTTATTGCACTGGCTAGAACCGCCACTGTTGAGCAGAAATGACAATATTGAGCAACCTTGTCCTGTTCTTGATTTTTAAGGACAATCCATGTAAATCTTCACCAGTGTGCACAGCTGTTGGTGCAGATTATTTTGTAGATATGTGTTTTCCATCTGTTTTTTCCCAGTTTGGCAAGAATTGTGTTTTGGTTTGTTTTTGTGTGTTCCGTGAACAGGCACTGGATTTTATCAAATGATTTTACCCTGTCCATTAAAATGATAGCCCAATCTTGTTTCTTTCCATTAATGGGATGATTTACATTAACATTCCTTTCTAATGTTAAGGCATTTTTACACTGCTGTGATACACCAAACTTGTTCTGGTTTATTATCATTTCTGTGCGTCACTTAAGTCTGCAGTATTTAATTTAGCATTTAGCTTGAATTATAAATTTCCTTTCTCCTATTATACTTACCTCATTTTAGAGTCAAGATTATCCTCATAAAATATACTTGGGAGTGTAAGCTTTTATCTTGGTCTTTGGTGAAGTTTGTATGAACTTGGAATTAATTATCTACTCCTTGAATGTTTAGTGGAATTTTCCCCGTGTTCCTGGTAGTTTTCTTGACGTTGTTTTTTTTTTTTTTGAACTAAAGATCTATTTTTTTTAATGTCAACTTTTATTTTTAGATAGAATGGTTACACATACAGGTTTGTTACATGGGAATATTGTGTGATGCTGAGGTTTGGGGTGTGGATCCCATCACCCAGGTTTTGAGCATAGTATCCAATAAATAGGTTTTCAACCCATATCCCCTCCCTGCCCCCTCGAGTAGTCCACAGTAATTTCTTTAATCGTTGTTAAGTCTAGTCAAGTTTTCTATTTCTTCTATAGTTAGTTTAGGCAGGATATGTTTCTCTTTCAAAATTTCTACGTTGTCTAGGCATTAATTTATATCAGTATGAAATTGTTTTTGGTATTATCTTGTTTATTGTTTATGTCTAATCATATTCTGCTTGTTAATTTTTAATATTGTTCCTTTGTGTTCTCTCTCTCTCTCCTCCTGTCCACTGCTCTTCATCTTTCTCCCTTCACCAGTATTGCCAACGTTGGCTGTTTCGTCAGTCTTTTCAGAAACCAACTTTTGGTTTGGTTGATTTTGTTGATTCTCTCTATTGTACTTTTCTTTCTCTCTTTCTTTCCATATATATATATATATATATATATATATATATATATATATATATATTTAGTTTTGTTTGTTTTTTTTTTTTTGTTTTGTTTTTTGAGACAGAGTCTCACTCTGTCACCCAGGCTAGAGTGCAGTGGCGCCATCTTGGCTCACTACAACCTCCGCCTCCCTGGTTCAAGCGATTCTCCTGCCTCAGCTTCCTGAGTAGCTGGGATTACCTGCGCGTGACACCACGCCTGGCTAATTTTTGTATTTTTAGTAGAGACGGAGTTTCACCACGTTGGTCAGGCTGGTCTCGAACTCCTGACCCCGTGATCCGCCCGCCTCAGCCTCCCAAAGTGCTGAGATTACCATGCCCGGCCTCTATTGTACTTTTCTTTTATACCTCATTGCTTTCTCGCCTCATATTATTTTTTCTTTTTATTTTTCTGCTTTTCTTTTGCTCTTCTTTCAAGCATGGATATGACTCTACACAGCTGCACCCAGGGGTGACCTTTAAAGACAGTGCAGAGAAAAGTATCTCCCTGTTGTGGGGTGGGGGGACGGGGGAGGGATAGCATTAGGAGATATACCTAATGTTAAATGACGAGTTAATGGGTGCAGCACACCAACATGGCACATGTATACATATGTAACAAACCTGCACGTTGTGCACATGTACCCTAAAACTTAAAGGATTAAAAAAAAAAAAAAGAAGTCTGTTGAAAAGATACACTATGGACCTTGGGCTCAAAGACCTACGGTAGGAAGCTCTGAGTAGGATGTGAGAAAAATCAATGTGACAGTGAAAAACAATTATTATGTACAACTCTTTTATATTCTAAAGAAGGGGGTTAAGAATAAAGATCCTTGATGTGCTGATCAGGGTGATGAGTCTGAGGATTCAGTCATCAGAATCTCACAGAGATAAATGGCTCCACAGAGAAAAGAGATTTGAAGGGAATGATACTGTTCAGGAAGAACAGGAGCTGATGCCCATCCATCTCATGAGGGTATGAGGAAGAGAGGCAAGATAGTCTAACGCAGACTGTTTGGTGACATTTCACTGGGACACGTGCCATTGAATCTCCCCCGTTTGTCCCCATGAAGACGTCTACAAATGCGCATTGAATGTTTTGGTAATCAGATTTATCATTGGTTTGGGGGTGGGGGGTGAATTTCAGCATCTACTGTCAAGCGGGGCAAGAGCAAAGGTAGCTCTTGGCGCCCTAATAGTACTCTGCTTCAATAAGTTAGCTGTGGTCATTGCAAATTATGTCAGCAGAAGTTGAGTGGTTAAACATGGGCTTTACCTTCAGAGAAACGGAACAATTCTGAAAAAGAAGAAAAGAGAGAAGATCCAAACTTGCCACAGGCACATGCAGCAGGTTCTCCAGTCCTCTTTAGAGTGGTTTAGCTGTTTAAAAACATTGGGTGGGTTCTGGCACGTGCCTAGTGTTTTCCACTCTTACCCTGTTTATGCACCTCTGTCCTGCTTCCTTGATCAGCTGCCCACCAGTCCTGAGATTCTCCCAACATGGATCACTTCTCAGTCATTGAGAAGGGAATATGAGAGGAGGTCTAGATCATTATGTTCTTATTTGGCAGTTTAATTGTTAAAAGGAACATTCACCAATATACTCCCACCTCGACACCCACAGAACGTAAAAATAAACTGTTGTAGGATGTGGTACAGTGGCTCTTACAGGGTATACTAGAGAAGAATGAGGATGTGAAGAAAACTGGGGTTCACATTGAGCCTGGGGTGGAAATCCTGGCTGTTCAGGGTGGTGGAAAGTGTAGGGCTGATTGCCATTCCTATGATGCCTTCCTTGAATCCTCCGGTAAGTATCCACATCTTCTAGTCTCTGACTTCGACCATATTTATCACCTCTAATACCAGAGTTCTGAAGTTTGTTTCTTGCTGGATTAGTTTCTGTGGTCTTCTAAGGACTTATGACCTATACGTCTGTTTTATAGCCTATAAAATTTTGCTAACATATTTTTCTTGGTGTGGTGTCGTTGTCTGGTACCTTCTGATTTTTTGTCCCGCTTTGCACCCCCCGCCCCCCCCCACTTCATTATTAGGGGTTTTCTGGTGGGAGCATAAAAAGCATTTGCACTCAGTATTCCTGAAGTAATCAGAAGTAAATTGATAGATTCTCTAATGTTCCACTACCCTTTCATTCCTGGAACGAACGCTTTTTTAATAGACATATACTAGTTAAGTTTAGTAATAATTAATTTAGAAGTTTTGCATCTGTAATTATATATACTATAATTTTTACTGCTCGTACTGTCCTTTTTGAACTTTCAGTGTCTAATTTTACCAGCCTCATGATAGAGACTTTAAAAATAATCTCATTGACTTTACTGACAAATGTCTTATTATGTCTGAAATATAATGGATCTAGAACCTGAAAAAATTAGTTAATGAAATGCACTGAAATGAATGGAAAGTAGGATACTCTTCTATGGTTTTTAAAAATTGAGGCATTTACTGAGTCATATAGTGGCCCCCGCCAAATTCCTGTCCACCCTGAACCTGTAAATGTGGCCGTATTTGGAAATAGTGTTTTTTCAGACGCAGTCACATTAAGATGAGATCATATTGAACCAGGCAGGGTAGGCCCTAACTCCAATATGACTGCTGTCCCTATAAATAGAGGTAGATTTGGACAAGGAGACACAGACACATAGGGGAGTCGCGTGGAGACAGAGACAGAGACTGGAGTAAGGCATTACAAACCAAGGAGTGACAAGGAGTACCAGCATCCACCAGGAACTAGGAGAGCTAAGAAAGGCTTCTTCCGTCAGATGGAGCATGGCCCTGCTGACATCTTGATTTTGTACTTCTAGCCCCCAGAACTGTGTGAGAATAAATTTATCTTGCTTTTAGCCACCCAGTTTGGGTATTTTGTTATGGCAGCCCTAAGAAACTAATGCAGATTTTAGTGCTAAGACGTGGGTTGTTCCTGTCACAAATGCCTAAAAATATGGAAGTGGCTTTGTAATTGGGTAATGACTAGAGGCTGGAAGACTTGAGGCACATGATATGAAAACCCTAGATTGCCTTGAAGAGACCGTTGGTAGAAATATGAATGCTAAAGGTGATTCTTGTGAGAGCTCCAGAAGGAAGTGAGAAGAGTTGTAGAGGAAGTGCTTATCATCTTAGAGAACACGTGTATCATTATGAACAGAATGATGCTAGAAATATGAATATTCAAGCTGCTTATGATGCCGTCTGAGATGGAAATTAGACACATGTTAATGAGCACTGGAGGAAAGGTGACCCTTGTGATAGAGTGTCAGAAAACTTGAATGAATTGTGTAGAAAGCAGGTCTTGTAAGCGACGAACTTGGATATTTAGCTAGGAGATTTCCATGCAAACTCTGGAAGGTGTGGCCTTGTCTCTTTATAGTAAAACGTGAGAGTAAAGAGATAAGTTGAGGAAGGAACTGTTAAGCCAAAAGGAAGCACGCTTGATGATTTGGAAAATTCACAGTCTACCCAGATAGTGCACTATGGAAACAGGGCCAAAAGTGTGGCTGAACAGCCATTTGCTAATGAGACTAGCTAGGCATGTGGACCCAACCAACCACCTTGGCCCTAAGCCAGGAAACCAGATAGGTTAATCCAGGAAGGACCCACACAGAGCCTACATATCTAGTTGTGTGGATCCCCTTGGCATCTGCAAAAACATGGCAAGGATTTTGAGAGTTTTATACTAGCAGAAACGCTGCCAGCCTGGACTGAAATGTCCAGAGATGGGACAAAAATGAAAGAAGAATGTCTCTGAAGGCAGAAACATGGAAGACCAGACCAGAAATGGCATTGTCATTACCCTGGAGGGCTGGATGGACTGAGTCCCTGACCCAGAAAGCCAGGAAGATGGGGCTGCCTCCCTGGAGGGTCCTAAAGTTTGGGGCTGCCTCCCTGAAGGGCCCTTGGGACAGAAGATTGAGCCATGGAAGTTTACTCTTGGCCTGAAACTTAATGGACTTTTTTCCTGCTGGGTTGTGAACCTGCCCCAGAGCGACAACCCCTTTAATCTTTCCACCTTCTCCCTTTTGTGAAGGGGACGTCTAACCTACGTCCGTCCCACTGTAGTATTCTGGAAGTAGATAACTTGTTTTCTAGCTTCATGGGTCTGCAGACAGAGAGGAACATTGCCCCAGGGTGGACCTTGCCCAAAGTCTACTCGGTAAGATCCTGACAATTTTAGATGAGATTTTGGATTTAGGGTTAATGCTGGAATAGGTGAAGATCTGGAGGATTTGGAGATGGGGTGAATATAATTTACTCACGGTAAGAATGTAAAT
Organism: Homo sapiens; assembly: GCF_000001405.40. Lineage (NCBI taxonomy): Eukaryota > Metazoa > Chordata > Mammalia > Primates > Hominidae > Homo > Homo sapiens. The sequence goes on along the minus strand of NC_000023.11, from coordinate 102,389,302 downwards.
ATTGGGGAGCCAGAGGGCAGACTCTATTGGGTTGAATAGTGCGTGCACCCCCCTCCCCAAATTTATGTCTACCTGGAATCTGTGAAGGTGATTTTAATTGGAAGCAAGGTCTCTGTAGATGTAATCAAGTGACGATAAAGTCACACTGGACTAGGGTGTGCCCTAATCCAATGACTGGTATCTTTATAAGAAGAGGAAAATTGGGACAAAGAGACAGACACACAGGGAGAATACCATGTGACAACCGAGGCAGAGATTAGGGTTAAGCTGCCACAAGCCAAGGAATGCCAAGGATTGCCAGCAACCACCAGAAGCTAAGAGAGATGTGTGGTACAGATTCTCTCTTTAACTGCCACCCTCACCACAAGGTACCAATCTTTCTGACACCTTGATTTCAAACGTTTGGCCAATAGAAATGTGAGAGTTTAAAATTCTGTTGTTTCAAGCCACCCGTTTATGGAAATTTGTTATAGCAGCCTGAAGAAACGAATACAGCACTTGAGTCCTGTTTAGCAAGGATCAAGCTAGAGCTCTTTGGTCACTGTGTCTAGCCTGGTGAACATCAGTGGCTGCTTGGGGCAGCCATATGGACATTATTTGTGATTGTGCATCCCTGAGATGGGCCTGGGGATGAGCCCTTGTGAGTTATGCAAAAAAAAAAAAAAAAAAAAAAAAGGAAGGACCCCAGCACCCCAGGGAGACTTAAGCATGGCACCAAGTTGCCTAACAGTCATTGTTTTTCAGGCATGGGTACCACAGTTGCTGCCGTAGCATGCATTCTCCTTACCCTCAAGCGTATTCATGTGCATAGCCATGGCAGCCGGTGTCCCAGGGACTGATGATTAAATAAAGAGGGTGGTGGAGGAGGAGCGTTTGGCACTCAGCTGCTCCCACAGTGCTAAACCACTTAGCCCTTATTCTATGCAGAGCTATATCTAAGTTTATTTAATTCTCACGCCAAATTGAGGATCATGATGGAAAATTTTGTCTATAGCTAAATAGAAAGCTGAAACTAAGAAAGGTCAAGTATCATGAAGTAAAAGAGAGGTTCTATTAGTAATAGCAAAAACTTGGACTTCAAGCACTGTGTTCCTTTCATTTGTTTTTAAATTTTATTTATTTTTTAATTAGACAAAATTGTATATATTTACGGGGTACAATGTGGTATTTTGATAAGTGTATACATTTAGAAAGACTAACTCAAGCTAATTAATATATCCATCATCTCACCTACTTATCACATTTTGTGTTAAGAATATCTAAAATCTACTTTTAAAGCAATATTGAAATATATGATACGTTGTTATTAACTCTGCTCACTATGCTGTGCAATTGATCACCAAAACATATTCCTCCTGTCTAACTGTGCTCCAGTCCCAAATCCTCAGCAGTAAAATGCCCCTGTCTCTCCTCAGTGAAACCACTCTTGATTAATAAAGTAGTCTTAGTGTAGTCTTACCTGGGGCTTAGTTGTCCCAGATCTTTCCTGCCATCCACCAGAACCTCTTTGCCTGTAGAGAGTCCTCTGAACTTGAGAAGCTGCAGGATTATGAAAGCCCAGCATGTCATACACTTGCCTGCTCATTGCTCCTTCTCTCACCTTGGCTCTCTTGTCTCTCATAGCAATGTCATCTCAATATCGGGCATCATGAACATAACTCTTCCGGCCTGTCACAGAAATGAAGCAAATAAACTGATGGAAAAAAAACCATAAAGAAACCCACAATACCAGCCACAAGTCAAACCATTTAAAACTGTTACTTTTGTATTAGTATCAGACAAAATAGACGTTAAGACAACAATAATTATTTGGAATAAAGAAGGCCACCATGTAGTCATGATAGAACATTTATCAAAGAGCTAAAAAGTCTGAACTTAACATGCACTCAAAAACATAGCCAAGAAATACATAAAGCACGATGTTCAGAGTTACAAGAAGGTTGCCACAATAAAATATAAAAGTGCACTATTTTAGAGTTGGGGCAGTTCCAAGAAGTAGCAAGATCCAGGGAGTGCCCCTGAGCATGGCAGTCAAATAAGAGGTCTTGCGACCATGAGGCTTGGAATCAGACTGGTTTTCTACATGGACATTGAAATCACCCAGGACTGTGACAAGATTAGGTGTAGAAACTCTGAATGAGACATAAAAATCTTTGACCAAAAGACCAATACGTTGGTTTTATTTTAGAAAGCCATCTTTGTAAGATGCCCAGGATGGCCATAAAATTGAATGTGTATTGGTCAGGGATATTTAAACTACAACTAACAGAAAGTGCAAGTCTCGCTGGCTTATCCAATAGGTAAAGACACTTGCTTATATAACTGAGAGTTCAGAGGCAGAGTGAGTTTCATGGTTAACTGAGCCAGTAACGGAAAGATGTAAACATCCAGGCTAAATCTTGACCCAACCACTGCTGGATTGGGCATTGGATTATTGGATTAGATTAGACTAATTCTGGGCCCACTCTTGGAGCTAAGAAAGTGGCCATATATCCTCAAGCACATGACTCTACTGGGAGGAGATACACTGATGGAGGCCTGAGCCCAGCCAGGAAGGTGAGGAATGTATATTGTGTAGGTAAACAAAAATGTCACCTGCAGGTACAGACTCAAATTATATATACCGCTATGAGCATAGTAACCACAATATTCAAGTCCTTCTTGTGTCCTAATAGAGTGACTCTTCGGGTAACAAAGACGGATATTTTATTCAGGAGCTACCTATATTGAATTCATGAATAGGCGGTTACAAAGCATGAGAGCTCTCCCCTGTGCAGTATATGTTTTGGAAGAACCTCAACAGGCATCCACTGTGGGATGCTTAAATCCCATTTTCATTCTTTTTCGATTCGTCGGCAAAGTTTTCTATTCGCTCTTGTCCTGAGATGATGTTGTGTTAGGATTATTTGACCAGAGGTAACTGAATTCTTCGTATTTACCGTTAAGTTTTGTCTTTCTGTAAACACGCGACACAGACTTCACAAAGATATCAAAGATCCTCAGATTTCAGTATGGAACAACCTTAAAAGCCCTGGGTCTTTAGAAGAAAGTCAGACTCAGCCAGGCGCGGTGGCTCACGCCTGTAATCCCAACACTTTGGGAGGCCAAGGCGGGCTGATCACGAGGTCAGGAGATCGAGACCATCCTGGCTAACGTGGTGAAACCCTATCTCTACTAAAAATACAAAAAAATTAGGGCTTGGTGGCACGCGCTTGTAGTCCCAGCTACTCAGGAGGCTGAGGCAGGAGAATCACTTGAACCCGGGAGGCGGAGGTTGCAGTGAGCCAAGATCGCACCACTGCACTCCAGCCTGGGCAACAGAGCGAGAGTCCGTCTCAAGGAGAGAAAAAAGAAGAGAGTCAGACTCCTATAATGTACCAAAATTAAAGAACAACCTTTTCCTCTAATGCACACATTTATTCACGCTTTGAAAAGAATATGTTTCCATAACAATACCAAATATGCATATGAAAAGAAAATTAAAAATAAGATAATCACCCAATCTGCGAATATGCAGATTTGAAAATTAATTATCAATATATAAATGGAAGCTCTTAATAAAGACGTTGTAGTATCACATAGACAAGATATGTAATGTGTTATTGCTCATGTTTTGCCTTAGTCTGCATCTACACTGTGAAATGAGCTTAATCGTGTTCACTGGTTCATTATTTGCTAACTCCTTGATTGACTTAGCCAGTTGAGCAATCCAGCCAGTGAGTCATTCTATAACTGTTGATAAACTACGTGATGTTTTAAATCCAAGGATTAAAAGAAAACACAAACATTATATATCTTGCCTTTTTTCACAGGATCTAATCACTGATAATAAATTATCAGTGATAAGCTGATCACAAGAAACAAGGTATAAATGCTGCATACACTAAAAAGAAAACAATGTGGCTGACTATGTTTTAAAAATTATCTGACAGTATTTTCCAACAGAGTATTTAGAACTATTTCTTGAATTGCAAAATATAGTTGCCTTGAGCAGATAACAGGAAGCAATCTGGGAAATTTAAAATTCTCTACTTTTAATACATTAGAAATCTTTGAATCATAATTGCTCATTGTTTTAAATGGTCTTCACAGTGGAGGGGGTTTGGACCAGAGAGCTGCATCTTCACAAATGGCACTGCTCTTCAGTAAACACCCTCTATGGAATCCCTACCTTTTCACTCCTCTCCATCCTTTGCCTGAAGGAAGTTTTCCTTGTAGACATAATTTTGTATTTGTATGTTGTGGTAGTCCTCAAAGAGTGAGCCTATTACCTAGAGCTGTTGAATTTTACCTTGCATTGAGGGGTTGGCATATTGAGCAATTTGCCAGGGAGCACTATCTGCAACTGCTTCTCTTTTTTTCCTATTGCTTGGCACTGACATAAAGTTACTTCTAGCTACGCTAATGAATTTCACGAAGGAACACAGAAAAACAGGTCTTGAATGTAATGCCCGTAATGATAGAGTCCCATCTTATGCTTTCCCTTGTATGCTGTTGCTAGGTCAGTCATTTTTACTTTCTGAAAGTTAATTTACATAGGACACCTAGTTCAGGTGTATGTATCTGTTCAAACCAAAAGCGTTAGAGTATTTATGTTTAATTTAACAACGTCGCAACCGTTCTGATACTTAGGGGAGTTCTGAGTAAGTAAGTTCTAGAAAGGGGAGTTCCAGTACTCCCCTTTCTCTCTTTTCTGTGTTAGGTAAAGCCACCCCTCCTAAAGCCACTAGCATGGATCCCCAAAATGTCCACCACAGAACGAAAAGGTAAAAGAAGGAGAAGTTGTTCCTGTTAAATCCTGCCGTATCACACGCAAGAGAAATGGCTTATCAACCTGCCTCACCCCAGTAAACACAGCGCCTAATAAATTCAGTGCCTAAACTGGACCCCGGACATATGAATCTTTGTCCACAGAGTTACCTTCCCCCACTGTTTGTGCATATTAGAGCACCGACAGACTTCCATTGGTGTAACTTAAAAAAAAAAAAATCCTAACAAAGTCCTGATAATCATCTCAGAGAAAGAGTGAATGATATGAGTATCAGGTCTGACAGGAGCAAACTGTGAATTAAAGTAAGAGTTATAATTAGGATTTGTCTTTTGGTGAAAGAATTTGACCATCATCAATACCGTGTAAGTTCCAGTTGAGCATAGGTGGGCTAGATAAAATTGTGCTGTGCCTTTTACTGGTGATCTGTTCATCTGTATGTAATGATAGAAACGGGGGCCAGGGCAGATACCAGGTCTTGAAGTAGGCTTCCATCCTGTGACTTTGTATAGATACTTCCTAAATCCAACTTGAAATTTCATAATAGGCTCTTTCATAAATATGTAGCCCCATTTTATATCCTCTATTTACATGTGTCCCATAAATAATTCTCCAGAATTATCCGAGACCCACTGATTGGCGCTTCCTAGTCATTCATTCCAATTATCATGACTTCAGTCTACGGCCATACCACCGTGAACGCGCCCAATATCGTCCAAATATCATGACTTCCTTTGATAACCTTAGAGCCACTAACACAGCCTGTTGTCCTCACTAGTATATTCAACTTTAACTGTGGTGGAAAATTTGGTCTGTTGAGTTTTCTTCTGCTTATTTATGTAGCCAGGCCACAGTGCGGGAACCTAGCAAAGTAATCCCAATGCTTGTATAGCATTGTTTGCCTCTGCAAGCAAATCAGAAAGACTCCACTCCACCAAATTTATTTTGGACATGCAGGTGAAGCTGCAGTTTCCCACACAAACCAGCAAAACAGGTGGTCGTGAAATTGCGATTAACAACAACTGCAATGTGTACTCTCCTTCTCTTTTCTCTATCCTTTCTGGGGAGACACAGGCAGAATAAAAATACAGTGAAATCTAATTATAATTCAGATTCCACTCATACAAAATTGTTGCAGTTCAGGCCAGAGCCAGGTATGATGTTTTAAAAGTGCTAATCTTTCTCTTTTCAGTAATTTTTTTAAAGAAGGAAATGTTTTCAGCTAACCTCAAACATTTTATACTGACTTTCATATATACATATTTTATATATTAATGGTAGGTTTATATGTATACATTTAAATGAATCTCCTGAGGTCCTTAATTAGATTCAGCATTGACTGGTGCTAATTACTGACAGTACTTGAAATTTCTTAGTTGGTATTTCAAAGAGAACATCCAAGACCTCAACTCTTCAGTAACTGGGTCTGGCTTCCAGTTTGTGTGAATTAATAAGGCTGAACTAAAATTAATTTCCTTTGGAAAACCCGGGGGTGGTCAGAACAGTCTAGCACCATACTGCCTGGGGGAGACAGCTGGTTTGCCACCTGCAATGTCTGTGACCTCTTAGGCAAGTGATTTAACGCCTCTGTGCTTCAGTTTCCTCGTCTGTAAAATTCTGTTATACTACCTACTCCATAGAGTTAGCACTCTTAAATGCGGTAACCTTTTGGAGTGTGTGGCACATACTAATCACTATACACATTTTCTTTTTCAAATGAACAACTAAAATTCATTAGGTTTGCCCTAATTTCCTTTGGCCCTGTATGAAATTAAGTAAACAGTGCTTACCTGTACGGACTGCTTAGGCTCTTGCAGTAGTGTCTATGATTATGGTTTTAGTGAGGACCTTCTTCATTGTGAAGTATTAAATTTCACGTGTTGTTAGAAATGAAACACATAAAATATATTAAAGAGGGATGGGGGGCCGGGAGCGGTGGCTCATGCTGTAATCCCAGCACTTTGGGAGGCCAAGGCGGGCAGATCACCTGAGGTCAGGAGTTCGAGACCAGCCTGGCCAACATGGTGAAACCCCGTCTCTACTAAAAAAATACAAAAATTAGCTGGGCGTGGTGGTGGGCGCCTGCAATCCCAGCTACTTGGGAGGCTGAGGCAGGAGAATCGCTTGAACCGGGAGGCGGAGGTTGCAGTGAGCTGAAATCATGCCATTGCACTCCAGCCTGGGCAACAAGAGCAAAACTCCGTCTCAAAAAAAAAAAAAAAAAAAAAAAGTGAGGTGAGGGTAGCAAAAGCTCAAGTCTGTGTGCTGTGGGAGGTTATCTGGAGGTACCACCATCTCAGTAATATGGGCAATCTCAGAGCTCCAGGTCTCATGAACAGAACGGTCTCCTGAAACATGCAGATCAGGAGAACTCTGCAGTGGTTGGATTCTACTGTCAGGAAGTTGACCCAAGCTCACCCACCTATCCTGGGTACTTGAGCCTTGCAGGATCCTAAGGCTGCAAGCCACGTGGATGCCACCATCATGTGAACACTACAATTATGAGCCCTACTGATAGGGCCCTACTGGTCATATCAGCACCAAGGGCTCTAAAACTTTGAGGTCATGTGGCCTCTCTTGTCATGTTGCTCCTATGGTCATGTGATGGGCCCAGCTCTTCCAGTCACTACAGTATGGTGGACTCCTGAACCCTGTTGCTCACATGGATTCTTCCCTCACCTGGCCATTACTGGCTACCAGCATGTGGAAGTCTCAGCCCTCGAAGTCATATAGATGACCTACTGTTTAGGGTCATGTGGATGCTATGGTCATGTCCACTGCTCCCACTCACCCCTCCCCATGGCCACAGTGTTAGGCTCATTCCTCTCTGTCACGTGAAGATTGTGAGCTGCCAAACTCTGCAGATGTGTGTGTGGGCAGCCAAGTGGCTCCTGTCATCTCGTGGCAGGCAAAGCCTTTGCGGTCCTGTGAGCACCGCAGCTAACCAATGGCTGTTGTACATGTGGCTCTTATGGTCACGTGAGATTCCGCACCCTCCCATTCACGTGAAGATTGAGTGCTCCGAATCCTGTCAGAGAGGTGCTTCCGGCTCCACACCCTGACTCAGGCGGAAGTTTTATTGGACTTCGGCTCAGATCTGAAGCCTTCCGGCAACTTTCATATCCTGACGCGCTGGAAGGAAGTCTGGTACGAGTGGAACCAGCCGGTACTAGAAGTTTACTGAGAATTGGGCTTTAAGGCGTGGCTGAGCAATCTCCAAATAGCAGAGGCTCTGAGGGGGTGGGGTGGGGTGGGGTGGGTGGGGGGTGCCGGGGGTGCGGGAGGGTGGGGGGTGCGGGAGGTGCGGGAGGGTGGGGGGGTGGGGAGGGTGGGGGGTGCGGGAGGGTCGGGGTGTATGGGGGGTTTGGGTGGAGGTAGCGGAGGACTTCCCTAATGTGGCCGAACTTGTGAACACCTGGCAGAGAAACTGTGTGTGCGTGCGTGTGTGTGTGTGCGTGCGCACCCATGCATCTATGTCTGCCATCCGCCTTGATCCTGGACTCACAGGAGCTGTTGTTGGAGGAGAAGGCACTGGGGCAGAATGTGGGGCTGGGGGATAGGGGTAGGGTTGGTAGTGGGGCGGCAGGGATTCATGAACTCGTAAGTCGTTTCTCAGGGGCAGGGCTGTGGAAGCCTGATGGGATTCCCCCCCCTTCCCGCCCCCACACTAAAAGCCCTACCCTTGCCTGTCACTCTGCCCGATTCACCGTCTGTGCCAGGTGATTCTGTCCTCTGCCCCTCCTCAGACCATGTTGTTATTAAGGACACTCGAGACTGCCTAGATCCCAGTTTGTATAGACGATTCCAGACCCAATCTTAATTTCTGTCTCTTATTTGATTATGTAAAGATTCTCTTTGTTTCCATGATTTATTTTTCTACTAAACCTTCTAAACATGGGCTCAGGGGGGTGGGCGAAAGGGAGAGAGGGGAATCGGGAATTTTTTTAAAAAGAGAATTTGATATTTCAATAAAAGTGTCCAAGTCGTCATGATGTGAAGATTCAGAATTTACTTGTTATACTTTATTTGAACTCCATTGGCTTTAAAAAGTACATTTGGGAGTGGGTGACATTTTTTTTGTGTGTGTGTGCGCTTAGGATCTCTCAGTAGCTTATAGTAGTATAGCTTCACACTCTTTTGTTTCTGATTCTCCCCCCATCAACCCCTGATTTTCTAATGATTGCTTCTTAGATTCCTTTCTGAAAACTCTCTCCTTTTCTTCCTGTGGAAAAAAGTATAGTGAATGGATTTAAGGTACAATCATGGGTGATAACATTTGGTACATCATGAAAGCGGTATTGGGTGAATGAAGTTGAGCAAATAGCAAGATTGTGCTTAAACTTACGGGGTTTCAAATATTGCTTGTCAGATGGTTAGAGAATATTGTCACTTGTGATATTTGATATTACATGTAGGTTGAATAATCTATTTTTCTCTCATTTCAGCATTTCCAAGTTCGTTCTGTGAGACTGTAGTGTCAGGACAAAGCAACAACAAAATGTGCTCTACTCTAAAGAAGTGTGGGACATACAGAACTGAAGGTAAACGAATACTGTAGGATTTTTTTAGATGATATGCTAATAAACAACACGAGTCTCAAAGGGGGGGCTACTTTCCCCAACTTGTATGGGAATGGAACATTTTTTTCCACAGAGCATTTGAGGTACCAGTGTTCTTCAGAAAATATTTGGGGAAACCCTGTTCAGACTACATCTTCTAACACTTTAAAACCTTGTGCCTTTGTTTACTCAGAACAATGGAATGTGGGTTTATAATAGTTGTAATCTAGTCTGCTCATTAAGACATTGATTGTTGCTCTTTAATTCATTTTATCTCATGTCATCAGTCAGTCTCTCCTGCTTGAATCTTTGTACTTTTTTACTCTTCAGAGATACCGCCAAGCATGCATCTGATACCATGGTGGTGGCAGACAATATGTGCATAAATGCAAGTCATTAGGAAGCCTTACCTGTGGCAGCAAATAAAGTGCCCCCACTCTTGAAAACAAGATACAACTTACCTGTCAGGACAAGCAGATGCAGTACCGCTCATTTTACACAATAAAAAACCACACTTCTTCAGAACCATTTTATTATTACTTAATAATTACAGCTGCCATAGTTTGAGCCCCTGTCATATGTCAAGCACTGTGATAACCTCGGCTGTCATGCAAGTTACTGCATTTAACCCTCAGGAAAGTCCTGAGAGGGTGTTATCTTAATTGACAGATGAGATATATGAGTCAGGAGAGGCTGAGTGTAACGCTGTGCTTATAGGCAACCCCCAAACCTCAGTGACTTATTTCTCACTCCTGCTGCATGTTTATGCCAGGTGCATATCCTTCACGGGATGGTGGATGTTGGGTTCTGAGCCATTCTTATTGGAATGACTCAGAGACCCAAACTAATGGAGCAGCCACCATCTAGAAAGGGGTTACTCACTGCGTCAGAGTGGGAGAGAGCCGTAGAGGGTCTCAAACCAACAACCAAAGGTTCTGACCCAGAAATAACCCGTGTCACTCGTCACTCACAACCCATTGGCCAGAGCTAGTCACATGCACGGCCCTGCCCCAAGGAAGGCAGTCGGGTCGGGCAGTCCTACCAGGTGCCTGGTACAGGGGAGAATGTAAACACTTGGTAAATGGCAGCACTGACTACTGCATGAAGGAATCAAAGCTGGGAGGGATTAAGTACTTGCCTAACATCACATCGGCCGTAAGTGACAGAATCAGGATTTGAATCCACCCAGGCGTGATTTCAAAGTCGATGTCCTTTCTGCTTCTTTCTACGCTGCCTGCTCTTCTCTTAAAGGAAGCTTATAGTAAAAATTCTTTTACATCAATGATGCAATGCCCTCTTCCTTAATCATCTGATAGTTTAATTGAATAGACACGATGGCACTGGTTAAAAAGACCAGCACTGATAAGCCAGAGGTCTTTTCCAAATGAGGGAATGTATTGGATATTTGAATATCCATTGTATTCAATTATAAAAATAAAACCAGGTGGTAGATGAAAGGACTTTTCATTGATCATTTACTTAATGTGGAATAATCCCCATGTCTTACCGCTATGTTGAGGAAAAATGATAAAAAAATAGAGCCTACCTTGATGAAAGTGAAAACACCATGTGAGAGAGTTGAACAAAATTGCTAGATGTCAGTGTTTCAGAAGCGCAGGATAATGATAAAATCTCTGGCCACACGGGCAGAGAAAATTAGCGAGGTGGTGCGGGTCAGCCACTTTTGGAATGAAGATAGTGTCACACTTACAGTGACAGAAAAGATTGAAAAAGATCACATTATGAAAAGGATGTGAAAATTTGAAAATTTAGATTAAATAGATGAATTCCAGGGGAAAAATATATATAACTTTCCAAACTGAAGGAATAGAAAACCTTGGTTTATTCAATGTATTCTTGACAAGGAATACATGCAAAGGCAAAATTACTAGCCAACCCGAATTAGTTACATAAACGCAAATAATATAAATCAATTAATAGCAAACTAAACCCAACAATGGGTAAAGCAGATAATACAGCATGACGAGGTTGTGTTTAATCCCAAGCATGCAAGCTGAGTTTAACATTTTAAGAGATCCATAATGTAATCTAACACATTAGCTGAATAAAGGGAGGAGGACAGGACAAATACCACAAAAGATCCAGTTAAAAAAAAAAGTATGCAATAAATTAACCAACCGGGATTGAACAACAACAATACCAATAATTCTCAGCAGATCGGTAATATAGAAAGCTATCTCTTTAAACTGACAATGGGTATCAAAACAATAGACCCCATCAGACACCACCCTTAATAGTAAAACATTAGAAGTATTCTCCTTACAATCAGAAAAGGGATAAAGATGACTGGTATGACGAATTCTGTTCAATGTCGTACTGAGTCTAGTGCAGTAAGCCATATGTCATACTAGGCAGTGCGGTAAGCTGTGATACATGCATGCCTACATACATAAATTAATACGTGTATAAAAGTGAAAAAGCTGTCAACGTGACTATCTTCATATGAAACTCAAGAGAAGCTACAGAAAATTAAAAATAATAATGGAGATTAACAAGTTTGTTGGCTATAAGACGAACATACACAAACCATTGTAACAAAGAAAATACCATCATTATTGTAAATATACCATTTACAACAGAAAACATGTCTTGTGAAATATACGATGAATCTGCTTACTTGGCAACTATTCCAGCACTCTTAAACATTCTTATATGCTTTCCTGTACTGTAGAGACTAGAAAGTTGGAACATGAAAGGAAACACACATGCACATGACCCCACGCATGTGCGCACACACTCTCTTTCTCTCTCTCTCTCGCTCTCTCTCTCTCACACACACACACACACACACACACACACACACACAAATACACTCTCACACACATACAATTTACCAGAGTCCCTTGCAGTTAGGGTCTCAAATGGGATATTTATCGCATCAAGCGTATGTGCCAACATGAGACTCAGAGGTGGAACTGAATAACATGGGAGCCATATGTGGGGTGGACTACCTGTGATGAGGGAGGTCTCCAGTTTTCATGCGGCAGCCATTGCAGAGTTTCTAGAATTCAGTCTCTGTCATGCATGTCAATTAACGGGCAGGCAGCAGTGGTATTTCAGCTGTAGCAGTTCCATCACGTGGGTGGACTTCTCCTGGCTGTGCAGCATCCAGGCCTGCTTTTCTGGCCCTCACAGAGTTTTTGTAAGCTATGTAATATATTTTATTAGAGATATCTTGTTTGTATAAAAGAGCTAGAGTGAATTCTGGCATAGGCAAGTTGGGACCTTGATTAACAGAGTACTTGGCAGCAAAATTGGTTGCAAGCAAAAGACCTTGAAGGAAATGGGGATCTGGGGTAGATTTGGCCCACAGGGCATAGTTGCTGACCTCTAAGCTAATAAGTTGCTGACCTCTAAGCTAATAGACTCACTGGGTCCCCAAAACAGTGCTGAGTGGGAAGTCAGCAAAATGAGGAGGCAGCTATTGCTAGGATCCTCTGGCAAGCATAAGCCAAAAACTGAGGCTTTAACACGGTTGTTTTCAACCTTGGTTGCACACTGCAATTCACATGGAGAGTTAAAAAATGTGGTTGCCTGGATCTAACCACGGTTCTGCTTTGATTGTTTTGGGTGTGTCCTGGTGCTAGTGAATTGTTTCAGTGTCCCCAAGTGGCTCTAATGTGTAATCATGGTTGAGAACTGCTTGAACAATTTAAATCATAAGAATGCAAGCCTTTCACAATATTTAATTTTAAAATTTTATAATTGTGGTTTCAGAATGATAATATTACAGTAATAATAAATACATAGTTACGCTGGAAAATATGAAATAAAGATTCCCATGTAAGACATCGAGAAGATTGTCTTTTTCAAAGAGAAAGGAAATGGGAAAACACAGTGGTAAAGCCGGGGCCACCACAGGTTGTGTCCGGCTTGAAGCTAAACTGCCGGCAAGGCCAGAGCAAGGTATGGATTAAAGCTAAGTGTCTGTGAGCCCAGGGCTGATTCAGCAGTGGAGCTTCCTCTGCAGAAGACATCCACAACCCAGGATCAGCAAGGAAGGGATGGCACAAACTCAACAAATCCAATAATTGGCACTGAGGGAACAGAAAGAATGGAAGAGGCTGAAACAGACATTAAGATAATATTTCCCCAGAGAGACAAAGGAGTGATAAAGGATGAAATTGTGTCTATTACGAAAGAATAGAAGACTGCCCAAGAAAGATGGCTTTTTGAAGGCAAGGATCTCCTTTCACTTCCTCCTGAAACTTCATTAAAACAACATCAAAGGTGAACAAATTATGGTATATCCATCAAGGGGCTTTTACTCAGCAAGGAAAAGTCAAGAACATGGATGGGTCTCAGAAACATTATGCCGAGTTAAAGAAGCCAGACCCAAAGGGGTGCAGCATGCACAAGTCCATTTGTGTGAAATCCTAGAACAGGAAGATGAATATATAGTAACGGAAAGTATATCAATGTTTGCACGGAGCCAAGGGATGAAGAGGAGATCGACTGGAAACCTTTTGGGTTGTGTTATATGTTCTATATCTTGATTGAGGTGGTAGCTAGCCCTAATCTCTGATTTTTACATGTAAGGAACCTGGGATCAGGAGAAGTTGAATGAGTCGTCAAAAGTGAGGTTAGCTTATTAATCAGAGAGAAGATATTCACACTTGATTGTCAGTAATAAACGGTTTCCATTATGCTGTATATGGGTCGATAGGAAAAGTGCTTCTCCCCAAGCACTTGACAAAACCCTGACCCGGCCATAAACATCCTCTTATACAAGTATGAAGCGTAGGTGTGAAAGTATAACCATTCTGCATTCCAGCCACCTACTTCTACACATGGTTGACATTCTCACGTGTCCCTTTACCCTGACTTGTTTGTGTTTATATTTACAAATGAAAACATAACTTCTCATTAATATTTTCTTCTGAGGAATCATACTGTAATATACAGTTTTATAACCTGACTTTGTTTTTCTTTCCCTTTGTATCACGTGGCGTGACGAGTATTCTACCTTGTTGCTTATAGTCTGCCACTTAAACCTGAAACATTTCTTGCATAATAATACATTTTTTTTTTTCCTGAAAGATCGGAAACGGGAACTTAAGCTCCCTACTGAATCCTTCCGCATAACCTGTTTCATGCTCTGAGCTTTCTGTTTTGGTTCCCTGAACCCATATGTCAGATGATTCCCCACTGGAGCCGGGGCTGCCCTGTTTTACTACTGCCGCTTTGTAAGATACATTAATAGCTGACATGGCAACCAGATGCCACTCACTCATCTCTTTTCCTTGTCATTTCCAGGAGGACTAATAACAACGAATGCAACTAACACGTATTTCTCCCTCAATAAACGCCAGATGTTGTACTACGTTCTCGACATAGTAATAGACAACTTATTTATAGTGCTTGTTAGGTCACGGGCATTTCTCCAGGTGCTTTTCACGTGTTTCCATGTGTTAACTCACTTAATTTTTACAGTAGCCCATGAGGTAGAAACTGTTACTATCTTTGAGTTAGGGGGAAAACAAGCAAAAAGAACTTGAGTCACAGCGAGGTCACTTAGTTGCCTTGGATCATAGAATTTAGCACCAGGATTGAAATCCTGATGGATCTGACCACAAATCCTAGGCCCATAACCAATAATGTGCGACTCTGTGTCAAGGCTGAAATGAGCAGTACGACAGGGCCCACTCAAAGTCTGCTGGGCAATGATGGGTGTGGTTTCTGGAACCAATGTCCCGACTCCAGCCTTCTGTCCAAGAGACTCATCATTGCACAGTGTTGCCCTATACCATCTCTCCTTTTTTCGGACTGTGTGGGAACTGTTTCTCTGGTGTTCAACTTGAAGTGAAGTAACAGGGACAGACAAGATGTACATGGACAGGAAGGAAGGAGGGTTTTCAGAGGGGAGCATATCGCCAGGATGAATTCAGTTCCCTGGAGGCGTTTTCAATGTGTGTTTCTTTGTCTTCTCTGTACTCACCCTCTTCTTTCTGACCCACACATCCATCCCTTGGCCTTTTCACCCTGTATGTCAGGTACTCATGCCCCTTCCTTGCCATGTCTACTTCATTGCAAGGGCAGTCATTTCTACTTCTCCCTTTGACAATATCAGCCACTCTCTGGTCCCGTCATCCTTCTGTCCCAAAGGACCTGTAAAGCACAGCCGTATAATTATATGTATATATTTAGACAGAGAGTGATATATGTAATAAATTCGAAAAGTGAAACGTCTGGATCAAAGTGTAAGAATGACTTCTGAATGGTTAGGCATATTGCAGAAAATTAGACTCACACACGGTTAGTGGAAGTGTATATTGGTGTAAATATCATTGAAAATCCTTACGAAAATATCACTTTATGCTTAAAAGTACTCATGTGCTTCTCCTGGGAAACTGTAGAGCAGGGACTCAAAATCTTAAACCCACTTCGAAGCCCTGGCTGTGTTCCACTGGGTTTTTTGGCCACCCCTGCTGGGGGTACTCTGTAACCCTGGTCAACCTGTGGGTATTGTTCCATTACTTTTGTGTACAGGGAACTCTCCTACTTTCTTATTTTAAAACTATCAGTTCAAATATTAAAACACCGAGAGGTAGAAAAGAAAAAAAGCACTAAAAAGCATATTCTGAACAAGAAACAAAATTTGGCCATATATAATACATAACACATGAAAAGAAATGTGCAGTGGGATCCAGTGTTGTGTGGCAATGTGTTTACCAACATGATTTGGAGTACATGTATCTGTAACCTAATTGTGGAAGCATGTAATACGAAACACTAATACTTGCTCGCATGGGCAACACGGACACACAGACCACACATTCTTCCCTTTCTCTGAGACAGGGATGATGCTTCCTGTCTGTCACAAGGCTGAGTGAACACAACATGCCTGTAGGTCCAGAACATTCTTCCTACAGAGACCAGATGTCCAGAAAGCCCTATCTGCTGGATTCAGGGAACGCCTCTCCTCATTTCTGTCAGCACTATTTGCAAAAGCCTCCTTCTCTGAGATCTTCAAAGCTGCAGTTCTAGCCACAGTCTGCAGGGAGGTACTCAGTTCTATTTCTAAGGATACATTAATGAAAAAATATTAATGTTGCAGAAGAAAAGATTAATTTGTTCTAGTTTTGCAGTCAGGTTATGAAATAGTTCTGCAGCCCGAATAGCTCTGGAATAAATATAAATAGAGGTCGGTAGAAATGGTTCAGATGGATGTATTCTCAAAAGTGGTTTTGTCGATGATCCCAAACCTACATCAAATGCATTCATTTAACAAATATTAATTAGGCCCTTATTCTATGCCAGACACTACCAGCCCAAAGTGACTCCTAATCTGAAAACCCATGGCCCAAACAGATTACACCCATCTGGTCCAAGACAGAGATCTCCACCTTATCCAAGACACCTGGTTCCCACCCCAACAGGAGTGACTAGCACAAAACATCATCCCGGCCTGCTTACAAAAAAATCTGTCGATGAGACCTGAAAGCTTGCCATTTAAGGGAGAACCAGTGCAGTCTCTGGAGGAGCACTCAGGGTATAGAGGCAGACCAATATACGTGAGGACATAATTCCTGTTCTGCCACTTACCTGGCTGGGAAATGTACCCGACATCTGTGAACCCAATATTCATGATCTGAAAAGGGACTGTGGATAAAATTCTCATGGGATTTCTGTGAGGAGGTCAAGAGAAACCTAGTGAGTCTGCCCAACACTGAGCAGATGTTGGTTGCCACTGGGCAAGGGTTGGTTTTCTTCTTATCCCGTTCTTTCCCTGCCGTAGCAGGGATGCTGATGCCATGCACTCAGTGGCATGGCAGTGATGTAGGCAGAATTCCAAACTAACACAGGAAGTACCAGTAGGAACACACGTGATGTCATAAAGGTTACTCACCACTATGTCTGTGTGGGGGGATCAGCCAGTACATGGTGGGACTTGAGGGGAAACCCAGGCGGTCTGGGTGAGAAGTACTAGCTGCTTTATAATACTCTTGAGATCGCCCGTAATTCTGGCAGCACAACTGCGAGACAGGGATTGTGCTGAGATGCCAGAGTTCAGCAAGTGGATGTACGCCTGTGTGTGTTGTGTCTTCGGCATCTCTCTCTGTCCGGTCCCTCTGTGGCTTTTTATCACATGTGCTCTCTTCCAACACAAGGCCTTGCCTGAGGCTGTAGCTGTAGCTGTTGGCTAGCTTACACTTTTACACCTTCTTCCCCTCAGTGACGTTATTTCTGAAGTAATGTGTGTTCTCAAAAATGACTCTGACTCTTCCTGTGCTCCATATATTGACCGTGTGCCCTTAACCCTCACTTTAATCTTTGATTTTTTTCCCTTTCATTTATGGACTTTCATGAAAATGAGTTGGTTTCTGGACATCCTCCAAATGTCACCAATAGGGGTCTTTGTTGTTGTTGTTGCTGTTGTTGAGTATTGTTATGGACTCATAACTTTTTAACATACTGATGGGCTCCAAACCGCGGTTAAAGGATTTTGAGTAAAGGAATGACAAGATTTGACTTATGCCTTAAAAAATCACTCTGCCTCCTGTGTTGAAAATAGATGGTAGGGGAGTCAAGGGCAAAAGCAGGACAACTTGGAAGGCAGCATAATCCAGGAGACAGATGTTGGTGACCTGGCCAGGGTAGGTAGCAATGGAGGGGGTGAGAAGTGGCCAGACTCTGGATATATTTTAAAGGTAGAGCCAAGAGAAGATACATCCATCCTGATCGGTTGGATGTAGAGTGTGAGAGAAAGAGAGCACTCCAGCCCCACTTCCAAGTTGTAGGGACCAAGCATCAGGAATGTCTAGGTCAGATGCTCTGCCCACATTTAATTTCACTTCTAATGGCACACAGGGAAAGTCCCAGCAATCGAGAGGAGCAGGACTGTCCTGACAGCGGGTCACACACAGTGAAAGCAATGATGCCCCCTACAGAAGTTCATCTGAGGCCTGGCCATAATCAGTATATTGCAGAGAGGTCAGCAGTGACCGAAATTTTATTCATAAGAGTGCCCTGAGACAAGGTGTACATTTTGAAATTGGTCGAGGTCTGTTTGATGGTCCAGGAGATGGTCTACCTTCGTGAATGCTGCAAGACAGTAGAGGGGGAAAAAACATACATGCTCTGTTTTTGTTGTTGGGTACAGTGTGTTGGGTACGGTGTTTTATTTATGTCATTTAGATCCTGTTACTGTAGTGGTTTTCAGTATCTGCTGATTTTCTTTCCAGTAATTCTGTCACTTGCTTAGGAAGAGTTGTCTCTTGGGCTGAAAGCATTTCGGGCTGGGCAAAAAGAAAGCTTGCTCTGGGTATTTCAAACTGAGTATTTTTGAGGGCAAGGCTGGAGGCAGGAGGGCAGCTTGGGAAGCTGTTACATCGGACCCACCTGTCATTAAAGCTCGTACTGCACTGGCAAAGAGGTATAGCTTGCTGATTGTTCACAGAATGCATTTGGGGATTGGATTTGGGAGGTGCGAGAGAGCTTGTCTCCCAGGTGTTGGTGTGGTTGTTAGATTAGAGAAGCCTGAGAGAAGGCAAGATTAGGACCCCTTCCAGGTGTGTGGCTGGTGTCTAGTCTAACCCATGGACACGCGCACCTCTGTTCTTTATAATTCCTGCTCCATTTCTCAGGAGGTTCAACACAGTTGCTTCCTCTCCCAAGATTCCTACCCTGATTGTGCCACCTGTGAGATAAGGCTCTTGTATCTGGACAGGCAGAGGAGTTTGTTTTCTGGGGCTTATGTGGCGGGTTGGCACTTTGCTAGCCCTACCATGGAGTTAGCTCACGACGTGGTACGTGGTAAGTGGACCATTGATGTGTCTCAAACTTGTCTTTTTGTTCTCAGTTGCAGAATGCCATGACCATGGTAGCACTTTTCAAGGAAGAAAGAAAGGTGGGAGTTCTTTCCGGGATAATTTTGACAAGAGGAGCTGTCATTATGAACATGGTGGGTATGAGCGCCCGCCTTCACACTGCCAGGAGAATGATGGAAGCGTGGAGATGAGGGATGTCCACAAGGACCAACAACTAAGACAGTAAGTGACCAGGCAGCCTGGTTTGCACGTAGCAGCCCCCGGGACTGTGCAACCCTTTCATTCTCTGTGGTCTTCCTTTTCTTCTCTCATTAGAGAACTGACGAATGCTGGAAGTGGAATAGTGGCTGAGCAGTCCTAATTGTAGCCCTGGCGTCAGTGAGTGGAGCATGTATAGGAGACTTTCTTAGATTTAATGGATACCCGCCTTCTCTCCTCTTCCCCACAGCACTCCTTATAGCATCCGATGCGAAAGAAGAATGAAATGGCATAGTGAAGACGAAATCCGTATTACCACGTGGAGAAATAGAAAACCTCCGGAGAGAAAAATGAGTCAGAACACACAGGATGGATACACAAGGAACTGGTTTAAGGTCACAGTGAGTATCTTGGTGGGGTCTGCATTAGGTGGACTATTCTGGAACCTGATAGAAGGAAGACCACTTAAAACACCCTAAGTTGATTATTTGGAGGAGAGCTTCGGAATGGGGGGAAAGGGAGTTTAGGGCATCTATATTTGGCACAAAAATAAGAAATCATGTCAGCGGTCCTTTCTTTAGAAATCTAAGCTAAGTAGAAGGTTGGAAAGAAAGAAAAAAAAAACCCAGCTGGTTGGTTCTGTTCTCCATCCTTAGTTCCACGTTGTCTCTCCCTTCCCTCCTATTTCTTCTTTTTACCCTTAGATTCCTTACGGGATAAAGTATGACAAGGCATGGCTAATGAATTCAATCCAGAGCCATTGCAGTGACCGCTTCACTCCGGTTGATGTAAGAGAGGATGGTGAAGCCAGATGAGTGGGCATGGGGGACGGGGAGAGGCCTGGCTCAGCAGGGGCCATTGGCCTCTGACGCTGTTGCTCTTGCCTTCACTCCCTGTAGTTCCACTACGTCCGAAATCGGGCATGCTTCTTTGTCCAGGATGCTAGCGCTGCCTCCGCATTGAAGGATGTCAGTTATAAGATTTATGATGATGAGAACCAAAAGGTGTGTGCCGAGGGCATGCCCTGTACTTAGTCTCTGGGCAGGAGGACAGGCCAGGGGGCTGGTCATCCTCTTTGGGATTAGAGGTCCTGGTACTTACCACCCTGCCTTCCTGCAGATATGTATATTTGTCAATCATTCTACTGCGCCCTACTCTGTGAAGAATAAGTTGAAGCCAGGCCAAATGGAGATGCTAAAGGTAATACAGACTCAAGGATCATTGTATGCCTGCTTCCTGGACCCACCTCTTCTTCCCCTGGCCCCCTCTTTCCCTGTCACCACCACCACCACCACCACCACCACCACCACCACCACCACCATCACCACCACCACCACCACCATCACCAGAGCCCCAGAGCCTCTGTCTTCATCTCTATCTCTGCAGCTGACCATGAACAAACGGTACAATGTCTCCCAGCAAGCTCTTGATCTCCAGAATCTCCGCTTTGACCCAGGTAAGGCTGACAGCAGCAATTCTAAGACAAGCGGGGGCAGAGAGGTCTGCCTGGGAGGGAGACTTAGGAATGGCAATTTACAGAGGGGTTGGGGCTGGCTCTGGTCCAGCCAGGGCCCTCCCAGCCTTCCGATTCCCTTCTCTTGGCTTCTTCAAGACTTGATGGGCCGTGACATTGATATAATCCTGAATCGAAGAAACTGCATGGCTGCCACCCTGAAGATCATTGAAAGAAATTTCCCTGAGGTGAAGCCTTAGGCTCAGTGCTGGTATTTAGTTAGAGGGGTGGAAGGGATAAGGTGGAGGGCAGATTTGTCTCTGAGGCCCAAGATAGTAGCCGCCACTCTAACTCTTCTTGACCCAAAGCTGTTGTCTTTGAACTTGTGCAACAACAAGCTGTACCAGCTGGATGGCCTTTCTGACATTACAGAGAAGGCTCCCAAAGTCAAGACCCTGAATCTCTCCAAAAATAAGGTGAGAAGGGGGAGCCAGATCAACTTTGGGTGGAGGGCAGGACACATCAGGATAATGGCAACAGCCAGGCAGTGGCACCTGTGGGTGACTATGAGGGCCGGGGGAATTCAGGGCCCAGGGTCCTGGGTGTCTCTCTTTCCCTGGCCCTCCTTCTCCAGTTTCCTCCCCATCTTTCTTAGCTGGAGTCGGCGTGGGAGTTGGGCAAGGTGAAAGGGCTGAAGCTCGAAGAGCTATGGCTAGAAGGGAACCCGTTGTGCAGCACCTTCTCGGACCAGTCCGCCTATGTAAGGTCAGTGGCAACCCCGGTCACCCTTCCTGGGCACCTTTGCTCCCTGGGTGACTGAGCTGTGTCTGAAGGTGCCCTTCTGCAGGAAGAAGCAGCCTTGGTCCTCTGGGAGGACCACAGACCTCCCTTCCTACTCTCTCTCTCTCTCTCTCTCTCTCCTCTCTCTCTGTCACTCACTCATCTGTGCTTAGAGGTCTCCTTTCCTTCCTCTGACATGGTCCCCTTTTCACCTGCTCTGGGGTGTGTTTCCCGCCTGTCTCCACCAAGCCTCCTCCAGTGTGCCCTCTGTGAGTGTGCTCCAGGAAGTGGGGCTCCCCCACCTCCCCAGGACCAGCAGTATTCAGATGCTGGTGCCCTGGACCGAGAAGAGTCCTTTAGTCCGGGGCTTCATGCTGAGACAGGCCTTCCTGCCTCCATGCTGCGATGGGGCTTCCCTCCCCTGTCCCAAGAGGGGTTCTCCTTCTCTTGCTCCAAAAAGGTCCCCCCACCTGTCCTGGGCTGGCATGGGGGCTTCCCTGCCCCATACTGAGGGCTGGGGCCCCGGGTGGCTGCTGTCATGCCATCTCTTCCTCTGGCCCAATGCCAGGAGCTGGGCCCTCCTTGGGGAGAAACCTGGGTTTCCTACGTCAAGGGGCCAGAAGCGGGCCACGTTCCTGAGGCAGGAGTGGAAGGCAGAGGGCAGAGGAGGTTGAGAAGACAGAAGGACAGGCCTCTCAGGGCACTGCCCCACCTTCCCTCCTTCTCCACCTCACATCGTCCTGCCTGGGCCCTCAGAGGAGCCCTGGGTAGCCCGAGATGGGTAGCATTCCTCGGTCAAGGCGTCAGCACAGAGGGGCACAGGAGTCAGGGACCATCAGAAGAGAATGCAGTGGTCTGGAGAGGGGGTCCCCAGACTCTGAACCCCATGCTGAGCTGGGGCCTGACTCTTCACTCCTCCCGGGAGAAGGTCTCCTGTCCCCGTGGCTGCTCTGTTTCCCATGCCCAGCTCAGACTGAGCTCACACAGGTGAGGAAGGCTCCAGCTGCATCCAGTGGGCCCCAGCCCAACAGGCGCATGTTTTCCTTTCCTGCCTCGGTCCCCAGGGCCAGCCAGGGAGCAGTGAGGGAAAGGGCTGCAGCAGGGGAGCCCTTTTCTCCTCTTCTCCTCCCTGAACTCCACCTCCGCAGTAGAGAGTCTTTCCCTTCCCTTTGCATTGCATCCTGTTTCTCCCTTGTCTCTCCTCTCCTATGTCTCACCCATCCGTCCCTCCCCTACCTTCACCCCGTTTCTGTTGTTGTCCCCCCTGCCTTCCGCTTCCTGCCTCCTGAGTCCGGCCTCACTCACCTCCGTGTCCCAGCATCCTGGGCCATCCCTAAGGGCTGACCTGGTCTTGGCCAGGGCCTGGTCAGGCAGGTTGATGGACAGCCAGTGAGGTGGCAGAGCCCTGGGCTCCCACCCCATTTCCTGCTCCCTGCAGAGCCTTCCATGGTGACTTGGGCAAAGGGGAGGGAGGGAGAGGAAGAAAGCCCTGGAGCCTGGGCTCCCAGTGCTGCTTCTTGTAGCACTGGAGAAAAGGGAGTCAGGACAGTCTAGATGGAAGCTAACCAGGAGGAAGGAGAGGGAGGAGTGTGAGAGGGAGTGGGAGAGAGACTGTGCAACCCTGAACTGTCAGTCACTTCATTCAATTTTTGGTTTTGGACAGTGCCATCCGGGATTGTTTCCCCAAGTTGTTACGCCTGGTAAGTATGTATAATACCGTCATCATTGTCTCCTCTTACTCAAGAAAAGGACCTCCACGCCTGCCCTCAAGTCCTTTGGGTCTTGCCTAGATTACATGCTTGTATCAGACCCTCATCCATTTTACAGGCATGGATTCCTGAAAAAGACAAGAATATTCTCCCTGGAAAATGTGTCCCCCCGCCGCCACCCCCCCCACACACACACATTTGCATGTGATAGTAGAGATGTCCAGCACCCCATGAGAAAGCCACCCACTGGAATTTCCAGGGCCATTTCCCACCTAGCCTCTGATGCTTGTCTCCCTGGGCATGTTCATCTTATCGATCATCCAGCTCCATCTCCTTGGTCTCCACTGCTGACTTCCTCTTTCCTTCTCCAGGACGGCCGAGAGTTATCCGCACCAGTGATTGTTGACATTGACAGCTCTGAGACAATGAAACCCTGCAAGGTGAGGAAGAAGGACCAAGCAAGATTTGGGTTGCTGTAAGGGAGGCTTTGTCCACCGCATAGATCCAAATTGTCTTTTGATTTCAGGAAAACTTTACTGGATCTGAGACCCTAAAGCATTTAGTCCTGCAATTCCTGCAGCAGTGAGTATCCCTGGGACCATGAGGAAGGGGAGGGCTGAGACAGGCTGGGCCACCCGTGCAGCCTGGGAGTTTTCAAGTCTCATCTGGGGCCCAGGCCACAGAGATAGCCTATCCTCACTGCTTCCCCACAGGTATTACTCGATCTATGACTCTGGAGATCGACAGGGTCTCCTCGGTGCTTACCACGATGAGGCCTGCTTCTCCTTGGCTATTCCCTTCGACCCCAAGGACTCAGCCCCGTGAGTATCACGGCTCAGACTCTGCTCTGGGGCTGTGTGTCTCCCCAGCAGACACAGGCCAACTCCTGGAAATGCCCACACTGGCCGGACCACCCACTCCTGCTCCTCTTTTTCTCCTAGGAGCAGCTTGTGCAAGTACTTTGAGGATAGCAGGAATATGAAAACACTCAAGGACCCCTGTAAGTGTGTGATGGGGAAGAGTGGGCAAGGTAAGGGGGTGTGATGGGAACAATCACAGGGGCCAAGGACCAGGATGTGGTAGCCCCCCGCCCTGCCCCGCCCACCCTGCCATTCCTTGCTTCTCCTCTCCTCTACAGACCTGAAGGGGGAACTGCTGAGGCGCACAAAACGTGACATTGTGGACTCCCTCAGTGCGTTGCCCAAAACTCAGCATGACCTCAGCTCCATCCTGGTGGACGTGTGGTGCCAGACGGTGAGCACCTGCTTCCTCCCTTGGGCAGGCCCAGAGAGCCAGAGGTGGGTAGGAGGTTAAGGAGGATCCTGAGCACCTGAGCGCTTCCTTTTCAGGAAAGGATGCTCTGCTTTTCTGTCAATGGGGTTTTCAAGGAAGGTGAGTGTCTGTATAGTCCCCTCCCCAGATCCCCCACTGCTCCCTCCCCCTGGCTGGGCTCCCTCTCAGAACTCCCCCAGCTTCCCTGCTTTCGTTCCTTTCCTTTCCTTCCTCTTCTTTCTTCCGTGTTTTCCCACCCCCACTCTGCCTTCAAACCACCCTGATCTGACCTAGGTCCATGCCTGTCTGCCCTGCACAGCTCAGGCGTGCGTTAAGGACACAGACTGTGGAGTTTGACAGCTCTCATCCCAGGTCCTTACTCTGTGAACTTGTGCTGGTTACTTAACCCTTCAGTTTCCTCATTTGCAAAATGGGGCTAATAATCTATCTCTTGGGCTACTGTGAAATAGGAATTAAGTGAACTTGTGGTTTTCCCAGGGCCCCACACATGATAGGGGCCCTGTCACTGGGAGCGGATTGTTCCTGTTGCTGCCCTCCCCATTCCTGCCACATCCGCCTGACTCCAAGTGAACAATTGTCCTGGTCTGCCCCCTCCCCCCCTTCTGTGTGAGTGTCAAGCAATACTCTGACTGGGGATCACCGTGTGAGCATGTTAAAGCCTGTGCAACTCTAAGGTGGTGGTGTTTGTTGTCTTTGAAGTGGAAGGACAGTCTCAGGGTTCTGTTCTCGCCTTCACCCGGACCTTCATTGCTACCCCTGGCAGCAGTTCCAGGTTAGTGCTGTGTTGTGGGTGGGAGCACCCATCCAAGCTTGGGGCCAGTGTTGTGGAAATGTGGTGGGTGCAGTCCTCCGGGTGTTCTCAATATTGTGGAAGGCCGACAGGAAGATCCAAGGAGCAGTCTAGCCTAGTGTTTAAGAGTGTGGGCCCTGGAGTCAGAATACAGATTCTGTTCCTCACTCCAACACTCACAAACTGTGTGACCTTGATCAACTTATTCGACCACTCTGTGATTCAGTGCCTTTTTCTGAAAATTGGAATAAGACTATCCACTTCCTTGGGCTGTTGTACAGGGTAAATGCGTTGGGGTTGGATCTAAAAATCTAGTGAAGCTGGTAGACAGTCCCTCCAAAGGTGGACTCTGTGGGAGGGTTAGAGGGTACCAGCCAAAAAATCTGGGAGGCAGGCACAGTTAGGGATATGGAAGGAATTTGGTTGTTGAGTGGCAGTGGTTAAGAAGGATCCTGTTGTTGGGGGTGCGGAGTTATCTACTTGTCCAGTTTGAGGGTGCATTTTTCTTTCCTCCAGTCTGTGCATCGTGAATGACGAGCTGTTTGTGAGGGATGCCAGCCCCCAAGAGACTCAGAGTGCCTTCTCCATCCCAGTGTCCACACTCTCCTCCAGCTCTGAGCCCTCCCTCTCCCAGGAGCAGCAGGAAATGGTGCAGGCTTTCTCTGCCCAGTCTGGGATGAAACTGGAGTGGTCTCAGAAGTGAGTGCTGGGAGTACATGGGGATGGGGGCTGTTGGGACATCAGAGGAATGAGTAATGGAAACTCACATGCAATTTGGAAAAATAACTATCTGGGTATTTTGCTTCCAAAAAAAGTGGGTCCATGAAAAAGGTATCATACTTTTATACTGGTATATGTAAATATTTTTTTAAATGGCATAATGCCCAAATGACATTACCTTCCATTTGTAAAATCTGAAAGAATCAACCACAATAAACTACTGATAAACCAGGTCAGCAAGGTTGAAAGATACAATATACAAAAATCATTTGTACTTCTATGTAGTTGCAATGGACAATCCAAAAAAATGAAATTAAGAAAATAAGTCCATCTACAGTAGCATCGAAAAGAAGAAAGTATGTAGGAACAAATTTAAGAGAAGAAGCGCAAATCTTGTACTCTGAAATCTGCAAAACATTGCTGAAAAAAATTAAAGAAGACCTAAATACGTGGAAAGGCATCCCACGTTCATAGATTGGAAGACTTAATATCATTACGATGGCAGTACCACCCAGAACAATCTACAGATTCATTGCAGTCCCTGACAGAATCCCAACTGACTTCTTTGCAGAAATTGACAAGGTAATCCCAAAATTCATGTGGAAATGCAGTGGACCCCAAACAGCCAAAACCATCTTGAAAGAGAAGAACAACGTTAGAAGACTCACACTTCCCGATTTCAGAACTTGCTACAAAACTACATTAATCAAGACTGTATGGTACCGACATAGGAACAGACGTGGGAATCAATGGAATATAATTGAGAGTCCACAGATAATCTCACGTATTTATGTCCAGTTGATTATCATTCAGGGTGCTGAAAAAATCCAATGGAGAAAAAAAATAGTCTTCTTAACAAATGGTGCTGGGAGAAGTGGATATCCACTTGCAAAACAATTAATTTTGACCCCTAACTCACATCACGTGCAAACACTGGCAGAAAATGGATCAATGACCTAAAATAAGAGCCAGAACTGTAAAACACTGTAAGTGTACATCTTCATTACCTTGAATTAGGCAACCATTTCTTACATATGAAACCAAAAGCACAAGCAACCAAAGAAAAAATAGGTAAATTGGACTTCATCTAAATTAAAAGCTTTTGTGCATCAGCAGACACTATCAAGAAAGCGGAAAACCGACTGGTGGGAACAAGGGAAAATATTTGCAAATCACATCGCCGACAAGAAGAACCCTTACAACTCAACAACAAACAGACAAGCCACCGAATTAAAAAATGGGGAAATGATTTGAATAGATGTTTCTCCAAAGGAGATATACAAATGACCAAGAAGCACGTGAAAATCTTCTCAACATCGTTAGTCATTAGGGAAACGCATATCGAAACCACAGTGAGTTACCACTTCATACCCACTACGCTAGCTTTAGTCCATAAAAGGAAACATGACAAATGTCGGTGAGAATGCAGAGAAATTGGAAATCTCATGTATTACTACTGGGAACATAAAGTGGAGCAGTTGCTGGCAAAAAGATTTTGGCAGTTCCTCAAAATCTTAAACATGGAGTTACCACATGATCCAGTAATCCCACTCCTAAGTGTATACCAAAAGAAATGAAAATATATGCCCATTCAACAACTTGCACATGAATTTCCGTAGTGGCATTATTCCAAATAGCCAAAAAATGGAAACACATGGATTGACCTTCAGCTGATGAATGGATAATGTGGTACATCCATACGGTGGAATATTATTAGAATATTATTCATCCACAAAAAAGGATGTAGTTGTGATATATGCTATGACGTGGATGAACCCTGAAAACATTATGTGCTAAGTGGGAGCACCCAGTCACAAAAAGCCACATAATTATATGATTCCATTCATACGAAGTGTTCAGAATAGCCAGATCCGTAGAGACCGAAAGCAGAGTAGTGGTTGCCAAGATCTGGGGAAGAGGGAGAACAGGGAGTGATCTCTAACAGTTAAGGAGTTTCTTTTTGAGGTGATAAAAACAGTTTGGAATTAGATAGGTGTGATGGTTGCACAATCTTGTGAATAGACTTAAAAGCACTGAATTGTACACCTTAAAATGGTGACTGCTACAGTATGTGCATTATATCTCAATAGAAAAGAAACGTATTATTGAATTTCCACTTGTTATTTCTTGAACATCTTTCTTTATCAATATGTATTAAGCTCCCTTGTTCATTTGAATACCGCTATGTTTCTGATTTGAATTCTAGTGGGCATTAATGTCAGGGATGGGCGTTTTGGTTTTCCCCAGGCCTTTTTTCATTGTTACAATAGTGCTCATATTGGTACATGTGACCCAGCAAAAAGGTAGCATAGATTAAGGGTGGCATTGCATAGTCAGCGTGTCTGTCCTGGGCTAGTAATGGAGAGCACCTGTTCTTCTCCCACCCCAGGTGCCTTCAGGACAATGAGTGGAACTACACTAGAGCTGGCCAGGCCTTCACTATGCTCCAGGTGAGGTCTGGGAATCAAGTGGGTAAAAGACAGCTGTCTCTGGGTCGTCAGGAGGGCCAAGAAGATGGAGGCCAGGTAGTGTGGGGATGGAACCCAGTGCACCTGGCTCTACTAACATCCCAACTCCTTTTCTTTACTTTCTCTAGACCGAGGGCAAGATCCCCGCGGAGGCCTTCAAGCAAATCTCCTAAAAGGAGCCCTCCGATGTCTTCTTTGTCTTCGTTCACATCCTCTTTGTTTCCTCTTTTCACCAGCCTAAGGCCTGGCTGACCAGGAAGCCAACGTTAACTTGCAGGCCACGTGACATAACCACCCAAAGAGCCAGTTGCTCTGTGTATTCGCCCCACTCATGATCACCATTTTATTTTCATAATAAAGAGTGACGTTACACGTTGTACATTGTGTGCCCTGGATTGCTCTTCCCCTGCCCCAGCCGTGAGCCAGCGGGACCAGGACTGAAAGCACTGCATCCCTGTTCATCCCTGGCTGGCCTTAGCAGATACATGAATCTGGCTTGCCTTCATAGGTAATTTTGTCCGTAAATCCTCATGAGAAAGGACACACGCTCCTTCCAGAGACTGGCCTTGAGAGACAGTTGGACTCTGTCAGATGCTCGACCTGGAGGCCCACAGAAGCAGGCATGTTACCTTGGCACACCAGGGGCTTCCATCCACCGTCCCGACCCCTCCCTTTCCCAAAGGTGCACTTTTCGAGGAGTCGTCTCAGGGTAGCACCTGCGGCGGGGGGTGGCGGGGGAGGGGGATACTCAGCCCATCTACCCGGCACACTCCTCAGAGAGCTGACACCGGGTGCTCCATGTCCATGTTCTTGAAGGGGATCAGCCATTTATTTTCACTTCTAAACAAACAGCGATAGCACAGAATCTCACCTTATGGTCAGTTCTCAACAACTGGCATTTAGCAGTTCCTAATTGCAGGCAAGAGTTGAACGAAACGTTTGCACAATTTATTGTCCACACTCCTGTGATGCTTGCACGTTAGACAATCAGCTGGCATACTTTTCGAAATTAAAATAATAGCAGTGTGACGTTTTCAAGTCACAGTCCTATAAATGGTGACATAGGAGAAGTACCACCAGTTTACAAATTATGCCTCCACTTTCGTGTTTGGCATACGTTACTTCCTACCACTTGCCGCCTTCCTACCACTTGCCACTTTTCAGTTCTTTATGTACATGTACATTAGGGATCCATATGTTGGAGTGTGGATTTCATAAAACTAGGAACTAAGGGGATAGTTGCCATTACAAAAAGAATATGCCAACCTTGTTCTTCCCTGTAGTGCTTCAATAGTCGAAGACAAGCTCCTATACCTCTCTAAGCCTTGGTCCTCTCAGCCAGGGAGCAGAGACTACAATGTGTGCTTCTCAGCCTCATCGTGGGGACTAGAGATGGCCTCACATGTTACCCATCAACCACAGTGTCTATTCAGCTCAGGCTCTCAGAGCTACCAGGGTTCCTTTGTGGACAGGAACCATGGAACCCATCACATGGCCCCTCTGCTTCCTCTCTCTACATCATCAGGCTTCCACAGCCTGGACCTCCTTCCCTAGCCAGCTCTGACGTCCTGGTCTTCCAGTCACTCATCCTCCTGCCAATTCCCACGATTTCCTGTGGTCCTATCCTCCCAGCACATGCTAACTCTGACACCTGAACTCACTCTCTCATCTCTCGTGCGCTCTACCTCTATACACACACACACACACACATCATCATCATCATCATCATCTGCAAATGGTCCATTAGGAGACAATCTTGGAAGTTTAAATGGTGAGGCAAAGTGTATGCTTCCCAAGATTATTTCTGAAGTTGGAGGGAGGAGACAAGAGTACTCACATACATTGCTTCCGAGCATGTAAATTGACATAGCCATTTTTTAGAATCATTGAGAACAATTCAGTCATAAATAATTGAATAAATATATATGTGCACATAAATATATATGCACACTTTTTATATAAGAGAAATCATAATGCAGATGCAGTTTAATATCCGTTTCATTTTAGTTAAAGTCATTAACATAAAGCTATGCATGTCATCATGCTATAATTTTATGTAGATCTGCAGTGATGACTTTCTTTTATTCTTGACATTGTTCATTTATGTGCTAATTGTGTGGAGTGTGGAGGGGAAACTTTGATTAGGACAGAAAGGAGCATACGGCAGCCACAGCCAGGAGAGTCCATCCACAACTGCTCTGTTCTTTTCCTTGGGCCTTGGCACACTCTCCTTAGGGATAGGGTGGCAGGGAGGCTGGGGCTGTGGAATTCATAAGGGCTCATCCCTGAGAAGAGGCATTATTTCCCATATGTCACTTGTTTTCCTGCCCACTGCATATGATGGCATCAAGTTTATAGACACCTCCAACAGGGTGTACTTTTTTTTAGAGTTGGGGTCTCATTATGTTGCCCAGGCTGGACTCTTAACTCCTGGGTGCAAACTCCTGGGCTCAAGCAGTCCTTCAGCCTCAGCCTCAAGAGTAGCTGGGATTACAGTCACCCAGCAAAGTTGCACTTCTTACAAAGGTTGCTGGTGTGGGCGGGTGGTGGACCCCTCCCTGTCTTCATCAGAGCACAGGAACCTCCATGTGGAAGGAGTCCAGAAGCAACTGCAGGAACACCAGGGTGAGTGGCCTTGATGATGCCCTTTTCTATCCCTCATCTCCAAGTAAATTTTGTGCCTTCCCTCAGAATACCTCTGGCTCCTGTGTATTAGTCTGCACTCCTAATAGTTTGTCCCAGAACTTGCCTCCAACTGATTCCCTTACCCCAGGGTTCCTGCCTATAGCTCCTGCCCTCAGCCCTACTGCATAACTGCTGCTGATCTTTGCAAACATGGATTCCATTCATCCTAGTTGTCTGCTCATGAGGCCTTAATGGCATCATTCCATTAATGATCTCAGAATTCCCCTCCATGCAGCACTCCTTATGATCCCACCCTCCTGTTACCCCTGTGCTGGAGAAAGCCAGTGGTTGGATATGAACCCTTCTCCCCTTCAATGGCCACATCCAAGAGCACGAACCTAGATATTTGGTCCAACATTATTCCAAATGCCTTCCATTATTCTAAAAATACCTTCTGTGAAGGTATTTTTAGATGAGATTGCCATTTAGATCTGTAGACTTTGAGTAAAGCAGATTACCCTGCACAATGTGGGTTGGCCTTATCCAATCAGTTGAAGGCCTTCAGGAGTAAAAAGATTTACCTGCCTTGAGGAAGAGGGAATTCTGCCAGCAAAATGCCTTCAGACTTGAACTGCAGCTCTTCATTGGGTCTCCAGCCTGCCAGCCTTCCCTGCATGCTTTCCAGGCTCCAGGTTCACGGGAGCCAATTTCTAAAAAAGTGCACACACACACACACACAAACGAGACACACACACACACACACACACACACCCCTTGCTGGTTCTGTTTCTTGGTGGATCCCTAATATACCAGGTAATGCTGAAGCTACTATTTCATGGATCACACTTTGAGTAGCAAGAAACTAGAGAATATCTGGCATGTCCGTACATGGCCTCATCTGTAATCGTGGTACCTTCAGCATTGTCTGTGAGAGCAAAGCTGTAGGAAAAACAAAAATGTTCATTACCATTAGTCCAAAAAAATACATTGTGGCTCATTCTTATATTGGAATATTCTATAACCATGAAAATAAATACCCTAGACCTATAAGAATCAGACCATATATTCGTATGAAAAACGAAATTTCAGATCATGATTATAAGGAGAATAAAGACACCTACAGTATGAAAATATATGCATACAACATATATATAATACTTTAAGAATGCTTTTATTCACGATAAAATTATGAAACAATTTATGGGGAATATAAACACCACGTTCTGGTTATGAGTTACATCTGAGGAGTAAAGGAAGGACAAGTGAAATGAGGGGATGGGCTCAAACATTCGTCAAGTTTATTGCTTAACCTGGTTAGTGGATACACAAGTGTTCATTTTATAG
The DNA here is from genome assembly GCF_000001405.40 of Homo sapiens. Taxonomy (NCBI): domain Eukaryota; kingdom Metazoa; phylum Chordata; class Mammalia; order Primates; family Hominidae; genus Homo; species Homo sapiens. The sequence goes on along the minus strand of NC_000023.11, from coordinate 102,356,804 downwards.
CTCTCTATAACATTTTGCATATTTGATATGTTGGATTAGTAACAAAAATTTTAGAAGCTGAAGGTTTATTCTACCATAAACATATACTCATTTTACCAAATGATTAAAATACAGTTAATTATAGAGATGAAAATATCAATAACCAACGATCCCATCATCGCTGGAAAAAGAACTGTTAACATTTTCCTGAACTTCATTCCCTTATTTTTTGTTTGCTTGCCCACGTGCAAATGTACTGCATTGACATTTCATAGAACTGTGATATATACGCAGTTTTATGCTGTATTGTTTTGTTGATGTTTTAATTAATATTAAATAATTTGCTATGGGGAAAGTATTGAACTTCAATTTCTATCAAACCGTATATACATGCACCTGTCTCATTTCTAGAACCATGCATCTGAATGCACGGATTGGAAATGCCAAATATGTCTTATACTAAATAATGTTACATATCTGAGACTGCTCCCGAGCTTTTTACAGTCCCCCTTTAAACTGTATGTCAACCAGTTTGTTCCCAACAAAGATGAAGGTGCAGCACCACAGAACAATTACATTGCCTGGCAATGCAAACCCCATTCACACGACTCTCCTTTTGGATGGTTGGGAGGAGTAACGATAAATACGATGAATGATGCAAATGCATATTCATCACTAGAAGATGCTGGGCATTTGATATGGTTTGTCTCTGTGTCCCCCCACACAAATCTCATGTTAAATTATAATCCCCAAGTTTCAGGGAAGGGGCCTGGTGGGAGGTGATTGAATCAAGGTAGCAGATTTCCCCCTTGCTGTTCTTGTGATAGTGAGTTCTCATAAGATCTGATGGTTTAAAAGTGTGGCACTTTCCTCTCTCTCTCTCTCTCTCTCTCTCTCTCTCTCTCTCTCTCTCTCTCTGTCTCCCTCCTGCCACTATGTAAGTTGTGCCTTACTTCCCCTTTGCCTTCTGCTATAATTGTAAGTTTTCTGAGGCCTCCCCAGCCGTGCATCCCGTACAGCCTACAGAACTGTGAGTCGATTAAACCTCTTTTCTTTATAAATTGCCCAGTCTCGCGTAGTTCTTTATAGCAATGTGAAAATGGACTAATATATCATTGCTCTGCTTGCTTTCAATGCAGTGATCCATTTACTCCTCATGTCATCTTTAAGGGGCAAGTACCATCCCAATTCCCATATAGCCCAAGAAGAAAGGTGAACTCCGGAGAGAGAAATTGCTTCCTCGAGATTAAGTGCCTCTCAACTAAAGGACAAATCCACATGTATCTCACTCTACAAACTCCACGCCCACAACCACTGTTTCTGTATTGCGTCTTCTTCTCCGTTAGAGCTGAGGCCAGCACAGGACGAGGGACTCACCCAAGGTCCTCTGGTTCACCATGGGTGCCAATATTGCTTTATTCTCATTTATGCTCTTTTTTAAAGACTTGGTGGGAAATGCTCCTCTGGTATCAAACTAGAAAGGAAATAAGAAGATTGGAAATCACCTGAAATAAAAGCAAATTATTTTCTTCTCCTTCTTAAAATTCCTTGCTTTTCCCAAGACACGGAAATGACACCCAAAACTCATACATTAGGTAAATATCTGTATATTTCTCTTTTCTGGCTATTATTTCCAGGTGTTCTCTAAGATAGATACGCTCTATAGTTTATTTGAAAGACATCTCTCTTATGGGAGGAAGTGAAATGGGCAGTATTAATGTTTTTCCAAGTCTTACAATGTGCCAGGCATTTCTATAGGGTTTCTCCTTTTTTCCCCACCAGAGCTCTCTGAGGAAGGTAACATTCCCGTTTTACAGATGATCAAGGATAGACCCACAGAACACTATACTTTTTCAGGGTCACACATCAAGTCATGAGCAGGAATGGGCTTCTCTCTCTTGCCCGCCTCACAATACCCCCGTTAGCCTCCCTTTCAGATGATGGGCTTCCAAAGCTTAAGGAGTGATTGTTTTAAGCTGTCCTAGAATTGTATCCACATGGGTACTCCCTCAACATGATATTCAGTATAGGAATAAAAACCTTGTGCCAGAAACCTGGGTGTAGGAGCCACATGGTTGAGCTGGTCCCTGAGGTGTTAAGCAAGGCTTACATGAAAACGGAGTTGTTGCTCTCTCTGGAAGGTGGCCTGAAAAAGATTACTGACGTTTGCGCAAGGATTTTAATCCACAGGTAATTTATCTAATTGAATTCTTACAGCTATTCAAGTTACTGTTCATTGTTGATATTATTCAGATCAGGGTACAGGGGTTATGGGAAGTTAAGCAACTTTCCCTAGAGAAATAAACTTGTAAATTAATGTCCAGGAACTCAAAACCTATAATTACACAGAGCACCATTATTTTTCTGCTCCGTTATCTGCGAAGACAATCAGTGAACCTAAGTGTGTTGTTTGGGGTTTCTTGTTAACAATGAGCATTACTGCTTCTCTCTCTCTCTCTCTCTCTCTCTCTCTCTCTCTCTCTCTCTCTCTCTCTCTCTCTCCCCCCTCTCTCTTCTCTCTCCTCTCTCTCTCTCTCTCTCTCTCTCTCCTCTCTCTCTCTCCTCTCTCTCTCTCTCTCTCCACAATGTTTCAGTTAACGATGGACCACATATATGACAGTAGTTCTATCAGATTATCATAGAGCTGCCCTATACAGGTGACTATTTTGTATCTTTTATACCATATTTTTATTGAACCTCTTCTATGTTTAGATACACAAATACTTAGCATTGTGTTACCATTGCTTAAAGTATTCAGTACAGTAACATGCTGTACAGGTTTGTAGCCTAGGAGGAATACGCTATAGCATATAGCCTAGGTGTGTAGTAGGCTATACCATCTAGTTTTGTGCAAGTACACTCTATGATGTTCACACTTTTACGGGATCTTTGGGGTGTCACTTTTCTGGCCGGAAACCTCTGTGGCCTGTGGCACCTTTGCTTGAGTTTTTCTTGGGCCCACTGGGCTCATTCCACCCACTCGACCTGGCAGGCTGCGCTCAGCTCATGCTACCGGCCTGGATCACACGCCTGCCATGGGAGACTGCATGGAGCAGCGAGGGGTGTGTGAGCAAGTGTGTTGTCCAACCACTGCACAGTCAGAAATGCCGGCTGCTGCAGCGGGTGGGGAGCTCCAGGTGCCAGCATGGGTGCCAGCTCTCCACTGGGCTGCCACTTGACCAGGTGCGCCACGGCTTCCACAGTTGGCACCAGGGAACGCTGTGGTGCCTTGAAGCTTGGAGACGCCAGGAACTGCAGTGCCTCAAAGACAGAGTCACAGCCCTGGCTCAGTGAGCTCCTCAGTCTGGGCTCCCAAACGGCCGCAGCTCTTCTTTCCTTCTCTTCACCTGCAACATGATGAGCAAGGGGCATGCCTCAGCCCTGTTTGTGTTACAGATCCTTTAGCCTCATTCAGTGGGTCCTGAGTTCTTATCCTGTGCCCAGGAAGAATAAGGTATGCAGACAAGTGGAGGGTGGGCAAGACGAAGAGGAGCGTTATTGAGCAATAGAACAGCTCAGAGGATACCCGAAGGGGGCAGCTCCTTTCTGCACCCAGGGTGTCTCAATGACTGTTCAGCTGCTAGCATGGAGGGTAGCTTCTCTCTGCTAGGCAAGTCAACCCGACAAGTGTTCAGCTATCAGCAGAGAGGGTAGCTCCTCTCTGCAGCTGGTCATCCCATCATCTGCACAGCTCTCAGCAGAGAGGAGGCCCTAGAGAGTGGGTGGCTCCTCTCTGCAGGCAGGTCATCCCATCATCTCCCCATTGTCTCTTCATCATCTCTGCAGCTCTCAGCAGAGAGGAGGCCCTAGAGTGGGTTGCTCCTCTCCGCAGCTGGTCGTCCCAACGTCTGCTCAGCTCTGGCTTATCCCAGGGCTTTTATGGGCCTCGGAGGGGAGGAAGTGCATGCCAATTGCTCCATGGGTGGCCATGGGCGGGCCCAGAAAGGGCACCACAAGTTCCCACTCCAGTCCGAAGGACTGGCAGCCCGACCCCAGCCCAAGTCTGGTCCCGCTCTGGTCCATGGGACTGGCAGCCCAGACTTTGGGCACCGACGAGCATAGGAGGGAAGTCAAGGGGTGGCTGAGGGCAGCTCAGTGCTGGCCCGCAGGGTGCCCCTTGGCACCTACAGCCTGGGCAACATGAACGGCAGCAGGAGGCAGACAGGTTCCTGGGCAGAAAGGCATGGGTCCCCGGTCAGGGACTACAGATTTATCTGAGTTTTAGCCACTCCGCATGTAACCAGGCAAAAAGCCATAAAAGCAGGCGCCCAGAAACATTTCCTCGTCCAAATGTCAACTTCTCTCCAATCTTCTGCTTGCTTTCAATCTTTCTCAAGTGCTTTAAAATAATGAACAATAAATGTTAATTATTCTGTGACACAGTTACAGAAAATAAGCACCACTAAATCTTAGCATGAAGCAACAAGAACGCAGAAATGTCATTATTAAGGCATCAAAATGTATACATCATACAGTACTCTAAGCAAACCATGGTATAAAAACATGTACTATGATAATCTCATAAATATTGTAAGGAGACAAATAGGTACTAATGGGAAATTGTTTTTAAAAAAAGCTTTATTGACACATAATGATTGCACACATTTATGGGGTACATGTGATATTTTGGTACGTACGTATAATGTGTAATGATCTAATTAGGGTATTTAAAATATCCATTGCCTTGAACATTTATAATTTCTCTGTGTTGGGAGTATTTCAAATCTTCTAGCTATTTTGAAATATACAATAAATTGTTAACTACAGTCAGCCTACTGTGCTATCAGAAGAGTATGGAGGTTTCTCAAACAACGAAACATAGAACTACCATATGATCCAGCAATCACACTACTGGCCATTTATCCAAGGGAAAGGAAATTGGTATATCAAAGGGACACCTGCACCCCTATGTTTATTGCAGCACTATTCACAATAGCCAAGATAGGGAATCAACTTAAGTGCCCATCAGCTGACGAATGGATAAACAAAATGTGGCATATATGCACAATGGAATACCATTGGTTAAAGGGTACAAACACACAGTTAGATATAAGGAATAAGTTCTAGTGTCCTCAAGTGCTTTTAGATAGTTATTTAAGTTGTTTCCCAGGGTTTATAATTGCTAGCTATGGGAGGTTTGGTTCAATGTGACTTACTTTGCCATTACTGGAAGTAAAACATGTACTCTGCCTTTAATTATGAAAAGAATGAGCCATTGACTTTCTTGCCTGAAGAGGTTGAATGCAATTTAATTGTGAAAGTGAGGGATGTCTACCTCAGTCGAAATGGAGAATGCAAATAGGGATGAATTCCTTAGTTACCATAGGCAAAAAAGGTTTCATGTGTAGATCTATATATTTAGAAAAGTGAAACATTAATTTAAATAAATCATGTTCTTACCAGAATGCCTTAATTCGAAATATGTGAGCTCTTATAACAAATTATTGGAATTGACTTTCCTCCATAGCATACAGTGTCTTAAACCATAGCATGTTCCCTTCAGCTACACTCTCAGCTGAAATAAATTTGCATGTGTGTGTATACACACATACGTATGTGTCAGGTATGAACATATAATAAATATATAGAGATATATTTTCAAGGGAAAATGTAATCTTATCATAACATCTCTTTGCAACATGCTTTTTTCACAAAACAGCATATTTTCCAAGTAATGGAACACATTTCTAACATGTTATTTTTTTGGTTTGCTTCACAAACAGGCTTATCCTGCGTTTTCAAAAATATTATTTTGTTTACTTTACCTGGTTATAAAATTAATGTAAATTTTCTGCCCAAAACAAGTAATTGTTTTGTATTTTCCTTTTCCTCTATCTATATTATGGTATTAATTCAGTTATATAAATTATAAATCAACATATACATTTTGTGTGTGTGTGTGTGTGTGTGTGTGTGTGTGTGCGTGTGTGTATATATACACACACACGCAAGGAAAGAAAATGTTTCTAAATTTTTAACTTTGTTTATCAGTAGGTGTCATCAACCCTAAACAACAGCTAATGTCCTTTCTGTCTCTATGGCTATGCTTATTCTGGATGTGTCTTACAAATGGAATCATACAGTATGTGACCTTTTGCATCTGACTTATTTTAGTTAGCATAATGTTTTTAAGGTACGTGCCAGTAATTTTTTATGGCTGAATAATATTCCATTGTATAGATGTACCACAATTCACTTGTACATTTATCAATTGATGGGCACTGGATTGTTTCCATCTTTTGGCTACTATTTATAATGTTGCTGTAAATATTCATGTACAAGTTTTTGCTTGAACACCTGTTTTCAATTCTCTTATGTAAAGACCTAGGAGTGGAATTGCAGGCCGTGTGTTCATTTTTAAACAAAGCTGATTTTACCTGTGAAAAATTGATTAAAACAAATAGACAAATAAATAAACAAACCTGTTTTTATGGTATTACCAAATGGCTGCCTGGGAGCAAAGAGACCATCAGGGAATATGGACAAATAAAATACTTGAACCTTTGAGAGAGGGTATTTACCAGGTAATGGTTTTCTACGGTTACACATAAATATTAAAAATGCAGAAGGCAGCAGGAGTTGCTTCTGTTACTGGAAATCCAAATCCATTAAATTCATTCTCTAGGCTTTTAGGCACTTAGGGTTATGTTGAGTATTTGTGACACAATTCTTACAAAGGCATAAAGCATACCATTCTGTAAACAGGCAAAGACTGTTCAGACAAATATCTATGCCTAATGTGAGCCGATTCAATTGAAATGCTGTCCCCACATCACTCACTGGGTCAGAGGAAAATATCATGGCCAGAGATAACTTGGCACAGAACTGAATTTATCCAAGATGTATTATCTTTGAATACCCCATTGTGACCTGCCAGCTGGAGGTCACACAAGAAAATATGACAGCACTAAATATGGCAAACAAAAGTTCATTCTGTCCCATCAAACATTTTTCTAATGTGGTATTTAAAAGTTTTTTCAAATACGAACTTCCTTTATTTGTTTAAAAATGGAAAAATGTGCTTGTTTATCATATTCACCTCAGAAAGTCTATGTGGCACATCAGGGATGTGACGTAGAAAACTTTTAACTCCAGGAAAGCCAAACTCAAAAGCCTATGGGGTCAAGTTGATAATGTAGATAATACAAGCAGGGCTATACAAAAATAACAAGAACTTTTGCTAACACAAGTTAGTACCCTCTCTCCAGTTTTACGGAAATGAACAGTAGTCTTAGTCTTTTCTTCACCACTTTTCACAAATTTTATTTTTTAGCCGGGCACGATGGCATGTGCCTATTGTCCCATCTTACTTCAGGAGGCTGAAGTGGGAGAATTCCTTGATCCCAGGAGTTTGAGACTACCCTGGGCAACATAGTGAGACCCCGTCTCTAAAACAATAAATAAATAAAATTTTATTTTGAATAGAGAAGTAATAATTGTATTATTTATTAGGTACAATGTGATGCTTTGAGATACGTAGATAGATAGGTAGCTAGATAGATAGATACACACAGATTGTGGAATGATGAAATCAAATGAATTAACATAGCCATCACCTCACCTATTTATCGTTTATTTTTAGTCAGAATGTTTAAAATCTACTCTTTTAACAACAAATATTTTACTTTTTACTGTAAGAAAAACAACAGCAATAACAGTACAATAAAGACTAATATTCTGTGTATGTGTGGGGATAGGAAGTGACAGGAACCACAGTGACTGGGGATAAAGAAGCTGCTACTCAGCTCCAGCCAGTTGTTTCCTTAAGGGCATGCAGGAATCAGTAGCATTCAGTAGCATTTCTATATACTAATAACATCCAAACTGAGAGCCAAATCAAGAACACAATCCCATTCAGAATAGCCAAAAAAAGAACAAAATACCTAGAATACAGCTAACCAGGTAGATGAAACATCTTTATAATGAGAATTACAAAATGCTCCTCAAATAATTCAGAGATGACACTAATAAGTGGAAAAACATTCCATGCTCATGGAGAGGAAGAATCAATATTGTTAAAATGTCCATACTGCCCTAAGCAATTTGCAGGTTCAATGCTATTCCTATCAAGCTACTGATGCCGTTCATCACAGAATTAGAAACAAAAACTATTTTAAAATTCAAATAGAACCATAAAAGAGCCTGAATAGCCAAGGCAATCCTCAGGAAAAATAACAAAGCTGGAAACATCACATTACCTGACTTCAAACTATACTACAAAACTATAGTAACCGAAACAGCATGGTGCTAGTACAAAAACAGACACATAGACCAACGGAACAGAATCTAGAGCCCAGAAATAATGCCACACACCAACAACCATCTGATCTTCAACAAAATTGACAAAAACAAATAATAGGGAAAGAACTCCCTATTAAATAAATGATGCTGAGATAACTGGCTAGCCATACACAGAAGACTGAAACTGGACCCTCCTTTTACCCCATATAGAAAAATCAACTCAAAATAGATTAAAGGCTTAAATGTAAAACCTAAAACTATAAAAGCCCTGGAAGATGGCCTAGGAAACACCAATGTGGACATAGGTCCTGGAAAATATATCATGATGAAGATGCCAAAAGCAATTTCAACAAAAACAAACACTGACAAATGGGACCTGATTAAAGAGCTTCTGCACAGCAAAATAAACTATCAACAGAGTAAACAGACAACTCACAGAATGGGAGAAAATAGTTGTAAACTATGCATCTCATAAAGAACTAATATGCAGAATCTATAAAGAACTTAAATCAGCAAGCAAAAACCAAATAACCCCATTCAAAAATTGGCAAAGGACATATAGTAAAATGAACAAGCACTTTTCCAAAGAAGACATACCCACACTCAACAAGCATATGAAAAAAAGTTCAACATCATTGATCATTAGAGAAATGCAAGTCAAAACCACAATGAGATACCATAACACACCAGTCAGAACGACTATTATTAAAAAGTCAAAAAATAACAAGTACTGGCAGGGTTGTAGAGAAAAATGAGCTCGAACACTGCTAGTGGAAATGTAAATTAATTCAGCCACTGTAGAAATCTTGGCGATTTCTCAAAGAACTTAAAATGGAATGAGCATTTGACCCAGCAATTCCATTATTGGGTATATACCCAAAGGACTATAAATCGTTTTACCATAAAGACATATTCACAATCGCAAAGCACTATTCAAAGTAGCAAAGACATGCAATCAACTTAAATGCGCATCAATGGTAGATTGGATAAAGAAAATGTGGTACATATACACCATGGAATACTACACAACCATAAAGAATGAGATCATGTATTTTGCAGCAACATGGATGGGGCTGGAGTTCATTATCCTAAGCAAACTAATGCAGGAACAGAAAACCAAATACCACATGTTCTCACTTATAAATGGGATCTATATACATCGAGTACATACGGATAGAAAGAAAGGAACAACAGACACCAGGTCCTACTTGAGGTCACAGGGTGTGGAGAGGGTGAGGATCAAAATACTACCTATCGGGTATGATATGGTTTGGCTCTGTGTCCCCACCCAAATCTCATCTTGAATTGTAATCCCCATGTGTTGGGGGAGGAACCTGGTGGGAGGTGATTGGATCATGGGGGTGGTTTCCCCCACGCTGTTCTCATGATAGTGAGTGAGTTCTCACTAGATCTGATGGTTTTATAAGTGTTTGGAAATTTCTTCTTCACGTTCTTTCTTTTCCTGCCACCTTGTGACGAAGGTACTTGCTTCTCCTTCACCTTCCACCATGATTTTAAGTTTCCTGAGGCCCTCTTCACCAGCCATGTGTAACTGTGAGTCAATTAAACCTCTTTCCTTTATAAATTACACAGTCTCAGAGAAGTTCTTTATAGCAGTGTGAAGATGGACTAATACAGGGTACTATGCTTATTATCTGGATGATGAAATAATCTGTACACCAAACCACAGTGACATGCAATTTACCTGTATAAGAAACCTACACGTGTACCCCTGAACCAAAAATAAAAGTTAAAAACAATAAAAAGAAAGGGTCTGGAACATGCCACTCCCTTAACTGATATTGGAAATGTTAGTTCCAGAGTTCTTCATTCCTTCAATGGGGGGATTTTGATGTAAAATGAATGGCATGAATAAATTAAGGATTATTTGAAAATATACGCACAAAACATGCAATGTAAACATATTTATGTAACTTGTGAGCTTTGGTGTTTTTTTTAGCATATGCTTTCCTTTGGAGTTTGGGAGAGGAAAAGATATTTGTGCCATTTCTTTTTATTATTTAATGAGTTATCCTGCCTATTTACTCTTCAGTTTAACATTAGAGAAACACACACTCACTCCACACATGTAGAAACAAATTTCAGTCGTCTTTCTCCAAATGAATATGTCCTGCAGTAAGTTGAAAATGAGAGTCTGGGCTTCAGAGAAAAGAGTGGGATGGACAAATGGACTTGAGTTGGCAGTGCCCACCCCCCCACAAAAATATGTACAGAATGAAAGAATAATTGCGAGAGACCCAGCTTTGGAAGTCATTATCAACAAATAAAACAGCAATACACATTCAATTTTTTTCTCTGCACATGAATTTTCTAATATATTTAGTACTATTCATTTTATATTGTCTTTTTCTCTCTTTGCAAAAATTGTTACTTTTCCATTGCAGCAGAGGTGGACTATAGAGATAATCGCCACCTGCTGGTCAAAGCCAGAACTACATCTCCGAATGTCAGGGAGGAGGCTCTCTAAGGATTTGGAGAGCAAGGGGCCTCTGGCCTGACCCACCAAACAGGGCATGCTGGAGGCTTGAATGGCACAGGCAGCCCTTCCTGCTTAATCTATTGCTGCCTGGCTCTCTGAGATCCTGGCAGGAAGTTCCACCCCTGTCTCAAATAAAGAGAAAGCCATCAGTGTGTCTCTGAGAAACGGTATATCAGTGCATGTGTGTGCGTGTGTCGATATTTTGTATTTTGGGTTATATCCTTTTAAACACATTTGATTTATAACATGTACTTATTCACACGGGAGTATTAACAATAAGGGGGACCAATCATATTGTAAATACAATGTGAAATTTCCTCTTTAAAAGAAATCTCACAATTAAGTATGAATTCCTTTTGAAAAATTAATTATACTGTAAATTGTAAGATGTACAACATGATGTTATAAGATACATACATATATATAGTAAAATGGTTACTGTAGTGGAACAGATTAACATATCCATCATCTCACAGAGTTTCCTATTTTCCTCCTTGTGGCAAGAACAGCTGTAATCTACACATTTAGCAAAAATTTCGAATGCAATATACTATTATTTACTATAGTCCTCATATTGTATGTTAGATCTTTTGTTTTGTTCATCCTACATGTTTGCGCTTTGTATCTTTGATGTATACATCTCCCCATTTCCTTCTCCCACCCTAACCCTTGTAATCACTATTGTCTTGTCTCTCTATATATATTTGACCTTTTAAAAATATTTGACACATAAGTGGGAATGTGCAATATTTGTCTTTCTGTGTCTGGCTTATTTCATTTAGTATAATGATCTCCAGATCCATCCATGTTGTGGCAAATGGCAGGATCTCCTTGTTTTTTATACTACATTATTTATATTACTTAGTGCAAATTGCTTTCCAGTCCAGTAGACTTACACAAAATAAATTACTGAGATTAGATTATTATAACGTTTTTATTTTTTTCACAAATTTATCACAATTACTTTCTTAAATCACAAAACTAATATATGTTTGTAATTGATAGAAGCTGAGCAAAAGACATGCTTATGTGGAAAATGAAATGATCCTGTATCTACCTCCTTCACTCTGCTGAGGTATCCTTTGTTAATGGTGTGGAGCATATTCAACAGATGATTTTTTTTCTCCATAGAAAGAAAATGTTCATGAGAATATATATGGAAATATATATGTACAAAATACATAAAGATGTACAATGTGTATGAACATGTGTTATGAGATGAATGTTTCTATCCTCCCAAATTTACACATTGAAGCCCTAGCTTCCAAGGTGATAGTATTTGGAGGTGGGGCCTTTGGGGTTTAATTAAGTTTAGATTAGACCACCACGAGAGTGGGACCCTCATAATGGGATTGATGCCCTTATAAGCAGAGGAAGAGAGAGACAGATCTCTCTCTTCACAAGTATGCACCAAGGGTCATGTGAGCAAACAGCAAGAAAGTGGCTGTCTACAAGCCATGAAGAGAGCCATCACCAGACGCTGACTCTACTGACACTTGGTCTTGGACTTCCCAGCCTCCAGAACTATCAGAAATAAATGTCTGTCATTTAAGTCACCCAGTCTGTGGCATTTTGTTATAGCAGCCTGAACAGACAGCATGTATATACACATATTCTTCATGAAAATGGGATGACTGCAAACTTTGTCATGCAATTTACCTTCCTTAGCTGAGAATAAGGTTACCTGAATTTTTAGTTGTGTGTTCATTGCTATTGGATATCTTCTCATAAGTTTAATTGCATTCCTCTAATTTTCTATGAGATTTTAAATTTTCATTTGTTTCTCTTCTGGTTAAAGAGAGTTCCTGGCATATAAAGTGGTTTCTGAGGTATATGTGGATAATTTCCCCTCCAATTTTTAATGCAATTTTAAATGTTAAAATCTCATTGATTTTAATGATGAAGAAATCAATACAGTCATTATAAAAGTTTTTAAGAATCACAGGAGTGTAGAGATTGCCACTTTATAAGAAGATTTTAGATAGAAGCCATTCAAAGCTCAGGAAGACATCATAGAGTGAAAGGCTTGGGTTTTAAAGTCCCTGGCCTGTGTTTTACAGACTTGGCACTAAGGGTAACTTGCTTAGCCTCTTAAGTCTTGGCTTTTCTCATTTCTCGTAAGCGATCCTTATTACCTACCTTGAATTTATTATCATATTTAGAAAAGATACAATATAAAATTCCTTAGACATAACTCAAGCTTTGATAAACAAGAATATCCTTCCTCCATGTCACATTCCCAAGGTCTAAAACCTGTACTTTCATCTGAATTATTCGCCACTTCAGGAACTGCCAATCAACATGCCTCCTATCCTAGGACAGGATTTCCTCTCCACAAACATCATCACTAAGGGGAGTTGTCTAGTATGTTACCATATGGGCATGACAAAGCTCAGGCACAATACCAGAAAAGTTTACAACTACCATTTCTTACCCCTGGAAGCCCACATCTACAATAGAAGCTGCTGGGTGTACTCTGGGCAGATCCAGTGGCTGATTTTCATTGTTGCCGCTTATCAGGATATGTGGTTTATCCTTGGCAAGCCTGGAGCTGATCATCAGTAAAATGAAAATAATGATGTTTTAAGGAAATGAGAAATCCATGGGAGGCTTTAGTGGTTACTATCTTAGCCTCACCTTGCCTTCTCTGCAGAAGAGATGTCTGTGATAGAAACTAAATTCATAACTCTAAGAGAGAACAGTTGGGATCCTAAGTGTATGGAGGGAAATGTGTGCAGAGTTTTTTGATGTATTAGCCATGGTGACTGTCCAGTATTGTAGGATGAGTTACCTGAGGGACTTTGGAAGGGAACAAAAAAATCCTCATGCCATTTCCTACCACCATACATGCTTTCCTGTCCTTAGTACTTTGTCTTTTATGTTGTAAGGGAAGAAAGACTCTTAAGAGGTGCAAGATGAAGAGATTTCCTTTGAGTCTTGGAATGAAGAGACAGTAAGAGGAACCAATCCTTATAACAGAACTGCTGTACAGAAGGCTGCAGTCAAAGGAACTGTGTCCCGATAGCAATGCTGTCACTTGCCCCCAAACAGAAGCCTCTTCTCCAGAAATGCTAGTATCTATCTTTGTGGGCATATATCAAAGTAGAGAACAAATACTATAACAAAATACACCAAAACATTAATTGTGTTTACCACGAAGGGGCAGGAGTGCTGGATATATTTTCTTGTCTGTATTTGACAGTATTTTCCACATGGTCCAAAATGAGTGTGGATTACCTTTATAAGAATAAGCAGGGCCTAAAAAATGTACTTTATTTATAACTAATAAACAACACCAGGTCTGGAGATGCAGTGGAAGGAACAGGGCTTGGCCAGGTGAGATCTGGGCAGTTACTTCAGATCCCTGAGCCTCAGGGAGCCTGGAGCTTAATTCTTCACCCACAGGGCTCCCCAGGGTGGGAGATGTGATGAAATCACCACATTGTCCACATACGGGCTCTATGCTGTTGTATTGATTAGTGACTGGTCCCTTCATGCTTTAGAGAGCAACGTTGTGGCATCCACTGCTTGAGTCTGTGGCCCCACTGCACACTATAACCTCATTTCCTTGATCCCAGCATTCTCAGCACAGTGTGATTCTCCAGGTATTCTATAAAGGGTAAGGCGCTGTTTTGTTTTGTTTGTGTTTGTTAGCAGTGTCAGTATCACCTGGGAACTTGCTAGAAAGTGCTAATTCATAGGCTCCACCCTAGACCTACTGAATCAGAAACTCTTGTGGTTGGTTCTAGCAATCTTTTCTTTCTTTGTTGTTTGTACAAATTTATGGGGTACATGTACTCCCCAGTTTGTCACAAGCTCCCCAAGTTATTCTGATGCAAGCTGAAGTTTGAGAACCATATTCTACAAAATTTAAAGTAGTAAATGAAAAGTGTTAATTGCTGAGTTAAGGAACGAATTTTGATTTTATTTCCATACTTTTTCAAAATCTCCATTCAAAGTACAATTTGTTCATTTTGTGAAATGAGTTATTTTTTTATTGAAAAATGAAATTGAAGATCAGTCAATGCCATCTGTTGACCCAATCCAGAACTGCAGCTTGGATATCACTTTAGCAAGGGATCTAGGAAGGAGGGAAGGAGGGAAAGGAGGGCTGTGTAAGCCCACCAGAATAAACTTTCTGGAAGTTATATGGCAGACAAAGCACTAAGCAGAGATGGAGACAGAGCCCGTGGGTATTAATTCATGTGACAGGATGTTTCCTTTGACCCCTCTCTCAAATTAAACCCAGTTGATTGAATTTGTATGTGTGTGGTTATAAATATAATGTGGTATGTGACCTCCTTTTTATGTTACAGGATATTTAACATCTTTTAATGTCCAGAAATATATTTTTCAGCATTAGTTTTGTAAATCAAACCACAACTAGGTTTATTCTATGCTGTCATAATTGTATCTTGGTTATTCTGCTAATTAAAAATCAGTGTGCTGTGTTTCCCAGCTCTTGAAAACACTGGAGAAATATACAATTATAAGAGGCATTATCTTGTGTTTCCCCTATTACTATGTCCTTTCTCAAGATAATCACTCAATCAGTTTGTAAATATTATCCAGATTTGTTTCTGTGGGCTCATTTATATTTTAAAATATGACATGTGTATATCCTTATGGAAATATATATTCTTCAAAAATCAGATCATGTTGCATATTATGTTCTATATCTTGCTTATATATTTATATATCTCAGAGCTTTTTATTAGATTTAATTTTTGGTGGGGTTAAGAAATTTTAAATATGTTGATTGCCATTGCCATTCATTTTTTTCTTTAAATTACCTGTTGGTAGACATGTACACAACTCTTTTAGCTAGTTAGATTTCCTTATATGTCAGGTATATTAATTATGTCTATAAATTATAGTACAAATATGTTGTGTCCAATGCAGAGCCCTCCCTCTGGTGTCCTAATATGAGCAGACACTTTATGGATGCTCTCCTGGGAAGGGGCGGTGTGGCATCCAGGCTGGATTTATCACTGCCCAGCTGAATGGTCTCTTCTACCTTCAGGGAGGTGACAGTACTGGCACCCATTGTTTATTTGTGAAGTCCTGGTCACTGCCCTAGGAGCATTACATCTGTGCACATTGTGACCTCTTTACTCTGACCCTAGGCAGTTTTGTCCATCAGTTCTCTCAGCACAGAGTCATAGCCACTTAAATAGAGTAACTCTTAGTATGAATTATATATTCTAAAATAAGAAAGAAAGAAGTAAATGGCTATTTCAAGGTAAGGATAATTATTATTTATCAAAAAGGAGGTTTCATAACCAGCATGGAAAGTAGCATTTTGAGGTTTATTCATTTTCCCAAATTAATACATCAGTATATTAACTGTACAGTCTGCACTCCCACCCCAACCAGAAGATATTCATTATTAATAATTTGATGTATATTCTGTGATTTTTGTATATGTCTTAATAAAATGCACAGATATTTATCCAAATGTAAAAGTATACTCTTTTATAAACTTGTGATTGTTCTCTACATACTGTGTTTATATTTATCTCTTTCATGTAGTATGAGAGCTTGTTTCACATTTCGTCACTTATATCGTTGGGCATATTTTCAAATGTTCACTGGGTATCTATGTTACTTTCATGTACTTTCTCTGTTGTAATCTTTGGCTCATTTCTCTGTTGGTTAAGGTATCAAGGATATTAACCATATATCTGCAATACAGGTTGCAACTATTTTCTTCCAGCTTTTTATATACATTGTACTCTTAAATTTTGCAATACAGATTGTGTTTAAATATATACAATCATGTGTCACTTAACAATGGCGATACCTTCTGAGAAAGGCATGGTTAGGTGATTTTTGTTGTTGTATTGATGGCAGCGGCAGGTTGTCTGGAGTGGCCGCTGCCATCATGCTGGCTGCAGCAGGGAGATGTGGCCAGGGCTGCACCCTCCATGGAGCCAGTGGAAGCGGGGACAAGTGGGAGCCCGGCCCCTTCGAAGTTCTGGTGGGAACTCCCTGTGTGCCCCTGCAGCCACCCAAGCCATGGCTGTGAACCTAGACATCCCTGTGCTCTTGGGCGTGGGAGCAGGCGGGAGCCCCCCCTCCAGAGCACAGCTGCAGCCACCCAAACCACAGCTGCAGACCTGGGCCTCCCACTCCAGGGAGCAGGCAAGAGCCCCGCCCCCACCCCACACAGCTGTGGACGCAGGCATCTCTGCACTCGGGGGCCCAAGAAGGCCCTCCATGCCATCGCAGTGCCTGCTCCAGCTGCCTGGTTTCTCCCTGCTGTTTGTGCCCACTCCAATCTTAGAGCAAAGTTGGAGCCAAGCCCAGGCACTGTTGCAGCCCGGCCGGGTTTGCACAGGCTCTGTGTAGTGCTGACATGAAAGCCCCTTGCCGCCCTGGCCCTTTCCGTTCTTTGGGCACTGACAGGAAGCCGAGGGGAGGCTGAGGGCAGCTGAGGCTGGCCTGCAGGCTCCTCTTAGCACCTACAGTCTGGGCGCTGTGATTGGCAGCAGGAGGCAGACAGGTTTCTAGGCAGAAGGGGGTGGGTCCCTGGTGAGGCCCCACCTTCAGGCCAGGGAGGGCCAGAAGGCTGGGGGTTGAGCTGCCAGTCCCATTGACCAGAGTGGGAACTTGTGGTGCCTTTTCTGGGCCTGCCCATGGCTGCCCATGGACCAATCAGCTCACACTTCCTCCCCTCTGAGTCCCATAAAAGGCTCGGGCTCAGCCAGAGCTGAGCAGTCATCAGGCTGAACAGCTGCAGAGAGGAAAAAGCCATTCTAAGGCCTCCTCTCTGCTGAGAGCTGCAGAGACGACAGGATGACCTGCCTGCAGAGATGAGCCACCCACTCTAGGGCCTCCTGTCTGCTGAGAGCTGCACAGACAACAGGACAATCAGGTACAGAGAGGAGCTACACTCTCTGTTGATAGCTGAACACTTGTCAGGCAAGTGTTCTAGCAGAACTTGCCTAGCAGAGAGGAGCTATCCTCTCTGCTAGGAGATGAACACTCATTGGAACATCCTGCCTGTGGAAAGGAGCTGTCCCCTGTGGATTTCCTCTGAGCTGTCCTATTGCTCAATAAAGCTCCTCTTCATCTTGCTCACCCTCCACTTGCCTGCATATCTCATTCTTCCTGGGCACAAGATAAGAACTCAGGACCTGCCAAATGAGGCTAACAGAGCTGTAACACAAACAGGGCTCAGACATGCTCTGTATCAGTCCATTTCATGCTGGTGATAAAGACATGCCTGAGACTGGGAAGAAAAAGAGGTTTTATAGTTCCCCATGGCTGGGGAGGCCTCACAATCATGGTGGAAGGCAAGGAGGAGCAAGTCATGTCTTACATGGACGGTGGCAGGCAAAGAGAGAGCCTGTGTGGGGAAACTCCCATTTTTAAAACCATTTGATCTCATGAGGCTTATTCACTATTGTGAGAACAGCATGGGATAGACCTGTCCTCATGATTCAATTACCTCCCACCGGGTCCCTCCCACAACACATGGGGACTGAAGATGAGATTTGGGTGGGAACACAGCCAAAACATATTATATCCCTTGCTCAACACGTTGTGGCCCAAAAGAAGGAAAGAACACCTGTGGCTCTTCTGGAAGCCCAGACCTGGGAGTTCCCCAAGGCAGGGCTATGACTCCCTCTTTGGGCCCTGTAGTTCCTGGTATCTACAAGCTTCTGGATGCCACCGTGTTCCCAAGTGCCAGTTGTGGAGGCTGCTTGCAGTGTTCCTGGTCCAGCTGCAGCCTTGCAGAGAGCCAGCACCCATGCTGGAACCTGGAGTTTCCTGCTGTGCTGCAGCAGCCAGCATATCGGACTGCACGGTGGGTGGACCCCATGCTGGTTCACACACCCCTTGGCTGTCAATTTATAAATGTACAAGTGAAATGTGGTACATCCATACAATGGAATATTATTCAGGTATTATTCTAGGTATTTTGTTCTTTTTTTGGCTATTCTGAATGGGATTGTGTTCTTGATTTGGCTCTCAGTTTGGATGTTATTAGTATATAGAAATGCTACTGAATGCTACTGATTCCTGCATGCCCTTAAGGAAACAACTGGCTGGAGCTGAGTAGCAGCTTCTTTATCCCCAGTCACTGTGGTTCCTGTCACTTCCTATCCCCACACATACACAGAATATTAGTCTTTATTGTACTGTTATTGCTGTTGTTTTTCTTACAGTAAAAAGTAAAATATTTGTTGTTAAAAGAGTAGATTTTAAACATTCTGACTAAAAATAAACGATAAATAGGTGAGGTGATGGCTATGTTAATTCATTTGATTTCATCATTCCACAATCTGTGTGTATCTATCTATCTAGCTACCTATCTATCTACGTATCTCAAAGCATCACATTGTACCTAATAAATAATACAATTATTACTTCTCTATTCAAAATAAAATTTTATTTATTTATTGTTTTAGAGACGGGGTCTCACTATGTTGCCCAGGGTAGTCTCAAACTCCTGGGATCAAGGAATTCTCCCACTTCAGCCTCCTGAAGTAAGATGGGACAATAGGCACATGCCATCGTGCCCGGCTAAAAAATAAAATTTGTGAAAAGTGGTGAAGAAAAGACTAAGACTACTGTTCATTTCCGTAAAACTGGAGAGAGGGTACTAACTTGTGTTAGCAAAAGTTCTTGTTATTTTTGTATAGCCCTGCTTGTATTATCTACATTATCAACTTGACCCCATAGGCTTTTGAGTTTGGCTTTCCTGGAGTTAAAAGTTTTCTACGTCACATCCCTGATGTGCCACATAGACTTTCTGAGGTGAATATGATAAACAAGCACATTTTTCCATTTTTAAACAAATAAAGGAAGTTCGTATTTGAAAAAACTTTTAAATACCACATTAGAAAAATGTTTGATGGGACAGAATGAACTTTTGTTTGCCATATTTAGTGCTGTCATATTTTCTTGTGTGACCTCCAGCTGGCAGGTCACAATGGGGTATTCAAAGATAATACATCTTGGATAAATTCAGTTCTGTGCCAAGTTATCTCTGGCCATGATATTTTCCTCTGACCCAGTGAGTGATGTGGGGACAGCATTTCAATTGAATCGGCTCACATTAGGCATAGATATTTGTCTGAACAGTCTTTGCCTGTTTACAGAATGGTATGCTTTATGCCTTTGTAAGAATTGTGTCACAAATACTCAACATAACCCTAAGTGCCTAAAAGCCTAGAGAATGAATTTAATGGATTTGGATTTCCAGTAACAGAAGCAACTCCTGCTGCCTTCTGCATTTTTAATATTTATGTGTAACCGTAGAAAACCATTACCTGGTAAATACCCTCTCTCAAAGGTTCAAGTATTTTATTTGTCCATATTCCCTGATGGTCTCTTTGCTCCCAGGCAGCCATTTGGTAATACCATAAAAACAGGTTTGTTTATTTATTTGTCTATTTGTTTTAATCAATTTTTCACAGGTAAAATCAGCTTTGTTTAAAAATGAACACACGGCCTGCAATTCCACTCCTAGGTCTTTACATAAGAGAATTGAAAACAGGTGTTCAAGCAAAAACTTGTACATGAATATTTACAGCAACATTATAAATAGTAGCCAAAAGATGGAAACAATCCAGTGCCCATCAATTGATAAATGTACAAGTGAATTGTGGTACATCTATACAATGGAATATTATTCAGCCATAAAAAATTACTGGCACGTACCTT
Organism: Homo sapiens; assembly: GCF_000001405.40. Taxonomy (NCBI): domain Eukaryota; kingdom Metazoa; phylum Chordata; class Mammalia; order Primates; family Hominidae; genus Homo; species Homo sapiens. Next base: position 102,336,409 of record NC_000023.11, on the reverse strand, counting down.
AAAAACATTATGCTAACTAAAATAAGTCAGATGCAAAAGGTCACATACTGTATGATTCCATTTGTAAGACACATCCAGAATAAGCATAGCCATAGAGACAGAAAGGACATTAGCTGTTGTTTAGGGTTGATGACACCTACTGATAAACAAAGTTAAAAATTTAGAAACATTTTCTTTCCTTGCGTGTGTGTGTATATATACACACACGCACACACACACACACACACACACACACACACACAAAATGTATATGTTGATTTATAATTTATATAACTGAATTAATACCATAATATAGATAGAGGAAAAGGAAAATACAAAACAATTACTTGTTTTGGGCAGAAAATTTACATTAATTTTATAACCAGGTAAAGTAAACAAAATAATATTTTTGAAAACGCAGGATAAGCCTGTTTGTGAAGCAAACCAAAAAAATAACATGTTAGAAATGTGTTCCATTACTTGGAAAATATGCTGTTTTGTGAAAAAAGCATGTTGCAAAGAGATGTTATGATAAGATTACATTTTCCCTTGAAAATATATCTCTATATATTTATTATATGTTCATACCTGACACATACGTATGTGTGTATACACACACATGCAAATTTATTTCAGCTGAGAGTGTAGCTGAAGGGAACATGCTATGGTTTAAGACACTGTATGCTATGGAGGAAAGTCAATTCCAATAATTTGTTATAAGAGCTCACATATTTCGAATTAAGGCATTCTGGTAAGAACATGATTTATTTAAATTAATGTTTCACTTTTCTAAATATATAGATCTACACATGAAACCTTTTTTGCCTATGGTAACTAAGGAATTCATCCCTATTTGCATTCTCCATTTCGACTGAGGTAGACATCCCTCACTTTCACAATTAAATTGCATTCAACCTCTTCAGGCAAGAAAGTCAATGGCTCATTCTTTTCATAATTAAAGGCAGAGTACATGTTTTACTTCCAGTAATGGCAAAGTAAGTCACATTGAACCAAACCTCCCATAGCTAGCAATTATAAACCCTGGGAAACAACTTAAATAACTATCTAAAAGCACTTGAGGACACTAGAACTTATTCCTTATATCTAACTGTGTGTTTGTACCCTTTAACCAATGGTATTCCATTGTGCATATATGCCACATTTTGTTTATCCATTCGTCAGCTGATGGGCACTTAAGTTGATTCCCTATCTTGGCTATTGTGAATAGTGCTGCAATAAACATAGGGGTGCAGGTGTCCCTTTGATATACCAATTTCCTTTCCCTTGGATAAATGGCCAGTAGTGTGATTGCTGGATCATATGGTAGTTCTATGTTTCGTTGTTTGAGAAACCTCCATACTCTTCTGATAGCACAGTAGGCTGACTGTAGTTAACAATTTATTGTATATTTCAAAATAGCTAGAAGATTTGAAATACTCCCAACACAGAGAAATTATAAATGTTCAAGGCAATGGATATTTTAAATACCCTAATTAGATCATTACACATTATACGTACGTACCAAAATATCACATGTACCCCATAAATGTGTGCAATCATTATGTGTCAATAAAGCTTTTTTTAAAAACAATTTCCCATTAGTACCTATTTGTCTCCTTACAATATTTATGAGATTATCATAGTACATGTTTTTATACCATGGTTTGCTTAGAGTACTGTATGATGTATACATTTTGATGCCTTAATAATGACATTTCTGCGTTCTTGTTGCTTCATGCTAAGATTTAGTGGTGCTTATTTTCTGTAACTGTGTCACAGAATAATTAACATTTATTGTTCATTATTTTAAAGCACTTGAGAAAGATTGAAAGCAAGCAGAAGATTGGAGAGAAGTTGACATTTGGACGAGGAAATGTTTCTGGGCGCCTGCTTTTATGGCTTTTTGCCTGGTTACATGCGGAGTGGCTAAAACTCAGATAAATCTGTAGTCCCTGACCGGGGACCCATGCCTTTCTGCCCAGGAACCTGTCTGCCTCCTGCTGCCGTTCATGTTGCCCAGGCTGTAGGTGCCAAGGGGCACCCTGCGGGCCAGCACTGAGCTGCCCTCAGCCACCCCTTGACTTCCCTCCTATGCTCGTCGGTGCCCAAAGTCTGGGCTGCCAGTCCCATGGACCAGAGCGGGACCAGACTTGGGCTGGGGTCGGGCTGCCAGTCCTTCGGACTGGAGTGGGAACTTGTGGTGCCCTTTCTGGGCCCGCCCATGGCCACCCATGGAGCAATTGGCATGCACTTCCTCCCCTCCGAGGCCCATAAAAGCCCTGGGATAAGCCAGAGCTGAGCAGACGTTGGGACGACCAGCTGCGGAGAGGAGCAACCCACTCTAGGGCCTCCTCTCTGCTGAGAGCTGCAGAGATGATGAAGAGACAATGGGGAGATGATGGGATGACCTGCCTGCAGAGAGGAGCCACCCACTCTCTAGGGCCTCCTCTCTGCTGAGAGCTGTGCAGATGATGGGATGACCAGCTGCAGAGAGGAGCTACCCTCTCTGCTGATAGCTGAACACTTGTCGGGTTGACTTGCCTAGCAGAGAGAAGCTACCCTCCATGCTAGCAGCTGAACAGTCATTGAGACACCCTGGGTGCAGAAAGGAGCTGCCCCCTTCGGGTATCCTCTGAGCTGTTCTATTGCTCAATAACGCTCCTCTTCGTCTTGCCCACCCTCCACTTGTCTGCATACCTTATTCTTCCTGGGCACAGGATAAGAACTCAGGACCCACTGAATGAGGCTAAAGGATCTGTAACACAAACAGGGCTGAGGCATGCCCCTTGCTCATCATGTTGCAGGTGAAGAGAAGGAAAGAAGAGCTGCGGCCGTTTGGGAGCCCAGACTGAGGAGCTCACTGAGCCAGGGCTGTGACTCTGTCTTTGAGGCACTGCAGTTCCTGGCGTCTCCAAGCTTCAAGGCACCACAGCGTTCCCTGGTGCCAACTGTGGAAGCCGTGGCGCACCTGGTCAAGTGGCAGCCCAGTGGAGAGCTGGCACCCATGCTGGCACCTGGAGCTCCCCACCCGCTGCAGCAGCCGGCATTTCTGACTGTGCAGTGGTTGGACAACACACTTGCTCACACACCCCTCGCTGCTCCATGCAGTCTCCCATGGCAGGCGTGTGATCCAGGCCGGTAGCATGAGCTGAGCGCAGCCTGCCAGGTCGAGTGGGTGGAATGAGCCCAGTGGGCCCAAGAAAAACTCAAGCAAAGGTGCCACAGGCCACAGAGGTTTCCGGCCAGAAAAGTGACACCCCAAAGATCCCGTAAAAGTGTGAACATCATAGAGTGTACTTGCACAAAACTAGATGGTATAGCCTACTACACACCTAGGCTATATGCTATAGCGTATTCCTCCTAGGCTACAAACCTGTACAGCATGTTACTGTACTGAATACTTTAAGCAATGGTAACACAATGCTAAGTATTTGTGTATCTAAACATAGAAGAGGTTCAATAAAAATATGGTATAAAAGATACAAAATAGTCACCTGTATAGGGCAGCTCTATGATAATCTGATAGAACTACTGTCATATATGTGGTCCATCGTTAACTGAAACATTGTGGAGAGAGAGAGAGAGAGAGGAGAGAGAGAGAGGAGAGAGAGAGAGAGAGAGAGAGAGAGGAGAGAGAAGAGAGAGGGGGGAGAGAGAGAGAGAGAGAGAGAGAGAGAGAGAGAGAGAGAGAGAGAGAGAAGCAGTAATGCTCATTGTTAACAAGAAACCCCAAACAACACACTTAGGTTCACTGATTGTCTTCGCAGATAACGGAGCAGAAAAATAATGGTGCTCTGTGTAATTATAGGTTTTGAGTTCCTGGACATTAATTTACAAGTTTATTTCTCTAGGGAAAGTTGCTTAACTTCCCATAACCCCTGTACCCTGATCTGAATAATATCAACAATGAACAGTAACTTGAATAGCTGTAAGAATTCAATTAGATAAATTACCTGTGGATTAAAATCCTTGCGCAAACGTCAGTAATCTTTTTCAGGCCACCTTCCAGAGAGAGCAACAACTCCGTTTTCATGTAAGCCTTGCTTAACACCTCAGGGACCAGCTCAACCATGTGGCTCCTACACCCAGGTTTCTGGCACAAGGTTTTTATTCCTATACTGAATATCATGTTGAGGGAGTACCCATGTGGATACAATTCTAGGACAGCTTAAAACAATCACTCCTTAAGCTTTGGAAGCCCATCATCTGAAAGGGAGGCTAACGGGGGTATTGTGAGGCGGGCAAGAGAGAGAAGCCCATTCCTGCTCATGACTTGATGTGTGACCCTGAAAAAGTATAGTGTTCTGTGGGTCTATCCTTGATCATCTGTAAAACGGGAATGTTACCTTCCTCAGAGAGCTCTGGTGGGGAAAAAAGGAGAAACCCTATAGAAATGCCTGGCACATTGTAAGACTTGGAAAAACATTAATACTGCCCATTTCACTTCCTCCCATAAGAGAGATGTCTTTCAAATAAACTATAGAGCGTATCTATCTTAGAGAACACCTGGAAATAATAGCCAGAAAAGAGAAATATACAGATATTTACCTAATGTATGAGTTTTGGGTGTCATTTCCGTGTCTTGGGAAAAGCAAGGAATTTTAAGAAGGAGAAGAAAATAATTTGCTTTTATTTCAGGTGATTTCCAATCTTCTTATTTCCTTTCTAGTTTGATACCAGAGGAGCATTTCCCACCAAGTCTTTAAAAAAGAGCATAAATGAGAATAAAGCAATATTGGCACCCATGGTGAACCAGAGGACCTTGGGTGAGTCCCTCGTCCTGTGCTGGCCTCAGCTCTAACGGAGAAGAAGACGCAATACAGAAACAGTGGTTGTGGGCGTGGAGTTTGTAGAGTGAGATACATGTGGATTTGTCCTTTAGTTGAGAGGCACTTAATCTCGAGGAAGCAATTTCTCTCTCCGGAGTTCACCTTTCTTCTTGGGCTATATGGGAATTGGGATGGTACTTGCCCCTTAAAGATGACATGAGGAGTAAATGGATCACTGCATTGAAAGCAAGCAGAGCAATGATATATTAGTCCATTTTCACATTGCTATAAAGAACTACGCGAGACTGGGCAATTTATAAAGAAAAGAGGTTTAATCGACTCACAGTTCTGTAGGCTGTACGGGATGCACGGCTGGGGAGGCCTCAGAAAACTTACAATTATAGCAGAAGGCAAAGGGGAAGTAAGGCACAACTTACATAGTGGCAGGAGGGAGACAGAGAGAGAGAGAGAGAGAGAGAGAGAGAGAGAGAGAGAGAGAGAGGAAAGTGCCACACTTTTAAACCATCAGATCTTATGAGAACTCACTATCACAAGAACAGCAAGGGGGAAATCTGCTACCTTGATTCAATCACCTCCCACCAGGCCCCTTCCCTGAAACTTGGGGATTATAATTTAACATGAGATTTGTGTGGGGGGACACAGAGACAAACCATATCAAATGCCCAGCATCTTCTAGTGATGAATATGCATTTGCATCATTCATCGTATTTATCGTTACTCCTCCCAACCATCCAAAAGGAGAGTCGTGTGAATGGGGTTTGCATTGCCAGGCAATGTAATTGTTCTGTGGTGCTGCACCTTCATCTTTGTTGGGAACAAACTGGTTGACATACAGTTTAAAGGGGGACTGTAAAAAGCTCGGGAGCAGTCTCAGATATGTAACATTATTTAGTATAAGACATATTTGGCATTTCCAATCCGTGCATTCAGATGCATGGTTCTAGAAATGAGACAGGTGCATGTATATACGGTTTGATAGAAATTGAAGTTCAATACTTTCCCCATAGCAAATTATTTAATATTAATTAAAACATCAACAAAACAATACAGCATAAAACTGCGTATATATCACAGTTCTATGAAATGTCAATGCAGTACATTTGCACGTGGGCAAGCAAACAAAAAATAAGGGAATGAAGTTCAGGAAAATGTTAACAGTTCTTTTTCCAGCGATGATGGGATCGTTGGTTATTGATATTTTCATCTCTATAATTAACTGTATTTTAATCATTTGGTAAAATGAGTATATGTTTATGGTAGAATAAACCTTCAGCTTCTAAAATTTTTGTTACTAATCCAACATATCAAATATGCAAAATGTTATAGAGAGCTATAAAATGAACACTTGTGTATCCACTAACCAGGTTAAGCAATAAACTTGACGAATGTTTGAGCCCATCCCCTCATTTCACTTGTCCTTCCTTTACTCCTCAGATGTAACTCATAACCAGAACGTGGTGTTTATATTCCCCATAAATTGTTTCATAATTTTATCGTGAATAAAAGCATTCTTAAAGTATTATATATATGTTGTATGCATATATTTTCATACTGTAGGTGTCTTTATTCTCCTTATAATCATGATCTGAAATTTCGTTTTTCATACGAATATATGGTCTGATTCTTATAGGTCTAGGGTATTTATTTTCATGGTTATAGAATATTCCAATATAAGAATGAGCCACAATGTATTTTTTTGGACTAATGGTAATGAACATTTTTGTTTTTCCTACAGCTTTGCTCTCACAGACAATGCTGAAGGTACCACGATTACAGATGAGGCCATGTACGGACATGCCAGATATTCTCTAGTTTCTTGCTACTCAAAGTGTGATCCATGAAATAGTAGCTTCAGCATTACCTGGTATATTAGGGATCCACCAAGAAACAGAACCAGCAAGGGGTGTGTGTGTGTGTGTGTGTGTGTGTCTCGTTTGTGTGTGTGTGTGTGTGCACTTTTTTAGAAATTGGCTCCCGTGAACCTGGAGCCTGGAAAGCATGCAGGGAAGGCTGGCAGGCTGGAGACCCAATGAAGAGCTGCAGTTCAAGTCTGAAGGCATTTTGCTGGCAGAATTCCCTCTTCCTCAAGGCAGGTAAATCTTTTTACTCCTGAAGGCCTTCAACTGATTGGATAAGGCCAACCCACATTGTGCAGGGTAATCTGCTTTACTCAAAGTCTACAGATCTAAATGGCAATCTCATCTAAAAATACCTTCACAGAAGGTATTTTTAGAATAATGGAAGGCATTTGGAATAATGTTGGACCAAATATCTAGGTTCGTGCTCTTGGATGTGGCCATTGAAGGGGAGAAGGGTTCATATCCAACCACTGGCTTTCTCCAGCACAGGGGTAACAGGAGGGTGGGATCATAAGGAGTGCTGCATGGAGGGGAATTCTGAGATCATTAATGGAATGATGCCATTAAGGCCTCATGAGCAGACAACTAGGATGAATGGAATCCATGTTTGCAAAGATCAGCAGCAGTTATGCAGTAGGGCTGAGGGCAGGAGCTATAGGCAGGAACCCTGGGGTAAGGGAATCAGTTGGAGGCAAGTTCTGGGACAAACTATTAGGAGTGCAGACTAATACACAGGAGCCAGAGGTATTCTGAGGGAAGGCACAAAATTTACTTGGAGATGAGGGATAGAAAAGGGCATCATCAAGGCCACTCACCCTGGTGTTCCTGCAGTTGCTTCTGGACTCCTTCCACATGGAGGTTCCTGTGCTCTGATGAAGACAGGGAGGGGTCCACCACCCGCCCACACCAGCAACCTTTGTAAGAAGTGCAACTTTGCTGGGTGACTGTAATCCCAGCTACTCTTGAGGCTGAGGCTGAAGGACTGCTTGAGCCCAGGAGTTTGCACCCAGGAGTTAAGAGTCCAGCCTGGGCAACATAATGAGACCCCAACTCTAAAAAAAAGTACACCCTGTTGGAGGTGTCTATAAACTTGATGCCATCATATGCAGTGGGCAGGAAAACAAGTGACATATGGGAAATAATGCCTCTTCTCAGGGATGAGCCCTTATGAATTCCACAGCCCCAGCCTCCCTGCCACCCTATCCCTAAGGAGAGTGTGCCAAGGCCCAAGGAAAAGAACAGAGCAGTTGTGGATGGACTCTCCTGGCTGTGGCTGCCGTATGCTCCTTTCTGTCCTAATCAAAGTTTCCCCTCCACACTCCACACAATTAGCACATAAATGAACAATGTCAAGAATAAAAGAAAGTCATCACTGCAGATCTACATAAAATTATAGCATGATGACATGCATAGCTTTATGTTAATGACTTTAACTAAAATGAAACGGATATTAAACTGCATCTGCATTATGATTTCTCTTATATAAAAAGTGTGCATATATATTTATGTGCACATATATATTTATTCAATTATTTATGACTGAATTGTTCTCAATGATTCTAAAAAATGGCTATGTCAATTTACATGCTCGGAAGCAATGTATGTGAGTACTCTTGTCTCCTCCCTCCAACTTCAGAAATAATCTTGGGAAGCATACACTTTGCCTCACCATTTAAACTTCCAAGATTGTCTCCTAATGGACCATTTGCAGATGATGATGATGATGATGATGTGTGTGTGTGTGTGTGTATAGAGGTAGAGCGCACGAGAGATGAGAGAGTGAGTTCAGGTGTCAGAGTTAGCATGTGCTGGGAGGATAGGACCACAGGAAATCGTGGGAATTGGCAGGAGGATGAGTGACTGGAAGACCAGGACGTCAGAGCTGGCTAGGGAAGGAGGTCCAGGCTGTGGAAGCCTGATGATGTAGAGAGAGGAAGCAGAGGGGCCATGTGATGGGTTCCATGGTTCCTGTCCACAAAGGAACCCTGGTAGCTCTGAGAGCCTGAGCTGAATAGACACTGTGGTTGATGGGTAACATGTGAGGCCATCTCTAGTCCCCACGATGAGGCTGAGAAGCACACATTGTAGTCTCTGCTCCCTGGCTGAGAGGACCAAGGCTTAGAGAGGTATAGGAGCTTGTCTTCGACTATTGAAGCACTACAGGGAAGAACAAGGTTGGCATATTCTTTTTGTAATGGCAACTATCCCCTTAGTTCCTAGTTTTATGAAATCCACACTCCAACATATGGATCCCTAATGTACATGTACATAAAGAACTGAAAAGTGGCAAGTGGTAGGAAGGCGGCAAGTGGTAGGAAGTAACGTATGCCAAACACGAAAGTGGAGGCATAATTTGTAAACTGGTGGTACTTCTCCTATGTCACCATTTATAGGACTGTGACTTGAAAACGTCACACTGCTATTATTTTAATTTCGAAAAGTATGCCAGCTGATTGTCTAACGTGCAAGCATCACAGGAGTGTGGACAATAAATTGTGCAAACGTTTCGTTCAACTCTTGCCTGCAATTAGGAACTGCTAAATGCCAGTTGTTGAGAACTGACCATAAGGTGAGATTCTGTGCTATCGCTGTTTGTTTAGAAGTGAAAATAAATGGCTGATCCCCTTCAAGAACATGGACATGGAGCACCCGGTGTCAGCTCTCTGAGGAGTGTGCCGGGTAGATGGGCTGAGTATCCCCCTCCCCCGCCACCCCCCGCCGCAGGTGCTACCCTGAGACGACTCCTCGAAAAGTGCACCTTTGGGAAAGGGAGGGGTCGGGACGGTGGATGGAAGCCCCTGGTGTGCCAAGGTAACATGCCTGCTTCTGTGGGCCTCCAGGTCGAGCATCTGACAGAGTCCAACTGTCTCTCAAGGCCAGTCTCTGGAAGGAGCGTGTGTCCTTTCTCATGAGGATTTACGGACAAAATTACCTATGAAGGCAAGCCAGATTCATGTATCTGCTAAGGCCAGCCAGGGATGAACAGGGATGCAGTGCTTTCAGTCCTGGTCCCGCTGGCTCACGGCTGGGGCAGGGGAAGAGCAATCCAGGGCACACAATGTACAACGTGTAACGTCACTCTTTATTATGAAAATAAAATGGTGATCATGAGTGGGGCGAATACACAGAGCAACTGGCTCTTTGGGTGGTTATGTCACGTGGCCTGCAAGTTAACGTTGGCTTCCTGGTCAGCCAGGCCTTAGGCTGGTGAAAAGAGGAAACAAAGAGGATGTGAACGAAGACAAAGAAGACATCGGAGGGCTCCTTTTAGGAGATTTGCTTGAAGGCCTCCGCGGGGATCTTGCCCTCGGTCTAGAGAAAGTAAAGAAAAGGAGTTGGGATGTTAGTAGAGCCAGGTGCACTGGGTTCCATCCCCACACTACCTGGCCTCCATCTTCTTGGCCCTCCTGACGACCCAGAGACAGCTGTCTTTTACCCACTTGATTCCCAGACCTCACCTGGAGCATAGTGAAGGCCTGGCCAGCTCTAGTGTAGTTCCACTCATTGTCCTGAAGGCACCTGGGGTGGGAGAAGAACAGGTGCTCTCCATTACTAGCCCAGGACAGACACGCTGACTATGCAATGCCACCCTTAATCTATGCTACCTTTTTGCTGGGTCACATGTACCAATATGAGCACTATTGTAACAATGAAAAAAGGCCTGGGGAAAACCAAAACGCCCATCCCTGACATTAATGCCCACTAGAATTCAAATCAGAAACATAGCGGTATTCAAATGAACAAGGGAGCTTAATACATATTGATAAAGAAAGATGTTCAAGAAATAACAAGTGGAAATTCAATAATACGTTTCTTTTCTATTGAGATATAATGCACATACTGTAGCAGTCACCATTTTAAGGTGTACAATTCAGTGCTTTTAAGTCTATTCACAAGATTGTGCAACCATCACACCTATCTAATTCCAAACTGTTTTTATCACCTCAAAAAGAAACTCCTTAACTGTTAGAGATCACTCCCTGTTCTCCCTCTTCCCCAGATCTTGGCAACCACTACTCTGCTTTCGGTCTCTACGGATCTGGCTATTCTGAACACTTCGTATGAATGGAATCATATAATTATGTGGCTTTTTGTGACTGGGTGCTCCCACTTAGCACATAATGTTTTCAGGGTTCATCCACGTCATAGCATATATCACAACTACATCCTTTTTTGTGGATGAATAATATTCTAATAATATTCCACCGTATGGATGTACCACATTATCCATTCATCAGCTGAAGGTCAATCCATGTGTTTCCATTTTTTGGCTATTTGGAATAATGCCACTACGGAAATTCATGTGCAAGTTGTTGAATGGGCATATATTTTCATTTCTTTTGGTATACACTTAGGAGTGGGATTACTGGATCATGTGGTAACTCCATGTTTAAGATTTTGAGGAACTGCCAAAATCTTTTTGCCAGCAACTGCTCCACTTTATGTTCCCAGTAGTAATACATGAGATTTCCAATTTCTCTGCATTCTCACCGACATTTGTCATGTTTCCTTTTATGGACTAAAGCTAGCGTAGTGGGTATGAAGTGGTAACTCACTGTGGTTTCGATATGCGTTTCCCTAATGACTAACGATGTTGAGAAGATTTTCACGTGCTTCTTGGTCATTTGTATATCTCCTTTGGAGAAACATCTATTCAAATCATTTCCCCATTTTTTAATTCGGTGGCTTGTCTGTTTGTTGTTGAGTTGTAAGGGTTCTTCTTGTCGGCGATGTGATTTGCAAATATTTTCCCTTGTTCCCACCAGTCGGTTTTCCGCTTTCTTGATAGTGTCTGCTGATGCACAAAAGCTTTTAATTTAGATGAAGTCCAATTTACCTATTTTTTCTTTGGTTGCTTGTGCTTTTGGTTTCATATGTAAGAAATGGTTGCCTAATTCAAGGTAATGAAGATGTACACTTACAGTGTTTTACAGTTCTGGCTCTTATTTTAGGTCATTGATCCATTTTCTGCCAGTGTTTGCACGTGATGTGAGTTAGGGGTCAAAATTAATTGTTTTGCAAGTGGATATCCACTTCTCCCAGCACCATTTGTTAAGAAGACTATTTTTTTTCTCCATTGGATTTTTTCAGCACCCTGAATGATAATCAACTGGACATAAATACGTGAGATTATCTGTGGACTCTCAATTATATTCCATTGATTCCCACGTCTGTTCCTATGTCGGTACCATACAGTCTTGATTAATGTAGTTTTGTAGCAAGTTCTGAAATCGGGAAGTGTGAGTCTTCTAACGTTGTTCTTCTCTTTCAAGATGGTTTTGGCTGTTTGGGGTCCACTGCATTTCCACATGAATTTTGGGATTACCTTGTCAATTTCTGCAAAGAAGTCAGTTGGGATTCTGTCAGGGACTGCAATGAATCTGTAGATTGTTCTGGGTGGTACTGCCATCGTAATGATATTAAGTCTTCCAATCTATGAACGTGGGATGCCTTTCCACGTATTTAGGTCTTCTTTAATTTTTTTCAGCAATGTTTTGCAGATTTCAGAGTACAAGATTTGCGCTTCTTCTCTTAAATTTGTTCCTACATACTTTCTTCTTTTCGATGCTACTGTAGATGGACTTATTTTCTTAATTTCATTTTTTTGGATTGTCCATTGCAACTACATAGAAGTACAAATGATTTTTGTATATTGTATCTTTCAACCTTGCTGACCTGGTTTATCAGTAGTTTATTGTGGTTGATTCTTTCAGATTTTACAAATGGAAGGTAATGTCATTTGGGCATTATGCCATTTAAAAAAATATTTACATATACCAGTATAAAAGTATGATACCTTTTTCATGGACCCACTTTTTTTGGAAGCAAAATACCCAGATAGTTATTTTTCCAAATTGCATGTGAGTTTCCATTACTCATTCCTCTGATGTCCCAACAGCCCCCATCCCCATGTACTCCCAGCACTCACTTCTGAGACCACTCCAGTTTCATCCCAGACTGGGCAGAGAAAGCCTGCACCATTTCCTGCTGCTCCTGGGAGAGGGAGGGCTCAGAGCTGGAGGAGAGTGTGGACACTGGGATGGAGAAGGCACTCTGAGTCTCTTGGGGGCTGGCATCCCTCACAAACAGCTCGTCATTCACGATGCACAGACTGGAGGAAAGAAAAATGCACCCTCAAACTGGACAAGTAGATAACTCCGCACCCCCAACAACAGGATCCTTCTTAACCACTGCCACTCAACAACCAAATTCCTTCCATATCCCTAACTGTGCCTGCCTCCCAGATTTTTTGGCTGGTACCCTCTAACCCTCCCACAGAGTCCACCTTTGGAGGGACTGTCTACCAGCTTCACTAGATTTTTAGATCCAACCCCAACGCATTTACCCTGTACAACAGCCCAAGGAAGTGGATAGTCTTATTCCAATTTTCAGAAAAAGGCACTGAATCACAGAGTGGTCGAATAAGTTGATCAAGGTCACACAGTTTGTGAGTGTTGGAGTGAGGAACAGAATCTGTATTCTGACTCCAGGGCCCACACTCTTAAACACTAGGCTAGACTGCTCCTTGGATCTTCCTGTCGGCCTTCCACAATATTGAGAACACCCGGAGGACTGCACCCACCACATTTCCACAACACTGGCCCCAAGCTTGGATGGGTGCTCCCACCCACAACACAGCACTAACCTGGAACTGCTGCCAGGGGTAGCAATGAAGGTCCGGGTGAAGGCGAGAACAGAACCCTGAGACTGTCCTTCCACTTCAAAGACAACAAACACCACCACCTTAGAGTTGCACAGGCTTTAACATGCTCACACGGTGATCCCCAGTCAGAGTATTGCTTGACACTCACACAGAAGGGGGGGAGGGGGCAGACCAGGACAATTGTTCACTTGGAGTCAGGCGGATGTGGCAGGAATGGGGAGGGCAGCAACAGGAACAATCCGCTCCCAGTGACAGGGCCCCTATCATGTGTGGGGCCCTGGGAAAACCACAAGTTCACTTAATTCCTATTTCACAGTAGCCCAAGAGATAGATTATTAGCCCCATTTTGCAAATGAGGAAACTGAAGGGTTAAGTAACCAGCACAAGTTCACAGAGTAAGGACCTGGGATGAGAGCTGTCAAACTCCACAGTCTGTGTCCTTAACGCACGCCTGAGCTGTGCAGGGCAGACAGGCATGGACCTAGGTCAGATCAGGGTGGTTTGAAGGCAGAGTGGGGGTGGGAAAACACGGAAGAAAGAAGAGGAAGGAAAGGAAAGGAACGAAAGCAGGGAAGCTGGGGGAGTTCTGAGAGGGAGCCCAGCCAGGGGGAGGGAGCAGTGGGGGATCTGGGGAGGGGACTATACAGACACTCACCTTCCTTGAAAACCCCATTGACAGAAAAGCAGAGCATCCTTTCCTGAAAAGGAAGCGCTCAGGTGCTCAGGATCCTCCTTAACCTCCTACCCACCTCTGGCTCTCTGGGCCTGCCCAAGGGAGGAAGCAGGTGCTCACCGTCTGGCACCACACGTCCACCAGGATGGAGCTGAGGTCATGCTGAGTTTTGGGCAACGCACTGAGGGAGTCCACAATGTCACGTTTTGTGCGCCTCAGCAGTTCCCCCTTCAGGTCTGTAGAGGAGAGGAGAAGCAAGGAATGGCAGGGTGGGCGGGGCAGGGCGGGGGGCTACCACATCCTGGTCCTTGGCCCCTGTGATTGTTCCCATCACACCCCCTTACCTTGCCCACTCTTCCCCATCACACACTTACAGGGGTCCTTGAGTGTTTTCATATTCCTGCTATCCTCAAAGTACTTGCACAAGCTGCTCCTAGGAGAAAAAGAGGAGCAGGAGTGGGTGGTCCGGCCAGTGTGGGCATTTCCAGGAGTTGGCCTGTGTCTGCTGGGGAGACACACAGCCCCAGAGCAGAGTCTGAGCCGTGATACTCACGGGGCTGAGTCCTTGGGGTCGAAGGGAATAGCCAAGGAGAAGCAGGCCTCATCGTGGTAAGCACCGAGGAGACCCTGTCGATCTCCAGAGTCATAGATCGAGTAATACCTGTGGGGAAGCAGTGAGGATAGGCTATCTCTGTGGCCTGGGCCCCAGATGAGACTTGAAAACTCCCAGGCTGCACGGGTGGCCCAGCCTGTCTCAGCCCTCCCCTTCCTCATGGTCCCAGGGATACTCACTGCTGCAGGAATTGCAGGACTAAATGCTTTAGGGTCTCAGATCCAGTAAAGTTTTCCTGAAATCAAAAGACAATTTGGATCTATGCGGTGGACAAAGCCTCCCTTACAGCAACCCAAATCTTGCTTGGTCCTTCTTCCTCACCTTGCAGGGTTTCATTGTCTCAGAGCTGTCAATGTCAACAATCACTGGTGCGGATAACTCTCGGCCGTCCTGGAGAAGGAAAGAGGAAGTCAGCAGTGGAGACCAAGGAGATGGAGCTGGATGATCGATAAGATGAACATGCCCAGGGAGACAAGCATCAGAGGCTAGGTGGGAAATGGCCCTGGAAATTCCAGTGGGTGGCTTTCTCATGGGGTGCTGGACATCTCTACTATCACATGCAAATGTGTGTGTGTGGGGGGGGTGGCGGCGGGGGGACACATTTTCCAGGGAGAATATTCTTGTCTTTTTCAGGAATCCATGCCTGTAAAATGGATGAGGGTCTGATACAAGCATGTAATCTAGGCAAGACCCAAAGGACTTGAGGGCAGGCGTGGAGGTCCTTTTCTTGAGTAAGAGGAGACAATGATGACGGTATTATACATACTTACCAGGCGTAACAACTTGGGGAAACAATCCCGGATGGCACTGTCCAAAACCAAAAATTGAATGAAGTGACTGACAGTTCAGGGTTGCACAGTCTCTCTCCCACTCCCTCTCACACTCCTCCCTCTCCTTCCTCCTGGTTAGCTTCCATCTAGACTGTCCTGACTCCCTTTTCTCCAGTGCTACAAGAAGCAGCACTGGGAGCCCAGGCTCCAGGGCTTTCTTCCTCTCCCTCCCTCCCCTTTGCCCAAGTCACCATGGAAGGCTCTGCAGGGAGCAGGAAATGGGGTGGGAGCCCAGGGCTCTGCCACCTCACTGGCTGTCCATCAACCTGCCTGACCAGGCCCTGGCCAAGACCAGGTCAGCCCTTAGGGATGGCCCAGGATGCTGGGACACGGAGGTGAGTGAGGCCGGACTCAGGAGGCAGGAAGCGGAAGGCAGGGGGGACAACAACAGAAACGGGGTGAAGGTAGGGGAGGGACGGATGGGTGAGACATAGGAGAGGAGAGACAAGGGAGAAACAGGATGCAATGCAAAGGGAAGGGAAAGACTCTCTACTGCGGAGGTGGAGTTCAGGGAGGAGAAGAGGAGAAAAGGGCTCCCCTGCTGCAGCCCTTTCCCTCACTGCTCCCTGGCTGGCCCTGGGGACCGAGGCAGGAAAGGAAAACATGCGCCTGTTGGGCTGGGGCCCACTGGATGCAGCTGGAGCCTTCCTCACCTGTGTGAGCTCAGTCTGAGCTGGGCATGGGAAACAGAGCAGCCACGGGGACAGGAGACCTTCTCCCGGGAGGAGTGAAGAGTCAGGCCCCAGCTCAGCATGGGGTTCAGAGTCTGGGGACCCCCTCTCCAGACCACTGCATTCTCTTCTGATGGTCCCTGACTCCTGTGCCCCTCTGTGCTGACGCCTTGACCGAGGAATGCTACCCATCTCGGGCTACCCAGGGCTCCTCTGAGGGCCCAGGCAGGACGATGTGAGGTGGAGAAGGAGGGAAGGTGGGGCAGTGCCCTGAGAGGCCTGTCCTTCTGTCTTCTCAACCTCCTCTGCCCTCTGCCTTCCACTCCTGCCTCAGGAACGTGGCCCGCTTCTGGCCCCTTGACGTAGGAAACCCAGGTTTCTCCCCAAGGAGGGCCCAGCTCCTGGCATTGGGCCAGAGGAAGAGATGGCATGACAGCAGCCACCCGGGGCCCCAGCCCTCAGTATGGGGCAGGGAAGCCCCCATGCCAGCCCAGGACAGGTGGGGGGACCTTTTTGGAGCAAGAGAAGGAGAACCCCTCTTGGGACAGGGGAGGGAAGCCCCATCGCAGCATGGAGGCAGGAAGGCCTGTCTCAGCATGAAGCCCCGGACTAAAGGACTCTTCTCGGTCCAGGGCACCAGCATCTGAATACTGCTGGTCCTGGGGAGGTGGGGGAGCCCCACTTCCTGGAGCACACTCACAGAGGGCACACTGGAGGAGGCTTGGTGGAGACAGGCGGGAAACACACCCCAGAGCAGGTGAAAAGGGGACCATGTCAGAGGAAGGAAAGGAGACCTCTAAGCACAGATGAGTGAGTGACAGAGAGAGAGGAGAGAGAGAGAGAGAGAGAGAGAGTAGGAAGGGAGGTCTGTGGTCCTCCCAGAGGACCAAGGCTGCTTCTTCCTGCAGAAGGGCACCTTCAGACACAGCTCAGTCACCCAGGGAGCAAAGGTGCCCAGGAAGGGTGACCGGGGTTGCCACTGACCTTACATAGGCGGACTGGTCCGAGAAGGTGCTGCACAACGGGTTCCCTTCTAGCCATAGCTCTTCGAGCTTCAGCCCTTTCACCTTGCCCAACTCCCACGCCGACTCCAGCTAAGAAAGATGGGGAGGAAACTGGAGAAGGAGGGCCAGGGAAAGAGAGACACCCAGGACCCTGGGCCCTGAATTCCCCCGGCCCTCATAGTCACCCACAGGTGCCACTGCCTGGCTGTTGCCATTATCCTGATGTGTCCTGCCCTCCACCCAAAGTTGATCTGGCTCCCCCTTCTCACCTTATTTTTGGAGAGATTCAGGGTCTTGACTTTGGGAGCCTTCTCTGTAATGTCAGAAAGGCCATCCAGCTGGTACAGCTTGTTGTTGCACAAGTTCAAAGACAACAGCTTTGGGTCAAGAAGAGTTAGAGTGGCGGCTACTATCTTGGGCCTCAGAGACAAATCTGCCCTCCACCTTATCCCTTCCACCCCTCTAACTAAATACCAGCACTGAGCCTAAGGCTTCACCTCAGGGAAATTTCTTTCAATGATCTTCAGGGTGGCAGCCATGCAGTTTCTTCGATTCAGGATTATATCAATGTCACGGCCCATCAAGTCTTGAAGAAGCCAAGAGAAGGGAATCGGAAGGCTGGGAGGGCCCTGGCTGGACCAGAGCCAGCCCCAACCCCTCTGTAAATTGCCATTCCTAAGTCTCCCTCCCAGGCAGACCTCTCTGCCCCCGCTTGTCTTAGAATTGCTGCTGTCAGCCTTACCTGGGTCAAAGCGGAGATTCTGGAGATCAAGAGCTTGCTGGGAGACATTGTACCGTTTGTTCATGGTCAGCTGCAGAGATAGAGATGAAGACAGAGGCTCTGGGGCTCTGGTGATGGTGGTGGTGGTGGTGGTGATGGTGGTGGTGGTGGTGGTGGTGGTGGTGGTGGTGGTGGTGGTGACAGGGAAAGAGGGGGCCAGGGGAAGAAGAGGTGGGTCCAGGAAGCAGGCATACAATGATCCTTGAGTCTGTATTACCTTTAGCATCTCCATTTGGCCTGGCTTCAACTTATTCTTCACAGAGTAGGGCGCAGTAGAATGATTGACAAATATACATATCTGCAGGAAGGCAGGGTGGTAAGTACCAGGACCTCTAATCCCAAAGAGGATGACCAGCCCCCTGGCCTGTCCTCCTGCCCAGAGACTAAGTACAGGGCATGCCCTCGGCACACACCTTTTGGTTCTCATCATCATAAATCTTATAACTGACATCCTTCAATGCGGAGGCAGCGCTAGCATCCTGGACAAAGAAGCATGCCCGATTTCGGACGTAGTGGAACTACAGGGAGTGAAGGCAAGAGCAACAGCGTCAGAGGCCAATGGCCCCTGCTGAGCCAGGCCTCTCCCCGTCCCCCATGCCCACTCATCTGGCTTCACCATCCTCTCTTACATCAACCGGAGTGAAGCGGTCACTGCAATGGCTCTGGATTGAATTCATTAGCCATGCCTTGTCATACTTTATCCCGTAAGGAATCTAAGGGTAAAAAGAAGAAATAGGAGGGAAGGGAGAGACAACGTGGAACTAAGGATGGAGAACAGAACCAACCAGCTGGGTTTTTTTTTTCTTTCTTTCCAACCTTCTACTTAGCTTAGATTTCTAAAGAAAGGACCGCTGACATGATTTCTTATTTTTGTGCCAAATATAGATGCCCTAAACTCCCTTTCCCCCCATTCCGAAGCTCTCCTCCAAATAATCAACTTAGGGTGTTTTAAGTGGTCTTCCTTCTATCAGGTTCCAGAATAGTCCACCTAATGCAGACCCCACCAAGATACTCACTGTGACCTTAAACCAGTTCCTTGTGTATCCATCCTGTGTGTTCTGACTCATTTTTCTCTCCGGAGGTTTTCTATTTCTCCACGTGGTAATACGGATTTCGTCTTCACTATGCCATTTCATTCTTCTTTCGCATCGGATGCTATAAGGAGTGCTGTGGGGAAGAGGAGAGAAGGCGGGTATCCATTAAATCTAAGAAAGTCTCCTATACATGCTCCACTCACTGACGCCAGGGCTACAATTAGGACTGCTCAGCCACTATTCCACTTCCAGCATTCGTCAGTTCTCTAATGAGAGAAGAAAAGGAAGACCACAGAGAATGAAAGGGTTGCACAGTCCCGGGGGCTGCTACGTGCAAACCAGGCTGCCTGGTCACTTACTGTCTTAGTTGTTGGTCCTTGTGGACATCCCTCATCTCCACGCTTCCATCATTCTCCTGGCAGTGTGAAGGCGGGCGCTCATACCCACCATGTTCATAATGACAGCTCCTCTTGTCAAAATTATCCCGGAAAGAACTCCCACCTTTCTTTCTTCCTTGAAAAGTGCTACCATGGTCATGGCATTCTGCAACTGAGAACAAAAAGACAAGTTTGAGACACATCAATGGTCCACTTACCACGTACCACGTCGTGAGCTAACTCCATGGTAGGGCTAGCAAAGTGCCAACCCGCCACATAAGCCCCAGAAAACAAACTCCTCTGCCTGTCCAGATACAAGAGCCTTATCTCACAGGTGGCACAATCAGGGTAGGAATCTTGGGAGAGGAAGCAACTGTGTTGAACCTCCTGAGAAATGGAGCAGGAATTATAAAGAACAGAGGTGCGCGTGTCCATGGGTTAGACTAGACACCAGCCACACACCTGGAAGGGGTCCTAATCTTGCCTTCTCTCAGGCTTCTCTAATCTAACAACCACACCAACACCTGGGAGACAAGCTCTCTCGCACCTCCCAAATCCAATCCCCAAATGCATTCTGTGAACAATCAGCAAGCTATACCTCTTTGCCAGTGCAGTACGAGCTTTAATGACAGGTGGGTCCGATGTAACAGCTTCCCAAGCTGCCCTCCTGCCTCCAGCCTTGCCCTCAAAAATACTCAGTTTGAAATACCCAGAGCAAGCTTTCTTTTTGCCCAGCCCGAAATGCTTTCAGCCCAAGAGACAACTCTTCCTAAGCAAGTGACAGAATTACTGGAAAGAAAATCAGCAGATACTGAAAACCACTACAGTAACAGGATCTAAATGACATAAATAAAACACCGTACCCAACACACTGTACCCAACAACAAAAACAGAGCATGTATGTTTTTTCCCCCTCTACTGTCTTGCAGCATTCACGAAGGTAGACCATCTCCTGGACCATCAAACAGACCTCGACCAATTTCAAAATGTACACCTTGTCTCAGGGCACTCTTATGAATAAAATTTCGGTCACTGCTGACCTCTCTGCAATATACTGATTATGGCCAGGCCTCAGATGAACTTCTGTAGGGGGCATCATTGCTTTCACTGTGTGTGACCCGCTGTCAGGACAGTCCTGCTCCTCTCGATTGCTGGGACTTTCCCTGTGTGCCATTAGAAGTGAAATTAAATGTGGGCAGAGCATCTGACCTAGACATTCCTGATGCTTGGTCCCTACAACTTGGAAGTGGGGCTGGAGTGCTCTCTTTCTCTCACACTCTACATCCAACCGATCAGGATGGATGTATCTTCTCTTGGCTCTACCTTTAAAATATATCCAGAGTCTGGCCACTTCTCACCCCCTCCATTGCTACCTACCCTGGCCAGGTCACCAACATCTGTCTCCTGGATTATGCTGCCTTCCAAGTTGTCCTGCTTTTGCCCTTGACTCCCCTACCATCTATTTTCAACACAGGAGGCAGAGTGATTTTTTAAGGCATAAGTCAAATCTTGTCATTCCTTTACTCAAAATCCTTTAACCGCGGTTTGGAGCCCATCAGTATGTTAAAAAGTTATGAGTCCATAACAATACTCAACAACAGCAACAACAACAACAAAGACCCCTATTGGTGACATTTGGAGGATGTCCAGAAACCAACTCATTTTCATGAAAGTCCATAAATGAAAGGGAAAAAAATCAAAGATTAAAGTGAGGGTTAAGGGCACACGGTCAATATATGGAGCACAGGAAGAGTCAGAGTCATTTTTGAGAACACACATTACTTCAGAAATAACGTCACTGAGGGGAAGAAGGTGTAAAAGTGTAAGCTAGCCAACAGCTACAGCTACAGCCTCAGGCAAGGCCTTGTGTTGGAAGAGAGCACATGTGATAAAAAGCCACAGAGGGACCGGACAGAGAGAGATGCCGAAGACACAACACACACAGGCGTACATCCACTTGCTGAACTCTGGCATCTCAGCACAATCCCTGTCTCGCAGTTGTGCTGCCAGAATTACGGGCGATCTCAAGAGTATTATAAAGCAGCTAGTACTTCTCACCCAGACCGCCTGGGTTTCCCCTCAAGTCCCACCATGTACTGGCTGATCCCCCCACACAGACATAGTGGTGAGTAACCTTTATGACATCACGTGTGTTCCTACTGGTACTTCCTGTGTTAGTTTGGAATTCTGCCTACATCACTGCCATGCCACTGAGTGCATGGCATCAGCATCCCTGCTACGGCAGGGAAAGAACGGGATAAGAAGAAAACCAACCCTTGCCCAGTGGCAACCAACATCTGCTCAGTGTTGGGCAGACTCACTAGGTTTCTCTTGACCTCCTCACAGAAATCCCATGAGAATTTTATCCACAGTCCCTTTTCAGATCATGAATATTGGGTTCACAGATGTCGGGTACATTTCCCAGCCAGGTAAGTGGCAGAACAGGAATTATGTCCTCACGTATATTGGTCTGCCTCTATACCCTGAGTGCTCCTCCAGAGACTGCACTGGTTCTCCCTTAAATGGCAAGCTTTCAGGTCTCATCGACAGATTTTTTTGTAAGCAGGCCGGGATGATGTTTTGTGCTAGTCACTCCTGTTGGGGTGGGAACCAGGTGTCTTGGATAAGGTGGAGATCTCTGTCTTGGACCAGATGGGTGTAATCTGTTTGGGCCATGGGTTTTCAGATTAGGAGTCACTTTGGGCTGGTAGTGTCTGGCATAGAATAAGGGCCTAATTAATATTTGTTAAATGAATGCATTTGATGTAGGTTTGGGATCATCGACAAAACCACTTTTGAGAATACATCCATCTGAACCATTTCTACCGACCTCTATTTATATTTATTCCAGAGCTATTCGGGCTGCAGAACTATTTCATAACCTGACTGCAAAACTAGAACAAATTAATCTTTTCTTCTGCAACATTAATATTTTTTCATTAATGTATCCTTAGAAATAGAACTGAGTACCTCCCTGCAGACTGTGGCTAGAACTGCAGCTTTGAAGATCTCAGAGAAGGAGGCTTTTGCAAATAGTGCTGACAGAAATGAGGAGAGGCGTTCCCTGAATCCAGCAGATAGGGCTTTCTGGACATCTGGTCTCTGTAGGAAGAATGTTCTGGACCTACAGGCATGTTGTGTTCACTCAGCCTTGTGACAGACAGGAAGCATCATCCCTGTCTCAGAGAAAGGGAAGAATGTGTGGTCTGTGTGTCCGTGTTGCCCATGCGAGCAAGTATTAGTGTTTCGTATTACATGCTTCCACAATTAGGTTACAGATACATGTACTCCAAATCATGTTGGTAAACACATTGCCACACAACACTGGATCCCACTGCACATTTCTTTTCATGTGTTATGTATTATATATGGCCAAATTTTGTTTCTTGTTCAGAATATGCTTTTTAGTGCTTTTTTTCTTTTCTACCTCTCGGTGTTTTAATATTTGAACTGATAGTTTTAAAATAAGAAAGTAGGAGAGTTCCCTGTACACAAAAGTAATGGAACAATACCCACAGGTTGACCAGGGTTACAGAGTACCCCCAGCAGGGGTGGCCAAAAAACCCAGTGGAACACAGCCAGGGCTTCGAAGTGGGTTTAAGATTTTGAGTCCCTGCTCTACAGTTTCCCAGGAGAAGCACATGAGTACTTTTAAGCATAAAGTGATATTTTCGTAAGGATTTTCAATGATATTTACACCAATATACACTTCCACTAACCGTGTGTGAGTCTAATTTTCTGCAATATGCCTAACCATTCAGAAGTCATTCTTACACTTTGATCCAGACGTTTCACTTTTCGAATTTATTACATATATCACTCTCTGTCTAAATATATACATATAATTATACGGCTGTGCTTTACAGGTCCTTTGGGACAGAAGGATGACGGGACCAGAGAGTGGCTGATATTGTCAAAGGGAGAAGTAGAAATGACTGCCCTTGCAATGAAGTAGACATGGCAAGGAAGGGGCATGAGTACCTGACATACAGGGTGAAAAGGCCAAGGGATGGATGTGTGGGTCAGAAAGAAGAGGGTGAGTACAGAGAAGACAAAGAAACACACATTGAAAACGCCTCCAGGGAACTGAATTCATCCTGGCGATATGCTCCCCTCTGAAAACCCTCCTTCCTTCCTGTCCATGTACATCTTGTCTGTCCCTGTTACTTCACTTCAAGTTGAACACCAGAGAAACAGTTCCCACACAGTCCGAAAAAAGGAGAGATGGTATAGGGCAACACTGTGCAATGATGAGTCTCTTGGACAGAAGGCTGGAGTCGGGACATTGGTTCCAGAAACCACACCCATCATTGCCCAGCAGACTTTGAGTGGGCCCTGTCGTACTGCTCATTTCAGCCTTGACACAGAGTCGCACATTATTGGTTATGGGCCTAGGATTTGTGGTCAGATCCATCAGGATTTCAATCCTGGTGCTAAATTCTATGATCCAAGGCAACTAAGTGACCTCGCTGTGACTCAAGTTCTTTTTGCTTGTTTTCCCCCTAACTCAAAGATAGTAACAGTTTCTACCTCATGGGCTACTGTAAAAATTAAGTGAGTTAACACATGGAAACACGTGAAAAGCACCTGGAGAAATGCCCGTGACCTAACAAGCACTATAAATAAGTTGTCTATTACTATGTCGAGAACGTAGTACAACATCTGGCGTTTATTGAGGGAGAAATACGTGTTAGTTGCATTCGTTGTTATTAGTCCTCCTGGAAATGACAAGGAAAAGAGATGAGTGAGTGGCATCTGGTTGCCATGTCAGCTATTAATGTATCTTACAAAGCGGCAGTAGTAAAACAGGGCAGCCCCGGCTCCAGTGGGGAATCATCTGACATATGGGTTCAGGGAACCAAAACAGAAAGCTCAGAGCATGAAACAGGTTATGCGGAAGGATTCAGTAGGGAGCTTAAGTTCCCGTTTCCGATCTTTCAGGAAAAAAAAAAATGTATTATTATGCAAGAAATGTTTCAGGTTTAAGTGGCAGACTATAAGCAACAAGGTAGAATACTCGTCACGCCACGTGATACAAAGGGAAAGAAAAACAAAGTCAGGTTATAAAACTGTATATTACAGTATGATTCCTCAGAAGAAAATATTAATGAGAAGTTATGTTTTCATTTGTAAATATAAACACAAACAAGTCAGGGTAAAGGGACACGTGAGAATGTCAACCATGTGTAGAAGTAGGTGGCTGGAATGCAGAATGGTTATACTTTCACACCTACGCTTCATACTTGTATAAGAGGATGTTTATGGCCGGGTCAGGGTTTTGTCAAGTGCTTGGGGAGAAGCACTTTTCCTATCGACCCATATACAGCATAATGGAAACCGTTTATTACTGACAATCAAGTGTGAATATCTTCTCTCTGATTAATAAGCTAACCTCACTTTTGACGACTCATTCAACTTCTCCTGATCCCAGGTTCCTTACATGTAAAAATCAGAGATTAGGGCTAGCTACCACCTCAATCAAGATATAGAACATATAACACAACCCAAAAGGTTTCCAGTCGATCTCCTCTTCATCCCTTGGCTCCGTGCAAACATTGATATACTTTCCGTTACTATATATTCATCTTCCTGTTCTAGGATTTCACACAAATGGACTTGTGCATGCTGCACCCCTTTGGGTCTGGCTTCTTTAACTCGGCATAATGTTTCTGAGACCCATCCATGTTCTTGACTTTTCCTTGCTGAGTAAAAGCCCCTTGATGGATATACCATAATTTGTTCACCTTTGATGTTGTTTTAATGAAGTTTCAGGAGGAAGTGAAAGGAGATCCTTGCCTTCAAAAAGCCATCTTTCTTGGGCAGTCTTCTATTCTTTCGTAATAGACACAATTTCATCCTTTATCACTCCTTTGTCTCTCTGGGGAAATATTATCTTAATGTCTGTTTCAGCCTCTTCCATTCTTTCTGTTCCCTCAGTGCCAATTATTGGATTTGTTGAGTTTGTGCCATCCCTTCCTTGCTGATCCTGGGTTGTGGATGTCTTCTGCAGAGGAAGCTCCACTGCTGAATCAGCCCTGGGCTCACAGACACTTAGCTTTAATCCATACCTTGCTCTGGCCTTGCCGGCAGTTTAGCTTCAAGCCGGACACAACCTGTGGTGGCCCCGGCTTTACCACTGTGTTTTCCCATTTCCTTTCTCTTTGAAAAAGACAATCTTCTCGATGTCTTACATGGGAATCTTTATTTCATATTTTCCAGCGTAACTATGTATTTATTATTACTGTAATATTATCATTCTGAAACCACAATTATAAAATTTTAAAATTAAATATTGTGAAAGGCTTGCATTCTTATGATTTAAATTGTTCAAGCAGTTCTCAACCATGATTACACATTAGAGCCACTTGGGGACACTGAAACAATTCACTAGCACCAGGACACACCCAAAACAATCAAAGCAGAACCGTGGTTAGATCCAGGCAACCACATTTTTTAACTCTCCATGTGAATTGCAGTGTGCAACCAAGGTTGAAAACAACCGTGTTAAAGCCTCAGTTTTTGGCTTATGCTTGCCAGAGGATCCTAGCAATAGCTGCCTCCTCATTTTGCTGACTTCCCACTCAGCACTGTTTTGGGGACCCAGTGAGTCTATTAGCTTAGAGGTCAGCAACTTATTAGCTTAGAGGTCAGCAACTATGCCCTGTGGGCCAAATCTACCCCAGATCCCCATTTCCTTCAAGGTCTTTTGCTTGCAACCAATTTTGCTGCCAAGTACTCTGTTAATCAAGGTCCCAACTTGCCTATGCCAGAATTCACTCTAGCTCTTTTATACAAACAAGATATCTCTAATAAAATATATTACATAGCTTACAAAAACTCTGTGAGGGCCAGAAAAGCAGGCCTGGATGCTGCACAGCCAGGAGAAGTCCACCCACGTGATGGAACTGCTACAGCTGAAATACCACTGCTGCCTGCCCGTTAATTGACATGCATGACAGAGACTGAATTCTAGAAACTCTGCAATGGCTGCCGCATGAAAACTGGAGACCTCCCTCATCACAGGTAGTCCACCCCACATATGGCTCCCATGTTATTCAGTTCCACTTCTGAGTCTCATGTTGGCACATACGCTTGATGCGATAAATATCCCATTTGAGACCCTAACTGCAAGGGACTCTGGTAAATTGTATGTGTGTGAGAGTGTATTTGTGTGTGTGTGTGTGTGTGTGTGTGTGTGTGTGTGAGAGAGAGAGAGCGAGAGAGAGAGAGAAAGAGAGTGTGTGCGCACATGCGTGGGGTCATGTGCATGTGTGTTTCCTTTCATGTTCCAACTTTCTAGTCTCTACAGTACAGGAAAGCATATAAGAATGTTTAAGAGTGCTGGAATAGTTGCCAAGTAAGCAGATTCATCGTATATTTCACAAGACATGTTTTCTGTTGTAAATGGTATATTTACAATAATGATGGTATTTTCTTTGTTACAATGGTTTGTGTATGTTCGTCTTATAGCCAACAAACTTGTTAATCTCCATTATTATTTTTAATTTTCTGTAGCTTCTCTTGAGTTTCATATGAAGATAGTCACGTTGACAGCTTTTTCACTTTTATACACGTATTAATTTATGTATGTAGGCATGCATGTATCACAGCTTACCGCACTGCCTAGTATGACATATGGCTTACTGCACTAGACTCAGTACGACATTGAACAGAATTCGTCATACCAGTCATCTTTATCCCTTTTCTGATTGTAAGGAGAATACTTCTAATGTTTTACTATTAAGGGTGGTGTCTGATGGGGTCTATTGTTTTGATACCCATTGTCAGTTTAAAGAGATAGCTTTCTATATTACCGATCTGCTGAGAATTATTGGTATTGTTGTTGTTCAATCCCGGTTGGTTAATTTATTGCATACTTTTTTTTTTAACTGGATCTTTTGTGGTATTTGTCCTGTCCTCCTCCCTTTATTCAGCTAATGTGTTAGATTACATTATGGATCTCTTAAAATGTTAAACTCAGCTTGCATGCTTGGGATTAAACACAACCTCGTCATGCTGTATTATCTGCTTTACCCATTGTTG
This sequence comes from Homo sapiens, assembly GCF_000001405.40. Classification (NCBI taxonomy): domain Eukaryota; kingdom Metazoa; phylum Chordata; class Mammalia; order Primates; family Hominidae; genus Homo; species Homo sapiens. The sequence goes on along the minus strand of NC_000023.11, from coordinate 102,309,091 downwards.
GGTTTAGTTTGCTATTAATTGATTTATATTATTTGCGTTTATGTAACTAATTCGGGTTGGCTAGTAATTTTGCCTTTGCATGTATTCCTTGTCAAGAATACATTGAATAAACCAAGGTTTTCTATTCCTTCAGTTTGGAAAGTTATATATATTTTTCCCCTGGAATTCATCTATTTAATCTAAATTTTCAAATTTTCACATCCTTTTCATAATGTGATCTTTTTCAATCTTTTCTGTCACTGTAAGTGTGACACTATCTTCATTCCAAAAGTGGCTGACCCGCACCACCTCGCTAATTTTCTCTGCCCGTGTGGCCAGAGATTTTATCATTATCCTGCGCTTCTGAAACACTGACATCTAGCAATTTTGTTCAACTCTCTCACATGGTGTTTTCACTTTCATCAAGGTAGGCTCTATTTTTTTATCATTTTTCCTCAACATAGCGGTAAGACATGGGGATTATTCCACATTAAGTAAATGATCAATGAAAAGTCCTTTCATCTACCACCTGGTTTTATTTTTATAATTGAATACAATGGATATTCAAATATCCAATACATTCCCTCATTTGGAAAAGACCTCTGGCTTATCAGTGCTGGTCTTTTTAACCAGTGCCATCGTGTCTATTCAATTAAACTATCAGATGATTAAGGAAGAGGGCATTGCATCATTGATGTAAAAGAATTTTTACTATAAGCTTCCTTTAAGAGAAGAGCAGGCAGCGTAGAAAGAAGCAGAAAGGACATCGACTTTGAAATCACGCCTGGGTGGATTCAAATCCTGATTCTGTCACTTACGGCCGATGTGATGTTAGGCAAGTACTTAATCCCTCCCAGCTTTGATTCCTTCATGCAGTAGTCAGTGCTGCCATTTACCAAGTGTTTACATTCTCCCCTGTACCAGGCACCTGGTAGGACTGCCCGACCCGACTGCCTTCCTTGGGGCAGGGCCGTGCATGTGACTAGCTCTGGCCAATGGGTTGTGAGTGACGAGTGACACGGGTTATTTCTGGGTCAGAACCTTTGGTTGTTGGTTTGAGACCCTCTACGGCTCTCTCCCACTCTGACGCAGTGAGTAACCCCTTTCTAGATGGTGGCTGCTCCATTAGTTTGGGTCTCTGAGTCATTCCAATAAGAATGGCTCAGAACCCAACATCCACCATCCCGTGAAGGATATGCACCTGGCATAAACATGCAGCAGGAGTGAGAAATAAGTCACTGAGGTTTGGGGGTTGCCTATAAGCACAGCGTTACACTCAGCCTCTCCTGACTCATATATCTCATCTGTCAATTAAGATAACACCCTCTCAGGACTTTCCTGAGGGTTAAATGCAGTAACTTGCATGACAGCCGAGGTTATCACAGTGCTTGACATATGACAGGGGCTCAAACTATGGCAGCTGTAATTATTAAGTAATAATAAAATGGTTCTGAAGAAGTGTGGTTTTTTATTGTGTAAAATGAGCGGTACTGCATCTGCTTGTCCTGACAGGTAAGTTGTATCTTGTTTTCAAGAGTGGGGGCACTTTATTTGCTGCCACAGGTAAGGCTTCCTAATGACTTGCATTTATGCACATATTGTCTGCCACCACCATGGTATCAGATGCATGCTTGGCGGTATCTCTGAAGAGTAAAAAAGTACAAAGATTCAAGCAGGAGAGACTGACTGATGACATGAGATAAAATGAATTAAAGAGCAACAATCAATGTCTTAATGAGCAGACTAGATTACAACTATTATAAACCCACATTCCATTGTTCTGAGTAAACAAAGGCACAAGGTTTTAAAGTGTTAGAAGATGTAGTCTGAACAGGGTTTCCCCAAATATTTTCTGAAGAACACTGGTACCTCAAATGCTCTGTGGAAAAAAATGTTCCATTCCCATACAAGTTGGGGAAAGTAGCCCCCCCTTTGAGACTCGTGTTGTTTATTAGCATATCATCTAAAAAAATCCTACAGTATTCGTTTACCTTCAGTTCTGTATGTCCCACACTTCTTTAGAGTAGAGCACATTTTGTTGTTGCTTTGTCCTGACACTACAGTCTCACAGAACGAACTTGGAAATGCTGAAATGAGAGAAAAATAGATTATTCAACCTACATGTAATATCAAATATCACAAGTGACAATATTCTCTAACCATCTGACAAGCAATATTTGAAACCCCGTAAGTTTAAGCACAATCTTGCTATTTGCTCAACTTCATTCACCCAATACCGCTTTCATGATGTACCAAATGTTATCACCCATGATTGTACCTTAAATCCATTCACTATACTTTTTTCCACAGGAAGAAAAGGAGAGAGTTTTCAGAAAGGAATCTAAGAAGCAATCATTAGAAAATCAGGGGTTGATGGGGGGAGAATCAGAAACAAAAGAGTGTGAAGCTATACTACTATAAGCTACTGAGAGATCCTAAGCGCACACACACACAAAAAAAATGTCACCCACTCCCAAATGTACTTTTTAAAGCCAATGGAGTTCAAATAAAGTATAACAAGTAAATTCTGAATCTTCACATCATGACGACTTGGACACTTTTATTGAAATATCAAATTCTCTTTTTAAAAAAATTCCCGATTCCCCTCTCTCCCTTTCGCCCACCCCCCTGAGCCCATGTTTAGAAGGTTTAGTAGAAAAATAAATCATGGAAACAAAGAGAATCTTTACATAATCAAATAAGAGACAGAAATTAAGATTGGGTCTGGAATCGTCTATACAAACTGGGATCTAGGCAGTCTCGAGTGTCCTTAATAACAACATGGTCTGAGGAGGGGCAGAGGACAGAATCACCTGGCACAGACGGTGAATCGGGCAGAGTGACAGGCAAGGGTAGGGCTTTTAGTGTGGGGGCGGGAAGGGGGGGGAATCCCATCAGGCTTCCACAGCCCTGCCCCTGAGAAACGACTTACGAGTTCATGAATCCCTGCCGCCCCACTACCAACCCTACCCCTATCCCCCAGCCCCACATTCTGCCCCAGTGCCTTCTCCTCCAACAACAGCTCCTGTGAGTCCAGGATCAAGGCGGATGGCAGACATAGATGCATGGGTGCGCACGCACACACACACACGCACGCACACACAGTTTCTCTGCCAGGTGTTCACAAGTTCGGCCACATTAGGGAAGTCCTCCGCTACCTCCACCCAAACCCCCCATACACCCCGACCCTCCCGCACCCCCCACCCTCCCCACCCCCCCACCCTCCCGCACCTCCCGCACCCCCCACCCTCCCGCACCCCCGGCACCCCCCACCCACCCCACCCCACCCCACCCCCTCAGAGCCTCTGCTATTTGGAGATTGCTCAGCCACGCCTTAAAGCCCAATTCTCAGTAAACTTCTAGTACCGGCTGGTTCCACTCGTACCAGACTTCCTTCCAGCGCGTCAGGATATGAAAGTTGCCGGAAGGCTTCAGATCTGAGCCGAAGTCCAATAAAACTTCCGCCTGAGTCAGGGTGTGGAGCCGGAAGCACCTCTCTGACAGGATTCGGAGCACTCAATCTTCACGTGAATGGGAGGGTGCGGAATCTCACGTGACCATAAGAGCCACATGTACAACAGCCATTGGTTAGCTGCGGTGCTCACAGGACCGCAAAGGCTTTGCCTGCCACGAGATGACAGGAGCCACTTGGCTGCCCACACACACATCTGCAGAGTTTGGCAGCTCACAATCTTCACGTGACAGAGAGGAATGAGCCTAACACTGTGGCCATGGGGAGGGGTGAGTGGGAGCAGTGGACATGACCATAGCATCCACATGACCCTAAACAGTAGGTCATCTATATGACTTCGAGGGCTGAGACTTCCACATGCTGGTAGCCAGTAATGGCCAGGTGAGGGAAGAATCCATGTGAGCAACAGGGTTCAGGAGTCCACCATACTGTAGTGACTGGAAGAGCTGGGCCCATCACATGACCATAGGAGCAACATGACAAGAGAGGCCACATGACCTCAAAGTTTTAGAGCCCTTGGTGCTGATATGACCAGTAGGGCCCTATCAGTAGGGCTCATAATTGTAGTGTTCACATGATGGTGGCATCCACGTGGCTTGCAGCCTTAGGATCCTGCAAGGCTCAAGTACCCAGGATAGGTGGGTGAGCTTGGGTCAACTTCCTGACAGTAGAATCCAACCACTGCAGAGTTCTCCTGATCTGCATGTTTCAGGAGACCGTTCTGTTCATGAGACCTGGAGCTCTGAGATTGCCCATATTACTGAGATGGTGGTACCTCCAGATAACCTCCCACAGCACACAGACTTGAGCTTTTGCTACCCTCACCTCACTTTTTTTTTTTTTTTTTTTTTTTGAGACGGAGTTTTGCTCTTGTTGCCCAGGCTGGAGTGCAATGGCATGATTTCAGCTCACTGCAACCTCCGCCTCCCGGTTCAAGCGATTCTCCTGCCTCAGCCTCCCAAGTAGCTGGGATTGCAGGCGCCCACCACCACGCCCAGCTAATTTTTGTATTTTTTTAGTAGAGACGGGGTTTCACCATGTTGGCCAGGCTGGTCTCGAACTCCTGACCTCAGGTGATCTGCCCGCCTTGGCCTCCCAAAGTGCTGGGATTACAGCATGAGCCACCGCTCCCGGCCCCCCATCCCTCTTTAATATATTTTATGTGTTTCATTTCTAACAACACGTGAAATTTAATACTTCACAATGAAGAAGGTCCTCACTAAAACCATAATCATAGACACTACTGCAAGAGCCTAAGCAGTCCGTACAGGTAAGCACTGTTTACTTAATTTCATACAGGGCCAAAGGAAATTAGGGCAAACCTAATGAATTTTAGTTGTTCATTTGAAAAAGAAAATGTGTATAGTGATTAGTATGTGCCACACACTCCAAAAGGTTACCGCATTTAAGAGTGCTAACTCTATGGAGTAGGTAGTATAACAGAATTTTACAGACGAGGAAACTGAAGCACAGAGGCGTTAAATCACTTGCCTAAGAGGTCACAGACATTGCAGGTGGCAAACCAGCTGTCTCCCCCAGGCAGTATGGTGCTAGACTGTTCTGACCACCCCCGGGTTTTCCAAAGGAAATTAATTTTAGTTCAGCCTTATTAATTCACACAAACTGGAAGCCAGACCCAGTTACTGAAGAGTTGAGGTCTTGGATGTTCTCTTTGAAATACCAACTAAGAAATTTCAAGTACTGTCAGTAATTAGCACCAGTCAATGCTGAATCTAATTAAGGACCTCAGGAGATTCATTTAAATGTATACATATAAACCTACCATTAATATATAAAATATGTATATATGAAAGTCAGTATAAAATGTTTGAGGTTAGCTGAAAACATTTCCTTCTTTAAAAAAATTACTGAAAAGAGAAAGATTAGCACTTTTAAAACATCATACCTGGCTCTGGCCTGAACTGCAACAATTTTGTATGAGTGGAATCTGAATTATAATTAGATTTCACTGTATTTTTATTCTGCCTGTGTCTCCCCAGAAAGGATAGAGAAAAGAGAAGGAGAGTACACATTGCAGTTGTTGTTAATCGCAATTTCACGACCACCTGTTTTGCTGGTTTGTGTGGGAAACTGCAGCTTCACCTGCATGTCCAAAATAAATTTGGTGGAGTGGAGTCTTTCTGATTTGCTTGCAGAGGCAAACAATGCTATACAAGCATTGGGATTACTTTGCTAGGTTCCCGCACTGTGGCCTGGCTACATAAATAAGCAGAAGAAAACTCAACAGACCAAATTTTCCACCACAGTTAAAGTTGAATATACTAGTGAGGACAACAGGCTGTGTTAGTGGCTCTAAGGTTATCAAAGGAAGTCATGATATTTGGACGATATTGGGCGCGTTCACGGTGGTATGGCCGTAGACTGAAGTCATGATAATTGGAATGAATGACTAGGAAGCGCCAATCAGTGGGTCTCGGATAATTCTGGAGAATTATTTATGGGACACATGTAAATAGAGGATATAAAATGGGGCTACATATTTATGAAAGAGCCTATTATGAAATTTCAAGTTGGATTTAGGAAGTATCTATACAAAGTCACAGGATGGAAGCCTACTTCAAGACCTGGTATCTGCCCTGGCCCCCGTTTCTATCATTACATACAGATGAACAGATCACCAGTAAAAGGCACAGCACAATTTTATCTAGCCCACCTATGCTCAACTGGAACTTACACGGTATTGATGATGGTCAAATTCTTTCACCAAAAGACAAATCCTAATTATAACTCTTACTTTAATTCACAGTTTGCTCCTGTCAGACCTGATACTCATATCATTCACTCTTTCTCTGAGATGATTATCAGGACTTTGTTAGGATTTTTTTTTTTTTAAGTTACACCAATGGAAGTCTGTCGGTGCTCTAATATGCACAAACAGTGGGGGAAGGTAACTCTGTGGACAAAGATTCATATGTCCGGGGTCCAGTTTAGGCACTGAATTTATTAGGCGCTGTGTTTACTGGGGTGAGGCAGGTTGATAAGCCATTTCTCTTGCGTGTGATACGGCAGGATTTAACAGGAACAACTTCTCCTTCTTTTACCTTTTCGTTCTGTGGTGGACATTTTGGGGATCCATGCTAGTGGCTTTAGGAGGGGTGGCTTTACCTAACACAGAAAAGAGAGAAAGGGGAGTACTGGAACTCCCCTTTCTAGAACTTACTTACTCAGAACTCCCCTAAGTATCAGAACGGTTGCGACGTTGTTAAATTAAACATAAATACTCTAACGCTTTTGGTTTGAACAGATACATACACCTGAACTAGGTGTCCTATGTAAATTAACTTTCAGAAAGTAAAAATGACTGACCTAGCAACAGCATACAAGGGAAAGCATAAGATGGGACTCTATCATTACGGGCATTACATTCAAGACCTGTTTTTCTGTGTTCCTTCGTGAAATTCATTAGCGTAGCTAGAAGTAACTTTATGTCAGTGCCAAGCAATAGGAAAAAAAGAGAAGCAGTTGCAGATAGTGCTCCCTGGCAAATTGCTCAATATGCCAACCCCTCAATGCAAGGTAAAATTCAACAGCTCTAGGTAATAGGCTCACTCTTTGAGGACTACCACAACATACAAATACAAAATTATGTCTACAAGGAAAACTTCCTTCAGGCAAAGGATGGAGAGGAGTGAAAAGGTAGGGATTCCATAGAGGGTGTTTACTGAAGAGCAGTGCCATTTGTGAAGATGCAGCTCTCTGGTCCAAACCCCCTCCACTGTGAAGACCATTTAAAACAATGAGCAATTATGATTCAAAGATTTCTAATGTATTAAAAGTAGAGAATTTTAAATTTCCCAGATTGCTTCCTGTTATCTGCTCAAGGCAACTATATTTTGCAATTCAAGAAATAGTTCTAAATACTCTGTTGGAAAATACTGTCAGATAATTTTTAAAACATAGTCAGCCACATTGTTTTCTTTTTAGTGTATGCAGCATTTATACCTTGTTTCTTGTGATCAGCTTATCACTGATAATTTATTATCAGTGATTAGATCCTGTGAAAAAAGGCAAGATATATAATGTTTGTGTTTTCTTTTAATCCTTGGATTTAAAACATCACGTAGTTTATCAACAGTTATAGAATGACTCACTGGCTGGATTGCTCAACTGGCTAAGTCAATCAAGGAGTTAGCAAATAATGAACCAGTGAACACGATTAAGCTCATTTCACAGTGTAGATGCAGACTAAGGCAAAACATGAGCAATAACACATTACATATCTTGTCTATGTGATACTACAACGTCTTTATTAAGAGCTTCCATTTATATATTGATAATTAATTTTCAAATCTGCATATTCGCAGATTGGGTGATTATCTTATTTTTAATTTTCTTTTCATATGCATATTTGGTATTGTTATGGAAACATATTCTTTTCAAAGCGTGAATAAATGTGTGCATTAGAGGAAAAGGTTGTTCTTTAATTTTGGTACATTATAGGAGTCTGACTCTCTTCTTTTTTCTCTCCTTGAGACGGACTCTCGCTCTGTTGCCCAGGCTGGAGTGCAGTGGTGCGATCTTGGCTCACTGCAACCTCCGCCTCCCGGGTTCAAGTGATTCTCCTGCCTCAGCCTCCTGAGTAGCTGGGACTACAAGCGCATGCCACCAAGCCCTAATTTTTTTGTATTTTTAGTAGAGATAGGGTTTCACCACGTTAGCCAGGATGGTCTCGATCTCCTGACCTCGTGATCAGCCCGCCTTGGCCTCCCAAAGTGTTGGGATTACAGGCGTGAGCCACGGCGCCTGGCTGAGTCTGACTTTCTTCTAAAGACCCAGGGCTTTTAAGGTTGTTCCATACTGAAATCTGAGGATCTTTGATATCTTTGTGAAGTCTGTGTCGCGTGTTTACAGAAAGACAAAACTTAACGGTAAATACGAAGAATTCAGTTACCTCTGGTCAAATAATCCTAACACAACATCATCTCAGGACAAGAGCGAATAGAAAACTTTGCCGACGAATCGAAAAAGAATGAAAATGGGATTTAAGCATCCCACAGTGGATGCCTGTTGAGGTTCTTCCAAAACATATACTGCACAGGGGAGAGCTCTCATGCTTTGTAACCGCCTATTCATGAATTCAATATAGGTAGCTCCTGAATAAAATATCCGTCTTTGTTACCCGAAGAGTCACTCTATTAGGACACAAGAAGGACTTGAATATTGTGGTTACTATGCTCATAGCGGTATATATAATTTGAGTCTGTACCTGCAGGTGACATTTTTGTTTACCTACACAATATACATTCCTCACCTTCCTGGCTGGGCTCAGGCCTCCATCAGTGTATCTCCTCCCAGTAGAGTCATGTGCTTGAGGATATATGGCCACTTTCTTAGCTCCAAGAGTGGGCCCAGAATTAGTCTAATCTAATCCAATAATCCAATGCCCAATCCAGCAGTGGTTGGGTCAAGATTTAGCCTGGATGTTTACATCTTTCCGTTACTGGCTCAGTTAACCATGAAACTCACTCTGCCTCTGAACTCTCAGTTATATAAGCAAGTGTCTTTACCTATTGGATAAGCCAGCGAGACTTGCACTTTCTGTTAGTTGTAGTTTAAATATCCCTGACCAATACACATTCAATTTTATGGCCATCCTGGGCATCTTACAAAGATGGCTTTCTAAAATAAAACCAACGTATTGGTCTTTTGGTCAAAGATTTTTATGTCTCATTCAGAGTTTCTACACCTAATCTTGTCACAGTCCTGGGTGATTTCAATGTCCATGTAGAAAACCAGTCTGATTCCAAGCCTCATGGTCGCAAGACCTCTTATTTGACTGCCATGCTCAGGGGCACTCCCTGGATCTTGCTACTTCTTGGAACTGCCCCAACTCTAAAATAGTGCACTTTTATATTTTATTGTGGCAACCTTCTTGTAACTCTGAACATCGTGCTTTATGTATTTCTTGGCTATGTTTTTGAGTGCATGTTAAGTTCAGACTTTTTAGCTCTTTGATAAATGTTCTATCATGACTACATGGTGGCCTTCTTTATTCCAAATAATTATTGTTGTCTTAACGTCTATTTTGTCTGATACTAATACAAAAGTAACAGTTTTAAATGGTTTGACTTGTGGCTGGTATTGTGGGTTTCTTTATGGTTTTTTTTCCATCAGTTTATTTGCTTCATTTCTGTGACAGGCCGGAAGAGTTATGTTCATGATGCCCGATATTGAGATGACATTGCTATGAGAGACAAGAGAGCCAAGGTGAGAGAAGGAGCAATGAGCAGGCAAGTGTATGACATGCTGGGCTTTCATAATCCTGCAGCTTCTCAAGTTCAGAGGACTCTCTACAGGCAAAGAGGTTCTGGTGGATGGCAGGAAAGATCTGGGACAACTAAGCCCCAGGTAAGACTACACTAAGACTACTTTATTAATCAAGAGTGGTTTCACTGAGGAGAGACAGGGGCATTTTACTGCTGAGGATTTGGGACTGGAGCACAGTTAGACAGGAGGAATATGTTTTGGTGATCAATTGCACAGCATAGTGAGCAGAGTTAATAACAACGTATCATATATTTCAATATTGCTTTAAAAGTAGATTTTAGATATTCTTAACACAAAATGTGATAAGTAGGTGAGATGATGGATATATTAATTAGCTTGAGTTAGTCTTTCTAAATGTATACACTTATCAAAATACCACATTGTACCCCGTAAATATATACAATTTTGTCTAATTAAAAAATAAATAAAATTTAAAAACAAATGAAAGGAACACAGTGCTTGAAGTCCAAGTTTTTGCTATTACTAATAGAACCTCTCTTTTACTTCATGATACTTGACCTTTCTTAGTTTCAGCTTTCTATTTAGCTATAGACAAAATTTTCCATCATGATCCTCAATTTGGCGTGAGAATTAAATGAAACTTAGATATAGCTCTGCATAGAATAAGGGCTAAGTGGTTTAGCACTGTGGGAGCAGCTGAGTGCCAAACGCTCCTCCTCCACCACCCTCTTTATTTAATCATCAGTCCCTGGGACACCGGCTGCCATGGCTATGCACATGAATACGCTTGAGGGTAAGGAGAATGCATGCTACGGCAGCAACTGTGGTACCCATGCCTGAAAAACAATGACTGTTAGGCAACTTGGTGCCATGCTTAAGTCTCCCTGGGGTGCTGGGGTCCTTCCTTTTTTTTTTTTTTTTTTTTTTTGCATAACTCACAAGGGCTCATCCCCAGGCCCATCTCAGGGATGCACAATCACAAATAATGTCCATATGGCTGCCCCAAGCAGCCACTGATGTTCACCAGGCTAGACACAGTGACCAAAGAGCTCTAGCTTGATCCTTGCTAAACAGGACTCAAGTGCTGTATTCGTTTCTTCAGGCTGCTATAACAAATTTCCATAAACGGGTGGCTTGAAACAACAGAATTTTAAACTCTCACATTTCTATTGGCCAAACGTTTGAAATCAAGGTGTCAGAAAGATTGGTACCTTGTGGTGAGGGTGGCAGTTAAAGAGAGAATCTGTACCACACATCTCTCTTAGCTTCTGGTGGTTGCTGGCAATCCTTGGCATTCCTTGGCTTGTGGCAGCTTAACCCTAATCTCTGCCTCGGTTGTCACATGGTATTCTCCCTGTGTGTCTGTCTCTTTGTCCCAATTTTCCTCTTCTTATAAAGATACCAGTCATTGGATTAGGGCACACCCTAGTCCAGTGTGACTTTATCGTCACTTGATTACATCTACAGAGACCTTGCTTCCAATTAAAATCACCTTCACAGATTCCAGGTAGACATAAATTTGGGGAGGGGGGTGCACGCACTATTCAACCCAATAGAGTCTGCCCTCTGGCTCCCCAATATTTACATTCTTACCGTGAGTAAATTATATTCACCCCATCTCCAAATCCTCCAGATCTTCACCTATTCCAGCATTAACCCTAAATCCAAAATCTCATCTAAAATTGTCAGGATCTTACCGAGTAGACTTTGGGCAAGGTCCACCCTGGGGCAATGTTCCTCTCTGTCTGCAGACCCATGAAGCTAGAAAACAAGTTATCTACTTCCAGAATACTACAGTGGGACGGACGTAGGTTAGACGTCCCCTTCACAAAAGGGAGAAGGTGGAAAGATTAAAGGGGTTGTCGCTCTGGGGCAGGTTCACAACCCAGCAGGAAAAAAGTCCATTAAGTTTCAGGCCAAGAGTAAACTTCCATGGCTCAATCTTCTGTCCCAAGGGCCCTTCAGGGAGGCAGCCCCAAACTTTAGGACCCTCCAGGGAGGCAGCCCCATCTTCCTGGCTTTCTGGGTCAGGGACTCAGTCCATCCAGCCCTCCAGGGTAATGACAATGCCATTTCTGGTCTGGTCTTCCATGTTTCTGCCTTCAGAGACATTCTTCTTTCATTTTTGTCCCATCTCTGGACATTTCAGTCCAGGCTGGCAGCGTTTCTGCTAGTATAAAACTCTCAAAATCCTTGCCATGTTTTTGCAGATGCCAAGGGGATCCACACAACTAGATATGTAGGCTCTGTGTGGGTCCTTCCTGGATTAACCTATCTGGTTTCCTGGCTTAGGGCCAAGGTGGTTGGTTGGGTCCACATGCCTAGCTAGTCTCATTAGCAAATGGCTGTTCAGCCACACTTTTGGCCCTGTTTCCATAGTGCACTATCTGGGTAGACTGTGAATTTTCCAAATCATCAAGCGTGCTTCCTTTTGGCTTAACAGTTCCTTCCTCAACTTATCTCTTTACTCTCACGTTTTACTATAAAGAGACAAGGCCACACCTTCCAGAGTTTGCATGGAAATCTCCTAGCTAAATATCCAAGTTCGTCGCTTACAAGACCTGCTTTCTACACAATTCATTCAAGTTTTCTGACACTCTATCACAAGGGTCACCTTTCCTCCAGTGCTCATTAACATGTGTCTAATTTCCATCTCAGACGGCATCATAAGCAGCTTGAATATTCATATTTCTAGCATCATTCTGTTCATAATGATACACGTGTTCTCTAAGATGATAAGCACTTCCTCTACAACTCTTCTCACTTCCTTCTGGAGCTCTCACAAGAATCACCTTTAGCATTCATATTTCTACCAACGGTCTCTTCAAGGCAATCTAGGGTTTTCATATCATGTGCCTCAAGTCTTCCAGCCTCTAGTCATTACCCAATTACAAAGCCACTTCCATATTTTTAGGCATTTGTGACAGGAACAACCCACGTCTTAGCACTAAAATCTGCATTAGTTTCTTAGGGCTGCCATAACAAAATACCCAAACTGGGTGGCTAAAAGCAAGATAAATTTATTCTCACACAGTTCTGGGGGCTAGAAGTACAAAATCAAGATGTCAGCAGGGCCATGCTCCATCTGACGGAAGAAGCCTTTCTTAGCTCTCCTAGTTCCTGGTGGATGCTGGTACTCCTTGTCACTCCTTGGTTTGTAATGCCTTACTCCAGTCTCTGTCTCTGTCTCCACGCGACTCCCCTATGTGTCTGTGTCTCCTTGTCCAAATCTACCTCTATTTATAGGGACAGCAGTCATATTGGAGTTAGGGCCTACCCTGCCTGGTTCAATATGATCTCATCTTAATGTGACTGCGTCTGAAAAAACACTATTTCCAAATACGGCCACATTTACAGGTTCAGGGTGGACAGGAATTTGGCGGGGGCCACTATATGACTCAGTAAATGCCTCAATTTTTAAAAACCATAGAAGAGTATCCTACTTTCCATTCATTTCAGTGCATTTCATTAACTAATTTTTTCAGGTTCTAGATCCATTATATTTCAGACATAATAAGACATTTGTCAGTAAAGTCAATGAGATTATTTTTAAAGTCTCTATCATGAGGCTGGTAAAATTAGACACTGAAAGTTCAAAAAGGACAGTACGAGCAGTAAAAATTATAGTATATATAATTACAGATGCAAAACTTCTAAATTAATTATTACTAAACTTAACTAGTATATGTCTATTAAAAAAGCGTTCGTTCCAGGAATGAAAGGGTAGTGGAACATTAGAGAATCTATCAATTTACTTCTGATTACTTCAGGAATACTGAGTGCAAATGCTTTTTATGCTCCCACCAGAAAACCCCTAATAATGAAGTGGGGGGGGGCGGGGGGTGCAAAGCGGGACAAAAAATCAGAAGGTACCAGACAACGACACCACACCAAGAAAAATATGTTAGCAAAATTTTATAGGCTATAAAACAGACGTATAGGTCATAAGTCCTTAGAAGACCACAGAAACTAATCCAGCAAGAAACAAACTTCAGAACTCTGGTATTAGAGGTGATAAATATGGTCGAAGTCAGAGACTAGAAGATGTGGATACTTACCGGAGGATTCAAGGAAGGCATCATAGGAATGGCAATCAGCCCTACACTTTCCACCACCCTGAACAGCCAGGATTTCCACCCCAGGCTCAATGTGAACCCCAGTTTTCTTCACATCCTCATTCTTCTCTAGTATACCCTGTAAGAGCCACTGTACCACATCCTACAACAGTTTATTTTTACGTTCTGTGGGTGTCGAGGTGGGAGTATATTGGTGAATGTTCCTTTTAACAATTAAACTGCCAAATAAGAACATAATGATCTAGACCTCCTCTCATATTCCCTTCTCAATGACTGAGAAGTGATCCATGTTGGGAGAATCTCAGGACTGGTGGGCAGCTGATCAAGGAAGCAGGACAGAGGTGCATAAACAGGGTAAGAGTGGAAAACACTAGGCACGTGCCAGAACCCACCCAATGTTTTTAAACAGCTAAACCACTCTAAAGAGGACTGGAGAACCTGCTGCATGTGCCTGTGGCAAGTTTGGATCTTCTCTCTTTTCTTCTTTTTCAGAATTGTTCCGTTTCTCTGAAGGTAAAGCCCATGTTTAACCACTCAACTTCTGCTGACATAATTTGCAATGACCACAGCTAACTTATTGAAGCAGAGTACTATTAGGGCGCCAAGAGCTACCTTTGCTCTTGCCCCGCTTGACAGTAGATGCTGAAATTCACCCCCCACCCCCAAACCAATGATAAATCTGATTACCAAAGCATTCAATGCGCATTTGTAGACGTCTTCATGGGGACAAACGGGGGAGATTCAATGGCACGTGTCCCAGTGAAATGTCACCAAACAGTCTGCGTTAGACTATCTTGCCTCTCTTCCTCATACCCTCATGAGATGGATGGGCATCAGCTCCTGTTCTTCCTGAACAGTCTCATTCCCTTCAAATCTCTTTTCTCTGTGGAGCCATTTATCTCTGTGAGATTCTGATGACTGAATCCTCAGACTCATCACCCTGATCAGCACATCAAGGATCTTTATTCTTAACCCCCTTCTTTAGAATATAAAAGAGTTGTACATAATAATTGTTTTTCACTGTCACATTGATTTTTCTCACATCCTACTCAGAGCTTCCTACCGTAGGTCTTTGAGCCCAAGGTCCATAGTGTATCTTTTCAACAGACTTCTTTTTTTTTTTTTTTAATCCTTTAAGTTTTAGGGTACATGTGCACAACGTGCAGGTTTGTTACATATGTATACATGTGCCATGTTGGTGTGCTGCACCCATTAACTCGTCATTTAACATTAGGTATATCTCCTAATGCTATCCCTCCCCCGTCCCCCCACCCCACAACAGGGAGATACTTTTCTCTGCACTGTCTTTAAAGGTCACCCCTGGGTGCAGCTGTGTAGAGTCATATCCATGCTTGAAAGAAGAGCAAAAGAAAAGCAGAAAAATAAAAAGAAAAAATAATATGAGGCGAGAAAGCAATGAGGTATAAAAGAAAAGTACAATAGAGGCCGGGCATGGTAATCTCAGCACTTTGGGAGGCTGAGGCGGGCGGATCACGGGGTCAGGAGTTCGAGACCAGCCTGACCAACGTGGTGAAACTCCGTCTCTACTAAAAATACAAAAATTAGCCAGGCGTGGTGTCACGCGCAGGTAATCCCAGCTACTCAGGAAGCTGAGGCAGGAGAATCGCTTGAACCAGGGAGGCGGAGGTTGTAGTGAGCCAAGATGGCGCCACTGCACTCTAGCCTGGGTGACAGAGTGAGACTCTGTCTCAAAAAACAAAACAAAAAAAAAAAAACAAACAAAACTAAATATATATATATATATATATATATATATATATATATATATATGGAAAGAAAGAGAGAAAGAAAAGTACAATAGAGAGAATCAACAAAATCAACCAAACCAAAAGTTGGTTTCTGAAAAGACTGACGAAACAGCCAACGTTGGCAATACTGGTGAAGGGAGAAAGATGAAGAGCAGTGGACAGGAGGAGAGAGAGAGAGAACACAAAGGAACAATATTAAAAATTAACAAGCAGAATATGATTAGACATAAACAATAAACAAGATAATACCAAAAACAATTTCATACTGATATAAATTAATGCCTAGACAACGTAGAAATTTTGAAAGAGAAACATATCCTGCCTAAACTAACTATAGAAGAAATAGAAAACTTGACTAGACTTAACAACGATTAAAGAAATTACTGTGGACTACTCGAGGGGGCAGGGAGGGGATATGGGTTGAAAACCTATTTATTGGATACTATGCTCAAAACCTGGGTGATGGGATCCACACCCCAAACCTCAGCATCACACAATATTCCCATGTAACAAACCTGTATGTGTAACCATTCTATCTAAAAATAAAAGTTGACATTAAAAAAAATAGATCTTTAGTTCAAAAAAAAAAAAAACAACGTCAAGAAAACTACCAGGAACACGGGGAAAATTCCACTAAACATTCAAGGAGTAGATAATTAATTCCAAGTTCATACAAACTTCACCAAAGACCAAGATAAAAGCTTACACTCCCAAGTATATTTTATGAGGATAATCTTGACTCTAAAATGAGGTAAGTATAATAGGAGAAAGGAAATTTATAATTCAAGCTAAATGCTAAATTAAATACTGCAGACTTAAGTGACGCACAGAAATGATAATAAACCAGAACAAGTTTGGTGTATCACAGCAGTGTAAAAATGCCTTAACATTAGAAAGGAATGTTAATGTAAATCATCCCATTAATGGAAAGAAACAAGATTGGGCTATCATTTTAATGGACAGGGTAAAATCATTTGATAAAATCCAGTGCCTGTTCACGGAACACACAAAAACAAACCAAAACACAATTCTTGCCAAACTGGGAAAAAACAGATGGAAAACACATATCTACAAAATAATCTGCACCAACAGCTGTGCACACTGGTGAAGATTTACATGGATTGTCCTTAAAAATCAAGAACAGGACAAGGTTGCTCAATATTGTCATTTCTGCTCAACAGTGGCGGTTCTAGCCAGTGCAATAAATAAAAGATATAATGATTGGAATTAAAAACACCCAAACGATCATATCTATATAGACAATATATTATTTACCTGTATGGAAAAACCTGAGATAATCTACAAACTCTCAGCATTAATTACAGCTAAGAAGAAAATCAACTGTATTCCTACAAACCAGCAACAACCACTTAGAGGAAAAACAACTCTTCAATGAACACCAATTATAACTGCCACAAAATAGTAAGGTACATGGAAATAAGTCTAACAAAGATGCTTCAGACTTTAAATGAGAAAATTATCAAATGTTATCGAGAGCTATTAGTTCCAAATTAGGCAGATATAAAGCATGCTCATGGAAGAATCCCTATGATAAAGATGACGGTTTTCTCCACTTAACCTGTATATTTGACGTGATTCCAATAAAAAATCCAACACAGCTTTCTACGGAACAATAGACTCTATGACTCTAGAATGCATACTGAAGGACCAAGGGCGCTTAATATCCAAGAATATTAAAACAAAGTAGAGGGGATCAGAAGGGACATGGCTTACAAGATATCAAGTTTTAATAATTAAGATAGTTAAGATAGTTCACTTATATGACATCTAGGCCAATACAATTGATAGGATAGAGAGCCCATTAAATATAGGAAAACGTGGCATGAGAGGTTTGCCATTGAAGGTTAGCTGAAGAAAAGACAGGCTATTCAATATATAGTGCTGGATCCATTGGTTATACCCATTTTTTAGAGAGGAGATTGCTATCTCACTCCATACACAATATAAATTCCAGAAATTAAAAAAAAAAAAAGAAACCTTAGTGGAAAAAGAAGGAGGTGAAAGGTCTCTAAATGAAAAACAACAAAACACTGCTGAAAGAAATCATCAATGACAAAAACAAATGGAAGCACATCCCATGCTCATGGATGGGTGGAATCAATATGGTGAAAATGACCATACTGCCCAAAGCGATCTACAAATTCAATGCAATTCCAATCAAAGTACCATGATCATTCTTCACAGAACTAGAAAAAAAATATATCCTCAAATTCACGTGGAACCAAAAGAGAGCCCGCATAATCAACACAATACTAAGCAAAAAGAACAAATCAGGAGGCATCACATTACCTGGCTTCAAATTATACCACAAGGCTATAGTTACCAAAGCAGCATGGTACTGGCATAAAAACAGGTATGTAGACCAATGGAGCAGAATAAAGAACTCAGAAATGAAGCCAAATACTGACAGCCAACCGATCTTTGACAAAGCATACAAAAACATAAAGCGAGGAAAGGGCACCCTATTCAATAAACGGTGCTGGTAAAACTGGCAAGCCACATGCAGAAGAATGAAACTGGATCCTCATCTCTCACCTTATTACAAAAATCAACTCTCAAGATAGATCAAAGACTTAAATCTAAGACCTGAAACCACAAAAATTCTAGAAGATACCATCGAAAAACTCTTGCAGACATTGGCTTAGGTAATGAATTCATTCCTTTTTTTTTTATACTTTAAGTTTCAGGGTACATGTGCACAACGTGCAGGTTCGTTACATATGTATACATGTGCCATGTTGGTGTGCTGCACCCCTTAACTCGTCATTTAACATTAGGTATATCTCCTAATGCTATCCCTCCCCCGTCCCCCCACCCCACAACAGGCCCCGGTGTGTGATGTTCCCCTTCCTGTGTCCATGTGTTCTCATTGTTCAATTCCCACCTATGAGCGAGAACATGCGGTGTTTGGTTTTTTGTCCTTGCGATAGTTTGCTGAGAATGATGGTTTCCAGCTTCATCCATGTCCCTACAAAGGACATGAACTCATCCTTTTTTATGGCTGCATAGTATTCCATGGTGTATATGTGCCACATTTTCTTAATCCAGTCTATCATTGTTGGACGTTTGGGTTGGTTCCACGTCTTTGCTATTGTGAATAGTGCCGCAATAAACATACATGTGCATGTGTCTTTATAGCAGCATGATTTATAGTCCTTTGGGTATATACCCAGTAATGGGATGGCTGGGTCAAATGGTATTTCTAGTTCTAGATCCCTGAGGAATCGCCACACTGACTTCCACAATGGTTGAACTAGTTTACAGTCCCACCAACAGTGTAAAAGTGTTCCTATTTCTTCACATCCTCTCCAGCACCTGTTATTCCTGACTTTTTAATGATCGCCATTCTAACTGGTGTGAGATGGTATCTCATTGTGGTTTTGATTTGCATTTCTCTGATGGCCAGTGATGAGCATTTTTTCATGTGTCTTTTGGCTGCATAAATGTCTTCTTTTGAGAAGCGTCTGTTCATATCTTTCGCCCACTTGTTGATGGGGTTGTTTTGGCCATACTGCCCAAGGTAATTTATAGATTCAACGCCATCCCCATCGAGCTACCAATGACTTTCTTCACAGAATTGGAAAAAACTACTGTAAAGTTCATATGGAACCAAAAAAGAGCCCGCATCGCCAAGTCAATCCTAAGCCAAAAGAACAAAGCTGGAGGCATCACGCTACCTGACTTCAAACTGTACTACAAGGCTACAGTAACCAAAACAGCATGGTACTGGTACCAAAACAGAGATATAGACCAACGGAACACAACAGAGCCCTCAGAAATAATGCCACATATCTACAACTATCTGATCTCTCACAAACCTGACAAAAACAAGAAATGGGGAAAGGATTCCCTATTTTGGAAATGGTGCTGGGAAAACTGGCTAGCCATATGTAGAAAGCTGAAACTGGATTCCTTCCTTACACCTTATACAAAAATTAATTCAAGATGGATTGAAGACTTAAATGTTAGACCTAAAACTATAAAAACCCTAGAAGAAAACCTAGGCAATGCCATTCAGGACATAGGCATCGGCAAGGACTTCATGTCTAAAACACCAAAAGCAATGGCAACAAAAGCCAAAATTGACAAATGGGATCTAATTAAACTAAAGAGCTTCTGCACAGCAAAAGAAACTACCGTCAGAGTGAACAGGCAACCTACAGAATGGGAGGAAATTTTTGCAATCTACTCATCTGACAAAGGGCTAATATCCAGAATCTACAATGAACTCAAACAAATTTACAAGAACTCGTTCCTACGAACTCAAAAGCAAATGCACCAAAAACAAAAATAAGCAAGTGGATCCTAATTAAACTAAAAAGCTTCTGCACGGCAAAGGAAATACTCAGAAGAGTAAACAGACAACCCACAGAGTGGGAGAAAACATTCACAAACCCTGCATCCAACAAAGGACTAATATCCAGAATCTACAAGAAACTCAATAAAAATCGGCAAGAAAAAAGCAAAATCCCATCCAAAAGTGGGCAAAGGACATGAATAGACAATTCTCAAAAAAAAAAAAAAAAAAAGAAAAGAAAGATATACAACCAGCCAACAAACATATGAAAAAAAATGCTCACCGTCACTAATTATCAGGGACATGCTCATTAAAACCACAATGAGATACCACCTTACTCCGGCAAGAATGGCCATAATTAAAAAGTCAAAAAATAATAGATGTTGGAGTGGATGTGGTGAAAAGGGAACACTTTTACACTGCTGGTGGGAATGCAAACTAGTACAACCATTCTGGGAAACGGTATGGAGATTCCTTAGAGAACTAAAAGTAAAACTACCATTCGATCCAGCAATCCCCCTACCGGGTATCTACCCAAAAGAAGACAAGTCATTATATCAAAAAGACTCAAGCACATGCATGTTTATAGCAGCATATTTCACAATTGCAAAAATATGGAAGCAACCTTATTGCCCATCAATCAACGAGTGGATAAAGAAGATGTGGCATATATACACCACAGAATACTACTCAGCCATAAAGTGGAACGAAATAATGGCCTCTGCAGCAACTTGGATGGAGCTGAAAGCCACTACTGTAAGTGAAGTAACTCAGGAATGGAAATCCTAATATCGTATGCGCTCACTTATAAGTGGGAGCTAACCTATGAGGGTGCAAAGGCATAGGAATGACATGATGGACTTAGGGGACTCGGAGGGAAAGGTGGAAAGAGGGTGAGGGATAAAAGAAGACTATCTATTGGGTACAGTGTACACTGCTCAGGTTACGGGTGCACCAAAATCTCAGGAATCACCACTGAAGAACTTATCCACGTAATCAAAATCCACCTGTATGCCCCCAAACTATTGAAATTTTAAAAAATGTTAGAACAATTACGAGAGTGCCTAAGTTTATGTCCTCAGAGCAGGAAAGACTTTTTCGCAAAATTAACCACAACCCATGAACACAGGACATCTTTCCACTTATTTATGTCTTCTTTAATTTCTTCAAGCAGTGTTGTAGTTCTCAAGGTAAATGTCTTGATTACGTCTACTCCTGAGTATTCTATTCTTTTCGTGCTATTGTAAATGTAATTATTTTCTTAATTATTCTTGGACTGTTGATTGTCAGTGTACACAAATGCAACTGGTTATGGTGTGTTGATTTTCTATCTTGCAACTTTGACAAATTCATTTATTAGCCCTAACAGCTTTTTTTGTGGAATCTCTAGGGTTTTCTACATAGAAGATCATGTCGTCTGTGACAGGGGATAACTTCTTCTTTTCCATCTTAGATGCCTTCTATTTCTTACTCTTGCCTAATTACTCTGTCTAGAGCTTTCAATAGTATGTTGAGTTAGAAGTGACAAAAGCAGGCATCCTTGTCCTGTTCCCGATCTTAGGGGAAAACCTTTCAGTCTTTTCCATTGAGTATGACGTTAGCTATAGGTATTTCCATATATGGTTTATGTCACGCTAAGGAAGTATCCTTCTCTTCCTAATCTGTTGAGGGTTTTTATTATAAAACCATGTTGGATTTTGTTAGGTGCTTTTTCTGCATCAGTTGACATGGTGATGCGGTCTTTTATCATCAGTCTGTTAATATAGTGCATGGGTTTATTTTCATGTGTTGAATCATCTTTGCATTTCAGCAATTATTCCCATTCAGTCATGGGTGTGTAATCCTTTCAATATACTGCAAGGTTCTGCCTGCTAGCGTTTCATCTAGGATTCTGAACACTGGTATTCATAAGGGATATTGCTTTGTAGCTTTCTTGTTGTGGCTTTGGCAGACTTTGGTATCATGGTAACTAACATTGGCCTTATGGAATGAGTTAGGAAGTGTTCCCTCTTCTTCAATTTTTTGGAAGAGATTTAGAAGGAATGGTGGTAATTCTTCTTTAAATGTTTGGTAGAATTCACCAATGAAGTCATCTGGCCCAAGACTTGACTTTGTTGGAAGGTTTTGATTACTGATAATTCCTATTACTGATAACTCCTTACTATAACTAGTAAGGAGACTGTATCTCATAAGAGATATGTAGTCCTCAAGCAGTAGGCGATATATTCAAAGTTCTAAAAAAGGAGAAACCTGTCAAGCAGGAATTACATATCCAGCAAAACCATCCTTCAAAAATGAAGGGGAAAATTAACACATTCTCAGATTTAAAAATTACTGAAGGCTTTGGGGCAAAGATGGCTGACCAGATGCAGACAGGAAGAACTCCTCCCAATAAGAGACCCGATCATCAAGAAGACCAGCACATTCCAAACAGATCTTTGGAAAGAAGGCATTGAAAATGGATGGAGGAAGGACACAGACCCTGAGCTGAAAGGGGAGGAAGCTGGGAACCCTGCATCAGGTTGCTGAGGACCAGGACTCATTTTGGGGCCTGAGTGACTCCTGGGGAAGGGGCGAGTAAAACAAGCATAGAGTGGCTCATTCTCGCCATGGACCTCTGGAATCCAAGCTGCAGGAGACCCCATGACCCCCACAGACATTTGAGATTGCAGGGAGAATTGCCGGGAGAGCTGGCAGAGATAGAAATCTTGCCTGCATGGAGTCCAGAGGGTTTAGCATGGGAAAAGCTGCACTGAAGCATGGCCATGGGCACCCAACCCCAAGCCTCACCACACTCCTCTCTGTGGCTTTAGTGTTTGCTGGCTGCTGGACCTGGACGCAGCAGGGCAATCTTGGCCATGGGATAGGGTCAGTCTGATCTGAGTGTCCCGCTGTCTGCTGGCCTATCCCAGCGTCCCTGCCTGGCCACACCCGCTTGCAGCGCAGCCTCAGCTTCCCAGATGAGGCATTTGCCAGCAGCCACCACCATAGCTCTTTCACTGGCAGACGCTGCCTAGCAGTTGGGGATCTTCTGCAGGTGGTCCCCTGCAGACAAGTGCACCCTCCCGCAGCCCTCCTCCACCGATGCACTCTCACTCATAGCCTTCCTGCACTGCTTCGCTGGTGAGCCCATGCATTTGGGGGCCCTTGCTGCCCTACCGCTGCCCCACGGAAGTACTTTGGCCGGAACATCCCATCAGAGTGCTGTTGCCAGCGGAATGGGAACACCTCAGCCCCTCCAGAAGAGCAGGCAGTAAACCTTCAGAGTCCAGAAAAAAAAAAAAAAACAAAAACAAACAAACAAAAAAAACCATGGACACGTCCCAGCCCCCAGGGGTAGAGCATGCAGCCCAGGAGCGCTGAGCTGTGTCTTGGTTCCCCAAAATCATCCAGAAATGAAGCCAATTGACTAAATTGACTTATACCACATCAAAACCTCAAGTTCATCAAAGAATGTAAAAGCAAAAAGGCCCATCCACAGGACAGCAACCTCAAACATTAAAGGAACGTCAGCCCACACAGATGAGGAAGAACCAGCCCAAGAACTCTGTTAATGCTAAAAGCCAGAGTGTCTTCTTGTCTCCAAATGGCCACACTAGCTCTGCAGTAATGGTTCTTAACCAGACCTATGTGGCTGAAATGATAGACATAAAATTTAGAATCTGGATGGCAACAAAGATCATTGAGATTCACGAGAAAGTTGACATGGCAGCCAAGGAATATAAGGAATCCAATAAAACAATACAAGAGGTGAAAGATTAAATGGCCATTTTAAGAAAGAACCAAACTGACCTGCTTGAGCTAAAAAACTCACTACAAGAATTTCATAATACAATCAGAAGTATTAACAGCAGGCTAGAACAACCTGAGGAAATAATCTCAGATCCTGATGTCCAGTTGTTTGAATCAGATCAATCAGACTAAAACAAGGAAAAAAAGAATTAACAAAAATGAACAAAACCTCCAAGAAATATGAGATTATGTGAAGAGACCAAACCTATGACTCATTGGTGTCCCACAAAGAGAGGGAGAGAGCAAGCAACTTGGAAAACATATTTGAGGATATTGCCCACAGACATTTCCCCAACCTCGCTAGACAGGTAGAGAGGCAAATTCAGGAGAGTCAGATAACCCCAGTGAGATGCTACAGAAGATGACCATCCCCAAGATGCATAGTCATAAGATTCTCCAAGGTCAAGGTGAAAGGAAAACCACTAAAAGCAGCCAGAGAGAAGGGGCAGGTCACATACAAAGGGAACCCCATCAGGCTAACAGCAAACCTTTCAGCAGAACTCTTACAAGTCAGAAGAGATTGGGAGCCAATAGTCAGCATCCTTAAAGAAAAGAAATTCCAACTGGGAATTTCATATCTAACCAAACTAGGCTTCATAAGAAAAGCAGAAATAAAATCCTTTTCAGACAAGCAAATGCTAAGGGAACTCATTGCCCCCAGATCTGCATTACCAGAGGTCCTTAAGGGAGCGCTAAACATGGAAACAAAAGGTCGTTGCCTGTCACCACAGAAACACACTTAAGTACACAGCCCACTGACACTACCAAGCAACTATATAATCACGTCTACATAACAACCAGCTAACGGCACAGTGACAGGATCAAATCCTCACATATCAATATTAACCTTGAATGTAAATGGGCTAAACGCCCCCACTTAAAAGGCAGAGAGTGGCAAGTTGGATAAAGAAGCAAGACCCAACTGCATGCCGTCTTTAAGAGACCCATCTCACATGCAATGACACCCATCATAGGCTCAAAGTAAAGGGATGGAGAAAGATCTATCAAGCAAATGGAAAACAGAAAAGAGCAGAGGTTGCTGTTCTTATTTCAGACGAAACAGACTTTAAACCCACAATGATCAGAAAGGACAAAGAAGGGCACTGCATAATGATAAAGGGTTCAATTCAACAAGAAGACTTAACTATCCTTAATATATATGCACCCAACACTGGAGCACGCAGATTCACAAAACAATCACTTAGAGACCTACAAAGAAACTTAAATAACCACACAATCATAGTGGGAGGCTTCAACACCCCACTGACAGTGCTAGATCACTGGGGCAGAAAACTAACAAAGATATTCGGGACATAAACTCAACACTTGACAGAATTGACCTAACAGATATCCACAGAACATCGCACGAAACAACAACACAATATACATTCTTCTCATCTGCACAGGGCACATACTCTAAGGTCGACCACATGCTCAGCCATAAAGCAATTCTCAAAAAATTCAGAAACAAACCCGGAATCATACCAGCCACACTCTCAGACCGCAGTGCAATAAAAATAGACATCTGTAGCAGGAAGATCTCTCAGAGGCAAACAATTATATATAGATCTTTCAAAACCAATCAATTATATTATAAGGTCGACTACATGTTTGGCCGTAAAGCAATTCTCAAAAAATTCAAAAACAAACCTGAAATCATTACCAGCCACACTCTCGGACCACAGTGCAATGAAAATAGAGATTAATACCAAGAAGATGTCTCAAAACCAAACAATTGTATGGAAATTAAACAACCTGCTCCTGAATGACTTTTGAGTAAAGAGCAAAATTTGGGCAGAATTCAAAAAAATTCTTTGAAGCTATTGAAAACAAAGGTACAACATACCAGAATCTCTGGGGGCACAGCTAAAACAGTGTTAAGAGGAAAGTTTATGGTGCTAAGTGCCTACATGGAAAAAGTCAGACAGATCTCACATTAGCAATCTAACATCGCACCTAGAGGAACTAGAGAAACAAGAGCAAAGTGACCCCAGAGCTAGCAGAAGAAAAGAAATAACAAATATTAGAGCTGAACTGAAAGAAGTTGAGATGTGAACCACCCTACAAAAGGTCAAAGAAACCAAAGGAACCAAAGGTCCTTTGAAAAAATAAATAAGCTCGACAAACTGCTAGCTAGACAAACAAGGAAAAGAAAGAAAGAGAGAGAAGGCCCAAATAAACACCATCAGAAATGACAAAGGTGACATTACTGCGGACCCCACAGAAATGCAGCAACAACAACAAAAATCCTCAGCGACTATTATGAACACCTGTATGCACATAATCTAGAAAACCCAGAGGAAATCGATAAATTCCTGGGAGCATACAACCTCCCAAGATTGAACCAGGATGAAACTGAATCCCTGGACAGACCAATAACGAGTTTCAAACTTGAATCAGTAATAAAAAAGACCTACCAACCAAAGGCCTGGACCAGACGGATTCACAGTCCAATTCTATCAGACACAGAAAGAAGAGCTGTAACCAATCCCTAATGAAACTATTCCAAAAATTTGAGGAACTGGGACTCCTCTCTAACTCATTGTACGAGGCCAGCATCATTCTGATTCCCAAACCTGACGGAGACACAGTGAAAATACAACACTTCAGGCCAATATTCCTGATGAACCTAGATGCAAAAATCCTCACCAAAATACCAGCAAATTGATTCCAGCAGTACATCAAAAAACTAATCCATCACGATCAAGTAGGCCCTACTCCTGGGATGCAAGGTTGGTTCAACATGTGCAAATCAATAAATGTGATTCATCACATAAACGCAACTAAAAACGAAAACCACATATCATCTCAATAGATGCAGAAGAGGTTTTCAACGAAATTCAACATCCCTTCATGTCAAAAACCCTCAACAAACTGGGCATCAGAGAAGCATACCTCAAAATAATAAGAGTCATCTAGGACAAACCCACAGCCAACATCCTACTCAAAGGCCAAAACCTGGAAGCATTCTCCCTGAGAACCAAAACATAGTCCTGAATTACCGACGCCACCCCTCCCCCACCCCTGGCCACAGCAGCATGGTGTGGAGAGCATCTCTGGGTGCAGGGGGAGGGAGACCACAGCATTTGTGAAGCAATGACCTCAGTGCTATCCTGTTAGAGCAGAAAGGAAAACCGGACCAAACTCAGCTCATGCCCCCCCAACAGAGGGAGCATTTAAAGCAGCCCTAGCCAGAGGGGAATCACTGATCCCAGTGATCAGAACTTGAGTTCCCACAAACCTCACCATGGCAGGCTACAGCACTCTGTGTCTCCAAGTAAATTTGAAAGGCAGACTAGGCCATAAGAACTGCAACTCTGGCCGGGCGTGGTGGCTCACGGCTGTAATCCCAGCACTCTGGGAGGCTGAGGCGGGAGGATCACGAGGTCAGGAGATCGAGACCATCCTGGCTAACACGGTGGAACCCCGTCTCTACTAAAAATACAAAAAAAAAAAAAAAATTAGCCGGGCGTGGTGGCGGGCACCTGTAGTCCCAGCTACTCAGGAGGCTGAGGCAGGAGAATGGCGTGAACCCGGGAGGCGGAGCTTACAGTGAGCTGAGATCGTGCCACTGCACTCCAGCCTGGGCAACAGAGCGAGACTCCATCTCAAAAAAACAAACAAAAAAAAGAACTGCAACTCTTAGGTGAGTCCTGGTGTTGAATTAGGCCCAGAGACAGTGGACCAGGGGTCGGGGGAGGGGGGGGGTCACACGACATACTGAGATACCAGCTGGGGCAGCCAAGGGAGTGCTGGCATCACCCGTCCCCTAACCCCAGGCTGCACACCTTGTGGCTCCGAAGGAGACCCCTTCCTTCCACTTGAGGAGGGGAGAAAGAAAACAGTGGTGAAGACTGTGTCTTGCATCTGGGATACCAGCCCAGCCATAGCAAGATAGGGCACCAGTCAGAGTCACGTGGCCCCTGTTCCAGGACCTAGCTACTAGAGGACATTCCTAGACACGTCCTGGGCCAGAAGGGAACCCACTGCCTTGAAGGAAAGGACCTAGTCCTGGCAGCACTCACCACCTGCAAACTGAAGAGCCCCTGGGCCCTGAATAACCAGCAGTGATGCCCAGGCACTACATCGAGGGCCTTGGGTGAACCTCTGAGACTTGTTGGCTTCAGGTGAGACTTGGTACATAACCAGCAAGTGGTGGCTATGGGGCAAAACTCCTTCAGTTTGAGAAAAGCAGAGGGAAAAGTAAAGGGGACTTCGTTTTGCATCTTAGGTACCAGTATGGCCATAGTGGGGTAGAGCATCAAGCAGACCCTTGGAGTCCCCAGTTCCAGGACTGGACTCTTGGACTGCATTTCTGGACCTGCCCTGAGCCACAGGGGAGCCCACTGCCCCGAAGGGTGAGTCCCAGGCCAGGCAGCATTCACGACAGCTGACTTACGAGACCTTGAGCCTTAAGGGAACATTGGCAGTAGTCTGCCAGTACTGCTCGGGGCCTAGGGTGGCGGTGGCTACAGTGTGAGGCTCTTGTACCTTTGGGAAGGGGAGGGAAGAGTGGGAAAGACTGCGTCCTGTGGTTTGAGTGACAGCTCAGCCACAATACTTAGAACCACAGGTAGCCTTCTAAGGTTTTTGATGCTAGTCCCTGATTCCCAGATGGCACTTCTGGACCCACCTGGGGCTTGGGGGACCTCTCTCCAATGAAGGGAAAAACAGTCCTAGCTGGCTTTGCCACTTGCTTATTGTAGAGCCCCAGGGCCTTGAGCAAACAAAGGCAGTAGCCAAGGAGTAATTACAGCAGGCCTTGGGGGAGACCCAGTGCTGTGCTGGCTTCAGGTCTGACCCAGTGCAGTCATAGTAGTGGTGGCCGCATAGTGGTGGCTGCAGGGGTGCTTGTGTCATTCCACCCTCAGCTTTAGGTGGCTCAGAACAGAGACAGAGAGAGAGAGAGAGACTCTGTATGTTTGGGAGAAAGTAAGGAAAGGGAACAAGAGTCTCTGCCTGGTAATCCAGAGAATTCTCCCGGACCTCGTCCAAGACCATCAAGGTGGTGCCCTCTATGAGTCTACAAGAACCACAGCGTTACTGAGCTTGGGGTGCCCCCTGAAGCAGACACAGCTTAGATCCAAACACCCAGGTCCTCTGAAATATTTGAAAAGCCTTCTGACGAAGGACGGCTACAAATAAGCCCAGACAGTGAAGACTACAATTAATACCTAACAGTTCACATACTCAGAAACTGAAGAAAAAAATATTCGCATCAGCACCATCCAGGAAAACACGACCTCACCAAATAAGCTAAATAAGGTACCAGGAACCAATCTTGGAGACAGAGAGGTATGTGACCTTTCAGACAGGGAATTCAAAACAACTTTGTTGAGGAAACTCAAAGAAATTCAGGATAATGCAGAGTAGGAATTCAGAATTCTATCAGATGCATTTAACAAAGAGACTGAAATAATCTGAAAGAATCAAGCAGAAATTCTGGAGCTGAAAAATGCAACTGGCATACTGAAGAATGTATCAGAGTCCTTCGATAGCAGAACTGATCAAGCAGAAAGAAAGAATTAGTGAGCCTGCAGACAGGCTATTTGAAAATACACAGTCAGAGGAGACAAAAGAAAAAATACACAAAAATGAAGCATGCCTACAGGACCTAGAAAACAGCCTCGAAGGGGGAAATCTAAGAGTTATTAGGCTTAAAGAGGAGGGAGATGAAGAGATAGGAGTATAAAGTTTATTCAAAGAGATAATTACAGAGAACTTCCCAAACTTAGAGAAAGATATCAATATCCAAGTATAAGAAGGTTACAGAACACCAAGCAGATTTAATCCAAAGAAGACTACTTCAAGGCATTTAATATTCAAACTCCCAAAGAACAAGGATAAAGAAAGGATGCTGAAAGCAGCAAGAGAAAAGAAACAAGTAATTTACAATGGCGCTCCAAATGTCTGGCAGCAGACTTTTCAGTGGAAACCTTACAGGCCAGGAGAGGGTGGTATGACATATTTAAAATGCTGAAGGAAAACAAACAAACAAAAAAACAAAAAACGCTTTTACCCTAAAATAGTATATACCCTAGAAGATATCCTTCAAACATGAAGGAGAAATAAAGACCTTCCCAGACAAATAAAAGCTGAGAGATTTCATCAATACCAGACCTATCCTACAAGAAATGCTGAGGGGTGTACTTCAATCAGAAAGAAAAGGACGTTAATGAGCAATAAATTATCACCCGAAGGTACAAAAGTCACTGGTAATAGTAAGGACACAGAAGAACACAGAATACAATGACGCTGTAACTGTGGTGTACAAACTCGTGTTACCCTAAGTAGAAAGACTAAACGATGAACCAATAAAAATTAATAACTAGAACAACTTTTTGAGACATAGTCAATGCAATGATATAGAAATAGAAACAACAAAATATTAAAACGTGGGGGGATGAAGTTAAGGCACAGAGTTTTCATTAGTTTTCTTTTTGCTTGCTTGCTTTATGTTTGTTTGTTTGTGCAAATAGTGTTCAGTTGCTATCAGGTTAAAATAATGGGTTATAAGATAGTATTATTGAGCCTCATGGTAACCTCAAACCAAAAAAAAAAAAAAAAATACAATGGATACACAAAAAATAAAAAGCAAGAAACTAAATCTTATCACCAGAGAAAACCACTTTCACTAGAGGAAGACAAGAAGGAAAGAAAGAATGAAGAGAAGATCACAAAACAACCAGAAAACAAATAACAAAATGGCAGGACTACGTCCTTACATGTCAACCGTAACATTGGATGCAAATTGGAAAAACTCTCCCATCAAAAGTCACAGACTGGCTGAATGGGTGAAGAAACAAGGCTCATTGATCTCTTGCCTAGAAGAAACACACTTCACCTATAAAGCACACACAGGCTAAAAATAAAGGGATGGAAAAAGATACCCCATGCCAATGGAAACCAAAAAAGAGCAGGAGCCGCTATACTTATATCACACAAAATAGATTTCAAGACAAAAACTATAAGAAAAGAAAAAGAACGTCACTATGTAATGATAAACGGGTCGATTCACCAAGAGGATGTAACAATTTTAAATATATATGCACTCAACACTGGAGCACCCAGATACATGAAGGAAATATTACTAGAGCTAAAGAGAGAGATGGGCCCTGACACAGTAACAGCTGGAGACTTCAACACCCCACTTTCAGCACTGGACAGATCTTCCAGACAGAAAATCAACAAAGAAACCTCAGACTGAATCTTCACTGTAGACCAAATGGATCTAACAGATATGTACAGAACGATTCATCCAGCAGATGCAGATAACACATTCTTTTCCCCAGAACATGGATCATTCTCAAGGACAGACCATACATTAGGTCACAAAACAAGTCGTAAAACATTCCAAAACCCTGAAATAATATCACGCATCTTCTCTGACCACGATAGAATAGAATAAGACTAGAAATCAATAGCAAGAGGAATTTCGGAAACTGTACAAATACATGGAAATTAAACAATATACTCCTGAATGACCAGTGGGTCAATGCAGAAATTAAGAAGGAAATTGAAACGAATGGCAATGGAAACACAACATACCAAAACCTCTGGGATATGGCAAAAGCAGTACTCAGAGGGAAGTTCATAGCTATAAGTGCCTACATCAAAAAAGAGGAAAATTTTCAAATAAACAATGTAACGATGCCTCTTAAAGAACTAGAAAAGAAAGAGCAAACCAAACCCAATATTAGTAGAAGAAAAATAATAAAGAGGAGAGCAGAAATAAATGAAATTGAACTGAAGAAAACAATACACTGAACAATCACTGAAACAGAAAGTTGATTTTGTGAAAAGTTAAACAAATGAGACAAACCTTTAGCCAGACTAACTAAGAAAAAGTGAAAGAAGATACACGCAAATAAAATCAGAAATGAAAAAGGAGACATTACAACTGATACTGCAGAGATTCAAAGGATCATTAGTGGCTACTACTATGAGCAACTATATGTCAATAAATTGGAAAACCTAGAAGAGATGGACAAATTCCTAGATACAATACATCCTACCAAGATTGAATCCAAAACCCGAACAGACCAATAACAAGTAACGAGATCAAAGCCATATGAAAAACTCTCCCAGTAAAGAGAAGCCTGGGACCCAATGGCTTCACTGCTGAATGCTACCAAACACTTAAAGAAGAACTGATACCAATCCTACTCAAACTATTCCAAAAAGGAGAGGAGGACAGAGTACTTCCAAACTCATTTTACCAGGCCAGTATTACCCTGATACCAAAACCAGACAAAGAAACATCAGAAAACAAAAAGAATGAAAGAAAAAGAAAACTTCAGGCCATTGTCTCTGATGCATATTGATGCAAAAATCCTCCACCAAATACTAGCAAGCCCAATTCAACAATATATTAGAACAATCATTCATCTTGACCAAGTGGGATTTATCCCTGGGTTGCGAGGATGGTGCTACATACACACATCAATCAAGGTGTTACATCAGATCAACAGAATGAAGGATAAAAGCCATATGATCATTGCAATTGATGCTGAAAAAGCATTTGATAAAAAATTTAACATCCCTTCCTGATAAAAACCCTCAACAACCTGGGTATAGAAGGAACATACCTCAACATAATAAAAGCCATATGCAACAGACTGACAGCTAGTATCATACCGAATGTGGAAAAACTGAAAGCCTTTCCTTGAAGAACTGGAATACGACAAGGATGCCCACTGTCACCACTGTTGTTCAACATAGTACTAGCAGTCCTAGCTAGAGCAATCAGACAAGACAAAGACATAAAGGGCATTCAAATTGGAAATGAAGAAGTCAAATTATCCTTGTTTGCTGATGATATGGTCTTATATTTGGAAAAAAAAAAAAGACTCCACAAGAAAACTACTAATAACTGATCAACTAATTCAGTAAAGTTGCATGGTACAAAATCAACATACAAAAATCAGTAGCATTTCTATCTGGCAACAGTGAACTACCTGAAAAACAAATTTAAAAAGTAATCCCATTTAAAATAGCCACACATAAAATTAAGCACCTAGGAATTAACTAGGCCAAAGAAGTGAAGGATCTCTATAATGAAGACTATAAAACACTGATGAAGAAAATTGAAGAGGACACCAAAAAATGGAAAAATATTCCACGCTCATGGATTGAAAGAATCAATATTGTTAAAATGTCCATAATACCCAAAGCAATCTACAGGTTCAATGCAATCCCTATCAAAATACCTATTTTGATACTATTTCTATTCACAGAAATAGAAAAAAAAATTCCTAAAATTTATATGGAACCACAAAAGACCCAGAATAGCTAAAGCTATCCTAAGCAAGAACAAACCTGAAGGAATCTCGTTACCTGACTTCAAATAATACTACAGAGCCATAGTAACCAAGACAGCATGGTACTGGCATAAAAACAGATGCATGGAACAATGGAACAGAATCGGGAGTCCAGAAAGAAATCCATACACCTACAGTGATCTCATTTTTGACAAAGGTGCCAAGAACATATACTGGAGAAAGGACAGTCTCTTCGATAAATCGTGCTGGAAAACCTGGACCACCCATATGCAGAAAAATGCAACTAGACCCCTATCTCTCCCCACATACGAAAATCAAATCAAAATAGATTAAAGACTTAAATGTAAGACCTCAAACTCTGAAACTACTACAAGAAAACATTGGGAAAAATCTCCAGGACATAGGTCTGGGCAAAGACTTCTTGAGCAACACCCCACAAGCACAGACGACCAAAGCAAACATGGACAAACGGGATCACGTCAAGTTAAAAAGCTTCTTCACAGCAAAGGATACAATCAACAAAGTGAAGTGACAACCCACAGAATGGGAGAAAATATTTTCAAACCACTCCTCTGACAAGAGATTAATAACTAGCATATACAAGGATTTCAAACAACTCTATAGGAAAAAATCTAATAATCTGATCGAAAGATGGGCAAAAGATTTGAATGGACGTTTCTCAAAAGAAGACACACAAATGGCAAACAGGCATATGAAATGGTGTTCAACATCATTGATCATCCGAGAAACACAAGTCAAAAATTCGATATCATCTCACCCCAGTTAAGATGGCTTATATCCAAAAGACAGGGAGTAACAAATGCTGGCATGGATGTGGAGAAAAGGGAAAGTTCCCACACTTTTGGTAGGAATGTAAATTAGTACAACCATTTGGAGAACCGTGTGGAGGTTCCTCCAAAAACTAAAAATTGAGCTACCATATGATCCAGCAATCCCATTGCTGAGTATATACCCAAAGGAAAGGAAATCAGTATGTCAAAGATATATCTACACTCCTATGTTTGCTGCAGAACTGTTTACAACAGCTAAGATCTGGAAGCAACCCAAGTGTCCATCGACAGATGAATGGATAAAGAAAATGTGGTGCACATACCCAATGGAGTACTCTTCAGCCATGAAGAAGAATGAGATCCTGTCATTTCCAACAGCATGGAGGGAACTGGAGATCGTCATGTCAAGGCAAATAAGCCAGGCACAGAAAGACAAACATCTGATGTTCTCACTTATTTGTGGGATCTAAAAATCAAATCAGTTGAACTCATGGACACAGAAAGTAGAAGGATGGCTTCCAGAGGCTGGGATTGGTAGTGGGGAGTTGGGGAAGTGGTGGAGATGGTTAATGGTTAACCAGAAACAATGAATAAGACCTATTACTTGATAGCACAACACAGTGACTATAGTCAATAATAACTTAACCGTATATTTTAAAATAACTTAAGGAATGCAATTGTATTGTTTGCAACTCAAAGAATAAATGCTTGAAGGGATAGAAGAAGAAAGAAGAAGAAGAAGAAGAAGAAGAAGAAGAAGAAGAAGAAGAAGAAGAAGAAGAAGAAGAAGAAGAAGAAGAAGAAGAAGAAGAAGGAAGAAGAGGAAGAGGAAGAGGAAGAGGAAGAAGAAGAAGAAGAAGAAGAAGAAGAAGAAGAAGAAGAAGAAGAAGTAGTCATCATCGTCGTTGTTGTCATCATCTTCACTGGCCCCTTCCAATTATGATGGATCTTAGACCACAGGCAACTGACCAGTGTGGGTGGTCCACAAATATGTCCCTATATGTATATCCGAGTTACACATTTGCAAGCCAGTAAATGAATTCCAATTAGGTCTGCAGAAACTGCGAACTCACTAGTAGATCTTGGTCAGAACTCTATTTACTACCTGGCCCGCACATGCCCCCTTTCTAACAGGGTGCCACAATGACTTTTGGGGTATCAGTGTCATCTCCTACTCCATGCTTGACATTTCTCAAGATACCTGGGCATTTTCCTTTCCACAGTTCATGGTGACGTGAATCAACGGATGGATGCCTCTTGAGGGGAGGTCTGGGTGAATCATTACTGTGTCCACAGGCTGTGGTGCTGCACAGACCTTCTCTGCCTGGGTACCCAACCTCCTTTTCAGTCAAAAAGTTCCAGATGTAAAAAATTGATTCAGGTCCAGGAATTGAACAAAGGATCCCGAGTTTCCTGTGGCAGGGGTTGGAAGGGCTGCGAAACTCTTCAGTATACCTGTCATCAGTCTTGATTTCTTCTGATGGCACATGTTGAGAAGTACTCTGTTTTACTCAGGAGTAAGGTGGCAACACATTCTGTTAACGATTTCCATAGCTCTCTGTTGTCAGGTTTCCTTGGGGCTCATTACAGTAATTCAATCCACCTGGCTGCTGACAGTCAAATGCTGACACCTGCCTTCTATAGTTTCAGGGTCTTGTCATCTCCATTTCTATCTGTGCGCCTACTTCTGTACTTTCTTCTCTTACTGTGATTTAACCCTAGTTATGGCCTATGGCAAGGGGATGTTTGGGAGGTACATCCTGAGGGGATGATATGTTGACTTGAGAGAGAAACCTGTGCATTTTCTTCACGCAAGAAGAAATGCTAGCTCATGATAAGAAGGAGTAGCTCACTTCTGCAGTTCAAGAGATTCCTCAGATTTGCGGAAATTCAGGTTTCTAGAGGTCTCATTCCAAACTACATTATGGGTCTCAATTTTGCCCAGTGCGAGCCATGAACCTGGAGAAACGGTCCTACTTTGGGTGGAAATTTAACCTTCTTTGGAGGTTTACTTCTATGATTATTAAATCACAAGCTTTCTCTGCCATCCTGTGCCAGGAGTTGAAAGTCTCCGTATAATCCCAAGGAAGCCCTGTGGCTTTCGCAGTCGGCTTTCAAGTGCATAATAATTTCTCTCTGATTTCTTTGTCTTCTTCTAGAGTGTCAGTTGAGCTTAGTAGTAGCCATAGAATCTTATTTATCCATTACAATCTCCACCATATTTTTCAAATGCTTGAAGCACTGCAACAGATAGTCTGTGTGACTGATTTTATTGTGCAGGATGTTTATGTGAGAGTACATATGGGATGAGTACCTGTGGAGAGCACAGTCAGAACACAGAATTTGGAAAAGGAAGGAAATGAGCTACTATGAGGTCTCATTACCCTCAGCCAGCTCCATGGGGTACTCTGAAGCTAAAAATGACCCTTGGGGTTTTCTTACGTTGATTAAAAATGTCTGATTTTATACTCCTGCCTCCACCAGTCACTGAATGTGGGCCACTGGAAAAACAAGGAGGCTCTCCGGAGCCAAGGTGCTCTCCAAGGAAGCTGGTAGCTGAAGGCTGTCTGTGGACAGCACTCCCAGCAGAGCGAGGAAAACATCCTAAAGGGGAATCTGAGAGTGTTTTAAAATAGAGTGGATTAGTAGAACATTTGAAACAGATCAGGAAATGACTGCCTTGGAGAGACAGATTGTTAGTCACAGTTCCGAAGAGAAGAAAGGATGCCCAGACATGGGAAATCTCATGGCGAAGCACCATGGTTGGTCCGGGCCAGAGGGAGACAGGAGAACTGCAAGCCAGAGCATTTGTTGTTGTCTCTGCCTCTGTGGGAAGGAACAGGCAAGGGAGAGTAACCAGTTTAGGATTGGCTAGTCTGAATAATTTAAGCAGCCTTGGGGCATAGGGGCTGTCCCTAGTTGCCTGGTACCTGGCCTTGGGGTGATTAGGGCAGGTGGATAGTGACCCAGGGTGTGAGAGCCCTATATAGGACATGGTTGGGAGGTATTGTATCCCCGTTGATTTGTTTGCATTTGAAAAGCACGCTCCAGGGCAAGGTGTTTACTATTTCTAAGAATTGCCTTACCAGGCCTGGGAGGAGCAAGCCTTCCAGGGTCAGCAAGGCCCAGGATGTCAAAGCATCACGACACAGAAAATAAAAGACATGCTTAATAGATCTTTATGTCCACCACGGAGGGCATGTGACGCTAGAGATGACAAAGATGGTCTTTTCCAATTTATCTGTCTTTCTGGTGCCAGGCACAGGGCTTAGAGCATCATATGTGCTCCAGAAGCGTTTGTTAACTGGACATCGTGAACATCTGGTTCTGGGTTAGGCAGTGGAGAATAAACAGGAAATGATGACAGAATCCACCGCATATGGAAAATGTTCAACACATATTTGGTGAAAGAATGAATCTATGGATGAAGCCCAGGGACTCCTAGTCAACACATCTCAGAAGAATCATGGAAAAGCCAGAAACTGACAACCACCTTCTGTGCAGCTGTGGATCCCTCCTTTGTATTGCACTGAGTGAGTTTCAGGAGGCTCTGAGTAAGGTTAATGAGTAAGAGTGGCAGAGGATCTGAGAAAGCATATCTTCCAAATCAGAGGCAAACCAGGTCAGAATCAGGAATACAGGGATGACAGTCTGTCAGAGTTGGGGATTACAGCAGGAATCACGCCCTAGAACCGATAGAGTTTTTGCTGATTCAGGACACAGTGGGGAGAAAGGCAGGTTACAAAATAACAATCAAGGTGCCGAGTTTTGAGACATAGTATAACATTCTCCCCTTTTCAGTCCACCATTCTGTGCATTTTGACAAAAGCATGCAACCATGTGATCAACCCAAGAATGAAGATCTAGGACATGTCCAAACCTCCATAAAGTGCCCTCATGCCCTTTTAAAGTTGATCTTCTATAGCCCAAGAGAACCACTGATTGATTTGTTCTCTCTCTAGTTTTCCCTTTTCTATAAAGCCAAAGAAATGGCATTGTATGTAGTCTTTTGAGTATGTCTTCTTTCACTTAGCATAATGTATTTTGAGAGTCATCCATTCTGTGGCACGCATATTATGTTATCAGTACTTAGAACTGTCTTGTTGTCGAGTAGTCTTCCAGTGTAGGTACATACCACAATTTGTTTATCCATTCCCCAGTTGATGGGCATTTGAGATGTTTCCAGTTTTTAGCAATTAAGAACGTTTTGCTGGAAGGTTTCCTGGGAAGAAGGATTTCACTTCTCTTGGGTAAATACCCTGGAGTGCGATTGCTGTATAAGTGTACCTTTAACTTCATGCAAACCTGCCAAATTGTTTTTCAAAGTGTCTTGGCCATTTTATACTTCCATCGACAATGAGAGACAGTTCCTTTTGTTCTTTTTCCAGCACTTGACAGTGAAACAGCAAGGTACCGGTACAAAAACAGACATATAGACCAATGGAACAGAATAGAGATCTCATAAATAAGACTGCACATCTACAGCCATCTGACCCTTGACAAACCTAACAGAAAGAAGCAATGTGGTAAGGATTCCCTATTTAATAAATGGTGCTTGGAGAACTGGCTAGCCATATGTAGTAAACTGAAACCAGACCCCTGTAGTAAACTGAAACCAGACCCCTTCCTTACACTTTATACCAAAATTAACTCAAGACGGATTAAACACTTAAATGTAAAACCCAAAACTATAAAAATCCTAGAAGAAAATCTAGGCAATACCATTCAGGACACAGGCACGGGCAAAGACTTCATGACAAAAACATCAAAAGCAATTGCAACAAAAGCAAAAATTGACAAAGGGGATCTAATGAAACTAAAGAGCTTCTGCAGAGCAAAAGAAACTATCATCAGAGTGAACAGACAACCTACAGAGTGGGTGGAAATTTTTGCAGTCTATCCATCTGACAAAGGTCTAATATCCAGAATCTACAAGGAACTTAAACAAATTTACAAGAAAAAACAAACAACCCCATTAAAAAGTGGGCAAAGAACATGAACAAACACTTTTCAAAAGAAGATATTTATGCGGCCAACAAACATATAAAAAAAAGCTCAACATCACTGATCATTAGACAAATAAAAGTCAAAACCACTGTGAGGTACTATCTCACACCAGTCAGAATGGCGGTTTTTATAAAGTCACGAAACAAAAGATGCTGGCGAGGCTGTGGAGAAATAGGATTGCTTTTAAACTGTTGGTGGGAGTGTAAGTCAGCTCCACCATTGTGGAAGACAGTGTGGTGATTCCTCAAAGACCTAGAAACAGAAATATCATTTGAACCAACAATCCCATTACTGGGTATATACCCAAAGGAATATAAATCATACCATTATAAATATATATGCATGCATATGTTCATTGCTGCCCTATTCACAATACCAAAGGCAATGAATCAACCCAAATGGCCTTCAATAATAGAATGGATACAGAAAATGCGGTACATATACACCACGGAATACTATGTAGCCACAAAAAGGAACAAGATCATTTCCTTTGCAGGGACATGGATGGAGCTGGAAACCATTATCCTCAGCAAACTAATGCAGGAACAGAAAACCAAACACCACATGTTCTCACTTAAAAGGGGTAGCTGAACATCGAGAACACATGGACACAGGGAGGGGAACAACACACAGTGGGGCCTGGTCGGGGGCACCGGGGGAGGGAGAACATCAGAATAAATAGCTAATGCATGCGGGGCTTAATTCCTAGGTGATGGGCTGATAGGTGCAGCAAACCATGACACACGTTTGTCTATATAACAAACCTGCACGTCATGCACATGTATCCTGGAACTTAAAACAAAATGAAATAAAATTTAAAAACACCTGAAGATTTTTTTAAAAAAGAAAAAGTTTTAGGCCTAAAAATGACATTAACTTCATCAAAGTAGAAATCCAACAGGTCATTTTTTTTTTTATTATACTTTAAGTTTTAGGGTGCATGTGCACAACGTGCAGGTGTGTTACATATGTATACATGTGCCATGTTGGTGTCCTGCACCCATTAACTCGTCATTTAACATTAGGTATATCTCCTAATGCTATCCCTCCCCCGTCCCCCCACCACACAACAGGCCCCGGTGTGTGATGTTCCCCTTCCTGTGTCCATGTGTTCTCATTGTTCAATCCCCACCTAAGAGTGAGAACATGCGGTGTTTGGTTTTTTGTCCTTGCGCTAGTTTGCTGAGAATGATGGTTTCCAGCTTCATCCATGTCCCTACAAAGGACATGAACTCATCATTTTTTATGGCTGCATAGTATTCCATGGTGTATATGTGCCACATTTTCTTAATCCAGTCTATCATTGTTGGACGTTTGGGTTGGTTCCAAGTCTTTGCTATTGTGAATAGTGCCGCAATAAACATACGTGTGCATGTGTCTTTACATCAGCATGATTTATAATCCTTTGGGTATATACCCAGTAATGGGATGGCTGGGTCAAATGGTATTTCTAGTTCTAGATCCCTGAGGAATCGCCACACTGACTTCCACAATGGTTGAACTAGTTTACAGTCCCACCAACAGTGTAAAAGTGTTCCTATTTCTCCACATCCTCTCCAGCACCTGTTGTTTCCTGACTTTTGAATGATCGCCATTCTAACTGGTGTGAGATGGTACCTCACTGTGGTTTTGATTTGCATTTCTCTGATGGCCAGTGATGATGAGCATTTTTTCATGTGTCTTTTGGCTGCATAAATGTCTTCTTTTGAGAAGTGTCTGTTCATATCCTTCGCCTACTTGTTGAGGGGGTGGTTTGTTTTTTTCTTGTAAATTTGTTGGAGTTCGTTGTAGATTCTGGATATTAGCCCTTTGTCAGATGAGTAGATTGCAAAATTTTCCTCCCATTCTGTAGGTTGCCTGTTCACTCTGACGGTAGTTTCTTTTGCTGTGCAGAAGCTCTTTAGTTTAATTAGATCCCATTTGTCAATTTTGGCTTTTGTTGCCATTGCTTTTGGTGTTTTGGACATGAAGTCCTTGCCCATGCCTATGTCCTGAATGGTATTGCCTAGGTTTTCTTCTAGGGTTTCTATGGTTTTAGGTCTAACATTTAAGTCTTCAATCCATCTTGAATTAATTTTTGTATAAGGTGTAAGGAAGGGATCCAGTTTCAGCTTTCTACATACGGCTAGCCAGTTTTCCCAGCACCATTTCCAAAATAGGGAATCCTTTCCCCATTTCTTGTTTTTCTCAGGTTTGTCAAAGATCAGATAGTTGTAGATATGTGGCATTATATCTGAGGGCTCTGTTCTGTTCCGTTGGTCTATATCTCTGTTTTGGTACCGGTACCATGCTGTTTTGGTTACTGTAGCCTTGTAGTATAGTTTGAAGTCAGGTAGAGTGATGCCTCCAGCTTTGTTCTTTTGGCTTAGGATTGACTTGGCAATGCGGGCTCTTTTTTGGTTCCATATGAACTTTACAGTAGTTTTTTCCAATTCTGTGAAGAAAGTCATTGGTAGCTTGATGGGGATGGCATTGAATCTATAAATTACCTTGGGCAGTATGGTCATTTTCACGATATTGATTCTTCCTACCCATGAGCATGGAATGTTCTTCCATTTGTTTGTATCCTCTTTTATTTCATTGAGCAGTGGTTTGTAGTTCTCCTTGAAGAGGTCCTTCACGTTCCTTGTAAATTGGATTCCTAGGTATTTTATTCTCTTTGAAGCAACTGTGAGTGGGAGTTCACTCATGATTTGGCTCTCCGTTTGTCTGTTATTGGGGTATAGGAATGCTTGTGATTTTTGCACATTGATTTTGTATCCTGACACTTTGCTGCAGTTGCTTATCAGCTTAAGGAGATCTGGGGCTGAGACGATGGGGTTTTCTAGATATACAATCATGTCATCTGCAAACAGGGACAATTTGACTTCCTCTTTTCCTAACTGAATACACGTTATTTCCTTCTCCTGCCTGATTGCCCTGGCCAGAACTTCCAACACTATGTTGAATAGGAGTGGTGAGAGAGGGCATCCCTGTCTTGTGCCAGTTTTCAAAGGGAATGCTTCTAGTTTTTGCCCATTCAGTATGATATTGGCTGTGGGTTTGTCATAGATAGCTCTTATTATTTTGAAATACGTCCCATCAATACCTAATTTATGGAGAGTTTTTAGCTTGAAGGGTTGCTGAATTTTGTCAAAGGCCTTTTCTGCATCTATTGAGATGATCATATGGTTTTTGTCTTTGGTTCTGTTTATATGCTGGATTACGTTTATTGATTTGTGTATGTTGAACCAGCCTTGCATCCCAGGGATGAAGCCCACTTGATCATGGTGGATAAGCTTTTTGATGTGCTGCTGGATTTGGTTTGCCAGTATTTTATTGAGGATTTTTGCATCGATGTTCATCAGGGATATTGGTCTAGAATTCTCTTTTTTTGCTGTGTCTCTGCCAGGCTTTGGTATCAGGATGATGCTGTCCTCATAAAATGAGTTAGGGAGGATTCCCTCTTTTTCTATTGCTTGGAATAGTTTCAGAAGGAATGGTACCAGCTCCTCCTTCTACCTCTGGTAGAATTCGGGGGCGTGAATCCATCTGGTCCTGGACTTTTTTTGTTTGGTAAGCTATTAATTATTGCCTCACTTTCAGAGCCTGTTATTGGTCTATTCAGATATTCAACTTCTTCCCAGGTTTAGTCTTGGGCGAGTGTATGTGTCGAGGAATTTATCCATTTCTTCTAGATTTACAAGTTTATTTGCATAGAGGTGTTTATCGTATTCTCTGATGGTAGTTTGTATTTCTGTGGGATCAGTAGTGATATCCCCTTTATCATTTTTTATTGCATCTATTTGATTCTTCTCTCTTTTCTTCTTTATTAGTCTTGCTAGCGGTCTATCAATTTTGTTGATCCTTTCAAAAAACCAGCTCCTGGATTCATTGATTTTTTGAAGGGTTTTTTGTGTCTCTATCCCCTTCAGTTCTGCTCTGATCTTAGTTATTTCTTGCCTTCTGCTAGCTTTTGAATGTGATTGCTCTTGCTTCTCTAGTTCTCTTAATTGTGATGTTAGGGTGTCAATTTTAGATCTTTCCTGCTTTCTCTTGTGGGCATTTAGTGCTATAAATTTCCCTCTACGCACTGCTTTGAATGTGTCCCAGAGATTCTGGTATGTTGTGTCTTTGTTCTCGTTGGTTTCAAAGAACATCTTTATTTCTGCCTTCATTTCCTTATGTACCCAGTAGTCATTCAGGAGCAGGTTGTTCAGTTTCCATGTAGTTGAGCGGTTTTGAGTGAGTTTCTTAATCCTGAGTTCTAGTTTGATTGCACTGTGGTCTGAGAGACAGTTTGTTAGAATTTCTGTTCTTTTACATTTGCTGAGGAGTGCTTTACTTCCAACTATGTGGTCAATTTTGGAATAGGTGTGGTGTGGTGCTGAAAAGAATGTATATTCTGTTGATTTCGGGTGGAGAGTTCTATACATGTCTATTAGGTCCACTTGGTGCAGAGCTGAGTTCAATTCCTGGATATCCTTGTGAACTTTCTGTCTCATTGATCTGTCCAATGTTGACAGTGGGGTGTTAAAGTCTCCCATTATTATTCTGTGGGAGTCTAAGTCTCTTTGTAGGTCTCTAAGGACTTGCTTTATGAATCTGGGTGCTCCTGCATTGGGTGCATATATATTTAGGATAGTTAGCTCTTCTTGTTGAATTGATCCCTTTACCATTATGTAAGGGCCTTCTTTGTCTCTTTTGATCTTTGTTGGTTTAAAGTCTGTTTTATCAGAGACTAGGATTGCAACCCCTGCCTTTTTTTGTTTTCCGTTTGCTTGGTAGATCTTCCTCCATCCCTTTATTTTGAGCCTATGTGTGTCTCTGCACGTGAGACGGGTTTCCTGAATACAGCACACTGATGGGTCTTGACTCTTTACCCAATTTGCCAGTCTGTGCCTTTTAATTGGAGCCTTTAGCCCATTTACATTTAAGGTTAATATTGTAATGTGTGAATCCGATCCTGTCATTATGATGTTAGCTGGTTATTTTGCTCGTTAGTTGATGCAGTTTCTTCCTAGCCTCGATGGTCTTTACACTTTGGCATGTTTTTGCAGTGGCTGGTACCGGTTGTTCCTTTCCATGTTTAGTGCTTCCTTCAGAAGCTCTGTTAGGGCAGGCCTGGTGGTGACAAAATCCCTCAGCATTTGCTTGTCTGTAAAGTATTTTATTTCTCCTTCACTTATGAAGCTTAGTTTGGCTGGATATGACATTCTGGGT
Organism: Homo sapiens; assembly: GCF_000001405.40. Classification (NCBI taxonomy): domain Eukaryota; kingdom Metazoa; phylum Chordata; class Mammalia; order Primates; family Hominidae; genus Homo; species Homo sapiens. Next base: position 102,265,155 of record NC_000023.11, on the reverse strand, counting down.
TGAAAATTCTTTTCCTTAAGAATGTTGAATATTGGCCCCCACTCTCTTCTGGCTTGTAGAGTTTCTGCCGAGAGATCCGCTGTTAGTCTGATGGGCTTCCCTTTGTGGGTAACCCGACCTTTCTCTCTGGCTGCCCTTAACATTTTTTCCTTCATTTCCACTTTGGTGAATCTGACAATTATGTGTCCTGGAGTTGCTCTTCTCGAGGAGTATCTTTGTGGTGTTCTCTGTATTTCCTGAATCTGAATGTTGGCCTGCCTATTTTTAAAGCACTGTGAAGTGAAAGTAGAAATGTCAATGAAAGTGAAATTAACAATAAGTAGCCACATACAATTTTTTTTTTGAGACAAAGAGTCTCACTCTGTTGCCCAGGCTGGGGTGCAATGGCATGATCTCGGCTCACTGCAACCTCCGCCTACCGGGTTTCAAGCAATTGTCCTGCCGCAGCCTCCTGAGTAGCTGGGACTATAGGCGCCCGCCACCACAACTGACTAATTTGTTTTTTGTTTTTTTTTTTTTTTAGTAGAGACAGGGTTTCACCATGTTAGCCAGGCTGGTCTCGAACTCCTGATCTCAAGTGATCCGCCTGCCTCAGCTTTCCAAAGTGCTGGGATTACAGGCGTGAGCCACCGTGCCTGGCCGCCACATACAAATTTTACTTAAGATCAATGTAAATAACTATTGGATTAATAAAAAAAAAATTCAAATTAAGAATATTTTACAAAGTCACAATAATTTAGAGGAAGTCTTGTGACTGGAGTCAAGGGACTTGAATTTATCTAACTGCTTCTACCATTACTAGCTTAATGTTACAGAAAAACATCAATTCTGGCCTTGTCCACTACTATGCACTAAAACAGAAGCTATTGTTTCAGAAAAGTGCTCAAAACATAAAAATGTCTTCAAATATTCATAAAGTAATCACATTCTAAAAATAATTATACCATATGTTATGCCAGAGAAGTTGGTGACATTCCAAATAAAATTAAATCCAGAATTTCTCATGGAAAAAAAAAGAGTAGTATGAACAGTTCTTGCCTTCTTCTCATCTTATTAATTGTGATATGGAGTAGACATTTTTTCCCGTGACTTGGCAAATTTTGTTTCTCAGTTTTGAGTGTTGATCAGCTTCCACAACTTTATTCTTTGTTCTTTCTGTGTCATGAATATCTCCAAGGAATCCTGTAGTGTAAAGTTTTTTGCAAGTGTCACTTTCACTGGGATATCTTAATCCTTTCCATCAAAACCGTTTTGCAATTTCCACTTCCAGCATTATTTCTTGTCATTTGTTTGCATGTTTCTGTCTTTGTTGGCCAATTACCTTTTTAAACTATCCAGTTCTTTGGTAAAATGTCATATGAGTAGTTCACTGGGAGACAAGGAGGAAACTCAGCTTCATTCTTTGCTGTTGATGCATGAAATAAATAATAGATACTCAGTGACCAAACATGATTAGATTTTAAAAGAAAAGTGACATGACTGGTCACTGATCCTGATGCTCATCTATTATTTAAATAGTGATTTGTGGAGCGACACAAACAGAATTTGAAAGAAGTGACATGACTGGCCACTGATCATGATTCTCATCTGTTATTTCAGTAGCGATTTGTGGACTGAAGAACCAGCAGCAATGTTTGGTCTTTATGTAGTTACTGACAGTTAGTTTACCATGGTAACTGAAATTTGACCCATACTGTGAAGGGACTAGTGTTATTTAACTAAATCACGGTGAATGACCTTAGTGCATATCAGAACTGTGCAAAGGGAGGACTGTATATAAAAATAGAGTTGACCTACTTTTAATATTGACCTGGTATACGGCAACCTAGGCACACTCACTCATTAGTTCTAGGAGGTTTTTCATAAATTCCCAGAAATTTTATACATAGCCACCATGTCAGTAAATAGGGACACTTTTTCATGACTTCATTTCCAATCTGTGTGCCTTTTAGTGCTTTCCTTTGCTTTATTGTACCGGTTGGGTCTTCCAAGGAGGTATTCAATAGGAATGCTGAGAGTGATTGTCTTTGCCGCAGTGCTATCATTTCAACATGTTGAACAATATAAACACATTAGTACTCTGTCTTCTTTTTTTACTGTCTTTGACCTGCAGTAACTTATCATTTCAACACGTAAACAATACAAATAAGTTATTAGTTAGTTATTCTACATTTTTTGTTTCTCACTAAGTCTTGAATATACCGTGTGCGTTTTACAGTTATCGTACATCACATTTTGGAGTAGCCAAATTTCTAGTGCTCAGTAGCCACATGTGGCTAGTGTTTACTATACTGAATAGTGCAACTCTAGGGGAGGAGCAGAGGGAGCAAATACATATGGAATGATGTGTACCATGAAGGAAATGTACATGGTACATTTAAAAACAGCATGGTGAAGTAAGGGAAGTAATGGGAGAGAAGTGGGGTAAGTAAGGAGAGGGAAGTAAGAGAAAAACCTCTCGGAGGACGTAACATCTAAGCTACGGCCTGAGTCTTGATGAGCTATCCAACAGCATAAAGAGGCCAATGTGGATTGAGCAGAGTATGCAAGGGGCAAAGCAAAAAAAAAAAAAAAAAAAAAAAAAAAAAAAATTCTGGGCCATAGATGGGCAAAATAACTTTCCCAAATCCCCTAAGAAAAGAGCGGGGAAACAGACAAAACATAGGAAGATCTGTACTGTGAGTGACTTGGTGTAGGGTCTTGTTTGCCTATTCATTCTTAGCACCGGGAACAGTACCTAGCTAATAACAGATCTTTGGTGAATCTGTGTGAAATAAGGGCAAACTGAACCCCAGGCTTCTGAGACCTAGGAAAGGAGATAGCAATATACTGATAAAGACACCAGTAGGTAGTGGGGATAGTTTGTTTCTTGTTGTTCTTGTTTTTCATTTTAATTGCCAATGGTTTGTCATAAGCAACCTAAGGCAATCATGAATACAGGAAGATTAAAGGACCTCAGTGAGTAATATTATTGGCTTCAGTAACCAGCACCTACTCCAGAAAAACATCCAGGAAAGGTTTCAACTGTCCTGACTTGCGTCAAGTACCCATAAGTGAACCGATCAGTGTGGACAGGGAAATGGTGTGCCACGACTGGGTCAGCCCATGTCACGTACCCAACACTGTGGTCAGTAACAAGAAGGAGGACGTAGAGGACAATGGGCAAGAGACCCACAAGACTTCGTAAAGTCTGCTGTTTCCTTCTTAGAGTTTTTCTTTTATGGAGGTCAGTTACATATCCAATCTTCCTAACACCAGTTTCCTGGAATAGCAGAATGGCACATTATGTGTCTTTACAAATTGGGCTTCAGGCAAGAACACTCAGTATTTTAGTGGCCACACATCAGTGATGAAACAACTCCTTGTCCTGTGAAGATCACTGAGAATGGGTGGTCTAGTTCATGTCGTTCTGTGGTACTGCCTGCAGCATCACCTTCAATGAGGCCTGCACTTTAGCAAGCTTGTATGTCCAAACTGCCATGTGATTGCCATTGTTCATAGCAATGGACAGGGACAGGATAAATCACATGCTTCAGCTCCATCAACGCTGTTAAGTGCTGCAGAAGACTCGTGAGCACAGGCATTGTAATGGGGTTGAAGACAAAGCTAGGGACACAGAGGTGGGAACAGTGGCTCAGGGCTGGGATGACAACAGAGAAAGTAGAATCAGTTATCAGGCAGTTGTCTATCTCCAGATGCTGCAGGGTCCCTGAGACCGTCTCCAGCAGAGCCTGGAATGGCTCAGAAACTTCCCAGGATATCTGATTGTTACTCAGACTCAACAGTCTTAGGTGGGTAACCTCAGAGCTCTGGGATAGGACAGTGATGTCTCTCTGGTAGAAAGTCCACAGAAAGACACATACAGTGTGTACAAATGAGATGGCAGGGCTCTGTAGAGAGAAAAAAGGAAGGCATTTCTGAAGAATGAGGGTTGGATTAGAGCAAGCAGCCCTGAATTATAGATACTTATGACTCTAGAATAAAGTAATCTGTATATCCATTGCAACAGCAGTTAACACTGTGGACTTTACAGTCAGACTTAATAGATTTGTGACCCTAAGAAAGTTACTTTTCCACGCTGAGATACAGTTTTTTAATCTTTCAAATGTGCACAATAGCAATTATTATAGAGGGTTGTGGGACAGATTAAGGGAAAAAGAATTTAACTTAGTGCCTACAGTATAATTAGCAGTGTATCTAGTTCAGTTATTTGATGGGGATGGGTCTGGGAAAGCAGCCGACTGAGAATTCCCTTTGACGAATTTCCAAATGACAGGTTCTCCATTCAGGTCCTAAGCCTCGGGAAAACTACAGGAACAAAACGATCTGGCGGTATTACCTATTGTGACCAGCCCATGGGGATGTGCATCAGTGCTACAGCGTCAGTTATTTCTCCGACTGAATGCCTCCCCTTCCTCTCTAGAAGGCTACACACTCCAATAAAAGCAGGACTGTTGTCTTTTTCGCCAATATGTCGACAGACTTATCTTAGTGTCTGCACGTCTGCACATGGTTGATTGACTGACTGACTGACTGACTGACTGGGCACAGCTGACTTTTCTAATCCTGTCTTTCTCCTCAGCATGAGGGACCACACTCTCTAGCTTGGCCAGTTTAAAACACCCAGCAGTGCCCGTGCTGATGTGGAAGGAGAAATAGGTTACAAAGTGTTTAAGAATATCTAAGAATAGTCGCACTCTTTTGTTCGTAATGGGGCATTCAGGGAACCCAGGTCCCTCCCCAACCTCTCACCCGGAAATTTTGTCCAGCTGATCTGTGAGGCAGAAGCAAGACAAGCTGAGTTCCTGGAGGTTGTTCATCCGCTCATGATGAGTGAAAAAAGTTGAGAAGTTTCTCCCCTTACAGGATTTTAAAAGGATTTTAGATAGACTAAGTCTGTCCTGGTGGATCTTCTGTGCCAAAAGGGTGCTGACTTCACTCAAACAAGCCTGACCTACTTCCAGGTGATCAGTGCATCCCAGATCCAGAAACTACAGGACGCTTTTGTGGGCAGACACTTGATGAATTTGCAAATCTCTGCAGCAGAGATGCAAGGACCCAAGGCTCTGCTCAACTTTACTCGAAAGGAAAGAAAAGAGTTGCCTTGTTCTCAAGGTACCATCAAGGGAAATGTCCACTAACAATCCCATGCGTTCCCTGGATGGGCCGAGACTCAGACTCTAAATGTACAATTTCCAGGCACCTAACACTTCGCTTGGCTTCTTCTATTTTCAGGATAGAGTGCTGAGAGTAAACGCAAGACTGAAAACAAAATGGGAATGTGCTCCTGATCTCAGAGCATGTGGTTCTGCTGTCTGGGTCCTGCTTTAAATCCAGGACCCTCCGTTTTGGCCGTCTGCAGGAAGAGGAAGAGACAGAATATGAAAGGTGGCTGATTTTAATATAACCCAGCAACATCAATGAGGGGAAGGAGGGGCAAACCCTTTATCTTTGCTCTTCACTCTGTAAACAATCTACCAACAAATATTTTTTTGTACAAACTCAACATCTTTTATTGTTTTTCCCATCCTTCCTTCTCCTCCGATCCTCCCCAGTCTGGTGTCCATGTTGTTCTTCTATGTAATCATACCCAGTAGGTGAATCCATCAATAGTACTCTCAATCACCTCTATTCCATAATCACCTCTGTAAGACATTAGAGTCCTTAAGGTGACCCCAAGTGTTGGACCAACAACCTCACAGAGATCCTCAGCATTCACCGTCAACCACCTTTGGGAGACTGTTAGGCCACCCCCTGCCTCAGGCTGCAGCATACCCTCCTGATGACTCACTATGTCTCTAGTGTACATAGGGTTACCGAGGGGAAGAGCTCTGGGCAGGGAGGATCTGCAGGACCATCAATCGTGGCTCCCAAGATTTCATAGTGTGACTCCCTTACACTCAACGGTCCAACATGGAGACAACGGGAGGGCCAAATCCTCACCATGGCCTTTAGTTTCATCTTCTGCCCACCCAAGAAGGCAGTGATGAACAATGGAACAAAGAGGTCTCATGGGAGCTCCTCAAGAGCATGGATAGCTGCAGGCTCATCACTCAGCAGACTCCATGCAGCGAGCTCTAGCAGTGTGGCTGGCACCTTTTGGTCCATTGACATGAACCTGCTTTAGGGTGAGGAACATTAACAAATCCTGAGAAGATTTTCACAGTCTCTTGCCTGCCACCAAAGATAGCAATAAATGAAATATGTATTGAACAAATATATGGTAAATCAAACGACCACTTCAAGAGACCTCTACTATAGACATGGAATACAAATAGACTTGTATGTGTGTATAAATGTCTGTGTTGGTGTGTGTGTGTGTGTGTGTGTGTGTGTGTGTGTGTGTGTGGTGTCTGTCTGTCTGTGTGTGTATACACACACATATGTATTTAGATAAGATAAAATGCCATTTGAAATCAGCTGTAAGTCAGCATAAGGCAATGTCGACCACCCAGGCACCTGCCTCCCAATGTTTCATGTCAAAAGGATATAAACCAATCAGAAAGGAAGATGTAAATCTATACAGAAGCCACATCCTCATCGTTACTTAGAAACAGATAATGCCAAATCTTTAGTAGTGAGTAAAAGGAGAAAAGGCATGAAATCCCAGCACAAGATCTGTCATGCTCTCATCACTAGTCTTTGTGGCAAGCAAAGACAGACCAAGAAAAGCTGCAAGAGACACAGAGAAAGGAAGAGGCAAGGGACTTAAAGTTGGTCCGAAACTACAGTTAAAATGACTGAGCCCAGACTAAGTCTAAAAAAATACCAAAAAGGTGTCCCAGATAATAAGAGCAGGGACTACAGGGAAGGACCTCTAAAATACGTGTAATTTAAAGGGGTAGAGATGATCTTAGAATGTAGTCTTTGGGTTGGGTGCAGTGGCTCATGCCTGTAATCCCATCACTTTGGGAGGCCCGAGGCAGGAGGACCACTGAGCCCAGGAGTTTCAGACCAGCCTAGGCAATATAGTGAGACCTCGTCTCTACGAAAACTTAAAACAGTGGCCAAGTGTGGTGGTGTGCGCCTGTGGTCCCAGCTACTCGGGAGGCTGAGGTGGGAGGATCGCTGGAGCCCAGGAGGCAGAAGTTGCAGTGAGCCGAGATCACACCCCTGCACTCCAGCCTGGGAGACAGAGCGAGACTCTATCTCAAATTAAAATAAAATAAAATAAAAGTAGCCTTTGAAATCCACAGCTTCTGGGTAAGAGTAAGGGCAAACAGAAAGGGAGAAGCATGCTTTGCCACTTTGGTAATGATGGGGAAAAGAAACAAAAGGGGAAAATGAAGAATCTTGCAAGACATAAGAGAACCACAGAATCAGAGCACTCATAACTTCTTTGTCCGCTACCAAAACAAGCAAACGAAATCAGTAAATTTCAGGCCTGAATTTTTCTACACTGACAGAAAATAGCACCTGTAAAATAGGAATCTGGTAAAACAATCCAATATCATAAAAATGAACAAAAGGAAGGATAATTCCTTACAAAAACATTCCAGAAAGAGAAAAAGAGCAGAAGACAAAATTTCACACATATTAAACAACCATGAAACAGAAGGAAACTGTACGTCAACCCTGCAAACAGAATTAATTCCATTCAAACAAGCATTTGAGGATATAAAACCTGCCTTGAATTAGAATATTACTTAAAACTCTAAACTCAGAAATGGGCTGAGAAAAACGTCTGAAGTACTGATTTGATATCCAGCTCAGCCGATCCTTCACTAATATCACAGCTTATAGAAAAACAGACAGGAACTTAGGAAATTATGTACCCATCAGCCCTTCCTGAGGACTCCACTAGAGCAAGGGTCTGCAAACTATGGCCCACTGGTTGGAATATTTACCATATGGCTCTTTACAGAAAACGTTTGCTAACTTATATTCTAAAGGGTAAACTGGGATTGTGATTCCACAGGTAACGACAGGAAAATCTTCCCTACAACATCTGATGGCAAGCATTTGGTATCTAATACTAAAATGAAGGTGAAGCAAGGAAAATGACTAACGTGCATTTATTTTATATTGTGGAAAAAAAGAAATAGTGCAAGTAAAATAAGAGAAGTGAGAGAGATAGAAAGAAAAAGAGAATAAACTTTTTTTTTTTCATAAGGCAGTAGATGAGTGTTAAAAGGAGACTGGGGGTTAAAAACAAACTAGTGGACCAGATAGTAAAATGTTCAATAAGAAAGCAGGTGCTAAAAGTAATTTTTTTAATGACAAAGTTTACATGCTAACATTAAAATTGAAAATTCACAGTGAATATATAATACTTAGGAATACTTATGCACCAAATAACATAGGAACCACCTTTGTAATGCCAAAAGGTATGGAGACATTGAAGCACAGTAATAATAGGAGATTTAATACATGGCAAGTCTCAGTACAAGGCAAATCCAGTGGTACAATAAAGAGACCTATACCGAAAATGTAAACAACACAATAAGATACATTGTGTGTGTGTATACACACATAGGCATACATACACACACATAAATCTACACCTTGGAGATAAAGAATATACCACCTTGTCAAAAGCTGATGGCACGTTAACAAAACGTGATCATAATTACCTCACAGTGAAGGCCTCGCTAATTTCCATAAAGTAGAAATATTACAACCAACCCTCTGCAATCACGATGCAACAAAAGTAGAACTTACTAACACAAACTGAAAGCACAAAGGCTCTTCTACCTGGAAAAAATGTTCAGTCTTCTATTAAGCAAATGTCGAGATAAAGACGAGATACCAACTGAAGTTACAGAAATATTTAAGAAGAGTGATTATAAGAGCTTACATATGAGACTCTGTAGAAGATAGTTAAAGCAGTGATTGGAAGCAGATTCAGAGCGCTAAATACTCTCATCAATGAAAATGAACGAATAAAATTAGACAAATTAAAGCACTGCCTCAAAAATCTAATAAAAGAACAACCCGGGAAACCAAAAGAAACACAAATAAAGAAATAACATAAAAGCAGAAATTGCCGGGCTTGGTGGCTCACACCTGTAATCCAACCACTTTGAGAGGCTGAGGCGGGAGGATCACTTGAGGCCAGGCGTTTGAGACCAGCCTGGGCAACATAAGGAGACCCTGCCTCTACAGTAATAATAATAATAATAATGATTCTTTAGCAGGGCGTGATGGAACATGCCTGTAGTCCTACTTACTGAGGAGGCGGAGGTGGGAAGATTGCTTGAGCCCAGGAGCTCAAGGCTGCAGTGAGCTGTGATCACAACGCTGCACTCCAGACTGAGTGATCCAGGGAGATTCGGTCATTAAAATGAATGAATGAATGAATGAATGAATGAATACATAAGCAGATGTTAATAAGATACATAGTAGAAAAACAATGTGTGTATATTTATTAAATCAAAATCCTGGTTTTTTTTTTAATGGACAAACTCACTAGGCAGATTAATGAAGGAAGAAAGGGAGAGAGCACAAATATACAAAATAATAAACGACAAATGATAATCATTTAAACAGAAAAAATTAGGTTGCTTTTCAAACCTGTGTATAAAGAAATTAAAAATACACATGAAATAAATAATTTCCTAGGAAAATACAGATTATCAAGATTTTTACTCTAATGCTGGAAGGCTTAACTTGGCCAATTTTTACAGAAAAAAATGGAAAAAGTTATTAAGGAATAACTCCCAAGAAGCACCTGGCTCAGATGCTATTACAGGTCAATTCTACTAAACCTTCAAAGATCAGATAGTACCAGAGTGCCAATGCTCTATAAATTATTCAACAGCATTATAAAGGAAATTTTCATAACTTCCTTTATGAAGCAAGTGTGACATGGATAGATAAGTGTAGATGCAAAAATGCTAGATAAAATATTAGCAAACAACATATTTAAAAAATCATAATATACTTTGGCAAAGTGGGATTTATCCCATCAATACAGATTGGCTCAATATTAGAAAGTACCTTGATATCATCCACCATATTAATATACTTAAAGACAAATATCATATGGTTATCACCACAGATGTTGAAAAAGCCTTTGGAAAAATTCAACACCTCTTTATGTTAAAAAATAGAAAAGCCTTAAGAAAATAGGCACCACAGGATGCTTTCTTAACATGATAAAACATATATACCTAAGTCCTAATGCTAGTAACTTATTTAATGGGGTGGGGGGGCACTCGAAGCTTTCCCTTGGGATCAGGAACAAGGAAAGCATGCCTACTACCTCACACCTATTCAATCTTGCATTACAAGTATTAGTCAACTGAGCAGAGAAATAGATCATTTTCCTAGGAATGAATAAGAAGAACTAAAAAGCACAGCAAAGGGAACAATCAACAAAATGAAATGGCAACTTACACATTGAGAGCAAATACTTGCAAAACATATGTATGAATAAGGGGTTAGCATCCAAATTTTGTAAGGAAATCATACAACTCCATAGCAGAAAAACAATCAAATTTAAACAACGGGCAAAGGACCTGAATAGACATTTCTCCAAAGAAGACATACACACTGACTAACAGGTGTATGAAAAAGTGCTCAACATCATTAATCATCAGGAAAATGCAGATAAAAGCTACTATGAGGCAACACCATACAACCATTAGGATAGCTATTATCAAAAAGCCAAGAGATGGCAAACATTGCCGAGTGTGTGGAGAAAAGGGAACCCTTGTACACTGTTGATGGGAATGTAGATAGGGACAATCATTATGGAAAACAGTATGGAGGTACCTAAAGAAATAGATTTTTTTTTTCTGTTTTAGTAAATAAAATGGTAGTTCTACATTTTTCTATTTTAGAAAAAAATATGGTAGTGAAAAAGAGAACTATCATATGACCCAGCAACTGCTTTTCTGGGTATCTACTTAAAGGAAATAAAATAACCACCTTTTGAAAGTAGCTGATCTTTGAAAAGTATCTGAACTCCCATGTTCACTGCAGCATTAATCACAATAGCCAAGATATGGAAACAACCTAGGTGTCCATCAAGGGACAGATGGATACAGAAAATGTGTTGTATGTATACACTTTAAAAAGGAGATCTTGCCATTTGCCAAAACATGGATGAATCTGGAGGACATTATGCTATAACAATGAAATAATAGTGAAATAATCCAGATACAGAAAGAGAAATATTGCATGATCTCACTTATATGTGGAATCTTAAAAAAATAAAAGTAAAACAAAACTCAAATATACAGAGATACAGAATAAAGCAGTGGTTATCAGGGTCGGGGTGGGGAGGAGGGGATGGGAGGAGGAAAGCGGGAGATGTAGGTCAGAGGATGCAAAGTAGCAGATATGTAGGATGAAAGAGACTAGAGATCTAGTGCACAACATGCTGGAATACAGTTTGTACAATTGTACTATTAAATATGATGCGGGATTTCTGCTAAATGAATAGATTTTAGCGCCTACTGCTACCAAAACCAAAAATGGGTCACTATGTGACATAATGGGTTATGTTAATTTGTTCCACTATAGTAACTATTTTACTATCCATACGTGTCCCATAACACCGTGTTGTATACCTTAGATATACACAATAAAACTTACTTTTTACAAAGAGAAGTAAAGCCATCTCTACATGCAGATGATATTATAGTATACCTGAAAAACCCTATAGAAACGATGATAAATCAACTGAACCAGTAAAAGAAGTCATTAAGGTAGCAAAATATAAAATTAACATACAAAAAATCAGCAGTCTTTTAATACACACACAAAAAATAAGCAGCTGGAGGATACATTCACAGACAAAGCCCCATATACACTAGCAACAAGGATTAAAGTTTAGGAATAAACTTGATAACAACATTTATACAAGAAAAATTTTTAAATATGCCTGAATGACACCACAGAAGACTTGAACAAATGGAAACACATACGCTATCTGAGATGGTCTGAATGTTTGTGTACCCCCAAAATTACTATCTTGAAATTTTTTATTTTTATTTTTATTTTATTTTATTTTATTATTATTACACTTCAAGTTTTAGGGTACATGTGCACAATGTGCAGGTTAGGAAATTTTACCCGCAAGGTGATGCCATTAGGAGGTGGGGCCTTTTGAGAGGCGACTAGGTCATAAGGGTGGAGCCCTTATGAATGGGATTAGTTCTCTCATAAAAGAGGCTTCAGAGAGCTGCCTTGTCCCTTCCACCATGTTGAGGATACAATTAGAAAGTACCATCGATGAGGAAGAGGGTCCTCACCAGACACCAAATCAGCCAGAATCTTTATCTTGGACTTGTCAGTCTCCAGAGCTGCGAGAAATAAATTTCTGTTGTTTATAAACTACCTAGTCTATGGTATTTTGTAATAGCAGCCCAAACAGACTACGTCACTGTCCTAGATGGAATAATCCAGCATTAAAAAGATGTCGGTTCTTCCTAAATTGGTGTATAAATTTAATTCAGTCGCAAAAACGCCAGCACACATTTTTATGCATTTAGGCAAATTGATAATAAAGTTAATATATTTGTGAAAACATGCAAGCATAGCCAGGAAACACGTGAAAAAGAAAATCTATGAGAGGGGACTTATGATATCAGCCAGAAAAGCACACTATAAAGCCTCTGTAATTACGACATTGTGGCACTGGTGCAAGAATAGACTAATAGCCCAGTGGACTAGAATAGAAAACTCAGAAATACAACCAAATCATATGACAGTTAGTACATGATAAAGATGGCACATAAACTCTTTAGGGCAAAGATGGACATTTAATAAATGGTCCTGGAACAACTGAGACGTCTGGAAAAATAAAGGTAGATCCATATAACACAGCATGCACAAGAATAAACTGCAAATGGGTTAGGGATCTAAACATAACAAATGAAACCATGTAAGTTCTTGAAGAAAACATGGCAGTGGCCGGGGGAGGGGGGTGGCTCACGCCTATAATCCCAGCACTTTGGGAGGCTGAAGCGGGTGGATCGCCTGAGGTCCGGAGTTTGAGACCAGCCTGGCCAAAATGGTGAAACCCCGTCTCTACTAAAAATACGAAAATGAGCCAGGCGAGGTGGCGGGCGGCTGTAATCCCAGCTACTCGAGAGGCTGAGACAGGAGAATTGCTTGAACCTGGGAGGCAGAGGTTGCAGTGAGCCGAGATCGCGCCACTGCACTCCAGCCTGGACGACAAAGCGAGACTCCATGTCAACCAAAGAAAAGAAAGAAAAAACAAAACAAAACAAAACAAAACATGGCAGAACCCCACTGTAGGGAAAAGCTTTCTAACTAGGATTCAAATTCCGGAGGCAATGAAAGAAAAAAATAATCAATCCATTTGACCACATAAGGATAAACGAAAGTGATGCAAATGCATCATAAATAAATCAAAAGGCAACTGACAAATTGATGTAAAGTACTTGCAGCACATATCGCAGACAACTGGATAATATTCCAAATATATAGAGAGCTCTTAAATATTGAGGGATGAAGGACCACAACAGCAATAGAAATATGGGGGAAAGATATGAACAGATAATTCCAACAAAAAGTATAAAAACAGTCCTCAAATATATGGTTAAGTGTCAAAACTTGCTCATAGTTAGACAAAGGTATATTACAGAAACAGCGAGACACCATTTCTCGCCTAACCCGTAGAAAAAAGTTTCAAAAGTAAGGCAACATGTTCTGTTAGTGAGGCTGTGGGGAAATTGTCATTCTCATATATTGCTAATGGAAATGAAAACCAGTACAATCCTTCTGGAGAGAAACTTGGAAACACCTAAGAAAACTACATGTGCACTTAACTTTTGGCCCAATAATCCTACTAGTGGGAATATACCTTGAAGGTACATTTCTACCAATACAAAAAAAAAAAAAAAAATCATGTCCAGGGTTATTCGCGGGAGTAATGTCTGTAACTGCAAAATCTTGGAAGGAATTTAAAAGCCCATACAGGCCAGGCACCATGGCTCATGCCTGTAATCTCAGCACTTTGGAGACCAAGGCGGGAGGATCACTGGAGGCCAGGAGATCCAGACCAGTCTGGGCAACATAGCGAGGCCCCATATCGACAAAAAATAAAATAAAAAATAAAAAGTCTTTAATTAGCCAGGCATGGTGGCACACACCTGTAGTCCTAGCCACTTGGGAGGCTGAGGCAGTTGTGAATTGCTTGAGCCCAGGAGTTTGAGGTTACCATGAGCTATGATTGTGCCACTGCACTTCAGTCAGCCTGGGTTATAGAGCGAGACCTGGTTTCTGTATTAAAAACAAAATGCCCAAACATAGGCGAGTGGTTGAATAAACTATGTGTGGCGCAGCCACACAATGGAGTACAATGCAGCTGTAAAAACGAACGATGAAGATCTCTGTGAAACAATATGGAGTGATTTCCAAGAATGCTGTTAAGTAGGAAAGGCAAAGTGCAAAGGAACATGTATAGTATGCTATCCTTCGTGTAAGAAAGGAATATGAGAAAACATGTATGTATCTGCTCATTTGGGCAAAATAAATACAGGAAAGGTTAAACCAGAAACCAAAGGGGCTGATTACCCTACAGGGAGGGCCAGGGAAAGAAGTGGAAAGAAATGGGGAATGGGAACAGGGTAGAAGGGATGACGAAGGAGTGACATTTCTCCGAGTATAGGTTTTTGTATAACCCTGACTCTTTGGATCATAGTAATGATGCACATACCCAAAATATAAATAAAAAATTAAAATCAACCGGGATATTGGGGTGAGGGTACCCCAAATCAAACAGAAACAGGTTCAACTAACAATATTACAAATGAGTGTCTTAACCACGCTGAAGGAGAGAGGAAGAAAAGATCTAAGATACATAACTTTGGAGAGCAGTATTTTGACTATATCCTCTAAGGCCAAAGACAAAAACAACTGTACAAAAATATAAGTTATTAACATGTTTGCAACAGGGGCATTTGTTAGCAATTCAGGCGCTACTTTATGTATCTACTGACCAGAAATAAACAGGTATGTAAACTATTTGATAATGAAAGCCAGGTCGGAGAACGAATCTACAAATAAGTCTAGAATGATTGGAATTGAAAGTATCAATACAAGCTCCTGGCTTTTAATAGCTATGCATACAGATAGATACCAAAATAAATGTGGATGTGTCTATAGGCATGGGTGTATACATACATTATTTCCTAACCCTCTCCATAGAGAGAGCCTTAGCAGCAATGAAACGCCATTAATAATGAACACACACCGAGATACTGGTTGGTAAATATCATTCCCCAAGAAAGGGAACCGGGGCTCCTCGTAGAAGTTGTTTTAATCCAGGGCTATAAGGGGTGTGTGTGTGTGAGGGGAGGGGGGCACACACATGCTGAATCTGAACATCTTATTGTGCCAGAAAAAGGTACCAAAAAAGGATAGGGTCATATCAAAAGACCACAGAACCAACCAAAATGACTTCCCAATGGCCAAGGCTAGAACAGTTCAAAGAACAAAATAATGATATAATTAGATTAAATTTTTATTTTATTTTATTGCAAGTTCCAGGATACATGCGCAGGATGTGCAGGTTCATTACATAGGTAAACCTGCGCCCTGGTGGTTTGCTGCACCCATCAACCCATCACCTAGGTATTAAGCCTGGCATGTATAACATAATTATTCAAGAGCCCATACTGAGATAAATAAATTGAAGAAATAAATGAATGAGGGAGTAAAGATAGCTCTTCCTTACAGAGGAATTCCAATTAATAAATGTAGCAGAAATTAGGAAAACAGAAAATCACCATTAGGTAATATTTGCTGTAGGCAAGATCCCTAGACAGATTTTAACAGTAGTGGGTCAAAGTCTGCGAAGAAACAGGAATATAAGAGGATCTATTGTGTTTCTTCTTAAAGAACTTTTCACACTATATTTATTACTAACAAAGAGGAAAATAGTAGCATTACACTGGGGCAGCATAACTCCCACCACTTTAACCAAGTGATCAAGGTGAGCACCACCAGTAATACAACTTATGGATGTCATGTACCCCTGACATGATCCACATAGAAGGGAACGAAATCACGTTTGCGGTAATGTCGCATAAGACCTAAAATTAGAGGTCCAATTATATGGATGCCTTGACATCTGGGGTAGAACAGGAGGACCCTGAATGGCCTCACCACAAGTTATCTTCCCTATTGGGTTCCCAGGGAGAAAGGCCCCCTGGCCAAAGTACCCTCCTTATTATCATGTTGAACAGACACAGTGCCTGCTTATCTCTGGGTAGCATGTTTCAGGTCCCCACCAGCCTGCAGAATTATTCAAACAAGCCAATCGTCCTACCCTGAACCAACGGTCACTTCATCCTCTGGTTACTACAAAGACTTCCCCCTGAAAGCCCCTGCTTGTTCACTCTCTTCCAGAGTGTGACACTGTGTGGCTCTACCTGGCGTGAGGTGCCCTCCTCTCTCCAGTTGTGAGTAAATGTTACTGATAAATTGCTGTGGATTCCGTCTGTCCAGTATAGGGTACCATGTGTTCAGCCGCCCCCATAACACTAGGGTGGGAATCCCTCCCTCGCCACTGGGAAAGGGAGGAGAATAAAACAGGTGTGCTTGCTACAAATGCACAACTTCAATCTAATCATAAGAAAACATGAGACAAACACAAATTGAGAGACATTCCACAAAATACCTGACTGGTATCTCCAAAAGTGTCAGGGCTGTGGAAGACCAATAAAGATTGAGGAAATGTCAGCCTGGAGGAGACTAAGGAGAAATGAAGACCAAATGCAATGAAGCGTCCTGGATAAGATCCTAGAATAGAAAAAGGACATCAGTGAGATATCTGGTGAAATTCACATAAAATCTGTAGATTAGTTAATAGTACTACATCAATGCTAACTGTTGGTAATTAACATCGATGTAGTAATGTCAATTAGTGCATCAATGTAATGTAGTAGTTAGTTTTGGTAATTTTTCTATGGTTATATAAGATGTTAACATTAAGGAAATCCAGGCGAGGGCTCTCTGTATAATCATTTTTGTAACTTTTCTGTAAGTCTAAAATTATTTCAGAGTAAAGAATTTTAAAAGACAAAATCAGTGGCTAAAGGGCTGGCAACCTATAAACCACACTGCTTAACAATAACCAATTGAAACATAGTTAGAAGGATGCATACAAAGAGGGATACATGCTCATACCACATGATTCATTAAAAAGATTATAAGAGATGAAAGCCCAGTCATCTTCAACACACAGGTGAATATGTATTTACTCTTCAGATGAGGAAAGCATTTTTAAGCATAAAAGGAATGAAATACAATAGAAAGAAAAATATCTATACAATCCAATATTTACAATTTAAAGCCCGCCATATCAAAATTAACCATAAACAAAACTAAGATGCAAAAGAGAAATATAACTTTCTGAAGAAGAAGAGAAAACCTGCCTGAGAAATTGCAAAGAGAGAACATGAAGTGATTAGCCATACAATTGAACCTAATCACACGTGAAGATAAGGGATACATAGAGAGTGGACTGGAGAGTGGACCACTGAGCAATCCAGCCGGATTTGCCTTTCCTATGAATCCCTAAACCTTGACCCTAGGTAATGTAGGCCAAAAAAGGCCTAGTTTATATAAAATTTATAGAAGGGCCGGGCACGGACGCTCACGCCTGTAATCCCAGCACTTTGGAAGGCCGAGGCGGTGGATCCCCTGAGGTCGGGAGTTGGAGACCAGCCTAACCAATATGGAGAAACCCCCTCTCTACTAAAAATACAAAAATTAGCCTGGCATGATGGCGCATGCCTGTAATCCCAGGTACTTGGGAGTGAGGCAGGAGAATCGCTTGAACCCGGGAGGTGGGGGTTGTGGTGAGCCGAGATCGCGACATTACGCCCCAGCCTGGGCAACAAGAGCCAAACTCCGTCTCAAAAAAAAAAAAAAAAAAAAAAAAAAGGCAAAAAAGAAAAGAAAGGAAATTTATGGAAAAGATATTGTTGTAATTTACCTAATTGGAAGAAGACTTGGAACCAACCTGGGAGCTACACTTCCCCTCAGAATCTTGCCACAAACAAGACGCAATCTTGTGGGTGGGGCCCAGCGTCTTAACGGTTCCTTCTCAAAGCAGTGGGGAGAGGACTTCAATTGGCTCAGCTTGGTCAGGTGACCTCCTTTGACCAATCATCTCCATACTGGGAGGCGGAGCCAGATTCCTGCCCCTCCCCCTCCTGGGGCTCGGGGGACGGGGGGCAGGGAAGGAGAAGGGGTTTCGAGAAACCAAGGGTGGGAGAGCGGGAGGGGCAGGAAGGATTGTGGGACAGGCGGGTGGGAGTGTGTGAGGTGGAAAGGGAGGGGTGTTCTGATTATAAGCCTGCCCCACCCGCTGATTTCGTCTTAGGTGAAAAGTGAGGCACAATGCCATTGTGTATGGCCTGGGCACTGGCCAGCCAGGGTTTCTTTGCTTTCTTTCTTTCTTTTTTTTTCTTTTCTTTTCTTTTCTTTTTTTTTTTTTTTTTTTTTTTTTTTTGAGACGGCGTCTCGCTCTGTTGCCCAGGCTGGAGTGCACTGGCGGGATCCCATCTCATGCAACCTCTGCCTCCCGGGTTCAAGCAATTCTCCTACCTCAGCCTCCCGAGTAGCTGGCATTACAGGCACCTGCCACCACGCCCGGCTGGTTTTTCTATTTTCAGTGGAGACGGGGTTTTACCATGTTAGCCAGGATGGTGTCCCTCTCTTGACCTCGTAATCCGCCCGACTCGGCCTCACAAAGTGCTGGGATTACAGGCGTGAGCCACCGCGCCTGGCCCCAGCGAGGGTTTCTACCAGGCCACGTCTCAACACAGACAGTTAAAAGCTCAAATTTAGTGGACGTGTAGCAGGGGATGCTTACTTAAAAAACGCATGGCCACTTGATGGCAAAAGGCTGTCAGATATTAGTGTCTCTGGTTCTCTGATATATTAAAGAAGGAACTGAGTCCTGACCAAAGATAGGAAAAATGTGTTGTCCTCTGCAGTGAAGCCAACAGAGCATTTACACTGATGCCTGGCAAAGGCGGCACAAAGGAGAAGACTTCCACCCATCTAATAATACTATCAATTGCAAAGCAGCCAATATTTGTTTGAATGTCCAACCCTCAGCCCACACTCCTGATTCCACTTCTTCCCTATTTGATTTTTCCCCCCCGCAGTCATCTTCTGGAATGCAATATATTTTAATCATATGCTGTTTTTGTTTTTTATTGTCTGTCTCCCATGGTGGAAAAATAAAAATTCCAGAAGGGCAAATATCTTTGTCTATTGCTCATTAATGTACCCTAAGTGCCTATAACAATGCCTGCTTCAGTGGATACTTTGAATGAATAAATGGATTTTTCTCCAGCCACACTAGCCTCCTTTTTGTTGCTCTAACACTAGCTCAGCAAGCATACTCCCATACCGTTGAGTGTTTTTCTGTAACAGCCTGGCTTTAGATATCCCTATAGCTACCTTCCTTACTTAGTGTACATCTCTGATCACCTTATCAGACATGTGGTACTTTTCTTCATGACAGTTAGCATGTCACTGTGTTGTTTTTGTTTTCTTTTGTTGTTTTCTTTTACTCTAATTACAGGTAAAGAAGCAGATCAGCTATGTCTGTTTTAATTTTTGCAGTACAGTGTCATCTTTCAGTAGATGGGGTAATGGGCATCAGGTATCTTAGGATTGAATCCGTGGCATTACCACTTTGTAGCTAAATAACCTTGGCCAGGTAAACTCTTCCAAGCTTTTATTATCCATCTTTAAACTGGGAATAGTAAAAAATTTAACCTCATAAGGCTGTGATGACATTTCATTAAGATAGTCCATATTCAGTCATGCACCACATAATGACTTTTTGTTCAATGATAGACCACATATATGATGGTGGTCCCATCATATCATAAGGTGATAAGTGCAGATTCCTGTTCTGATACCATCCTAGCAAACTAGATTGCTGGTTCACCTTGCCTCTTCACAGATGGCTGGGGGTGGGAGCTGAACTTCTACCCTAGCCCCCCTGAGAACATTTCCAATAAAAAAGGGGGCACCAATTCACCACACTTTGTTACCTCAGAGGTGGGGTCGGGGAGTATAGGCACAGTTCTTTGCTAGGCTTTAGGGAAAGGGGAACTGGATGGCTGACTCAAAGTTTTGTTGCTGCAGTGTGGTGGGGCAGAAGCCTAGGTCCCCACTGGTCTCTGAGAACATCAGGGGAAGGAGGGGGAAAGGAGACTGCCAACAAACCCTGCCTCCCACCACCTGATTCCATCTTGATGATGGGTGGATGAGGAGGCACAGCTCTCCATAGGGCCTAGCTTGCACAGAATGCCTGAGCGGGAAAGCAGAGTGTCGATTAGCCCCGCCTCACACCACTTCATTGAGTTTGGATGAGTGTAAAGGTTCAACTTTCCACTGGGCATCACTGACACCAGAGATGGGGATAAATGGAATGCTTACTAGTCCCAACTTGGACTGCCTTGTTCAGTGTTATTGATGTCAGGTGAAGGTGAAGGCTCATCTTGCTGCTGGACACCACTGACACTACCCTGACAGGTGAATTGGATCATCACCATCTGCCTCAGAGAGGCAGGATAGAAGACAAGTTTCCTTCTTGTTCCCTGAAACCTTGGGGGGTGGGGGAGATAAGGTTTTTCCATTGTTGTTTGTCTAGTGTAGGGGAGGGGAATTTGTCACAAAGGTTTTTCAGTTTTTAGATCACGTTTTTTATGGTCTTTTGGCAGAGGAAATAGGCTTTTCTTGGAGCTTTGTGTCTGCCATTGTTGGTGGTTCTGGACTGGGGGCTTCTGCGGTGCCCTGTCTGGGATATTGGGTGGAAATAGAAAAACCAAGGGAATGCGCTGCCTGTGTTCTTGCTCGAGTCCTGAGAGCACGAGTCGGTCTGCTTTCCCCTTTCCACGTTTCAGAGCTTTCTTTGCTGGTTTGCTGTTATATTCAGGGTGTTCTGATGTAGAGGGACCATCTGGGAGGAAAGGGCAAACTCCAGCTTGGCCAGAACTGGAGGTCTCTAGGATGTTTATTTTTGAGAATTTTATTTTGACATCTCTTGTGGGCCTACCAAGATCTGACCATCTCGTGATCATCTACTGGTTGCAGAGCAAGCAGTTCCTCGATTAGTAGGTGTAATCATAAACTTGCCTTTGTGATCTTTTTCTTCTTCCTGAACTTCCTGATTTCTGAACTCCTATGACTCATGATGCATTCTCAATAAAATCTGCCATATTAAATTCATTTTCCAAGCTTTCGTGTTTCCAAGTATGCCTATTTAACTCTCTGAGACATATTTATTTATTTTTTAATATTTGTTTCTCTCAGCAGTGACCAAACACTAGTTGCAAACTGGTAAGTTTTCCTTACACAAGACTTTTTTACAAGTCAGAGTCTGAAAGGTCTGGCCTGACTTGCCGATGGAATCTATATGAATGAAAAGGCCATCTCTATGGAAGATACTGGTAAACTTTTTTGTCAGCTTAGAGCCTGTTGCCCTGGCTTTGCTCACAAGGTTTGACACTGAAAGACTGTGAAACCTTCTGAATGTGAAATAGTGTATTGGAAATGTTTCTTGTTTAATTAATTCCATAGGTTGGGGGTCATGACATTCTAAAGTAAATAAGAAAGGAGACTATTTTCTGAAGAATAGAAAAGGCGCATATTAAAATCATTACACTGACCAAGTATCCACTCTCAGGCATCTTCTTACAGTGACTTCTTAATACAGGCCAATATCTCTGATGAATATCGATGCAAAAATCCTCCACTAAATACTAGCAAACCCAACTCAACAATACATCAGAAAGATCGTTCATCATGACCAAGTGGGATTTATCCCTGGGATGCGAGGATGGTTCAACATATGCAACTCAATCAATGTGACACATCACATCAACAGAATGAAAGATAAAAACCATATGATTATTTCAACTGATGCTGAAAAAGCATTTGATAAAAATCCAACATTCCTTCCTGATAAAATTCCTCAACAAACTGGGTATGGAAGGAACATACCTCAACATAATAAAAGTCATATACAACAGACTGACAGCTAGTATCATACTGAATGGGGAAAAAGTGAAAGCCTTTCCTCTAAGATCTGGAACATGACAAGGATGCCCACATTCACCACTGTTATTCAACATAGTACGGGAAGTCTTTGCTCAAGCAATCAGGTAAGAGAAAGAAGTAAAGAGCATCCACACTGGAAAGGAAGAAGCCAAATTACCTTTGTTTGCTGATGATACGATCTTATATTTAGAAAAACCTTAAGACTCCACCAGAAAACTATTAGAACTGATCAACCAATTTAGTAAAGTTGCAGGATACAAAATCAACCTACAAAAATCACTAGCATTTATATATGCCAATAGTGAACACCCTGAAAAAGAAATCAAAATTAATCTCACTTACAGTAGACACAAATAAAATTAAATACCTCGGAATTAACCAAAGAAGTGAAAGATCTCCACAATGAAAACTGGAAGACATTCATGAAATAAATCGAAGAGGACACAATAATGGAAAGTTATTCCATGTTCATGCGTTGGAAGAATCAATATTGTTTAAATGTCCATCATACCCAAAGCAATCCACAGATTTGATGCAATCCCTACAAAAACACCAGTGACATTCTTTACAGAAATAGGAAAAGCAATCCTAAAATGCATATAGTACCACAAAAGGCCCAGAATAGCCAAAGCTATCCTGAGCAAAAACGAACAACACTGGAGGAATCACATTACCTGACTTCAAATTATACTACAGAGCTATAGTAACCAAATCAGCAAGGTACTGACATTAAAACAGACCCATAGACCAATGGGACAGAATAGGCAACCCAGGAACAAATCCACACACCTACAGTGAACTCATTTTTGACAAAGGTGCCAAGAACATACACTGGAAAAAGGACAGTCTCTTCAATAAATGGCGCTGGTGCTGGGAAAACTGGGTATCCCTATGGAGAAGAATGAAACTTGACCCTTATCTCTCATCTTATATAAAAATCAAATCAGAATGGATTAAAGACGTAAATCTGAGATGTCAGCCTATGAAACTTCTACAAGAAAACACCGGGGAAACGCTCCAGGATACTGTTCTGGGCAAAAATTTCTCGAGTAATACCCGAGAAGCACTGGCATCCAAAGCAAAAATGGACAAATGGGATCATGCATGACTAGTTAAAAAGCTTCTGCACAGCAAAGGAAACAACCACTAAAGTGAAGACACAACCCACAAAATGGGAAAAAATATTTGCAAGCTACCCATCTGAGAAGGGATTAATAACCAGTAAAATATACAAGGAGCTCAAACAACTCTATTGGAGAAAATCTAATAATCCGGTTAGAGAATGGGCAAAAGATTTGAATACACATTTCTCAAAAGAAGACGTACAAATGGCAAACAGGCAGATGAAGAGGTGCTCAATATCACTGATCTTTAGAGCCACAATGAGATATCTTCTCACCCCAGTTAAAATGGCTTATATCCAAAAGACAGGCAATAACAAATGCTGATGAGGGTGTGGAGAAAAGGGAACCCTCGTACACTGTTGGTGGGAATGAAATTAGTACAACGATTATGGAGAACACTCTGCAGGTTCCTCAGAAAACTAAAATTTGAGCTACCACATGATCCACCAATCCAACTGCCAAGTATATACCCAAAAGAAAGGAAATCAGCATATGGAAGAGATATCTGCACTCCTGTTTGTTGCAGCACTGTTTACAATAGCAACATGTGGAAGCAACCTAAGTGTCCATCAACAGATGAGTGGATAAAGAAAATGTGCTACATATACCCAATGGAGTACTATTCAGTCGTAAAAAGAATGAGATCCAGTCATCTGCAACAACGTGGATAGAATTGGAGATCTTTATGTTGAGTGAAATAAGCCAGGCACAGATAGACAAACATCGCATGTTCTCACTGATTTGTAGGACCTGAGAATCAAAACGATTGATCTCGTGGACATAGAGAGTAGAAGGATGGTTACCAGAGGCTGGGAAGGGTAGTGTGGAGGCAGGGGGTAGGTGGGGATGGTTAATGGATGCAAAAAAATACAGAAAGAATGAATAAGGTGGGATATCACAGCATGCTGCCTAAAGTCAGTAATAGTTGAATTGTACATTTTAAAGTACCTAAGAGGATACAGATTGTTTGTAACACACATGACAAATGCTTGAGGGGATGTGATGTGATTAGTACACACCGCATGCCTGTTCCAACATATCTCATATACCCCATAAATATATACACCTACTATGTACCCACAAAAATGGAAAAATGAAAAAAATTAAAAGAACTTCAGGGTAATGAACTAGGATATCTGGCAGTAAAAATAACTAAACAGCAAAACATTCAAGGTACTGCGTGACTTTGTTCGGCCACTTAGACAAAAATGAGAGAAGAGAGAAATGCTTTAAAGATGGAATTTGTCAATTAAAAGATAGGAAGAAGGTAAATATGTTGAAAAATTTCACCCTAGCCATGTAAAGAATGAAAAAGCGTGTTTAGGAGTGCAAACTACAGACATGGCCAAGTGACCACTTTGCTAATGAGATTACCATGGCTAGAAGGGAAACAGGTGCTATTCAGTAAGACAAAGACCACTGGAGAAAGGCCCTGACGGCATTTCAGAGTTTTCCAGGCTGCTCCTCCAGTCACATGCCCAGTGCACAATGCGAAGGCAAAGTTTCCAGAGAGACGCCCACGGGACCTCAACATCTGCTGCCCCGTGATGCTTTTAAGTGTCTGCTGCCCGCACCTTCGTGCAGCACTCCTCGGCTGTCCCAGCCATAGTTCAAGGGGGGCCGGGTGCTGAACAGGCTGCCGGTCTGGAAGGCTCAAGCGGTGGACCTTGGCGGCATCCAAATGGTGCTGATTCTGCAGGTGCACAGCATTCACGAGCTATGGGTCTGTGACGGCCTCCACCTAGATTTCGCAGAATGTTGCAGACAGCCTGAGGACCCATGTAGAGACCTGCCACAGGGGCAGAGCTGCCAGAGAGAGTCCCCATCAGGCCAGTACCTGATGGGGCTGTGGGAACAAGTCAGTTGCAGAGAGTCCCAATTCGGGTAATGTCTAGTAGAGGTGTGGGAGCTGGACTGCTACTAAGATTCCAGAATTTCAGAGCTACTGGCATTTAATGATACCCTGGGAGAGCTGGAGGAACAAGACTCCAACCTGTGAGAGCTGCTGGGTGGACTGAGCCTAGCAAAGCCATAGAGGCATGGCTGCCTGAGAATCTGGGGGCCCAATCCCTGCCTCAGAAGGCAGAACTTGAACATTATTCTCAAGCCTCAAAATTTAATGTTGTTTGCTCTGATGGGTTTTGGACTTTCTTAGGATCAGTTATGCCTTTTCTGTTGCCTGTCTCTCCCTCTTGGAATGAGAATGTCTATCCTACGCCTGTCCCGCCACTGTATTTTGGGAATAGACAACTTGTTTTGATTTCACAGACTCAGAGCTAGAGGAAATTTTCCTCAGTCTGGATCCTGCCTTGAGTCTCACCCATCTCTAATTTAGATGAGACTCTGGACTTTGGGTGCTGGAGTGAGTTAAGACTTTGGGGCTACTGGGATGGAATTAATGTATTTTGCATGTGAGAAGGACATAAATTTGGGGGGCCAGGGGCAGGATGCAATGGTTGGTTTGAATGTGTCCCCAAAAAAGCATGTGTTGGAAACTTAATCCCCAGTGCAACCCTCCCTCCTAATGGGAGGTGTTTAGGTCATATGAGGGTTGCACCTTGAGGAATGGATTAATACCAATTATAAAAGGGCTTGAGTCTATGAGTTTGATCTCTTGCTTTCTCTCTCTTGTGCACTCTAGCCCTCCCACCTTCTGCCATTGGATGACACAGCAAGAAGGCTCTCATCAGATGCAAGCCCCCCCACCTTGCACTTCCCAGCCTCCAGAACTGTAAGATACAAATTGCTGTTCTTTATAAACCACCCAGTGATACAGTTTGGCTCTGTGTCCCCACCCAAGTCTCATGTTGAATTGTAATCCTCACGTGTGGAGGGAGGGACCTGGTGGGAGGTGACTGGATCATGGGGGCGGTTTTCCCCGTGCTGTTCTCACGATAGTGATGGAGTTCCCGCGAGAGCTGATGGTTTTAAAGTGTGGCGCTTCCTCGCTCTCTCTCTCGCCTGCCATCATGAAAGACAAGCCTTGCTTCCCCTTCGCCTTCTCCCATGATTGTAAGTTTCCTGAGCCCTCCCCAGCCATGTGGAACTGTGAGTCAATTGAACCTTTTCTGTTTATAAATTACCGAGTCTCAGGCAGTATTTTTACAGCAGTGTGAGAACAGACTAACACACCCAGTGTTGAGTGTTCTCTTATAACAGCACAAAATGGACTAAGACAGGTATCTCAGGGTTCACTTTGCCCTCATCCTCAGGACAATGGAAAACACTCAGCCTGGGCCCTTGCCACCTACCAGCTCTAACTGAAAGTGAGTCTGCTGGGTGTCCTGGGGGTTGGAGTGGGAGAGGGGGCCCAGAACCCTTCATGCCCTGTGAGATCCTGAGGCCAAGGATTGGCACTGACCAATTCACCCATGGTGTGGCATGTGGGTAGTGACCTGTCACCACTGTCTTCACATGGTGTTTGTGAGGAGAATCTGTGAGATCTGGAGCTGGGGTTCAGAGAAAATTGAGGGGATCTGTCAAACGAGGCAAGAGTAGGCCTCAGACCATTTTGTCAGGCTCACGTGAGCAAGGTGGAGTTTTCAAAATAAGTCCTTTCCCGAAGGGCATAGTGAGGAGAGCCCTGGGAGCCAGAAGAGACTCTACTTCCTGTTCTTAGTGCCCCCTGAGTTTGCCACCAACACCCAGGGAGCTGTTTCCAATTGAGTCACCCCTGCAGAGCAAGCTAACTATAGTCGGGAGACCCGGAACCCAGGTACTCGTAGCTACGGACATGGGGGAACTCTGAGGGCCTGCTGCATGCCATGCTCTGTGCTTGCTGCATTACATTACATTTTCTTCCTCCATGTGTTCCTCATAACGGGATTCTGGTAGGCAGAATTACCAGCTTCTTGGCCTGTCTTAGGTTGCTGAGACTTAATGAGTTGTAGAAGCTTGTCAGGGTTCATTCAGATGCTACATGAAATTGCCAGCATTAGAACTGAGCTCTACTGGATGGGCATGATTTCACCACACATAGTTTTAATAAACTCTTGCGCATCACATATTCTTAAGGAAGGACAAAGTTATCAAAAATATCTGAAAATAACTGAATGACAGAAAAAAAAAGTGCAGTCCATCTCAGAGAGGGCATATTAGAGACAGACATGGAAAGTATAAAGGAAATAGGAAAGATAATTTAGTGGCCACTGGAATGGGAGTAGAAAAAAAGAATCACACCTTTTCCTTTTAAAGTATTGAATGTACAAAGATGCTATTTGTTTGTCAGAGTCAGACTTATAACCCCAAAAGTCTCAGGACAGATCAGCTTGCAAGGGGAAGGGAGTGATAAAAGGGACTGATATGCAGTGCATCAACCAGAAATTTCTATAATTGTCCATCCCTTAACAGCAATCCCTTATTGTGTCTCTATGCCCTGAGAGAGGACATCCAACCCCTGAGAGAGCAGAAGATAAGTCTGCACATTGAGAGTTTGAACATTCTAAATGATGGAACTGTAATATACAAATCACACACCTACACAGATAGGGGTAACTCTCAAGTCAAGAGTTATTATAATCTTTCTTTTAAAAAAAAACAGCATAGCATGAACGCTTCTTAAAATAAAAATATTTATGTGTTTTCTTGTTAATTTGCTGTTACATATTTTCAAGTGTTTCTCTCAAGAAATTTTCCTAATTAAAAAATACTAAACATTATAAATGTATATTTAGAAGATGAAATCATTCTACATCTTCCATCTATATGATCCCATCACTGTGATGCATACATATTCAATGTAAAAAGATTGGTGTATATTTTTCAGATGTGTTTCTCTTTGGGTAATATGTCTACCTACCTGCCATAGTCTGTTTTCTACTGCTATAACAGAATGCACAGGCTAGGCAATTTATAAAGAAGACAATTTTATTTGGCTCACTGTTCTGGCGGCTGGGAAGTCTCAAGAGCATGGCACCAGTATCTGGCAGGGTACATTGAAGGTGTCACATGGTGATAGAGTGTGTGAGACAAAGAGAAAATGGGGTTTGGACTTAGCCTTTTATCAGGAGCCCACTGCCATGATAACTAACACAGTCTCACAATAACAGCATTAATCCATTCATGAGGGCAGAGCCCTCATGACCTAATCTGTTCTGAAAGGTCCTAACTCTCAACATTGTTACAACAGCAATTGAGTATCCAACACATGAACTTTGAAGGACATATTCAAAGCACAGCACTACCTTAAATTTTTTTTTAAGTATTCGTTCGTAGGTTCTTTTTAAAATTTGCAATCACATAAATAACTTTATTCAAATTGGCTTCATTACTTACTTGGACATCAGATTTTCATTTCTTCAATTAGGGTGGTTTTGTGGCAAGCCAAAGTCTCACTAACACAGGCCTCCGTACCAACTGTTTCAGTTCTGACTCAGTGGTGAAGTTAAATATTAAAAACTGGGTGGAGCCAAGATGGCCGAATAGGAACAGCTCCAGTCTACACCTCCCAGCGTGAGCGACGCAGAAGGCGGGTGATTTCTGCATTTCCAACTGAGGTACCGGGTTCATCTCACAGGGGAGTGTCGGACAGTGGGTGCAGGACAGTGGGTGCAGTGCACCGTGCATGAGCCAAAGCAGGGAGAGGCATCGCCTCACCCGGGAAGTGCAAGGGGTCAGGGAATTCCCTTTCCTAGTCAAAGAAAGGGGTGACAGAGGGCACCTGGAAAATAGGGTCACTCCCACCCTAATACTGCACTTTTCCAACAGGCTTCACAAACAGCACACCAGGAGATTATATCCCGCACCTGGCTCAGAGGGTCCTATGCCCACGGAGCCTCACTCATTGCTAGCACAGCAGTCTGAGATCAAACTGCAAGGCGGCAGCGAGGCTGGGGGAGGGGTGCCCGCCATTGCTCAGGCTTGAGTAGGTAAACAAAGCGGCCAGGAAGCTCGACTTGGGGGGAGCCCACCAGAGCTCCAGGAGGCCTGCCTGCCTCTGTAGGCTCCACCTCTGGGGGCAGGGCACAGACAAACAAAAGACAGCAATAACTTCTGCAGTCTTAAATGTCCCCGTCTGACAGCTTTGAAGAGAGTAGTGGTTCTCCTGGCACGCAGCTGGAGACCTGAGAACAGGCAGACTGCCTCCTCAAGTGGGTCCCTGACCCCCGAGTAGCCTAACTGGGAGGCACCCCCCAGTCGGGGCGGACTGACACCTCACACGGCCAGGTACTCCTCTGACACAAAACTTCCAGAGGTACGATCAGGCAGCAGCATCTGCAGTTCACCAATATCTGCTGTTCTGCAGCCACTGCTGCTGATACCCAGGCAAACAGGGTTTGGAGTGGACCTCCAGTAGACTCCAACACACCTGCAGCTGAGGGTCCTGGCTGTTAGAAGGAAAACTAACAAACAGAAAGGACATCCACACCAAAAACCCATCTGTACGTCACCATCATCAAAGACCAAAGGTAGATAAAACCACAAAGATGGGGAAAAAACAGAGCAGAAAAACTGGAAACTCGAAAAATCAGAGTGCCTCTCCTCCTCCAAAGGAACGCAGCTCCTCACCAGCAACAGAACAAAGCTGGACGGAGAATGACTTTGATGAGTTGAGAGAGGAAGGCTTCAGATGATCAAACTACTCCGAGCTGCAGGAGGAAGTTCAAACCACTGGCAAAGAAGTTAGAAACTTTGAAAAAAAATTAGACGAATGGATAACTAGAATAATCAATGCAGAGAAGTCCTTAAAGGACCTGATGGAGCTGAAAACCATGGCACGAGAACTACGTAACGAATGCACAAGGCTCAGTAACCGATGCAATCAACTGGAAGAAAGGGTATCAGCAATGGAAGATGAAATGAATCATATGAAGCGTGAAGAGAAGTTTAGAGAAAAAAGAAAAAAAAGAAACGAACAAAGCCTCCAAGAAACATGGGACTATGTGAAAAGACCAAATCTACATCTGATTGGTGCACCTGAAAGTGACGGGGAGAATGGAAACAAGTTGGAAAACACTCTGCAGGACTTATCCAGGAGAACTTCCCCAATCTAGCAAGGCAGACCAACATTCAAATTCAGGAAATACAGAGAATGCCACAAAGATATTCCTAGAGAAGAGCAACTCCAAGACACATAATTGTCAGATTCACCAACGTTGAAATGAAGGAAAAAATGTTAAGGGCAGCCAGAGAGAAAGGTCGGGTTACCCACAAAGGGAAGCCCATCAGACTAACAGCGGATCTCCCGGCAGAAACTCTACAAGCCAGAAGAGAGTGGGAGCCAATATTCAACATTCTTAAAGAAAAGAATTTTCAACCCAGAATGTCATATCCAGCCAAACTAAGCTTCATAAGTGAAGGAGAAATAAAATACTTTACAGACAACCAAATGCTGAGAGATTTTGTGAGCACCAGGCCTGCCCTAAAAGAGCTCCTGAAGGAAGCACTAAACATGGAAAGGAACAACCGGTACCAGCCACTGCAAAAACATGCCAAATTGTAAAGACCATCCAGGCTAGGAAGAAACTGCATCAACTGACGAGCAAAATAACCAGCTAACATCATAATGACAGGATCACATTCACACATAACAATACTAACCTTAAACGTAAATGGGCTAAATGCTCCAACTAAAAGGCACAGACTGGCAAACTGGATATAGAGTCAAGACCCATCAGTGTGCTGTATTCAGGAAACCCATCTCACGTGCAGAGACACACATAGGCTCAAAATAAAAGGATGGAGGAAGATCTACCAAGCAAATGGAAAACAAAAAAAGGCAGAGGTTGCAATCCTACTCTCTGATAAAACAGACTTTAAACCAACAAAGATCAAAAGAGACAAGGCCATTACATAATGGTAAAGGGATCAATTCAACAAGAAGAACTAACTATCCTAAATATATATGCACCCAATACAGGAGCACCCAGATTCATAAAGCAAGTCCTGAGTGACCTACAAAGAGAATTAGACTCCCACACAATAATAATGGGAGACTTTAACACCCCACTGTCAACATTAGACAGATCAACAAGACAGAAAGTTCACAAGGATATCCAGGAACTGAATTCAGCTCTGCACCAAGTGGACCTAACAGACATCTACAGAACTCTCCACCCCAAATCAACAGAATATACATTCTTCTCAGCACCACACCACACCTATTCCAAAATTGACCACACAGTTGGAAGTAAAGCACTCCTCAGCAAACGCAAAGGAACGGAAATTCTAACAAACTGTCTCTCAGACCACAGTGCAATCAAACTAGAACTCAGGATTAAGAAACTCACTCAAAACCGTTCAACTACGTGGAAACTGAACAACCTGATCCTGAATGACTACTGGGTACATAACGAAATGAAGGCAGAAATAGAGATGTTCTTTGAAACCAATGAGAACAAAGACACAACATACCAGAATCTCTGGGACACATTCAAAGCAGTGTGTAGAGGCGAATTTATAGCACTAAATGCCCACAAGAGAAAGCAGGAAAGATCTAAAATTGACACCCTAACATCACAATTAAAAGAACTAGAAAAGCAAGAGCAAACACATTCAAAAGCTAGCAGAAGGCAAGAAATAACTAAGATCAGAGCAGAACTGAAGGAAATAGAGACACAAAAAAACCCTTCAAAAAATCAATGAATCCAGGAGCTGTTTTTTTGAAAGGATCAACAAAATTGATAGACCGCTAGCAAGACTAATAAAGAAGAAAAGAGAGAAGAATCAAATAGAAGCAATAAAAAATGACAAAGGGGATATCACCACCGATCCCACAGAAATACAAACTACCATCAGAGAATACTATAAACACCTCTACACAAATAAACTAGTAAATCTAGAAGAAATGGATAAATTCCTCGACACATACACCCTCCCAAGACTAAACCGGGAAGAAGTTGAATCTCTGAATAGACCAATAACAGGCTCTGAAATTGAGGCAGTAATCAATAGCTTACCAACCAAAAAAAGTCCAGGACCAGATGGATTCACAGCCGAATTCTACCAGAGGTAGAAGGAGGAGCTGGTACCATTCCTTCTGAAACTATCCCAATCAATAGAAAAAGAGGGAATCCTCCCTAGTTCATTTTATGAGGACAGCATCATCCTGATACCAAAGCCGGGCAGAGACACAGCCAAAAAAGAGAGTTTTAGACCAATATCCTTGATGAACATTGATGCAAAAATCCTCAATAAAATACTGGCAAACCGAATCCAGCAACACATCAAAAAGCTTATCCACCATGATCAAGTGGGCTTCATCCCTGGGATGCAAGGCTGGTTCAACATACACAAATCAATAAACGTAATCCAGCATATAAACAGAGCCAAAGACAAAAACCCCATGATTATCTCAATAGATGCAGAAAAGGCCTTTGACAAAATTCAACAACCCTTCAAGCTAAAAACTCTCAATAAATTAGGTATTGATGGGACGTATCTCAAAATAATAAGAGCTATCTATGACAAACCCACAGCCAATATCATACTGAATGGACAAAAACTGGAAGCATTCCCTTTGAAAACTGGCACAAGACAGGGATGCCCTCTCTCACCACTCCTATTCAACATAGTGTTGGAAGTTCTGGCCAGGGCAATCAGGCAGGAGAAGGGAATAAAGGGTATTCAATTAGGAAAAGAGGAAGTCAAATTGTCCCTGTTTGCAGATGACATGATTGTATATCTAGAAAACCCCATCGTCTCAGCCCAAAATCTCCTTAAACTGAGAAGCAACTTCAGCAAAGTCTCAGGATACAAAATCAATGTGCAAATATCACAAGCATTCTTATACACCAATAACAGACAAACAGAGAGCCAAATCATGAGTGAACTCCCATTCACAATTGCTTCAAAGAGAATAAAATACCTGGGAATCCAACTTACAAGGGACGTGAAGGACCTCTTCAAGGAGAACTACAAACTGCTGCTCAATGAAATAAAAGAGGATACAAACAAATGGAAGAACATTCCATGCTCATGGGTAGGAAGAATCAATATCGTGAAAATGGCCATACTGCCCAAGGTAATTTATAGATTCAATGCCATCCCCATCAAGCTACCAATGACTTTCTTCACAGAATTGGAAAAAACTACTTTAAAGTTCATATGGAACCAAAAAAGAGCCCGCATTGCCACGTCAGTCCTAAGCCAAAAGAACAAAGCTGGAGGCATCACTCTACCTGACTTCAAACTATACTACAAGGCTACAGTAACCAAAACAGCATGGTACCGGTACCAAAAAAGGGATATAGACGAATGGAACCGAACAGAGCCCTCAGAAATAATGCCACATATCTACAACCATCTGATGTTTGACAAACCTGACAAAAACAAGAAATGGGGAAAGGATTCCCTATTTAATAAATGGTGCTGGGAAAACTGGCTAGCCCTATGCAGAAAGCTGAAACTGGATCCCTTCCTTACACCTTATACAAAAATTAATTCAAGATGGATTAAAGACTTAAATGTTAGACCTAAAACCATAAAAACCCTAGAAGAAAACCTAGGCATTACCATTCAGGACATAGGCATGGGCAAGGACTTCATGTCTAAAACACCAAAAGCAATGGCAACAAAAGCCAAAATTGACAAATGGGATCTAATCAAACTAAAGAGCTTCTGCACAGCAAAAGAAACCACCATCAGAGTGAACAGGCAACCTACAAAATGGGAGAAAATTTTCGCAACCTACTCATCTGACAAAGGGCTAATATCCAGAATCTACAATGAACTCAAACAAATTTACAAGAAAAAAACAAACGATCCCATCAAAAAGTGGGCGAAGGACATGAACAGGCACTTCTCAAAGGAAGACATTTATGCAGCCAAAAAACACGTGAAAAAATGCTCATCATCACTGGCCATCAGAGAAATGCAAATCAAAACCACAATGAGATACCATCTCACACCAGTTAGAATGGCGATCATTAAAAAGTCAGGAAACAACAGGTGCTGGAGAGGATGTGGAGAAATAGGAACACTTTTACACTGTTGGTGGGACTGTAAACTAGTTCAACCATTGTGGAAGTCAGTGTGGCGATTCCTCAGGGATCTAGAACTAGAAATACTATTTGACTCAGCCATCCCATTACTGGGTATATACCCAAAAGATTATAAATCATGCTGCTATAAAGACACATGCACACGTATGTTTATTGCGGCACTATTCACAATAGCAAAGACTTGGAACCAACCCAAACGTCCAACAATGATAGACTGGATTAAGAAAATGTGGCACATATACACCATAGAATACTATGCAGTCATAAAAAAGGATGAGTTCATGTCCTTTGTAGGGACATGGATGAAATCGGAAATCATCATTCTCAGTAAACTATCGCAAGAACAAAAAACCAAACACCGCATATTCTCGCTCATAGGTGGGAATTGAACAATGAGAACACATGGACACAGGAAGGGGAACATCACACTCTGGGGACTGTTGTGGGGTGGGGAAAGGGGGGAGGGATAGCTGTAGGAGATATACCTAATGCTAAGTGACGAGTTAATGGGTGCAGCACACCAGCATGGCACATGTATGCATGTGTAACTAACCTGCACATTGTCCACATGTACCCTAAAACTTAAAGTATAATAATAATAATAATAATAAAGTATTCTGCTGCAAACATGTATTACTCTTCAAAACAAAAACAAAAACAAGATAACTCTGAGGACAGAGCCTGGCTCTGTTCACTTAAAGGGTGGAGCCTCGGGCATAGAGGGCAGAGCCTCTAGCCACGGAGGAATATTCCCAGGCCTTGAAACCTAAATGAGTTTACCTGATTGGATTTCAAGTTGGCTTGGAGCTGGTAACTTTTTGCTTGCTTTCATTTTTTCCCGTTGGGAGGGGGACTGTCTATAACCATTATCCTATGTCCATGTCACCACTGTAATAAAAAAGAGGTAACTTTATTTTCTAGTTCGCAGGGCCACTGATGAAAAGAAATTTAGCCTCAAGAAGGATCATACCCAGAGTCTGTCTCATACCTGGTTTAGATGATTTACAGATGAGATTTTCAACTCGCGTTGGTGTTAAGACTTTTGGGGATATTGAGGTGAGGCAAATATATTTTGCATGTAGAATGAACATGAATTTTGGGGAGTTAGAGGGTAGGCTGTGGTAAGCTAAATAATGGCCTCCAAAGATATCCATGTTGTAGTCTCTGGAACCCCTGACTGCCACCTTATATGGCAAAAGGGACTTTACAAATGTGACTAAGGATCTTGAGGTGGGGAGATTATCCTGCCTGGCCCTAAATGTAAGAGCGTTTCCTTATTAAGAGGGAAGGAGAGGGACATTTCACATAGAAGGAGGCAATGTGATGACTGACACAAGAAGCTATGATGCTGGCTTCGATGATAAAGGAATGGGAGCTCTGGAAGCTCCAGGGAAGAATCCATTGCCTTGCCAAGGAATAAAGAATACAGCTTCAGAAGCTAAAAATGGCAAGGCAATGGATTCTCCCTTAGAGCTTCCAGAGGGAGCCTGGCCCTACTGACTCCCTGATTTTCACCCACTGAAACTGATTTTGGTCTTCTGACAATCAGGATGATAAGATAATACATGCATGTTATTTTAAGCCACAAAGTTCAGGGGGTAATTTGTTACAACAGCCATAAGAAAAGAAGAAAATAATACAGGAACCTTTAGAGATCATCTAGTCCAGTGGTTTTGAAACAGTCCTCAAAACTCCTTCTTCCAGCTCTACTTCAACTCAAGCTGCCTAGCTTTGATCTCTCTTATTCGTGATCTTCTGGAAAGATTTCGTTTTGTGAAAAATGACTCTATAAAATTGAACAAGAAAATCAGTAATTTAGTCAAGTATAGAATTTTATCGATGAAGACAAAGCCCAAGAAAGTGAAATGATTTTCCCTTACTCACTCAAAGAAGACCAGATAAATAAATATATAAACAAACAAACAAACACCGGTTCTTACCCTCAGTTAGAGCTTTCTGTACAACATTGTTCTAGAATTGGAAAAGTAGACTGGAGATAAATTGTTAAGGAATAATTGAAATAATATATGTAGAGTGCTTAAAAGAGTGCCTGGTGCATACACACTCACAAATATTTGTTATAATTATAATATGTACTTGCATATGCACAGAATATCTTTAGAAGTATGCACAAAGACCTGGATATAGTTTCCTCTAAGTAGGATAAATGAGATACAGGGGTGGCGAAAAAACCGAATTTTCTCTGTACTGCATGTCATTTTTAACCATGTGCATGTTCCACCTATCTATCTAACTGTGCATCCATCCATCCCTAAATGGTGAACAGAATTGAGTGAGCTATCTTTCCTTGTTTAGGATCAGGATTCCCATTTCCTCCACGTAGAAGCACAAGAGAATCAATAAACTCAAAATCTCCAAGAAATCAACACAAGTCAGATTTTAATTATAAAGTATAAAGCAAAGTTTCATTGCAGCCCAAAGTCAGTATCCGTCAACTACTCCGTCATCTTCACAGGGATCACTTCAGAACACACTTGTCTGTAAGATAATCTGGCTCCCAAAATTAATACTTTTTTAAAAAATTGTATTCGTATTGTCTAATCACATTAGAAAATTTAACTAGGCCAGGCTCACTGCCTATTTATTAATTATAAAACATTCATCTGCCATGGTCTCTGTCCTGAGACTATCTAGTCACAAGATTAGAACACGTGAATGATCCATTCCACAGCTTTTCTGTGTGCCTCATCTCCAGCCAAAGTAAAAGTAGCACTCTGTTTACCCAGCTATGTCACCCATCTGGTATCCACCCTCTAGGGAAATCAATCACGTGGTTCCCTGGGGAGTAATGGAACTCCAATCTCATCTGTTGTTTTTCTTGGGCTGAGTAAATTGTACTCAGCTCCTTCCATCCGCCGAAATAATGAGGACATGATTTTTTTCAACCAGTTTGGGTCTATCCCATAAGTAAGTTTCTATTGTCCCCTGTCCATTCTGAATCCAAACCTAGTCCAAATCCAAACCTAAATTTGTTCCTAATTTTCTAGATTGCTGCTTGTCTGCTGCAGTTGGCCTGGGAACGATGGGACGAACCTCTGCAGTCTCTAACAACAAGCCCAAGTCCTTGTGGACCAAGAACATCTATCATTTGTGTTGCCAAGTCAGCTGATATTCATAACTTGGCAGTTGGAGTCCCAGACTAGGAGTGGGAAAAAGCATGGCAGCTGCCCCACGCTTGAATACGCACATCGATTCTGTCAAGAAGAAGGAGATGTTCTAAGCCTAGAGATGTGGCCAGATAAGATTAATTCAGCTGTAGAAATAGGATCGGGGTGAACTTGATATGATACTCACTGACCTAATTGCTTCGGTTTACTGTCATTATCAGAGATTCCAAGCCTGACCCCTAGAATCACTTAAAAGAAAGAAATCCCTTGGAAGCTGAGACCTGTCCTTAGCTGAATGCCTGTTGGCACAAAGTTGATATTCACCATATCAACTTTCAACCAATCCCCAGTTTTCATACTGCTTCAAACCAGACACTAGAACGGGAGTTCGCAACTCTTGCTATTGCTGTATCCTTGAAAACTACAGGGAAATGTGGTGCTAGAAATGGAGTTCTATGTCTTCTCTTCATCTGCAATTCAGTGAATTTCTGACTTCCAGAAGCCCTTATAGTCATTCTCTGGATAATCTCACAAAGAGTTTTCAAAGCCCTCAAGGAAATGATTTTTCAATGGAGAAAATAATGCTAGTGACTGTAGGTTAATGAGTTCCCCCCTCCCCCACCAGATTACTTAAGGCTGTATGTCTGCTGCCTGAACCCTGAAGGCCAGGTGGTGGTCTAAGGCCATGCATGGTGCCCAGCTTAGGAGCCGAGGTGTCTGTGAGAACCAAAACATCCCAGAGTGTACTGGGAAACATACCAAGAGAAAGAGTCTCATTGCATACAGAAGGCAAAGAGCCAGAAAATTAGCTTAAAAGCAGCTTGCAGAGGAGTGTCAGGGCAGATCCCCAGAGCTGTCCTGCTGCCACCCAGGAATGCCCTATACGTAAGTCCCAAGAAATTCATCTGCTTATCAAGCCGGACTTGTCCGGGTCATTCTTTGGTCTCTTAGCTCCTTCCCAGTTTTCAGGGGGCATTATTCTATACAGTCCCAGGATTTTCCCTTATCAGTACCTGATGCCCAGATTCGGCTCAGGCAAGCATACTGAAGAATGATCAGCCAATGAAGGGAAAACAGAGGGCCCACTGGATTCTCACTCAGCTAGTTAGGGGATGAGGCTGCAGAACCTGACTTCAGCTAGAACACAGGAGGAACTGAAATTTTCTTGCAGCTCAGAGGTTTATTAGTGAAGGGGATTGGGCCAGTTGGTGCTTACATGCTTGACCCCTGCATCCCTG
Organism: Homo sapiens; assembly: GCF_000001405.40. Taxonomy (NCBI): domain Eukaryota; kingdom Metazoa; phylum Chordata; class Mammalia; order Primates; family Hominidae; genus Homo; species Homo sapiens. The sequence goes on along the minus strand of NC_000023.11, from coordinate 102,226,717 downwards.
TGTCCTGGCTATAGCGAGGAAGAGGGCTGACTGTTCGACTAACCACAGGTGATGTCCTCCCAGAAACATGCTGACCTCTCTCTCCTGAGTCCCTGTTGCCATAGCTGGGGTCCAGCACTATCAGTTAGGCTCCACATCTGTTTCTTGTGCTTGAGCTGGATGGATGATGTGTTTTAGGATCTCAGCATAGTATGGGCCAAATACCTGCTGATTATGATGCATCAGATTGAGAAACTTCCAGCCCAGTTCTGCCAACTCCTTTTCAATGAGAATGAGGCCTCCAGGAAAGTGTAGCAGAGACTCCTGCATGCCATGAAGCAAACAGCATTTGAGAAAAAAACGGATCCACTGATCTGTGAGCAGGGAAAAACAATGACAAGAGGAACGAAGTCGGTACAGAAGAAATTCACAATGCCTTTGCTCTATCTGCTCACCAAAGTTTTGCATTAACCGAGTTATTCACTGACCTCTCTGCTCATTTGGGTAAACCGTATACATGAGATTTTTGTTTGTTTGGGGGAATGGAATGCCATCAATCTCCCAAAGGACAATGCATGATCAAAAGATGCTGAGGTAGTAAATTTCTGGGGGTTCATAAGATTACTTTATGTAGCTGTATGTGAGATCCTAGGGCACGTTTAACTTAACAAGAGGACCGTAGACCCGGTACCTGAAAGTAACAACACATGTTGCAGCCAGTGCACCAAGTTCAGGCCCATACACCCAATCCAGGCTATGATCAGATGGTAAAGTTCAAAGCAAGCTGGCCAAGTTCACTGCTTCCATTCCAGCATGGAACATGTCCTACAGCCCAACTCAGCATCACTTCCATGGAGAGGCGTAGGGGCCCAAATGGTAGCTTAAAGCATAGGATAGAGAAAGGGTTCCTCCATATATCTTGGCCGACATTTAGAATATGACCAGGAATGGGCTGGGCGTGGTGGCTCACGTATGTAATCCCAGCACTTTGGGAGTCCGAGGCAGGCGGATCACGAGGTCAGGAGTTCGAGACCAGCCTGGCCAACATGGTGAAACCCCATCTCTACTAAAAATACAAAAAAAAATAGCCAGGCATGGTGGCGCGTGCCTGTAGTCCCAGCTACTCGGGAGGCTGAGGCAGTAGAATCGCTTGAACTCAGAAGGTGGAGGTTGCAGTGAGCCTAGATCGTGTCACTGCACTCCAACTTGGGCAACAGAGTGAGACTTTGTCTCAAAAAAAAGAAAAGAAAAGAAAAGAGAAAATACCAGGAATGACTTCATAGGGTTAGCGTGATAATATCCAACACCTGTGAATGACATATCTTGGGTACAGAGCTGTCTTCAAACCATACATGCATTCTCCAAATTGAGAAAGATCTATTTGAACAGTGCACATTATAGACGAGGAAACTAAAGCTAAAAAACTTCCCAAATGATCATGCCTTTTCATTTTTAAATGCTTAGGTAACTCACATTCAGGGTAAGGTCTACCCACCCATGCCCCACATTCTTGCCACTTTTCTGCACGACGACCATGGAGATTCTTACCAACAATGCTACGAATGCAGTTCTCTTTCTTGGTGATGTTCTGGAGTTGGCCTAGAAGAGATGCTGTGTTTTCACTGCTCAGAGTAGTGAGGCCCATGTCCTTAAGGCCTTGATGGACTTCCTGAGACACCTGTTCACTCACACTCAGCATAGTCTCTTCAGGCCTAGATAATAAGGGATAGAATGCAGAGTGGGCCTGGCAGAGGGGCAAAGCCCAGAGAGCCTCATACCACAAGCCAGGCCTATTCCAGGAAGAATTCTGGCTCTCTGCCACCAGAAGACAGCATTAGCCACTGGGCAGATGAAATACACTCATTGTTACCCGCAAGGTACCACCTGATCCAAACACACAGCACCATATGCCACTTCGATGAAAACAAAGTAAATTGGGCAAGGGTTCAGTTCCATCCTTGGATCTACTCGGCATTCTCCAGTCCCATCAACTGTATTTAAATGTTGTTTTAAGACTCTATTGGATATTTTTCATGGTTTTTCTCCTACCCCACCAATTAAATTGCTAATATATTAAGAGGCTTGGACTTCCTACTCCTCCTTGTACTTTGGTATAATATCCCTGCCCCCACATGCAGTGAATGGTCAATATCACTGACCAACCGATCAACTTCTAGATATACATAGCACAAATCCACTGTCATTCAATCACGTATATAATGACTCATTTTTAGCAAACACATAAGGAATATTTGTAGCAAACTGGCTTCCACACTCTCCTCTTTGGAAAATAAGTTTTATTTTCTGTATCCCAAACCTCAATACAAATTATCAAAGATACCAAAATCTTTGAAGATCATTTCCAAGGGCCTTTGTGTGGTTTGTGATGAAGAATAAGCAATAATAGTATTGATATTACCTATGTCCCAAATACCACACATTTCCCTCTCTAACAGAGATCTATGAATCTTACCTGGAGATAAATTCCTCAGTTAGGGCCTTGGTGGTGCATTTCAGTCTATCCACAAATTCAGGTGATCTGAATAAAACTTCACCAGAGAAGCTTCTGGCCACTAGCAAGACTGAGGCCAGGACAGTTAACTGGTGCAACTGGAATGCCAGTTCCTGGAGCCGGATTCTGTCCATCAGCAGAGTCTGGTGAGGGAGCGAAGGACAGCCCATCAGAAGAGGAGGGTTTGAATGGAGGCACTGAATACCATAGAACAAGGCAATGCCCAAACACACATCCCTACCTCTGGGAATTCTACGTTTTCAAGATCCCAGAGGAGGAGGTTCAGGTAACCTTGGTATAGCACCATTGTTGGACTGGGGGGCTCTGAATTGTTACCTGCCCCGCTTGGAAGTGAACACACCATGCTGCAGGAGGAGCTAGGTGAGTCAGGAGAACTCGGACATAGTGTAGTGATGTCTGTGGCTGCTTTGGTTAGCCATTTTGTGGTATAATCGAGGAGACCTACGACGAGAAGGGAATATGCATCTTAAAATTCCAAGGCTTAAAGATGATGGCTCTGAGACATACTCTTGGTCTATAAAGAAGTGATTTTGTAGATCTTTCTATCTTAGAGAAACATTCCTTCTCCCTACCCCTTGCCCAAGGAAGAAACTTTCTATTCAAAAAATAGAAAATACCCTCTATTGCTATAAGAAGGCAGACCTGAGGTCAAATCTCCCCTCTCCTGCCCTTGAATTTTAAACATACTGGGCTGTTTATCAAGGAGTTCCTGGAATTTAGCTTGTTCATACTGGATGGAATGTTCCTGCAGGTAGGGTCGAAAGCTCTGGATGGTATAGTTCACCATGTCCATTTTCATTAGGCCCAGAACACGGAGGATGCCCCTGCCGTAGGGAGAAACAGAACATTTACACTATTAAAGGAAATCTAGTCTGGAAGGGTGGAATCCAAGCAAGGAGCCATAAAAGCAGAGTATTTGAGAGTCAGAAGAAGCCTTAAAAACAAACAGTCCTATTTCAACTTATGAATAATGGTACTGTGGCCAGTGACCCAAGGCCATAGAGTGAGTTGATGGCAAAACTAAGGACAGTTATACCTCCTGACACTTTAACAACCAGATGAGAGCTCTTTTGCCTGTAGTCAGTCTGTCACCTTGAAAAAAGGGTAGTCAGTGAAAGGAAAATCACCAAGGTGTTAACAATTATATGTGGGTAGCTGGGATGTGGGTGACTGAATTTCTAACTCATTGAGCAGATCATTTTACTTTTCCGGGTCCTGGTTCTTCTAGCTGTGAAACACGGATAATCCTCTTTCCTGTCCCCTCACAAGGTCTGAGTTGGGACAAACAGGACAACATCTGGGAAAAGGCAATTTGCAATCTATAGGAGAAAGAATTACTGTACCTTAATGTCTTAACAGTATCATGACATAAAGGAGACCCAACTGATCTAAAGATCATCAAAAGGAACCCCGAGAGACTGTCCTTGGAAAATAAAAGCCAATAATCCAGAAAGGAGAAAAGGTGTGTTAGTCAGGTCATCAGTACACAAGAGTTAGATAAGACAGGGGCTATATCCACAGTGGCTGGCTCAGAGTTCTCCGGCACAGTGTCTAAGGCAGATTTGGGGGACAGCACATCTAGACTCTCACCTCAGTAACTGCACTGGATCTCTTATGGTCTCTAGTTTCTGTATCGCTTCATCTCGAACCGGTGCACATAGCAGAGCCATCAAATTGAGAATGTAGTTAGAAAGATGAGGGACATCCAGGGCCCCATGTTCTGCTTCCTGCTTGAGGAGATCTGTGTCCAGAGCTTCTTCTATCTCATTTCTTAGGCGGTTCTGCCATGGTAATAGCAGTGATAGCAAGGTCTGCCCAACAAAGGAAATCAAAGGAGCCAAGTTCTGTTCAGAACCTCAAACTTTCTCCAATGAACTATGCTCTTAGGCCAAAGGCATCCCAGATTATGTCTTCTGGGGGGGCAGAGAACTGAGTCTCTACATTTCTTAGAGAGTATTATTTCTTTCTGTCTAGAGGACAATTACCATTCAAGGCTTCACTGGGATCAGTTATAGTAGTAGTCATTACTATTTTTTAGGTAGAATGAGGTAAAAATATGAATAAAAATAAGAATGTGGTTTTAAATGTGTGGGATATAAGAAATATGAAATACACACCACCACAAGGAGATGAGGCATTCTTAATAAAGGATAAGGATATTTTTAGATTGTTTTACTCCAAAGTGTGAGGATAAAATAGCAAATCTGGAATCTTTAAGGTTCCCTTGAAATAGCCTTTTGACTCAAGCATGCAAGTTCCTTGTGGGCAAGGGCTCGCCTATTCATCTCCGGGATTCTGAAACACATAGACCATAGTGGGGTTTCAGTAAGAATTTGTTTAATTGAGTTATATATTGTTATAGTCATCGCCCAATGGTCAAGTTTCATCTTATACAAATAAAATGGAAGCTGCCCCATCCTATCTATTTAAGTAGTAGGTCACGTTAAAAAAAGTATGCTACTTGATATATTAACAGCCATTGACGATCCAAGGTTCTGAGATGCCCAGGAACTTCCCATCCACGAATGGGAGTTGGTTACTCACCTCCTTAACATCTTTTAGAAGTTCAAGGGCACAAGTGAAGTCAGGAGGAGTACTCAATAGCTGTTCTTTCAGATGGTTCCAAAAAGCATTGTACATTGCCTCCGCAAACCTGCCTTCTACACTATAAGAAGGGTTAAATGAGCAGATTGCTCTTTTACCTAGAAAATTGATACAGGATCATAATTTCCCAAACAGCATTTAAAATTATGAAAGACCATTAACTTGACAGGCTAGGAGGACCTATGTTTAGACTTGAGAAGGGCTGAATAAACTGAAGGTAGTCTCAGATGGAAAAGCATTGGCTAAATTCTCTCAGAAGGGTACCTCAAGGTTCCAGAGACACTCTCTTCCTGCAGCAGGAAGAACCATAAACTAGGAGTTGAGACTCTGACTTCTAACCCTAGTTCTGCACCTAGCCTGGATGTGTGACTTAGTTTCCACTGCCATAGACTTAAAACTTTGAACCAGATGCTATTTTTCCTTCAGGCCTGAAATCTAGGAAAGGATTTTACCTCTTGATAATACCTGAAGGTCTTCTGAGACACTTTAAATTCAGCAAGCCCAAAACTGAACTCCTTATCTTCCTTCTTTAAATTTGTTCCTCATGTATACTTAGTTCTGTAACCAGAAATCTGAGACTTTTTCTCTTTAAAAAAATATAATAGTAGGCCGGGCGCGGTGGCTCACGCCTGTAATCCCAGCATTTTGGGAGGTCGATGCGGGCGGATCACGAGGTCAGGAGTTTGAGACCATCCTGGCCAACATGGTGAAACCCCGTCTCTACTAAAAACACAACAATTAGCTGGGCGTGGTGGCGGGTGCCTATAGTCCCAGCTACTCCGGAGGTTGAGGCAGGAGAATTGCTTAAACCCGGGAAGCAGAGTTTGCAGTGAGCCGAAATAGTGCCACTGCACTCCAGCCTGGTGACAGAGCGAGACTCGGTCTCAAAAAAAAAAAAAAAAAAAATATATATATATATATATATATATATGTATATACACACACACACATATATACACACACGTGTGTATATATACGTGTATGTATATAATAGTAATGTATGTTTTCTGTTTACAAAAATACAAGTGATTAAAAAATATATGAAACAAAAATTCAAAGTTTCTCCTCCAACACAACAATCTAACCTGTGAAAGTTCAACTATTATCTATCTGGTGTGTACTGTAGTCCTTCTTAATTCCTTTCCCCTCATGTCCTTTATCCACTCAGTCACCCAATTCCAGAGATTTTGCTTCCTAAATATCTCTGGAATCGGCCCCCACCCACTGTCATCTCTTTCCTGAACTATTGCTATAGTCTATTAAATGGCCACCTTACACCCACAAAACCTTACCCCAACAATGGTACATATTTTTGATAAAAATCAATGAGTTTTCTAAGATACAAATCTGATCATAATAGTATACTCATTTAAAGTTCTTCAGACGCTACCTATCTCTAGCAGTGTACGTGGCCTTTAAGTCCCTTCACGATCCTATTCTGCCACTTCTCCTACCTTAACCTTCTTTCTCCTCCTACATCCTGTGCTCTAACAATCACAGTCCACTTATAATTAATATATAATTGTCTTCCATCCCTCTATGGCTCTGAAATGACATTTCCTCTTCCAGGAGAGTCCCTTCTCCCCTAAACCACCTGAAAAGACTCAATTCAAGTGTTACCTTATTAGGAAAGTCTTCGCTGACCTTCCCCAGGTAGCTGAGCACTGCATAGAACTCCACACACTAGATATGAGATAACTTATCACTCTGCACAGTAGCTATTTGACTATCTTCCCTACAGAAGCTTTTTGATGGCAAAGACAGTGACTCACTCAACTATATGTCTTCAGCTTTCAACATTCTGCCTTCCACCTAATAAGTACTCAATAAATGTTTGTTGAATAAATGTCTTATTATGAGATTTCCCCTAAAAACCGGTAACTGTGCTTAGTATAATTTTATAAGTCCAAAGGGAAAACTGTCAATTATCTGTAGATAATGGATAACCCCAAACTCTATTTCAACCTCTTATCCAGTATACATTTTGTATTACTACATTTGAAAAAGCCTGTTAATTTAAAAAACACAGTGAAATCCAAGCCCTAAATAATATTATTCCTCCTGCTTCATCTATCCACCCCCTGAGATCCCTAGCCACTTTAACAGACCTTCATTCTCTTAGCTTCACTTTTTTCTGCACCCCTACCAGGAGAAAAACAAATCTAACTCGGGCCGCAGGGACTATAAAGGCAATGAGGGAGATGCTACGAGACCTGTGTTTTGGTAAAAACTTCCTTCAGGTAACCCATCCTTGGCAACAGACAAAGGAAAATCTAAGAAGTATGAAGATCAAGAGAACCACTGACAAAGCAAGGGGCTTTACGTAACAGAATCCCAAAAGTGGCAAAATAACAGAAGCATTTAAGGTGGGAAATTAGAAATACCGTAAAATATAGATTCTGACAAAGAAATCAACCCATTTAACTCTTAATAAACACTAGAAGCATTCAATCCATAAATGCTGGATGATTCTTAATCATATATTGTTATATCAATATAATTAAGAGAAACCAATATAAAGCCTAATTGTAGAAGCACACTATTTATCGATGGGGTTCTAATCTTGATTCACAGAATCTTTATTACACTGATTATGAAGCAGAAGTGTCCCCTGAAATTTCCTACTCCTGAAGAGTGAACAAAACCACTATTAGAAAATCTGCTCATCTCTGCCTGTTTAATCTGCAGATAATTAAAAGTTGAACGGCTAGGAGTTACCTCTTCCAAGTCTGTCTGAAAAGATCTGAAAATCACTCTACGTTTCATTATTAACTAAGATCCTGAAATGAACATTTTGACAATACAGAATGAATACCCCTTTTCCAAGATGTTTGGGACGGGAGTATTTTGGATTACGGATTATTATTGTTATTATTATTATTTGAGACAGGGTCTCACTCTGTCGCCCAGACTGGAGTGCAGTGGCGTGTTCGCGATCTCAGTTCACTGCAACCTCTGCTTCCCAGGCTCAAGGGATCCTCCCACCTCAGCCTCCTGAGTAGCTGGGACTACAGGCATGCACCACCATGCCCGGCTAATTTTTGTATTTTTTGCATAGACAAGGTTTCGCCATGTTGCCCAGGCTGGCCTTGACTTCCTGGACTCAAGCAATCCACCTGCCTCGGCCTCCCAAAGTGTTGGAACTTAACAGTCGTGAGACACTGCGCCTAGCCAGATTACGGATTTCTTGGATTTTGGAATATTTGCAGCATACTTGTATACCGCAATGAGCATTTCCTTTGAGCATCATGTTGGCGCTCAAAATGTTTTGGATTTTGGAGCATCGTGGATTTCCGATTTGGGATGTTCAACCTGTAACTGCATTGGTTTATTACCTGTTTAAATATAATTTGCTGCTTTGACACTTTTAAAGTAATACTTACACTAATTTGTCGGTACTATATAAGACACACTCAACCATTAAATTTATTAATAAGATGCTTCAAGTCTGACCAAAAGTCATTTGTGCTATGTACCTATGCCCCGAAGAGTAAAATGGAAAAAAACTGAATAATCTGTACCTGTTTGGAGGCAAAATGGTCTCTTCCACATAGAAATCTTGGTTTACTACAATTTCATGTGAAATGCTCAGCTTGGAAACTTCATTAACTGTCTCTATCAGATCTGTGACAGAAAAGACATCAGGTCTGCTTTCCGGAAAAAGAAAGAAAAAAAGCATAGCCATCATCAACAGGGAACCCACACAAAGAGAATTTTTATTTTATTTAGAGATTCACTCTGCCAAGTAAGGCTCCCAAGTTTAGATTCATCAAACGGATCTTACACAGACTTATTCAATCATTTTACCACCAGAAGTTTTCTGAACTCTTTGCTCTTCAGTAACACTGAACATCTCAGAGAAGTCAGGCATGGGAGGAAGAAATTAGTTTTTGAAAAACATAAAACAGTTTTGAAAACCTTCCACTTGAAATGTAAAACCATAAGCAAAACACAGCAAACAATGAATAAGTTGTGATTTGTAAAATTAATGTGTATCTAAAAGTTATTGTGTTCCCACTGTTCTCTTCCTACCTCAGGGGCTACACACAAGATGAAGGCTAAAATCTCCTTATAGATACCACACGAATCTTACTAGATGGCTCTAAAGCTGAAACCTGCTCCTAAAACAGTAGTTTCCAAATCTGGGTATTCAACAGACAACACTTCAAAACAACATGAGTGACAGATAATGATTTGACAATTTTTATTTTTCCACATATGGACATGAAAGCAAACAAGCAAACAATGAAACTACCCTACCATCATCAAAATAATCACTTCATAAAAAGAAAACATATTTTAACACCTCAGAAAGTATAAAGAAAACACAGTCAGCATTAAGAGTACTCTTTTAAATTGAATCAATTTAATATTATTTTAAAAACTCATTACAACCTCTTTATTGTTTTATTTCATTCAATATTGGTAAGAACTATGTCCTAGCCCAGCATTCGAATTTGGGAACCAGTGTTCTAAATTCATCATACAGAGTACTTTCAGTAGTAAAACAAAGTATATATAGTAGTCACAATTATTACTTGATATGTAAAATAAAATATGCAATAAAACTATTTTGTAACTCAATTTTAATGTAGTTTCATAACTTGGTCAGAGAGAACGATTTATCCTTAAGATATAATAAAACTCACATATAAGAATCCTAAAGCTCACTCCAAGAAGATGGTCCATTTATGCCCATTTATTTTTCATTTAAAAAACCGTTGATAAGACTTCTGTTGAAAAGTTGGTCCATCAACTGGTATTTCCCTTCTATACTAACTAAAAAGCTACATATGTTAAAATATACCATCTAATTAATTCATTAAGACATCATTTCTTTGAGAGATATTATGAAGTATGAATTGTGCCATTCTGCTTACTAGCAGTGACCCCAAGTGGCCACCAGAGAAACACACGTAATTCAACTTCATATTTTTTCCCCGTTTCAGTGTTCAAGAGGTTGGATCAAATTGCTACATCTGGAGAGGTCTGCAGATTAACCTTTGGTTAAATTCACTGGAGATTATTGTAAAAGAACTGCAATTTGAGTTCCTGTGAGGTTGGACTAGTCAAGCCAAAGCTTCAAATGCCTAACATAAGGTGTGAAAAAGACTTAAAGTCCCAATGTTCACATAAAAATGCTATTATTAAAGACCTAAATAATTTTACCCCAGAGCAGTGGTAATTTTTATGTCAACAAAGCACCCCTGGAAAAGGACAGAACACAACTGAAGCAACAGATAATTTGGATCACTTCGATCTGTCCTAGATCTACCATTTGCACTTTACAAAATCAAAATACAAGAATGCTATTTATTTCCCAGGCTTTGAACTGACTAAATCACTCTCGACTGTTGTCAAACACAAGTAACTTGCTTTGTCGGTCTCTTTCTCTAAAACCAAAATCTTTTAATTTTACTTACCAATTAGGGGCCTAAGTCCTGCATGTAAAAATTAGAGGGGGCAGAAAGACAAGAGAAAGAATAATCCAAAAGAGGACTAACAGAAGGATTAGTAAGGAAAAATGCAAGGTTGCAAGAGCCTTCTATATCCCTTAAAGGCCCTTAAATCACAGGCTGTCTATTCCTTTAGCCTAATTGCTGTCCATAGAAGTGATGACATGATTCTAGACCTACCAGGAGACTGGTCATCTAAACAGAAACTCTTGCTTTTCTGGCTCTGCCCTGGTGTTTTAGGCTCAGGGGCCCCATTCTCTGCTACACTGGGATCATTCTGGAGCACAGTTTCCTCAGTCTTCGGCATCTTGATGTTATCTGGAATTGGAGAGAAAAGAAGAGGCAAGCTGTGTAAGACCTGACTCTCGCCCAGGGACAAAAAGAAAGAGCGCTCTTCAACTACAATTGTGTGTCCTGGTGACTGAACCCGCTGCCGTCAGTTGAAAGGATTAAGTACCAGGGCTCAAAGGTTCTCAAAGGAACAACTAGGGTCTTCAAACAGGCCTCGAGGGGAAGGGGAATTAGTGGCACTTCCTTTACTGAAATCAAAGAAGTCTGGTCTTGGGCAAGCAGAAGAGGAAAACAAGGCCCAGAGATGGACAATTAACTCGCCAGAAGCGGGGCACACTGCACATTACTGACCAAGCTAGGAAAGGAATCTTCCTCGGCTCTGGCTACCTTTCATTGGTCCTGGAATACCTTCTAACTCCTTAGCTACTGCTCCAGACCTTCCTGAAGGGGCTCTGCCGGCCTGGACTCAGGCAGCAGGGTATCCCCCACAGCCCTCGCGACCCTGGTCCCTCACCTCCTCCTCGTCCTCGACTGGCGGCCTCGCCTCTGCGTCTGCTAGCGAAGCCCCTCTGCCTCCCCAACCTGGTCTGGGAAGTACCATTGTAGCCAGGAAGAGAGGGGAGATCATCAGGGAGGAGTAGGACGGAACCATGGAGATTATGAGGTCCACCTGGAGCGCACCCCTACCTGTGACACAAGATAGGAGAGTCCAAACATGAAAACAAAGGGTGATCCGTTTCCAGGGTAGCGGGGTGGTATCACTTGCCCAGGGTGCCTTGGAAACCAAGACGGCAGGAAACGCAAGCAGAGCCTCACCATTGGGTGACAAAGGCAGGAGGCTGAGATAGACGTAAGGAGGCTTCATGTCCAAACCCTCCCGCCCAGGCTCGGAACCCCTCAGGAGCTTGGAAGTCATCTTCTCAAGCCCTGCTCCTCGTGAACGAACTGTTCAAAGCTTTTATCCTTACTGCCCCAGAAACAAAAATAGCATTTAAATAACTATTTAGGGGGAAAAAATAAGCGTTTGTTGTTTATTTGTTTCACTTCATGCTGTTCATACAGCCCCTACAAATGAAGAACCAACAGGGCTACAAAATTCCAGAAGTCTGTTTTGGGTTTTCTTTTATCTTTTGTATAAGTGAATCCTCCACACAAAGTAAGGAGAGACACATGAACTGTTAAACTCTCATTTTACAAATATGCAAATCAAGAATCATTTTAAAGGGCTAGCCACAGAAGCTGTGTGGTAAAGGGGCAAGACCATAAGCCTGAGAGGAATCCTACATTTTGGTTTGGGTTCTTTCAGCTCAATTCTTGGCATGTTCTTCATTGCAATCCAATTGTGAGCTTTGGAGCTCATCTGTAAACTGAGGGCACTGGAACGGACGATCCTAAGGGGCCTCATGTTGCTCACTCTTCAGTCCTAGTCTACTTTGTCACTCCACTGGCCAGTCACCACAGTGATATGAGGACCCCTGGATTGGCCTATTTCCAGCATATATACATTTCCACACTATACTAGTTGATCCCTCTCTTACCCTGACTTAATTTCTTAACACATTAACTTGTTTCTTTTATAAATCAAGACTATACTTTGACCAGATTCTCACCACAATCCTCGCCTTGTTAGTGGCAACAGTACCGTGTGAATATCTTGCACAACATGGGGATTTTGAAGAAGAAAGTTATGGGGAAGAGGTCCAAGAACTTTCCAGCCTAGGAAAAATCCACCTTAACTTCCAGGCACAGGAGGATATGAGGGGACTTGGCTAGTAAAGTTAGCGCTTAGCTAAAGAGTTTATTTTACTAATGAATACTAAATCTGAATTCCCTCCTCATCCTCTCCTAGTATTTCCTTCAGTAATATCAGCTGTGAAACAAATTGCTCTCATATCAACCCCAGGATAAATGTTTAAATATATTTTTCTTGATTTGAACATAAAATTATACATTCATAAGGCATATGTTTCACTATACCAGAAGTTCATTTCTCATTAAAAAAATCAGAATTCTATTGTATTTCTTTCTAAGAAAACCTTCCAGAATGACACCAATTCATCTTCTCACAAAATTGCATTGTTAAAAAAAAAAAAAACTCTACGCAGTGATAACCTAAAATTCTATCAGCTCTTCATTCAAATAGTGAAATAGTCTTTTGAAGTGTCTTTTAATATTGAAATCCCCTGGGAGAGGTAATGAGGGGAAATAGAAGTGTGGGAAAAATAAAGGGAGAGAACTAGTGGAAAACAGCAAATCACATTTTGCCTAGGGATGGCCCAGATACTGTATTTAATAATACGTATTATCAAGAGTTGTCAAGAACCAACTAGAGGAACAGAGAGAGATGGTGGAATAGAAGGCTATACCTTGTGTACCCCCTGCAGGAACACCAAATTGCAACCACTATCTGCATACAGAAAAGCATCATCATGAGAACCAAAAGTCAGGTGAGCAATCACAGTGCCTGGTTTTAAATTCATATTGTTGGAACAGACATTCAAGAGGTCAGACAGAGACAGTCAGTCTTAAATCGCCGATGCCACCCCTCCCCCGTATCCTGGCAGCAGCTGTGCAGCCCAGAGAGTCTGTACACTTGGGAGAAGAAGAAGGCAGTGACTGGGGAACTTCACATTGAACTCAGTGCTACCCTGCCATACCAGAGAGCAAAGCCGTGCTGGGCTCAGCCAGTGCCCACTCACAGAGGGAGCATCTGGACCAGACCTAGCTAGAGGGGATTCACCCATCCCAGGGCGGAGAACTTGAGTCTCTCGGCAATCCACACCACTACAGGCCAAAGTGCTCTGGGGTCCCAGGTAAACTTGAAGGGATGCCTAGGACACAAAGACTGCAATTCCTAGGCAACTCCTAGGAAATTAAACGATATGCACATAAATGAACAGTGGATCAAAAAAGAAGTTAAAAAGGAAACTGAAAACTTTTACGAAACAAATGATAATGGAAACACAACATACCAAAACCTATGGGATACAGAAAAAGCAGTACTGATATCAAAATTTATAGCTGTAAATGCCTACATTGAAAAGAAGAACGACTTCAAATAAAAAACCTAATGATGCATCATAAAGAACTATAAAAATAAGAGTAAATTAGAGGAAAACAAATTAGAAGAAAAGAAACAATAAAGATCAGAGCAGAAATAAATGAATTTGAAATGAAGAAAACAATACAAAAGATCAATGAAACAAAAAGTTGCTTTTTTGTTAAAGGTAAACAAAATTGACAAATGTTTAGCCGGACTCATGAAGAACAAAATGGAGAAGACCCAAATAAATAAAATCAGAGATGGAAGAGGAGACATTACGACTGATACCACAGAAATTCAAAGAATCACCAGTGGCTACTATGAGCAAGGATATGCCAATAGATTGGAAAATCTAGAAGAAATGGATAAATTTCTAGACACATACAATCTACCAAGATTGAAACACGAAGAAATCCGAAACCTGAGCAGACCAATAACAGGTAACACAGTAAAGCCTTAATAAATAGTCTCCGTCTATAGTAAAGCAAAGCCCGAGACCTTATGACCTCACTGCTAAATTCTACCAAACATTTAAAGAAGAACTAATGCCAGTCCTACTCAAACTACTCTGAAAAATAGAGGAGGAGAAAATATTTTCAAACTCATCCTACAATGCCAGTATTACCCTGATACCAAAACCAGACAAACACACATCAAAAAAGGAAAACTACAGGCCAATGTCTCTGATGAATATTGATGCAAAAATCCTCGACAAAATACTAGTGAACCCAATTCGACAATACACTAGAAAGATCTTTAATCATGACCAGGAAGGATTTATCCCTGGGATGCAAAGATGGTTCAACATGCACAAATAAATCAGTGTGACACATCATACCAACAGAATGAAGGACGAAAACCATATTATCATTTCAAGTGATGCTGAAAAAGCATTTGATAAAATTCAACATTACTTTATCATAAAAGCCCCCAAAACACTGTGTATAGAAGGAACACGCCTCAACATAATAAAAGCCATAAAAAACAGAGATCCACAGCTAGTATCATAAGAATGAGTAGAAAGTGAAAGTCTTTCCTGTAAGATCTGGAATACAACAAGGATACCCACTTTCACTCCTGTTGTTTCACCACTATGAAACTACTACTACAAGAAAACATTGGGGAAACTGTCCAGGATATTGGTCTGGGCAAAAAATTCTTGAGTAATATCCCATAAGCACAGGCAAACCAAGGCAAAAATAGACAAATGGAATCACATCAAGTAAAAAGCTTCTGCACAGTAAAGAAAACAATCACAAAATGAAGAGACAACACACAGAATGGGAGAAATATTTGCAAACTACCCACCTGACAAGAGATTAATAACCAGTATATATAAGGAGCTCAAACAACTCTATAGGAGAAAATCTAATAATCCAATTAAAACATGGGCAAAAGATCTGAATAGACATTTCTCAAAAGAAGACATACAAATGGCAAACAAGCGCATGAAAAGGTGCTCGACATTAGTGATCATCAGAGAAATGCAAATCAAAACTACAGTGAGGTATCATCCGCCCCAGTTAAAATGGCTTATATCCGAAAGACAGACAATAACAAATGCTGGCAAAGTTGTGGACAAAAGGGAACCTTTGTACACTGTCGGCAGGAATGTAAATTAGTATAACCACTATGGAGAACACTTGGAAGTTCCTCAAAAAACTAAAAACAGAGCTACCGTATGATCCACCAATACCACTCCTGGGTATATTTCTAAAAGAAAGAAAATCAGTATATTGAAGAGATATCTGCACTCCTCAATATATATTTGTTGGCTTCTTTTATTTCTTGGCGCACTTGGGGTTACCCACTCTGAGTACACATATCACAGTTTGCAAAGTCATTTATGAGAATTTTATGCCTTCAGCAGGGAATTTTTACCCTTCAGATGTGCCTTAACTCTACCTCAATACTGTGACCAATTACCATTTGTTAAATTATACTTTATGTATACTACTCCAAAAAAGAAAATTATCCTGAGAGTCAATCTTATCCATAAGGACACAAAAGAAGACTACGTAAAAGATATTCATAGATGTCCATAAGTGGTATAAAATTACAGAATTTAAGAGGAATACTGGGTAAAAATAATTTAGTTAACACATAAAAATTTAAACATTTCATTTTCAGAAAGAACCATTTGAGACTCAGAGAACTTAAATCACTTCTCTAAGACTGCCACCAGTTTACAGAAAAGTCAGGACTAGAACCCATATCTCAGATTGTTTATTCCACAATATATAGAGCCATGCAACAGCAATTTAACTAAGTATACACATTTGCTAAAGAAAAAAATGTAAATGATAAAATGATACACAATGGATTGTAAAACCAAGAGGTGAAGTTAAATGGGACTTTATTAGTCAAGATTCTCCAGAGGGACAGAACCAATGGGCTATATGTATACATGAAAGGGAGTTTATTAGGGAGAATTGGTTCACATAATTACAAGACGAAGTCCCACAATAGGCTGCCTGCAAGCTGTGGAAGAGAAAAGGCAGTAGTGGCTCAGTCCAAGTCCAAAAGCCTCAAAACCAGGGAAGCCAACAGTGCAGCCTGCAGTCTGTGCCTAAAGGCCTGAGAGCCCTCAGCAAGCCACTGGTGCAAGTCCCCGAGTCCAAAGACCAAAGAATCTGGAGTCTGATGTCCAAGGCAGTAGGAGCGGAAGGAAGCTTCCAGCATGGGAAAAGGAAGCCAGAAGACTCAGCAAGCAAACTTATCCCAGCTTCTTTTGGCTGCTTTGTTCTAGCCATGCTGGCAACCAATTGGATGGTGCCTGCCCACATTAACGGTGGGTCTTCCTCTCCCAGTCCACTGACTCAAATGTCAGTCTCCTCTGGCAACACCCTCACAGACACACACAGAAACAATACTTTACCAGCCACATCCTTCAATTCAATCAAGTTCACACCTGATATTGACTATCCTGGGGCCCAAGATACAGTATAGTGTAGTGGAAGATAAACAGCTAACTAAAGTGGTGGGGACACATAAATACAGGATGGCGCCTTTATTTATTTTGTCTTATTAGAGATGAAGGTCTTGCTATGTTGCCCAGGCTAAACTCAAACTACTGGGCTGAAGCAACCCTCCTTCCTCAGCCTCCCAAGTAGCTGGGACCACGATGCACACCACCATATCCAGCTTTAAATAAAACCACACAGAGTCATAAAATAGATTTATTTCATTACACTTCTCCTTTACAGTACAAAACTACATATCAACATTATCCATGTTAATCTTTTACCAATGTGTTTTCTTCACAGAACACAAAAGGAGTATGAGAAGGTTCTAGGTAATCTGGGGGCTTCCAAGCTAAAAGTGAGGCATGATGGGTGGAGAAACCAGTATAGATCTTCAAGGAAAGGAGAGATACAGAGCAATGGAAGATGAAACTTCTGACAGCAGCATTTAGTGTCTACTTCTACATTCACATCTCACGCCATTCATTCCTAGCGCATGGCAATACTGACCTTTTTTTCCTTTTCCTTAACAGGCCACGTGCCTTCCCACCTCAAGATCTTAATCATGCTATTTTTTCCCCCTATGATGCTTTCTTCCTTCTTTACCCACTTTTCCAGGACTAACTGATTCCTCATTGCTCAAATCTCAGCTTTCAAATTCTAAATTCCTCAGAGAACTTTCTATGGTTCTCCAATCTAAACAAGAGTTCCCTATTAACCCTTCTCTTAACATTCTGTACTTTTTAATAATAGGAATTACCACAGTTTGTAATTATACATTTATTTGCATAATTAGTATTTA
This sequence comes from Homo sapiens, assembly GCF_000001405.40. NCBI lineage: Eukaryota > Metazoa > Chordata > Mammalia > Primates > Hominidae > Homo > Homo sapiens. Next base: position 102,209,046 of record NC_000023.11, on the reverse strand, counting down.
CTGAATATTGAACTTCACCATGAGTCTAAGCTTTCTGAGGGCAGGGGCTGTGCATTTGGCTCTTCACTGTGCCTAGAACATAATGGATACTCAATAAATAAAGTGTGGAATATGAATAAATGTCCTAACCCCACAGGGCAACAACACTGTTGGGAGAATGACATAAAATGGAACATCCTTCCCTGCCAAATGTGCTGGACTCATCTTAGTTCCCAGAGTCAGCCTTTCTTTCTTTGTGTTATAAACATGTTTCCTCTCTGTGTCTCTTTCAGTTCTTGGCTTCAGAACTCTGATCCACAACCTTCCCAGGAAACTAATCCCCTTATCTATAATTACCAAAGAAGACAGCATGCTGTAAATCAGATTTGCAGGAAGTCAGATTGCTCTCTCTAGTAACAATCCAAGAAACTAAACAACTTCTGTAACAATTGGCCCCAAATGGCAAGTACTTTATTAATAGTTGACAGCTTTTCCAATTTTTGTTCCTGCATCCACCTAACAAACTAAATATGAACCTCCTAACCAATCACATAAATTGTTCTGCTTCTAGTTAGCCCACCTACAGCTTCCCTATGCGAAAAAGCTCCAATCAGGGAATACCTGAAGTCTTCCCTTTTTTCCACTATAAAGTTTTCCCACTTCTCTGCCTGCCTTTGAGTCTCTGCCAAAACACAAATGATGATGGCTGACTCATTTGCTATAGTAAGTTCCGAATAAACAGTCTTCGCTTATTCTCATTTGGTTGCTTTTCATTTATTTCCATGCCAGCAAGTGTCTTTAAAGCCGAGAACGAATAAAGCATCAGCTTGGGAAAAAAGAGAGAACATTTTAGGTCCTGAGACCACAGGGGTTTTCCCAGGACATGTGGCAGCAGAGGGCAGCAGCATCCCAGAAGTGACTCAGAGAGGCCTATTCCTGGGTAAGGGATCTCTCACTATTACCCTCACTCTTGCTCTTTCTCATTCGCTGTCCTGCTTGTTTATAAGATGGTGTTAGAGGCAACCTCAGCCCAAAGATACCAGGCTGATTTTAAAGCCCTACCAAGAGCTGCATCACCACAATTGTACCTGGTGCTCCAGGACATGAATGAGTTACACACTTAGAGCAGTTTCAACAAAAATACACTCAGCTGGTTTTGAATTCTGGCAAAAGTTGGTAGCTTATTTATGGGGTTTTTTGCTTGGTTGTTTTTAACTAGAGAGATTTTTTGTGGACCCCAGAATGCATCTTTACTGGCCAAAAATTTTTAAAATTATCTTTACTTAGAAAATAAAATCCACTTTCTGGCAGCAGGTAATATTTTCTGACATCTCATAATGGAATCGAGTACAGTATTCCCTTGGTATCCATGGAATATTAATTCCAGGACCTCCCCCAGCACCCACGTATACCAAAATCCACACATACTCAAGTCCAGCAGTTGGTCCTGCAGAACTCGACTATACTAAAAGTCGGCTCTCCGTATATATGCAAGTTTTGAATCCTGTGAATATGGCATTTTAAATCCACGTTTGGTTGAAAAGATCTGCACATAAATAGACCCATAAAGTTCAAACCTCTGTTGTTCAAGGGTCAACTGTACATATCTGAATGCCTTCATAATTATGGAAGGTGTTGGAGAAGTTAGAATTTTGATTCAAAGTTGGTATATGCCTTTTCTCAAAATAAGTACATCAAAGGCCTTAGGCTTTTCTGGTCTTAAATAAATCATATGAACCGTGGGAGCTCTTGAAGAAAGTTGTTTGGGGGTTAAAGCTAAGAAAACTCACCTTGCTACCTCTGTGTTAACTAATCTAAAACTATCCATTTGTCAATGGATAAATTCCTTTAATTCCCACTTCTTAATTCCCATCTCCTTTATTTCTACTCTTTTTTTTTTTTTTTCTGAGACAGGGCCTCTCTCTGCCAGCTAGCATGGAATAGAGGCACAATCATGGCTCACTGCAGCCTCAACCTCCTGGACTCAAAAGATCCTCACATCTTAGCCTCCCAAGTACCTGGGACTACAGGCGTGCGCCATCATGCCTGACTAATTTTTATTCTTTGTAGACATGTGGTTTCGCCATGTTGCCCATGCTTGTCTTGAACTCCTGGGTGCAAGCAATCCATCTGCCTCAGCCTCCCAAAGTGCTGGGATTACAGGCATGGGTTACCATGTCCGACCAATTTTCACTCTTAAAACACAGTGTAATGCATTTATATATTTACAGAGTGGGTATTCTTGAAAGGCTAGGGACATTTTTTTTGCTCCAATAATTTCATTAAATGAACCATGGGATTCACAACTTAAAGGAACTTTTAAATTAGTTCTTTAATTGAGCAAATCTTCTTTCATAAAGGAAATAATTATCCACTAATTTGTTTCCTAAACCTGAGATTTTACACAGCAGATTTTCCTAAACAAAGACCCTTTTAGATGGTGGTCTGTAGATTTTCTTGTTTTTCTTGACTCCGGTAAAGACACACTTGTCATAAAAGGCCAATATGGGATGATGTTAGTGAGAACGGCAGAGGAAGGACCTTGGAAAATTCTTCTCTCCATAAAAACAGTGAGTACACTGGCAAGTATTGTAAAAGTCAACTTTTTCGGAACTATGGAAATTAACCAAGGCTTTGAAAAATTCAAGGTGAGTTTATTAAAGAAAAATGTTTGAATTTCAGAGACAACAGCAAGCATTGTGGTATTTCAACTTGTTCTATTTCCACCACTTTTTCTTCAGGTCCAAAGTTGTCATAAAACTCAACAGCTATATAATCACTGTGAAAACCAACAGCCAAGGGAGGGAGCAGAGGGTTTGAAGCTGTCCAAAACATCATTCTTAGAGAAACATCATCATAGGAACTATTTGGCAGCTTCCTGGAAACACTCATTTCAAGTCTTGTCTTTATTTCACCTGACCCAGATCTCACTCCGTATGAACAGTCTTTTTCACAGGGGCATTTGATTTAAAGAAAACGGTAGCAATCATATAACACAATAGCTCCCTAAGGTGGCAATAAGAGTTAAGACAAACAAGAAGCTGAACAAAAAGCTTAAAAGGTAAAACTGGGGAATAAGATACTTATAGGGGACTCTGAAAAGCTTAGGCCTTTAAAATACCCATGAATCTGGGAGGCCACTCACATGTGCAGGGCTGTGTGCACATCTAGAAAAGATCTAAGAAGGCTCTAAATTTTCGCCTCTGGGTGATCTTGAGACCCAGCACAAGTTGAAGGCTAAGAGAGAGTTGTAAACTGCTTGCCTGAACATTGAAGGAATTATCCACAATACATACAGGCTCCCTTGAAAACAAGTCTGGGAGACTTGTTGGTTAATGGCTTTTCAGGAAATCTATGTCCAATCATTACCTGACCATTAAGCTACCCAAGTAGAGACTTTAGTGGCCACAAATGACAAACAACACACACACACACAACAGAATTAATTTAAGAAAGTCCCTAACAAGCAATAAAAACAAACAGAACAAAAAAATATCCTGGAAAGAAAGGAGAATCTGATTTCCAAGGTCCCCACAATTATATAATTTACAATGTCCAGTTATCTTGGACCCTTCTCTTACATCATACACAAAAATCAACTCAAAATGGATTAAAGGCCGAAATGTAAAACAGGAAACCATATAACTCCCAGAAGAAAACATATAGGAAAACTTCCTTTACATTGGCTTTGGCAGTGATTTTTTTTTGTTGTTATCACACCAAAAGCTCAAGCAACAAGAATAATAATAAGTGGGACTACATCAAACTAAAAAGCTTCTGCACAGCAAAGGAAGCATCAACAAAATGAAAAAGCAGTCTATGGATTGGCAGAAAATATTTGCAAACGATATATCTGATAAAGAGTTAATATACAAAATATATAAGGAACACACGCAACTCAATAGCAAAAAAAAAAAAACACAAATAGTCCCTTTAAAACATGAGTAAAGGACCTGAATAGACATTTTTCCAAAGAAGACATAAAAGTGGCCAGTAAGTATATGTAAAGGTGCTCAACATCACTAATCATCAGCGAAACGCAAATTAAAACCACAACAAGATGTCATCTTACACCTGTTAAAATATTATGTTGTACATCCTCAACATATACAATAAGAAATAAAATAAACTATCCTGTTATCAAGGGATGACGTTAGCAAGATGGTGGAATAAGAAGTCCTGGACTCTCCTTCCCCAATAGACACACTGATTCAATAGCAAGATGATTGATCCATTTCTTTCGTGAGAAATGGATCAATTTCTTTTGTGAGAAATCCAGAAACTAGTTGACAGGCTCCTGCACCCTGAGTGAGTTTGAAACCAGCCACATCAAAACGAGAAGGAAAATTGGAGACCCTCGCACCATAATCCCCACTCTAGGCACAGCATCGTATGACATGAGAGAAGTCCAGGTTCTCAGTGTCTCCTCAAAGAGCAGAGGAGTCACACCACACATCTGGATTTCCAATTTTCCCATGTATTACCCAAGGGACTGGCTTCTATCTCTCCTGTTTCTAAAAGCTGATGGGGCCCAGCAGACACTAGTTCCCTGGGGGCTCCAGACAGCAATGCCTAAAGCGCAAGCACTTCCCACAGCTCCACCCCCTGGCTCAGCCAGTTTAACTCAAGAAGAAATAGAAAATGTGAATAGACATAGAACAAGTAAAGAGATTCTGTCACTCCTCAAAAACCTTACCACAAAAAAAAAAAAAAAAAAAAAAACCCAGGACACGGTGGCTTCATTGCTTAATTCTACCAAAAGTTCTAAAAAGAAATAACACCGATACTTCACAAACTTTTCCAAAAATAAAAAAAGTGGGAACACTATGATTCAAGTATCACTCTTGTATCAAAGCCAGACAGACATTACAAGAAAAGAAGTAAAAGACCTACGTATTATGAATATAGATAAAAATTCTTCTGCAAAATTATAGCAAAACAGATCCAGCATCATAGAAAAATAAGTATACACTCTGACCCAGTGCAGTTTATCCCAAGAATGCAAGGTTGTTTCAGCATCTGAAAATCAGTCAATTTAATACACAATATAAATAACACAAAGGCAGAACGACATGATCATCTCAACACATGCATTTGACAAAATCCAACACTATTTTATAATAAAAATAATCAACAAACTAAGACTAGAAGGGAACTTTCTCCACATTATAAAGGGCAGCTGTAAAAAACCAATAGCATACTTCATACTTAATGAAACACTGGATACTTTTCCATTAAGATCAGGAACCAGACAGAGATGTCCACCTTCACCACTTCTATTCAATAATGTACTGGAAATTCTAACCAGGGAAATTAGACTAGAAAAAAAGTAAAAGTCATCCAGATTGTAAAGGAAGAAATAAAATTATCTCTATTTGCAGATAACATGATTTTATATTAAAAAATCCACAAAGATATATTAGTGCTAATAAACGAGTTCAGTAAGGTTGCAGAATTAACATACAAAAATCAGTTGTATTTCTATATACTAGAAATAATCAATTAAAAATGAAATTAAGGAACCAATTTTATTTAAAATAGCATCACATTAATAAAATCACTAAAAAATTTAGAAAAGAAGGTAAAAACTTGCACACCAAAGAGTACAAACCATTGCTGAAAGAAATTAAAGAAGGCCTAAATAAATGAAAAGGCATTTGTGTTCATTAATTGGAAAAATTAATATCATTAAGATGTTGCTACTCCCCTAAATTGATCTACCGATCTAATAAAATAACTTTCAAAATTCCAACTGCATTTTCACAGAAATGGGAAAGCTAAAATTCATGTTTGTATTAGTTTGCTCTCACATTGGTATAAAGAACTACCTGAGACTGGGTAATTTATTAAAAAAAAAGAGATTCAATCGGCTCACAGTTCCACAGCCTGTATGGGAAGCATAGCCTGGATGGTCTCAGGAAGCTTACAATCATGGCAGAAGGGGAAGGGGAAGCCTGCACATCCTACGTGGCTGGAGAAGGAGGAAGAGAGAGAGGGAAGGGGGAGGTGCTATACACTTTGAACCAGATCTCGTGAGAACTCTTTCATGAGACAGCACTAGAGGGATGGTGCTAAACCATTAGAAACTACCCCCAGCTCCAATCACCTCTCACCAACACTGAACAATTCTATGAGAGTTGGGTGGGGACACAGAGCCAAATCATCACAATGTGGAAATAGAAGGCGCCCTGAATAACCAACACAATCTTTAAAAAGTAGAACAAATTTGGAGAACTTGCACTCCTGGATTTCAAAACTGTAGTAATCAGTACAGTGTGATACTGATGTTTCCATAAGGATATATATAAGTAAAATAAAATTGAGAGCCCAGATATAACCCATACATCTATGGTAAATTGGTTTTCAATAATCTTTTCAAAAATGGTCCTGGGACAAATGGTTATACACATAGTGGTTGCAAAATAATGAATTTGGTCACTTTCCTCACATTCCATTAAAAAAAAAAAACATTAAAATGGATGGAAGACCTAAATGCAAGAATTAAATTTATAAGCTACTGGAAGAAAAAGATGTAAATCTTTGTGACTTTGGACTAAGAAATGGTTTCCTTGATATTTTGTTAGTCAGTTCAGGCTTATATAACAAATACCATAGTCTGGGTGGCTTATAAACGACAGAAATTTATTTCTCGCAGTTCTGGAGGCCGGAAGTCTAAGATCAGGGTGTCAGCATGGTCAGATTTTGGCAAAGGCACTCCTGTGGGTTGGAAACTGCCAATTTCTTATTGTATCATCACGTGGGAGAGAGCAGAGAGAATGAGAGCAAGCTTTTGTGTCTCTTCTTACAAGGGGAATAATCCCATTAATCAGGGCTCCACCCCCATGAGCTAATTACCCCCTAGGGCCCCACATCCCAATAACATCACACTGGGAATTAGAATTTCAACATATAAATTTGGGAGGACACAAGCATTCAGTCCATAACATATATGACATCAAAACGCAACAACCAAAGAAAAAGTAAACTGGACATCATCAAAATTTAAAACTTTTGTGCATCAAAGGACACTATCAAGATAACACATGTTTATCCATGTAACAAACCTGCACATCCTGCTCATGTACCCCAGAACTTAAAATAAAAATTTAAATTTAAAAAATATAATGAAAAGATAACACAGAGGAGGAGAAAATATTTGCAAATATTTTATGTAATAAAAATCTAGTATCCAGAATATATAAAGAACTCTTACAATTCAATAATAAAAACAAACCCAATTAAAGCTGAGAAAATAATTTGAATAGCTATTTCTATGAAGAAGATACACAAGTGGCCAGTAAGCACATAAAAGAGGATCAGTATCATTAGTCATTAGGGAAATGCAAATGAAAACCACAACTAAATGCTACTTCTTACCCACTAAGACAGCTATCATCAAAAGGACAGACATGACACATAGTGATGAGGATGTGGAGAAATTGGAGCCCTCATATACCGTTGGTAGGAATGTAAAGTGGTGCAGCTACTCAGGAAAACAGTCTGGAAGTTCCTCAGATGATTAAATATAGAGTTACCGTAGGTCCCAACAATTTCACTCGTAGGCATATATCCAGAACTGAAAACATATGTTTACACTAAAACTTGTACACGAATGTTGACCGTAACATTATTCATAATAATCTAAAACTGAAACAAACACAAATAACCATCAATTAATGATTTTATAATTAAAATGTCATATATCCATACAACGCAATATTATTTACCATAAAAGGGATGAAATTCTGCCACATGCTACAACATGGATGAACCTTAAAAAATTATACGTCAAGTGAAAGAAGCCAGTCATAAAAAGCCACATATTGTATGATTCTATTTATGTGAAATGTTAACAATAGACTAAACCATAGAGACAGAAACTAGATTAGTGGTTGCCAAAAGCTGTGGGGAAAGGGCAATAGGGGGACTATTAACAAGTACGGGATTTCTTTTTGGGGTGATAAAAATATTCTGGGATTAAGTAGTGGTGATGGCTGCAAAATTGTGTGAACATACTAAAACCCACTGAATTGTACATTTTAAAATAACAAATTTAATGACATATGAATAATTTCTCAATTTAAAAAAGTTAATCCCAATCACCATCAATACACTATAAGGCTCAACTGGGCATCGGTGGCATAGCCACAATTCTTCTGTGTCTTTCACTGTTGATCTATCTGCATGTAATTATAGAAATGAAGGTTGGACAGACACTGGATCTTGATGTCGGATTCCATACTACGACTGTATATAGATACTTTCCAAATCCAAATTGAAGTTTCACAATAGGTTTTGTTGTAAATGTGTGGCTCTAATTTTATATCCTGTATTTACATGTATTCCATAAATAATGTTCCAAAATTGTATGAGACACACAGATTTCCAGAATACCGTCTTACTTTCCAAGCTTTACTCCAAAAAAATTGAGACTTTCTTCAATAGATTTAGTACAACAAACACAGTCTGTTGTCCTTATTAATATAGTGAAATTTATCCACGGTTCAAACTTTTGTCTGTTGAGTTTTCTGCAGCTATGTGTGCAGCTATGCCACATTGCAGAGACCTGACAAAATAATCCCACCACTTTTACAGCATTAGGTTTGCCTACGGCAGCAAATCAGAAAGACCACATCAAATTTATTTTGGATACACAGACAAAGCTGTGTTTTCCCAAGAAAGTTAGTAAAACAGGTATTGTTGCAATTGCAGTTTCAAAAAAACTCAGCAATGTATATTCTTCTTTCTCTGTCCTTTCTGGAGAGGCACAAGTGGAATATAAACATGGTAAAATAAAATTAATTCAGATTTCATTCCTTTATAACTTTGTAATTGTGATGTGAGCTAGGTATGATGTTTAAACTTTGCAATATTTCCCATTTTAATGTTAATTTTAGAAAAGAAATTTTAACTAACATCAAGCATTTTATACTCCCTTAATATACAAATATTTTATATATTAATGATAAAATTATATCCAGACATTAAAGTAAATCTCCTGAGATCTTTAATTAGATTCACCTTTGATTGGTCCTAATTCTTGACAGTAGTTGAAATTATTAAAACAGCATTTCAAAGAAATCTTTCATGACCTCAAATTTTCAGTGACTGGGACTGGCTTTCCGGTAAGTTTGAATTAGTAAGTCTGAATTAATATCAATTTACTTTTGAGTACCTCCTGAGTGATTAGGACACAGAATGTGGAGTGAGACTGACCAAAGACAAATCATCGTTTCACTATATACAAGCTCAGTAACCACTTAGCCAAGTGACCTCTGTGCTTCAACTGTCCTCATCTGTAAAATTGGAATAATAATAGCACAAATGTCATAAAGTTATGACAATTAAATGTGTTAACCTTTTAAAGTACCTGGAACATTTTAATCATTATACTTTTTATCAACATAATAATTAAAACAGACTTAATTGGTTTGCTTTAATTTCCTTTAAGCCTGCATTAAATCAACAGTACTTAATCTGTACCAAATACCATGCCTAGGTTCTTGCAGCACTCCCTATGTTATGACTGTGGTTATAGTTTTATGAAGGACCTATTTTACTGTTATGTGTTAATTTGTTATGTATTAAATTTAATGTGTTAGTAGAAAACAGCATATTAAATGATCACAATAAAAAGGGATGGGGTAGCTAAAGGCGAAGTTCATGTGCTGTGAAGGCCACCTGGAGGCACCACCTTCACTGTGGAGCCCAGGAACATAGGCAATCCCGGATCTCCATGTGTCATGAATCAGATAGACCCCTGAAGCATGCAGAACACTAGGACACTACTGCCAATGAACTCTATTGTCATGAGGCAGAAATAGCCCTTCCAGGCAAGTGAACATTGCAGGCTTCTAATGCTATGGCTCATGTGAATACTACAATCATGTGGCCTCCTACTTTCATGTGGCAATGAGGCCCTCATAATTATGTGGGCACCACAGGTACTCTACTGCTGTTGGTCACATGGATACCATGTGGCTTAGTCTGTTTGGGCTACTATAACAAAATACCATGGACTGTGTAGTCTATAAACAACAGAAATTTATTTTTCACAGTTCTGGAGGCTGGAAAGTCCAAGGTCAAGGCACTGGCAGATTCAGTGTCTGATAAGGGCACTGGCCATATTTTCACTCTAACCTCACATGGAGGAAGGGGAAAGGGATCTTTCTTGGGCCTATTTTGAAAGGACACTAATCCCATTCATGAGGGCTCTACCCTCATGACTTAATCAACTCCCCAGAGTCCCAGCTCCTAATAACATCACCTTAGGGTTTAGGATTTCAGCATATGAATTTTGGGGGAACACAAATATTCAGACCTTAGCACTCTGATCATGTGCTCCCTTATAGTCATTAGGCAGGCTAAACTCTTTGTATTGTGTAAAAACTGTAGACTTTGGAACCCTATGAGTCATGTGAATATTGCCCCCCTTATGGCCCTCACTATTGTGTGGCAGGTTCAGCTCTCTCATCCAGGTGAAGTCACATGAATCCTGTGGGCATGGTCACAGTCCTATGGCCATGTACCATGCCTAGCCCATTAATAGAAACTTCTGAACTGGATCTAATCTTTTAGCCCTCTGTAAATTCAGACCTACAGATGCAGAAAATTGTCAGAACTGTAGTCCATGCTCAGGCAAAACTTTGATCGGACTGTGGCTCAGATCCCAACCTTTCTACCAAATTTTACATCCTGCCTCAGTGGACAGTACTTGGGTATCAGGAGTGATAGCAAATATTAGAAGTTTACTCAGCAAATTGGACACTGAGGGAGCCAAATGGGTCCAAGTGGCAGAGGGACACAGAGGGTTGGTGGAGGGAGGGAGACTTCCTCAGGGTTTGTGGACAAATTTGGCAGATTCAGTGTCTGATAAGGGCCCTGGCTGTTATTGGTAGAGAGGGATGTGGTGTTAGCGGGGGGAAACACTATGAGAGGTATAGGTCATGGACTTGTAGATCATCTGTCTGTGGCAGGGCTCTGGAAGGCTGGTAATTAGTTAAGTCTGAATTAATGTCAATTTACTTTTGGCTACCTCCTTAGTGATTAGGACACAGAATGTGGAGTGAGACTGACAGAGACAAATCATCATTTCACTATATACAAGCTCGGTGACCACTTAGCTAAGTGACCTAATACCTCTGTGCTTCAACTGTCCTCATCTGTAAAATTGGAATAATAATAGGGACACCATACCCTACCCCTCTCCCATCCCTGCAATAAAGCCCGGTACTTGCCTACCCCCCTGCCATATTAACTGTCTGTGGAGATTAATTATCATAATCACCTGTATGTGATGTATCAATTTCCTCCTCCCCTGTTTACACTCCCATAAATGTGTGATGACCTGCTCTGCTCCTCTTCTGCCTATGTTTTTGTTAAGGACATCAGAGATTTTCTAGATGCCAATATGTACAGCATATCCTAAATCAGCTTAATTTCTCTCTTAATTGATTTTGTAATGATTATCTTTATACCCTTATTAATTCTCCCAGTAAACATTCTAAACATGTGCTCAGGGAACAAGCATAACAGAGAGAGTGAAGGAAAAGGAAGAGAAAGGAGAGAAAGGAAGGAAATGAAAGGAAAGGAGGAGACAGGTGATGTGTGTTTTAGTTTTTAAAGAATTTGATATTTTGATAAAAGTGAGAAAGTTGCAATCATGCAAAGATTCAGAATTGATTTCTTGTATTTATGTTGCAGGTTAGTACTTTTACAAAGTATATTTGGGGGTAGAACATAACAATGCTTTGTGCTTAGGATCAGTAAATGGTTTAAACCAATGCAGCCAGATACTATTCCTTTCTAGCTTACCGCCTGTATTAGTCTGTTTTCACACTGCTATAAAGAAATTCCTGAGGGAGGAGGTTCCAAGATGACCGAATAGGAAGAGATGCAGTCTACAGCTCCCAGCGTGAGTGATGCAGAAGACGGGTGATTTCTGATTTCTGCATTTCCAACTGAAGTACCAGGTTCATCACACTGGGGCTTGTTGGACAGTGGGTGCAGCCCACGGAGTGTGAGCTGAAGCGGGCGGCGGGGGCGGGGCATGGCCTCACCCGGGAAGTGCAAAGGGTCGGGGAATTCCCTTTCCTAGCCAAGGGAAGCGGTGACAGATGGTACCTGGAAAATTGGGACACTCCCACCCTAATGCTGCTCTTTTCCAATGGTGTTAGCAAATGGCACACCAGGACATTATATCCTGTGCCTGGCTCGGAGAGTCCCACACCCAAGGAGCCTTGCTCACTGCTGGCACAGCAGTCTGAGATCAAACTGCAAGGAGGAAGTGAGGCTGGGGGAGGGCGTCCACTATTGCTGAGGCTTGAGTAGGTAAACAAAGCGGCCAGGAAGCTCGAACTGGGTGGAGCCCACCGCAGTTGAAGGAGGCCTGCCTGCCTATGAAGACTCCACATCTGGGGGCAGGGCATAGCTGAACAAAAGGCAGCAGAAACTTCGGCAGACTTAAACATCCCTGTTGGACAGCTTTGAAGAGAGTAGTGGTTCCCTCAACAGCGAGTTTGAGATCTGAGAACAGAGAGGCTGCCTCCTCAAATGGGTCCCTGACCCCAGAGTAGCCTAACTGGGAGACACTCCAAGTAGGGGCCAACTGACACCTTATACAGCCGGGTGCCCCTCTGAGACAAAGCTTCTGGAGGAAATATAAGGCAGCAACATTTGCTGTTCTGCAATATTTGCTTTTCTCCAGCCCTGGCTGGTGATACCCAGGCAAACAGGGTCTGGAGAGGACGTCTAGCAAACTCCAGCAGACCTGCAGCTGAGGCTCCTGACTGTTAGAAGGAAAACTAACAAATGGGACATCCACACCAAAACCCCATCTGCAGATCACCATCATCAAAGACCAAAGGTAGATAAAACCACAAAGATGGGGAGAAACCAGAGCAGAAAAGCTGAAAATTCTAAAAATCAGAGCACCTCTTCTCCTCCAAACGAACGCAGCTCCTCACCAGCAACAGAACAAAGCTGGATGGAGAATGACTTTGACAAGTTGATGGAAGTAGGCTTCAGACGATCAGTAATAACAACCTTCTCCAAGCTAAAGGAGGATGTTTGAACACATTGCAAAGAAGCTAAAAACCTTGAAAAAAGATTAGACAAAAGGCTAACTAGAATAAACAGTGCAGAGAAGAACTTAAATGACCTGATGGAGCTGAAAACCATGGCATGAGAACTATGTGACGCATGCACAAGCTTAAGTAGTTGATTTGATCAAGTGGAAGAAAGGGTATCAGTGATTGAAGATAAAGTGAATAAAATGAAGCAAGAAGAGAAGTTTAGAGAAAAAAAGAGTACAAAGAAACGAACAAAGCCTCCAAGAAATATGGGACTATGTGAAAAGACCAAATCTATATCTGATTGGTGTACCTGAACGTGACAGGGAAAATGGAACCAACTTGGAAAACACTATTCAGGATATCATTCAGGAGAACTCTCCCAACCTAGCAAGGCAAGCCAACACTCAAATTCAGGAAATACAGAGAACACCACAAAGATACTCCACAAAAAGTGCAACTCCAAGACACATAATTGTCAGATTCACCAAAGTTGAAATGAAGGAAAAAATGTTAAGGGCAGCCAGAGAGAAAGGTCAGGTTACCCACAAAGGGAAGCCCATCAGACTAACAGCTGATGTCTCAGCAGAAACTCTACAAGCCAGAAGAGAGTGGGGGCCAATATTCAACATTCTTAAAGAAAAGAATTTTCAACCCAGAATGTCATATACAGCCAAACTAAGCATCATAAGTGAAGGAGAAATAAAATCCCTTACAGATAAACAAATACTGAGAGATTTTGTCACCACCAGGCCTGCCCTACAGGAGCTCCTGAAGGAAGCACTAAACATGGAAAGGAACAAATAGTACCAGCCACTGCAAAAACATGCCAAATTATAAACACCATCGATGCTAGGAAGAAACTGCATCAACTAACAAGTAAAATAACCAGCTAACATCATAATGACAGGATCAAATTCACACATAACAATATTAACCTCAAAGGTAAATGGGGTAAATGCTCCAATTAAAAGACACAGACTGGCAAATTGGATAAAGACTCAAGTGTGCTGTATTCAGGAGACACATCTCATGTGCAGAGATGCACACAGACTCAAAATAAAGGGATGGAGGAAGATCTACAAAGCAAATGGAAAACAAAAAAAGGCAGGGGTTGCAATCCTACTCTCTGATAAAACAGACTTTAAACCAACAAAGATAAAAAGAGACAAAGAAGGCCATTACATAATGGTAAAGCGATCAATTCAACAAGAAGAGCTAACTATCCTACATATATATGCACCCAATACAGGAGCACCCAGATTCATAAAGCAAGTCCTTAGAGACCTACGAAGAGACTTAGACTCCCATACAATAATAATGGAAAACTTTGACACCCCACGGTGAACATTAGGCAGATCAACGAGACAGAATGTTAACAAGGAGATCCAGGACTTAAACTCAGCCCTGCACCAAGTGGACCTAATAGACATCTACAGAACTATCCACCCCAGATCAACAGAATATAGTTTCTTCTCAGCACCACATCGCACTTATTCTAAAACTGACCACATAATTGGAAATAAAGCACTCCTCAGCAAATGTAAAAGAACAGAAATTATAACAAACGGTCTCTCAGACGACAGTGCAATCAAACTAGAACTCAGGATTAAGAAACTCACTCAAAACCGCTCAACTACATGGAAACTGAACAATCTGCTCCTTAATGACTACTGGGTACATAACGAAATGAAGGCAGAAATAAAGATGTTTTTTGAAACCAATGAGAACAAAGACACAACATACCAGAATCTCTGGGACACATTCAAAGCAGTGTGTAGAGGCAAATTTATAGCACTAAATGCCCACAAGAGAAAGCAGGAAAGATCCAAAACTGACACCCTAACATCACAATTAAAAGAACTAGAAAAGCAAGAGCAAACACATTCAAAAGCTAGCAGAAGGCAAGAAATAACTAAAATCAGAGCAGAACTGAAGGAAATAGAGACACAAAAAACCCTTCAAAAGATTAATGAATCCAGGAGCTGTTTTTTTGAAAGGATCAACAAAATTGATAGACCGCTAGCAAGACAAATAAAGAAGAAAAGAGAGAAGAATCAAATAGATGCAATAAAAAATGACAAAGGGCATATCACCACCTATCCCACAAAAATACAAACTACCATCAGAGAATACTACAAACACATCTATGCAAATAAACTAGAAACTCTAGAAGAAATGGATAAATTCCTCAACACATGCACTCTCCCAACACTAAACCAGGAAGAAGTTGACTCTCTGAATAGACCAATAACAGGCTCTGAAATTGTGGCAATAATCAATAGCTTACCAACCAAAAAGAGTCCAGGACCAGATGGATTCACAGTCGAATTCTACCAGAGGTAGAAGGAGGAGCTGGTACCATTCCTTCTGAAACTATTCCAATCAATAGAAAAAGAGGGAATCCACCCTAACTCATTTTATGAGGCCAGCATCATCCTGATACCAAAGCCGGGCAGAGAAACAACCCAAAAAGAGAATTTTAGAACAATATCCTTGATGAACATTGATGCAAAAATCCTCAATAAAATACTGGCAAACTGAATCCAGCAGCACATCAAAAAGCTTATCCACCATGATCAAGTGGGCTTCATCCCTGGGATGCAAGGCTAGTTCAATATATGCAAAACAATAAATGTAATCCAGCATATAAACAGAACCAAAGACAAAAACCCCATGATTATCTCAATAGATGCAGAAAAGGCCTTTGACAAAATTCAACAACGCTTCATGCTAAAAACTCTCAATAAATTAGGTATTGATGGGACGTATCTCAAAATAATAAGAGCTATCTATGACAAACCCACAGCCAATATCATACTGAATGGGCAAAAACTGGAAGCATTCCCTTTGAAAACTGGCACAAGACAGGGATGCCCTCTCTCACCACTCCTATTCAACATAGTGTTGGAAGTTCTGGCCAGGGCAATTAGGCAGGAGAAGGAAATAAAGGGTATTCAATTAGGAAAAGACGAAGTCAAATTGTCCCTGTTTGCAGATGACATGCTTGTATATCTAGAAAACCCCATTGTCTCAGCCCAAAATCTCCTTAAGATGATAAGCATCTTCAGCAAAGTCTCAGGATACAAAATCAATGTACAAAAATCAGAAGCATTCTTATACACCAATAACAGACAAACAGAGAGCCAAATCATGAGTGAACTCCCATTCACAATTGCTTCAAAGAGAATAAAATACTTAGGAATCCAACTTACAAGGGATGTGAAGGACCTCTTCAGGGAGAACTACAAACCACTGCTCAATGAAATAAAAGAGGATACAAACAAATGGAAGAACATTCCATGCTCATGGGTAGGAAGAATCAATATCGTGAAAATGGCCATACTGCCCAAGGTAATTTATAGATTCAATGCCATCCCCATCAAGCTACCAATGACTTTCTTCACAGAACTGGAAAAAACTACTTTAAAGTTCATATGGAACCAAAAAAAAGCCCGCATCACCAAGTCAATCCTAAGCCAAAAGAACAAAGCTAGAGGCATTGCGGTACCTGACTTCAAACTATACTACAAGGCTACAGTAACCAAAACAGCATGGTACTGGTACCAAAACAGAGATATAGATCAATGGAACAGAACAGAGCCCTCACAAAAAACGCTGCATATCTACAACTATCTGATCTTTGACAAACCTGACAAAAACAAGCAATGGGGAAAGGATTCCCTATTTAATAAATGGTGCTGGGAAAACTGGCTAGCTATATGTAGAAAGCTGAAACTGGATACCTTCCTTACACCTCCTACAAAAATTAATTCAAGATGTATTAAAGACTTAAATGTTAGACCTAAAACCATAAAAACCCTAGAAGAAAATCTAGGCATTACCATTCAGGACACAAGCATGGGCAAGGACTTCATGTCTAAAACACCAAAAGCAATGGCAACAAAAGCCAAAATTGACAAATGAGATCTAATTAAACTAAAGAGCTTCTGCACAGCAAAAGAAACCACCATCAGAGTGAACAGGCAACCTACAAATTGGGAGAAAATTTTCAAAACCTACTCATCTGACAAAGAGCTAATAGCCAGAATCTACAATGAACTCAAACAAACTTACAAGAAAAAAACAAACAACCCCATCAAAAATGGGCAAAGGATATAAACAGACACTTCTCAAAAGAAGACATTTATGCAGCCAAAAGACACATGAAAAAATGCTCATCATCACTGACCATCAGAGAAATGCAAATCAAAACCACAATGAGATACCATCTCACACCAGTTAGAATGGCAATCATTAAAAATTCAGGAAACAGCAGGTGCTGGAGAGGATGTGGAGAAATAGGAACACTTTTACACTGTTGGTGGGACTGTAAACTAGTTCAACCATTGTGGAAGCCAGTGTGGTGATTCCTCAGGGATCTAGAACTAGAAATACCATTTGACCCAGCCATCCCATTACTGGGTATATACCCAAAGGACTATAAATCATGCTGCTATGAAGACACATACACATGTATGTTTATTGCGGCACTATTCACAATAGCAAAGACTTGAAACCAACCCAAATGTCCAACAATGATAGACTGGATTAAGAAAATGTGGCACATATACACCATGGAATACTATGCAGCCATAAAAAAGGATGAGTTCATGTCCTTTGTAGGGACATGGATGAAATTGGAAATCATCATTCTCAGTAAACTATCACAAGGACAAAAAACCAAACACTGCATGTTCTCACTCATAGATGGGAATTGAACAATGAGAACACATGGACACAGGAAGGGGAACATCACACTCTGGGGACTGTTGTGGGATCGGGGGATGGGGGAGGGATAAAATTAGGAGATATACCTAATGCTAAATGACAAGTTAATGGTTGCAGCACACCAGCATGGCACATGTATACATATGTAACTAACCTGTACATTGTGCACATGTACCCTAAAACTTAAAGTATAATAATAATAAAAAAAAGAAACTGCATCAATTAACAGGCAAAATAACCAGTGAACATCATCATGACAGGACCAAATTCACACATAACAATATTAACCTTAAATGTAAATGGGCTAAATGCTCCAACTAAAAGACACAGACTGGTAAATTGGATAAAGAGTCAAGACCCATCAGTGTGCTGTATTCAGGAGATGCATCTCACATGCAAAGAGGCACATAGGCTCAAAGTAAAGGGATGGTGGAAGATTTACCAAGCAAATGGAAAGCAAAAATAGAAGGGGTTGCAACCCTTGTCTCTGATAAAACAGACCGTAAACCAACAGACATCAAAAGGGACAAAGAAGGCCATCACATAATGGTAAAGGAATCAATTCAACAAGAAGAGCTAACTAACCTAAATATATATGCACCCAATACAGGAGCACCCAGATTCATAAAGCAAGCCCTTAGAGACCTAAAAAGAGGCTTAGACACCCAAACAATAATAATGGGAGACTTTAACACCCCACTGTCAATATTAGACAGATCAACGAGACAGAAGGTTAACAAGGATATCCAGGACCTGAACTCAGATCTGCAAAAAGCAGATCTAATAGACATCTACAGAACTCTCCACCCCAAATCAGCAGAATATACATTCTTCTCAGCACCACATCACACTTATTCTAAAATTGACCACATAATTGGAAGTAAAGCACTCCTTGGCAAATGTAAAAGAACAGAAATCACAACAAACTGTCTCTCAACCACAGTGCAATCAAATTAGAACTCAGGATTAAGAAACTCACTCAGAACCACACAACTACGTGGAAACTGAACAACTTGCTCCTGAATGACTACTGGGTAAATAACAAAATGAAGGCAGAAAGAAAGATGTTCTTTGAAACCAATGAGAACAAAGACACAATATACCAGAATCTCTGGGACACATTTAAAGCAGTGTGTAGAGGGAAATTTATAGCACTAAATGCCTACAAGAGAAAGCAGGAAAGATCTAAAATCGACACCCTGACATCACAATTAAAATAAATATAGAAGCAAGAGCAAACACATTCAAAAGCTAGCAGAAGGCAAGAAATAACTAAAATAAGAGCTGAACTGAAAGAGATAGAGACACAAAAAAACCCTTCAAAAAATCAATGAATCCAGGCGCTGGTTTTTTGAAAACATCAGCAAAACTGATAGAGTGCTAGCAAGACTAATAAAGAAGAAAAGAGAGAGGAATCAAATAGATGCAACAAAAAATGATAAAGGGGATATCACCACCGATCTCTCAGAAATACAAACTACCATCAGAGAATACTATAAACACCTCTACGCAAATAAACTAGAAAATCTAGAAGAAATGGAAAAATTCCTGGACACATACACTCTCACAAGACTAAACCAGGAAGAAGTCAAATCTCTGAATAGACCAATAACAGGCTCTGAAATTGAGGCAATAATTAATAGCCTACCAACCAAAAAAAGTCCAGGACCAGATGGATTCACAGCAGAATTCTACCAGAGGTACAAGGAGGAACTGGTACCATTCCTTCTGAAACTATTACAATCAATAGAAAAAACACATGAAAAAATGCTCATCATCACTGGCCATCAGAGAAATGCAAATCAAAACCACAATGAGATATCATCTCACACCAGTTAGAATGGCGATCATTAAAAAGTCAGGAAACAACAGGTGCTGGAGAGGATGTGGAGAAATAGGAACACTTTTACACTGTTGGTGGGACTGTAAACTAGTTCAACCATTGTGGAAGTCAGTGTGGCGATTCCTCAGGGATCTAGAACTAGAAATACCATTAGACCCAGCCATCCCATTACTGGGTATATACCCAAAGGACTATAAATCATGTTGCTATAAAGACACATGCACACGTATGTTTATTGCGGCATTATTCACAATAGCAAAGACTTGGAACCAACCCAAATGTCCAACAATGATAGACTGGATTAAGAAAATGTGGCACATATACACCATGGAATACTATGCAGCCATAAAAAATGATGAGTTCATGTCCTTTGTAGGGACATGGATGAAATTGGAAATCATCATTCTCAGTAAACTATCGCAAGAACAAAAAACCAAACACCGCATATTCTCGCTCATAGGTGGGAATTGAACAATGAGATCACATGGACACATGAAGGGGAATATCACACTCTGGGGACTGTTGTGTGGTGGGGGGAGGGGGGAGGGATAGCATTGGGAGATATATCTAATGCTAGATGACGAGTTAGTGGGTGCAGTGCACCAGCATGGCACATGTATACATATGTAACTAACCTACACAATGTGCACATGTACCCTAAAACTTAAAGTATAATAAAAAATAAAAATAAAAAAAAGAAAAAGAGGGAATCTTCCCTAACTCATTTTATGAGGCCAACCTCATCCTGACAACAAAGCCTGGCAGAGACACACACACAAAAAAGAGAATTTTATACCAATATCCCTGATGAACATCCATGCAAATATCCTCAATAAAATACTGGCAAACTGAATTCAGCAGCACATCAAAAAGCTTATCCACCACGATCAAGTCGGCTTCATCCCTGGGATGCAAGCCTGGTTCGACATATGCAAATCAATAAATGTAATTCATCACATAAACAAAACCTTTGACAAAAACCACATGATTATCTCAATAGATGCAGAAAAGGCCTTTGACAAAATTCAACAGCCCTTCATGCTAAAAACTCTCAATAAACTTGGTACTGATGGAACGTATCCCAAAATAATAGAGCTATTTATGACAAATCCACAGCCAATATCATACTGAATGGGCAAAAACTGGAAGCATTCCCTTTGAAAACTTGCCCAAGACAAGGCTGCCCTCTCTCACCATTCCTATTCATTGTGGTGTTGGAAGTTCTGGCCAGGGCAATCAGGCAAGAGAAATAAATAAAGGGTATTCAATCAGGAAAAGAGGAAGTCAAATTGTCCCAGCTTGCAGACAGCATGATTGTATATTTAGAAAACCCCATTGTCTCAGTCCAACGTCTCCTTAAGCTCATAAGCAACTTCAGCAAACTCTCAGGATACAAAATCAATGTGCAAAAATCACAAGCATTTCTATACACCATTAACAGACAAACAGAGAGCCGAATCATGAGTGAACTCCCATTCACAAATGCTACAAAGAGAATAAAACACCTAGGAATCCAACTTACAAGGGATGTGAAGGACCTCTTCAAGGAGAACTACAAACCACTGCTCAATGAAATAAAAAAGGACACAAACAAATGGAAAAAATATTCCATGCTCATAGATAGGAAGAATCAATATCCTGAAAATGGCCATACTGCCCAAAGTACTTTATAGATTCAGTGGCATCCCCATCAAGCTACCAATGACTTTCTTCACAGAATTGGAAAAAACTACTTTAAAGTTCATATGAAACCAAAAAAGAGCCCGCAATGCCAAGTCAATCCTAAGTCAAAAGAACAAAGCTGGAGACATCATGCTACCTGACTTCAAACTATACTACAAGGCTACAGTAACCAAAACAGCATGATACTGATATCAAAACAGATATATAGGCCAATGGAACAGAACAGAGGCCTCAGAAATAACATCACACATCTACAACCATCTGATCTTTGACAAACCTGACAAAAACAAGAAATGGGGAAAGAATTCCCTATTTAATAAATGGTGCAGAGAAAACTGACTAGCCATATGTAGAAAGCTGAAACTGGATCCCTTCCTTACACCTTATACAAAAATTAATTCAAGATGGATTAGAGACTTAAATGTTAGACCTAAAACCATAAAAATCCTAGAAGAAAACCTAGGCAATACTATTCAGGACATAGGCATGGGCAAGGACTTCATGTCTAAAACACCAAAAGCAATGGCAACAAAAGCCAAAATAGACAAATGAGATCTAATTAAACTAAAGAGCTTCTGCACAGCAAAAGAAACTACCATCAGAGTGAACAGGCAACCTACAGAATGGGAGAAAATTTTTGCAATCTACCCATCTGACAAAGGGCTAATATCTACAAAGAACTCAAACAAATTTACAAGAAAAATACAAACCCATCAACAAGTGGGCGAAGGATATGAACAGACACTTCTCAAAAGAAGACATTTATGCAGCCAACAGACACATGAAAAAATGCTGGTCATCATTGGCCATCAGAGAAATTCAAATCAAAACCACAAAGAGATACCATCTCACGCCAGTTAGGATGGCAATAATTAAAAAGTCAGGAAACAACAGATGCTGGAGAGGATGTGGAGAAATTGGAATGCTTTTACACTGTTGGTGGAAGTGTAAATTGGTTCAACCATTGTGGAAGACAGTGTGGCGATTCCTCAAGGATCTAGAACTAGAATTACCATTTGACCCAGCAATCGCATTACTGGGTATATACCCAAAGGATTATAAATGATGCTACTATAAAGATACATGCACATGTATGTTTACTGAGGCACTATTCACAATAGCAAAGATTTGGAACCAACACAAATGTCCATCAATGATAGACTGCATTTAGAAAATGTGGCACATGTACATATGTGGAATACTACGCAGCCATAAAAAAGGATGAATTCACGTCCTTTGCAGGAACATGGATGAAGCTGGAAACCACCATTCTCAGCAAACTATCACGAGGACAGAAAACCAAACACCGTGTGTTCTCACTCATAGTTGAACCCCCAAAATAATGAGGACATGATTTTTTTCACCCAGTTTGGTTCTATCCCATAAGTAAGTTTCTATTTTCCCCTGTCCATTCTAAATCCAAAACTTCCGAACCTAATTTTTTTCCTAATTTTCTAGATTGCTGCTTGACTGCTGCAGTTGGCCTGAGAATGATGGGTGAACCTCCACAGTCTCTAAAAATAAACCCAAGTCCCTGTGGACCAAGAACATTTTTATCATTTGTGATGCTGAGTCAGCTGATATTCATAACCTGGCAGTTGGAGCCCCAGACTAGGAGTGACTCCTAGAATCACTTGAAAGAAAGAGAAATCCCGTGGAAGCTGAGACCTGTCCTTAGCTGAATGCCTGTTGGCACAAAGTTGATATTCACAATATCAATTTTCAACCAATCCCCATTTTTCATACTGCTTCAAACCAGACACTAGGACAGGAGTTGAGAACTCTTACTATTGCTGTATCCTTGAAAATTTAAGGGAAATATGGTGCTAGAAATGGAGTTTTGTCTTCTCTTCATCTGCAATTCAGTGAATTTCTGACTTCCAGAAGCCCTTATATTCATTCTCTGGATAATCCCACAAAGAGTTTTCACCGTCCGTCAAGAAAATGATTTTTCAATGGAGAAAATAATGCTAGTGACTGTAGTTTAATGAGATCCCCCCTCCTCCACCAGATTACTTAAGGCTGTACATCTGCTGCCTGAACCCTGAAGGCCAGGTGGTGATCCAAGGCCATGCATGGTGCCCAGCTTAGAAGCCGAGGTGTCCCTGAGAATCAAAACATCAAAACATCCCAGAGCATACCGGGAAACATACCAAGAAAAAGAGTCTCATTGCATGTGGAAGGCAAGAGCCAGAAAATTAGCTTAAAAGCAGTTTGCAGAGGAGTGTCAGGGCAGATCCCCGGAGCTGTCCTGCTGCCACCCAGGAATGTCCTATCCGTAAGTCCCAATAAATTCATCTGCTTATCAAGCTGAACTTGTCTGGGTCATTCTTTGGTCTCTTAGCTCCTTCGCAGTTTTGGGGAGGCATTATTCTATACAGTACCAGTATTTTCCCTTATCAGTACCTGATGCCCTGATTCTGGCTCAGGCCAGCATACTGAAGAATGATCAGCCAGTGAAGGGAAACCGGAGGGCCCACTGGATTCTCATTCAGCTAGTTAGGGGATGAGGGTGTAGAACCTGGCTTCAGCTAGAGCACAGGAGGAACTGAAATTTTCTTGCAGCTCAGAAGTTTATTAGTGAAGGGGATTGGGCCAGTTGGTGTTTACATGCTTGACCCCTGCATCCCTGTGTCCTGGCTGTAGTGAGGAGGTGATGTCATTCCAGAAACATACTGACCTTTCTCTCCTGTTGCCATGGCTGGGGTGCAGCACTATCTGTTTCTTGTGCTTGAGCTGGATGGATGATGTTTTTTAGGATCTCAGCATAGTACGGGCCAAATACCTGCTGATTATGATACTTCAGAATGACAAACTTCCAACCCAGTTCTGCCAGCTCCCCTTCAATGAGAATGAGGCCTCCAGGAAAGTGTAGCAGAGACTCCTGCATGCCATGAAGCAAACAGCATTTAAGAAACAAACAGATCCGCTGATCCGTGAGCAGGGAAAAACAATGAAGAGAGGAAAAAAGAGGGTTCAGAATAAATTCTTTTTTTTGTTGTTCTCATTTTTCTTTTCTTTTTTTAAATTATACTTTAAGTTCTAGGGTACATGTGCACAACGTGCAGGTTTATTACATATGTATACATGTGCCATCTTGTTGTGCTGCACCCATTAACTCATCATTTACATTAGGTATATCTCCTAATGCTATCCCTCCTCCCTCCCCCAACTCACAACAGGCCCCAGTGTGTGATGTTCCCCTTCCTGTGTCCAAGTGTTCTCATTGTTCAATTCCCACCTATGAGTGACAACATGCGGTGTTTGGTTTTTTGTCCTTGCGATAGTTTGCTGAGAATGATGGTGTCCAGCTCCATCCATGTCCCTACAAAGGACATGAACTAAAGAAATTCACAATGTCTTTGCACTATCTGCTCACCAAAGTTTTACGTTAACCAGTTTATTCACTGACCTCTCCGCTCATTTGGGTAAACCGTATAAGTTAGATTTTTGTTTGTTTTGGGGAAGTGAATGCCATCAGGCTCCCAAAGGACAGTGCATGATCAAAAGATGCTGAGGTAGTAAATTCCTGGCGGTTCATAAGATTACTTTATGTAGCTGTACGTGAGATCCAAGTGCACGTTTAACTTAACAAGAGGACCGTAGACCCGGTACGTGAAAGTAACAATATGTGTTGCAGCCAGTGCACCAAGTTCAGGCCTATACACCCAATCCAGACTATGATCAGATGCTAAAGTTCAAAGCAAGCTGTCCAAGTTCACTGCTTCCATTCCAGCACGGAACATGTCCTACAGCCTAACTCAACATCACTTCCATGGAGAGGAGTAGGGGCCCACATGGTGGCTTAAAGCATAGGATAGAGAAAGGGTTTCTACATATATCTTGGCGGACAGTTAGAAAATGACCAGGAATGACTTCATAGGATTAGTGCGACAGTATCCAACACCCATGAATGACATATCTTGGGTACAGAGCCACCTTCAAACCATACATGCATTGTTCAAATTGAAAAAGATCTATTTGAACCATGCACATTATAGATGAGGAAACTAAAGCTAAAAAAATTTCCAAGTGATCATGCCTTTCATTTTTAAATGGCTAGGTAACTCACATTCAGGGTAAGGTCTACCTGCCCACCTCCCACATTCTTGCCACTTTTCTGCACCATGACCATGGGGATTCTTACCAACGATGCTACGAATGCCACTCTCTTCCTTGGTGATGTTCTGGAGTTGGCCTAGAAGAGATGCTGTGTTTTCACTGCTCAGAGTAGTGAGGCCCATGTCCTTAAGGCCTTGATAGATTTCCTGAGACACCTGTTCATTCACACTCAGCATAGCTTCTTTAGGCTTAGATAATGAAGGAGAGAATGCAGAGTGGGCCTGGCAGAGGGGCAAAGCCCAGAGAGCCTCATACTACAAGCCAGGCCTATTCCAGGAAGAATTCCATCTCTCTGCCACCAGAAGACAGCATTAGCCACTGGGCCAGTGAAATATACTCATTGTTACCCGCAAGGTACCACCTGATCCCAACATACAGTACCATATGCCACTTCAACAAAAACAAAGTAAATTGGGCAAGGGTTCAGTTCCATCCTTGGATCTACTCAGCATTTTCCAGTCCCATCAACTGTATTTAAATATTGTTTTAAGACTCTATTGGATATTTTTCATGGTTTTTCTCCTACCCCACCAATTAAATTGCAAATATATTAAGAGGCTTGGACTTCCTACTCCTCCTTGTACTTTGATATAATATCCCTGCCCCTACATGCAGTGAATGGTCAATATCACTGACCAACTGATCAACTTCTGGATATACATAGCAGAAATCCACTGTCATTCAATCAAGTATATAATGACTCATTTTTAGCAAACACATAAGGAATATTTTTAGCAAACTGGCTTCCACACTCTCCTCTTTGGAAAAATAAATTTTATTTTCTGTATCCCAAACCTCAATACAACTTATCGAAGATACCAAAATCTTTGGAGATGGTTCCCAAGGGCCTTTGTGTCATTTGTGATGAAGTATAAGCAATAGTAGTATTGATATTACCTGCCTATGTCCCAAATACCACACATTTTCCTTTGTAACAGAGATCTATGAATCTTACCTGGAGATAAATTCCTCAGTTAGGGCCTTGGTGGTGCATTTCAGTATATCCACAAATTCAGGTGATCTGAATAAAACTTCACCAGAGAAGCTTCTGGCCACTAGCAAGACTGAGGCCAGGACAGTTAACTGGTGCAACTGGAATGCCAGTTCCTGGAGCCAGATTCTGTCCATCAGCAGAGTCTGGTGAGGGAGCGAAGGACAGCCCATCAGAAGAGGAGGGCTTGAATAGAGGCACTAATACAATAGAACAAGGAATGCCCCAGCACACATCCCTACCTCAGATAATTCTTCATTTTCAGGATCCCAGAGGAGGAGGTTCAGGTAGCCTTGGTATAGCACCATTGTTGGACTGGTGGGCTCTGAGTTGTTACCTCCCCAGTTTGGAAGTGAACATGCCATGCTGCAGGAGGAGCTAGGTGAGTCAGGAGAACTCAGACACAGTGTAGTGATGTCTGTGGCTGCCTTGGTTAGCCATTTTGTGGTATAATTGAGGAGACCTATGATGAGAAGGGAATGCATCTTAAAATTCCAAGGCTTAAGGACGAAGTCTTTGAGACATAGTTTTCATCTATAAATAAGTGATTTTGTAGATCTTTCTGTCTTAGAGAAACACTCCTTCTCCCTAACCCTTGCCCAAGGAAGAAACTTTCTATTCAGAATATAGAAAATAGCTCTATTGCTATAAAACCGGAGGTCAAATCTCCCCTCTCCTGTCCTTGAATTTTAAACATACTGGGCTGTTTATCACGGAGTTCCTGGAATTTATCTTGTTCATACTGGATGGAATGCTCCTGCAGGTAGGGTTGAAAGCTCTGAATGGTATAGTTCACCATGTCCATTTTCATTAGGCCCAGAACATGGAAGATGCCCCTGCCATAGGGAGAAACAGAACATTTACACTGTTAAAGGAAATCTAGTCTGGAAGGGTGGAATCCAAGCAAGGAGCCATAAAAGCAGAGTATTTCAGAGTTGGAAGAAGCCTTAGAAAGAAACAGTCCTGTAGGGGTTCGGATCTTTTGGTGGGAAAAATTATAAAGATAAAGTTATAGGAAATAGACACAAACCTTCTTGGAAGGCCGGGAGGTTTGCATATCTTCAGTAAAAGATTTGGCTGAAGGTAGCCTAATTCTCTTACCTTAAGTTAATAGCTTAGGATAGGTACAAAGGAATATAAGGGAGTTTATCTAAAGAGCTGGTTTGCTCATGTGGTCCTAAGACTGGCCTTTGATCATTCGTAGGACTGCTCTTTCCGGGGGAGGGAGACCAGATTTATTACCCACAGGTGTGTTGACTCAAAGCCTTTGTCATTAAATCTGTGCTGAATAAGTGCCCACGGGCCAGCTATTCAGTGTGGGAAGCTGTTGCATCTCTTTCTGTGAGTGACCCGGGACCCTAGCCACTCTTTCACTGAATATCGGTGTCTGAGTATGTTATTCATCCATCATGCAGACTGGATCTGTGGGTCAGACCCCAGCAGATGGTGCCCTGTGTGAGGAATGCTACAAAGGATCACAACAGAACCCTCAAAAATGAAGGTGAAAAGGACTGTGCAGTCAGTGAGTCAGTAAGTCATTGGCGCCTGCTCAGGATTTCCAAGTTTCAGGGGGATTGTTCAGGCTGGGGTTTCATGATGGGACAACAGTTATCAGCTCAACAGAAACAATATATAAAAGTATTGAAACAGCTGCTTAAAGCTAGTGGAGCCTCAGTTTCATAGGCTCAATTAAGGGACCTAATGAAAACTGTTGTATTCCATAACCCATGGTTCCTGGGAAAATGTATGCTAGACGTAGAGCTCTGGGAACAAGTGGGGAGAAATATTAAACAACATCATGCATGAGGGCAACCAATCCCAGTATCATCTCTAAAGTTATGGGTTTTTGTTAGGGCAGCCCTTGTCCCATTATACACAGAAGAGCCTAAAAAGGGGAGGGAGGAAGAACCATCACCTACCTTACTGCCTCCATCTCCCTCAGCTCCACCGTTTCCAGGCAAAAATAACAAAGAGGAAACAGAGGTTTTGTCTAAGCCCCCTCCTCCAATAAATTGGAAAAAGACAAGGGATATGCTACAGCTATGGGACCCTATCTTAGGCAAGCGGCATTAGAAGTGGAGCTCTTATCCTGTCTGGTATTGCAAGATTGACAAGGCAATCAGGTACATGAACCCATTTCTTTTGATGCTTAAAAAGAGCTAAGAAAATGCATTAAAGAAAATGGAGCCACTAGCCCATTTACAAAAGGAATGATTGAAGTCTTGGTAGACAACTTCTGTATGACCCCATGGGACTGGTCAGTGCTAGCTAAAACAACTTTGGAGCCTAGCCAATACCTCCTCTGGAAGGCAGAATACGATGAGTTGTGCGAACAACAAGCCAACCAGAATCAGGTGGCCGGGAAAGACATAACAGCTGCTATGCTCCAGGGGAGGGGTTCCCCATGCTGATGTACAACAACAACCAGATTTTGATCCCTAGGCCTATGCTCAAGTGCCTTGTGGGCTCTCAGGGCTTGGGATCTAGTTCCTGAAAGCGGAGTTCAACAGAGATCTTTTATAAATGTTCGGCAAGGGCCTCAGGAGCCATTTGTTGAGTTTATCAATTGGTTAACCCAGGCAATTAAGAAACAAATTTGTCACACCCAGGCTGCTGATATCTTATTGTTGCCACTGGCTTTTGAAAACGCTAATGTGGATTGCCAGCAAGCAATGCAGGCAATCAGAGGAAAGGCAGCCACAGTTGGGGAACTTACAAAAGCATGTCAGCTGGTGGGGACTGAAACACACAAAGCCAAAATATTGGCTATGGTATTAAGGCCTCCTAAAGTGAAAAGGAAGAGAAACCCAAATTGTTTTCTATGCAGAGAGCCAGTTCATATGAAGAGGGAATGCCCCAATAATAGAGACCAAGGTAACTCAGGAAAAGAACCCCCTTCTATATGCCCCCGATGTAAAACAGGGAAATATTTGGCAAATCAATGCAGGTCTAAATTTGATAAAATCGGCAACCCCATAAGTAACCAGGTGGAAAATTTCATGAGGGGCCGGCCCCAGGCCCTGCTTCAAACTGGGGCAATGACAGTGGCTTTCCTCGGTCAGATGGAAAGCCCACAGTCCTCCCTCTCAGAGCAGCCACCACTGGGAGCACAGGACTGGACTTACTCTGCCCCAACGAATTAGTGCTAAAAGAAGGAGAATACCCTAAAAGGGTTGCAACCAGGATCTGGGGCCTGCTGCCTCTGGAAACAGTGGGGTTAGTCCTAGGGCAGTCTAGCCTATCCAGTAAAGGAATTAATGTGCTCACTGGGGTAATTGATGGTGATTATCAAGGTGAGATATTAGTTATGATGGAATGTAAATGTCTGCATATTCTTCCCCGTGGATCAAAGATAGCTCAGCTACTGCTTTTACCATACTGAGTCCCCCATGCCCATGGAAAGGAAAGGGGAAAGGGAGTTTTGGAAACACAGGAGCCACAGGAGTATATTGGAATCAATTAATCACTAATCAGAGACCCGTGATTACCCTAAAAATTAAAAATAAGAGTTTTACTGGCTTATTGGAAACAGGAGTGGACATTTCAATCATGAGTGATCAAAACTGGCCAGAAACTTGGCCTTGGGTCACTCAGAAACAAAAATTTGGCGGCATCAGGAAAGCACACACAGCCAAGCAGAGCATGCTCCCCCTAATCTGTTGTGATTCAAAGGATAGAAAGACAGTTATACAACCTCTAATCATGCCCATCCCTGTTAATCTTTGGGGATGGGACCTATTAGCCCAATGGGGGTCACTTTGCAGACCCCTTTCTAATAATGGCCACTGTTATTTTCCCTCCCCTACCCCTGATGTGGCTCTATCAAGATTCAATTTGGATAGAA
Organism: Homo sapiens; assembly: GCF_000001405.40. NCBI lineage: Eukaryota > Metazoa > Chordata > Mammalia > Primates > Hominidae > Homo > Homo sapiens. The sequence continues at coordinate 102,178,783 of NC_000023.11, read as the reverse complement.
CAGTGGCTTCTGAAGAAAGATAAATTACAAAAAGACCATGAATTAGTGAGGAGTAATTAAAAGTTGGCCATATAAAACCATCAAACAGCCCTTGGAATTTGCCTATTTTCTTCATTCCCAAAAAGTCTGGTAAATGGAGACTTTTGCATAACTTACATGCTATTAATGCTAATTTGCAACCTATGGGGCCCCTTCAACAGGGCCTTCCCTCCCCCGCAGCGATTCCTCGAGATTGGCCTATAATTATTATTGACTTAAAAGACTGTTTTTATATGATTCCTCTTGCAAAACAAGACAGAGAAAAATTTGCATTTACAATGCCAGCTATCAATAATAAAAGGCCACCTTGCCGATTTCATTGGAAAGTGCTTCCTCAAGGGATGCTAAACAGTCCTACCATGTGTCAGTATCATGTGAATCAAGTTTTGCTCCCCAGTAAAAAAAAAAAAATTCCTAATTGCAAGGTTATTCAGTTTATAGATAATATTTTACTAGCAGCCCCAACAGAGCCAATGTTTTTAAGTTTATATACCTCTGTCGTAAAGAATACACATTTAAGAGGTTTAATCATAGCACCTGAAAAAGTACAGATGTCTTCTCCTTGGAAATAATATTGGATACGTACTAACTTCCCGGTCAGTAAGACATCAAAATGTTAAATTAAATACTAGCAACTTACACACCTTAAATAATTATCAAAAATTACTAGGTGATATTAACTGGCTTCGCCCCACCTTAGGCATTCCTACTAATAAGTTTTAAAACCTGTTTTCTATCTTAAAGGGCAACACAGTCCTGGATACTTCCAGGTATTTAACCCCTGCAGCAAAAAAAAAAAAAAAAAAAAATTAAAAAAATAGAACAAGCTAGTTCCCAAAGGCAACTAGATTGCGTAGACACCCAATATTCCATTCAATTGTTTATCTTTCCCACTAAACACTCCCCTATAGGGTTAATAGAACAGATAACCCCAGGACTGCGCTTTCTAAAATGGGTTTTTACTCACATACTGGGACTAAAACACTCTCTCCCTATATCGAGTTAATCAGTAAAGTCATATATTCAGGCCACAGATGATGCAATCAGTTGCTAGGTTATGATCCTGATATCATGAGGAATCCTTTAAGTAAAAAGCAATTCAAAGCAGTATTGCCATTATCTATAAACCTGCAAATACATCTCCCTAATTACACCGGCCATTTAAAGCATGTCCTTCCTGCTGATAAACTTCTTCAGTTCTTATCTCGCACTTCTGTGGTTTTACTTACAAAAATAGTTCACTCCCTCATACCTAATGCTTTAACACTGTTTACTGATGACTCTGGTAAACATGGAAAAGCGGCCGTTTGGTAAAGACCACATAATTCCCTCACTCGATCTGGGTTTACTAGCACTCCAAAAGCTGAGGTTGGAGCCTTAATATTGGCTCTGGAGACATTTTCCTCTCAGCCCATCAATATTGTCAGTAACTCTGCCTACTCTGTTTGTTTACTGCAGAACCTTAGAACAGCCCTAATTAAGTCCACTGTGGAGCCCACCCTGTGTGCTCTTTTTCTCCAACTTCAGCAATTGCTAAATCAATGTACACATCCTATTTTTATTACATTCAAGCCCACAGCTCACTGCCTGGCCCACTGGCTTATGGCAATAATCAAGCAAACCTTTAGGTTATAACATCACTACTTAACCAAGCCACTGAATTGCATCATTTTTTTCACCAAAACTGGAGAAACTTATCTAAACAATTTCAACTTACCCAAAGACTAAACAAATTACCCTGCAATGCCCAAATTGCCAGCTCACAGGCACATCGTCCCCTCCTTCAATAGGTGTTAACCCTAAAGGACTAAAACCTAATATTTATGGCAAACAAATGTTACACACATCCCTAAATTTGAAAAACTCAAATATGTTCATGTGTCCATTAATACCAATTCCCACTTAATTAGTGCATAGGCCTTTCCTGGAGAGTCCAACCGATATGTCAATAAACATCTTTTAACTTTTGTGTTTATGGGGCGGCCCACAAAAATTAAAACTAATAATGGTCCAGCTTATGCCAGCTCACAATTTCAACAATTTTGTCACACGTGGAATATCCAACATTCCACAGGCATCCTGTATAACCCCTAAGAACAGGGCATAGTAGAGCACGCCTACTCCACTCTTAGAAATATTCTCTAAAAACAAAAAAGGGGGAGAATGAGTAAGGACCCTGCAACACTACTAACACAAGTCTTATTTACCCTTAATTTTTAAAATTTAGATGACAAATTTCAATTGGCTATAGAAAAGCACTTTGCTAAAACCTCTCAAGACATAAAACCCGCAGTTTTATGGAAAGGTGTAAACAGTAATGTATGGTGTGGTCCAAATGAATTGTTAACGTGAGGAAGAGGATATGCTTGTGTTCACACCCCCTCAGGTCCTCTTTGGATTCCAGCATGATGCATCAAACCATACCGTGGCATGGCTAGGGCCCAACCTGGTATCAAAAATGAAGAAAATGACCCTATAGGACCCACAGCCCTGGACGATGTGGCTTCCTTGGATGACACAAGCCCCGGACATTACCTGGGGGATGCTAAAGAAGACAACTCAAGAGGCTGAACAAATCCTACTCTGGATACAGACACCATTTACTCCAGATAATTTGTTCCTTGCCATGCTCTCTGTTGTACATTGCAACTCGCGTAGGGTATTGATCCTTTTCATGCTCTCACTTTGTCTGCAACCTGTATCTGCTATGCTCTATTGGGCTTATATCTTAGATCCGCCTTTCTTTCACCCTGTCACCTGACAGACACCCCCTTCTCAGCCTTTAATAACTTAACTTCTTGGCTGGGAGGGATAGATTTACCCTACACATCCAACAAACAGCCATATGGAAGCGTGTGCAAGATCATCTCTCCCGGATAGACCCCCGCTCTTGGGCACCACTCCTTGATTGGAAAAGAATGTTGTTCATTATACACATGTTTGTCATATGTCATTTGCTAATTATAGGATGCAAAGCTGGAATAAGAGCAGTGACCACCACACCTGACAGACCTGTTGCTGCACATATCTGCACTCTTCAATCAACAAAGCCTGATGCAAAAAAACAGAAAAGGGGGAGATTTAGGGGTTCAGTCTGGGTGGTAGAAAAAATTATAAAGATAAAGTTATAGGAAATAGACACAAACCTTCTTGGAAGGCCGGAAGGTTTGCGTAGCTTCAGTTAAAAATTTGGCTGAAGGCAGCCTAATTCTCTTACCTTGAGTTAATAGCTTAGAGTAGGTACAAAGGAGTGTAAGGGAGTTTATCTAAAGAGCTTGTTTACTCATGTGGTCCTAAGACTGGCCTTTGATCATTCGTAGGACTGCTCTCTCCAGGGGAGGGTGACCAGATTAATTACCCACAGGTGTGTTGATTCAAAGCTTTTTGTCATTAAATCCGTGCTGAATAAATGCCCACGGGCCAGCTATTCAGTGTGTGCAGTTGCTACATCTCTTTCTGTGAGTGGCCTTGGACCCTAGCCACTCTTTCACTGAATATTGGTGTCTGAGTATGTTATTGATCCATCATGCCGCCTGGATCTGCAGGTCAGACCCCAGCACAGTCCTACATCAACTTATTAATAATGGTACTGTAGCCAGTGACCCAAGGCCATAGAGTGAGTTGATGGCAAAACTAAGGATAGTTATACCTCCTGACACTTTAACTACCAAATTAGAGCTCTTTCGCCTGTAATCATTCTGTCACCTTGAAAAAAGGGTAGTCAGTGAAAGGAAAATCACCAAGGTGCTAGCAATTATATGTGGGTAGCTGGGATGTGGGTGACTGAATTTCTAACTCATTGAGCAGATCATTTTACTTTTCCGGGTCCTGGTTCTTCCAGCTGTGAAACACGGATAATCCTCTTTTCTGTCCCCTCACAAGGTTTGAGTTGGGACAAACAGGACAACATCTGGGAAAAGGCAATTTGCAATCTATAGGAGAAAGAATTACTGTACCTTAATGTCTTAACAGTATCATGACATAAAGGAGACCCAACTGATCTACAGATCATCAAAGGAACCCTGAGAGGCTGTCCTTGGAAAATAAAGCCAATAATCCAGAAAGGAGAAAAGGTGTGTTAGTCAGGTCGTCAGTACACAAGAGCTAGATAAGACAGGGGCTATATCCACAGCGGCTGGCTCAGAGTTCTCCGGCACAGTGTCTAAGGCAGATTTGGGGGACAGCACATCTAAACTCTCACCTCAGTAACTGCACCGGATCTGTTATGGTCTCTAGTTTCTGTATCACTTCATCTCGAACTGGTGCACATAGCAAGGCTATCAAATTGAGAATGTAGTTAGAAAGATGAGGGACATCCAGGGCCCCATGTTCTGCTTCCTGCTTGAGGAGATCTGTGTCCAGAGCTCTTCTATCTCATTTCTTAGGTGGTTCTGCCATGGTAATAGCAGTGATAACAAGATCTGCCCAACAAAGGATATCAAAGGAGCCAAGTTCTCTTTAGAACCCCAAACTTTCTCTCCAGTGAACTATGTTAGGCCGAAGGCATCCCAGATCATGTCTTCTGTGGGTCAGAAAACTGAGTATCTAAGTTTCTTAGAAAGTATTATTTCTTTCTGTTTAGAGGACAATTACCATTCAAGGTTTCATTGGGATCAGTTATAGTAGGAGTTATTATTATTTTTTAGGTAGAATGAGCTAAAAATATAAATAAAAACAAGAATGTGATTTTAAATGTGTGGGATATAAGAAATATGATATACACACCACCACAAGAAGATGAGGTAGTCAGTGGGAAAAAGGGTAGTCAGTGGAAGGAAAATAAGATTATTTATTCTTTTTTTTTTTCCTCTTTTTTTTTAGACGGAGTCTTGCTCTGGCTCCCAGGCTGGAGTGCACTGGCTATATCTCAGCTCACTGCAAGCTCCACTTCCCAGGTTCATGCCATTCTCCTGCCTCAGCCTCCTGAGTAGCTGGGACTACAGGTGCCTGCCACCACGCCCGGCTAATTTTTTGTATTTTTTTAGTAGAGGTGGGGTTTCACCATGTTAGCCAGGATGGTCTCGATCTCCTGACCTCATGATCTGCCCGCCTCGGCCTCCCAAAATGCTGGGGTTACAGATGTGAGCCACCGCTAATAAAGGAAATAAGATTATTTATTCTTAATAAAGGATAAGGACATTTTTAGATAGTTTTACTCCAAAGCATGAGGATAAAATAGCAAATTTGGAATCTTTATGGGCCACTTGAAATAGCCTTTTGACTCAAACATGTAAGTTCCTTGTGGGAAAGGGCTGTCCTATTCATCTTTGGGTTTCTGAAACACACAGACCATAGTGGGATTTCAGTAATAATTTGTTTAATTGAATTACATATTTTTATAATAATCACCCAACTGTCAAGTTTCGTCTTACACAAATAAAATGGAAGCTGCCTCATCCTATCTATTTAAGTAGCAGGCCACGTTAAAAAAGTATGCTACTTAAGATATTAATAGCCATTGACAATCCAAGGTTCTGAGATGCCCAGGAACTTCCCATCTCCAAATGGGAGGTTGGTTACTCACCTCCTTAACTTCTTTTAGAAGTTCAAGAGCACAAGTGAAGTCAGGAGGAGTACTCAATAGCTGTTCTTTCAGATGGTTCCAAAAAGCTTTGTACATTGCCCCTGTAAACCTGCCTTCCACACTATAAGAAGGGTCAAATGAGGGCAGGAGCAGTGGCTCATGCCTGTAATCCCAGCACTTTGGGAGGCTGAGGCAGGTGGATCACGAGGTCAGGAGTTCAAGACCAGCCTAGCCAAGATGGTGAAATCCCATCTCTACTAAAAATACAAAAATTAGCCAGACGTGGTGGCAGATGCCTATAATCCCAGCTACTCGGTAGGCTAAGGCAGAGACTTGCTTGAACCCGGGAGGCAGAGGTTGCAGTGATTCAAGATTGTGCCACTGCACTCCAGCCTGGGCGACACACTGAGACTCCGTCAAAAAAAAAAGGGGGGGTTAAATGAGTAGATTGCTTTTTACCTAGATAATTGATACAGGATCATAATCTCCCAAACAGCATTTAAAATAATGAAAGACCTTTAAATTGACAGGCTAAGAGGACCTATGTTTAGACTTGATAAGGGCTGAATAAACTGAAGTTAGTCTCAGATGAAAAAGCGTTGGCTAAATTCTCTTAGAAGGGTACCTCATGGTTCCAGAGACACTCTCTTCCTGCAGCAGGAAGAACCATAAACTAGAAGTAGAGACCCCGACTTCTAACCCTAGTTCTGCATCTAGTCTGGATGTGTGACTTAGTTTCCACTGCCATAGACTTAAACCTTTGAACCAGATGCTATTTTTCCTTCAGGCCTGAAATCTAGGAAAGGATTTTACCTCTTGATAATACTTGAAGGTCTTTTGAGATGCTTTAAATTCAGCAAGCCCAAAACTGTCTCCTTCAGACAGAACAGGCTTTAAACCAATGAAGAAAAAAACAAAACAAAACAAAGAAGCATATTACAAAATGGTAAAGAGTTCAATTAAAAAGGAAGATCTAACTACCCTAAATATATATGCACCCAACACGGGAGCACACAGATTCATAAATCAAGTTCTTAAAGACCTTCAAAGGGACTTAGATGCCTACACAATAATAGTTGAAGACTTTAACACCACACTGACATCATTAGACAGAGCAAAGACTGAGAAAATTAACAAAGATATTCGGGACCTGAACTCAGCACTGGATCAAATGGACTTGATAGACATTACAGAAATCTCCATACAAAACCAACAGAATATACATTCTTCTCACCTCTACATGGCACATACTCTAAAATCAATCATGTAATTGGAAGTAAAACACTTCTCAGCAAATACAAAAGAACTGAAATCATAACAATCTCGTGAACCACAGTGCAATCAAAATAGAAATTAAGACTAAGAAATTCACTCAAAACCATACAATTACATGGAAATTGAATAACCTGCTCTTGAATGACTTTTGGGTAAATAACAAAATTAAGTCAGGATCAAGAAGTTCTTTGAAACTAATGAGAACAAAGATATGACATACTAGAATATCTGAGACACAGCTAAGGTAGTGTTAAGAGTTAAATTTATGGCACTAAATGTCCACCTCAAAAAGTTAGAAACATCTCAAGTTAATGACCTAACATCATAACTAAAATAACTAGATACTCAAAAGCATACCAATCCCAAAGCTAACAGAAGAAAAAAAATAACCAAAATTAGAGCTGAACTGAAGGAGACTGAGACACAAAAATCCATTCAAAAGATCAACCAATCCAGGAGCTATTTTTGAAAACCATTAATAAAATACATAGGCCTCTAGCTAGACTAATAAAGAAGAAAAGAGAGAAGATTCAAATAAACACAATCAGAAACAACAAGGGGGATATTACTCCTGACCCCACAGAAACATAAGTAACCATTAGACAATATTATGAACACCCCTGTGCACATTATGAACTAGAAAATCTGGAAGATATGAATAAATTCCTGGACACATACACATCCCAGGACAGAACCAGGAAGAAATTAAATTCCTGGACAGACCAATAACAAGCTCCAAAATTGAGTCAGTAAAAAAAACAGCCTACCAACCAAAAGAAGCCCGGGATCAGAGGGATTCATAGCTGAATTCTATCAGATATACAAAGAAGAGTTGGTACCCTTCCTGCTGAAACTATTTCAAAAAATTAAGGCGGAGGGACTCCTCCCTAGCTCATTCTATGAGGCCAGCATCATCCTGATACCAAAACCTAGCAGAAACACAACAACACAAAAAAAACTTAGCCTTATATCCTTGATGGACATTGATGTAAAAATTCCCAACAAAATGCTGGCAAACCAAATCCAGCAGCACATCAAAAAGCTCATCCACCATGATCAAACAGGCTTCTTCCAGGGGATGCAAGGTTGGTTCAACATACACAAGTCAGTAATTGTGATAAATCACATAAACAGAACTGAAGACAAAAACCACATGATCGTCTCAATAGATGCAGAAAAGACTTTCAATAAAATTCAACACTCCTTCATGTTAAAAACTCTCAACAAACTAGGCATTGAAGGAACATACCTCAAAATAATAAGTGCCATCTATGACAAATCCACGGCTTACATCATACTGAATGGGCAAAAGCTGGAAACATTCCCCTTGAAAACCGGCACAAGACAAGAATGCCCTCTCTCACCACTCATATTCAACATAGTATTGGAAGTTTTGGCCAGGCAATTAAGTAAGAGAAAGAAATAAAGATCATCTAACTAGGAAGACAAGACGTCAAACTACCCTGTTTGCAGATGACATGATCCTATATCTAGAAAGCCCCATAGTCTCAGTCCCAAAGTTCTTAAGCTGATATACAACTTCAGCAAATTCTCAGGATACAAAATCACTGTGCAGAAATCACTAACATTCCTATACACAAGCAACAGTCAAGCTGAAATCCAAATCAGGAATGCAATCCCACTCACAATTGCCAGAAAATAATTAAAATATCCAGGAATAGAGCTAAACAGGGAGGTGAAAGATCTCTACATGTAGAACTACAAAACACTGTTCAAAGAAATCAGAGATGACACAAACAAGTGAAAAAAAAATCCATGTTCATGGATAGGAAGAATCACTGTCATTAAAATGGCCATACTGCCCAAAGCAATTTATAAAGTAAATGCTATTCCTATTAAAGTACCATTGACATTGTGCACAGAACTAGATAAAACTAGGTTAAAATTCATATGGAACCAAAAAAGAGCCCGAATAGCCAATGCAATCCTAAGCAAAAAGAACAAAGCTGGAGACATCACAGTACCCAACTTCAAATTGTACTGCAGGGCTACAGTAAACAAAACAGCATGGTACTGATACAAAAACAGACACACAGAACAATGGAACAGAGTAGAGAACCCAGAAATAAGGCTACACACCTACAACTATCTGATCTTCTACAAAGCTGACAAGAACAAGCAATGTGAAAAGGATTTCCTGTTTAATAAATGATGCTGGGAGAACTGGCTAGTCATATGCAGAAGATTGAAACTGGATCCCTTCTTTATATCATATACAAAAATCAACTCAAGAAGGATTAAAGACTTAACTGTAAAACCCAAAACTATAAAAACCCTTGAAGATAACCTAGGCAATAGCATTCCGGATATAGGAACAGGCAAAGATTTCATGATGATGACGCCAAAAGCAATTGCAACAAAAACAAAAATTGACAAATGAGATCTAATTAAACTAAAGAACTTCTGCACAACAAAGGAAACTATCAACAGAATGAACAGACAACCTACAGAATGGGAGAAAGTTTTTGCAAACTGCACATCTGACAGGGGTCTAATATCCAGCATCTACAAGGAACTTAAATTTACAAGAAAAAACAAACAACCTGTTAAAAAGTGGGCAAAGTGCACGAACAGACACTTTTCAAAAGAAGACATACATGCAAACCAACAATCATGAAAAAATCTCATCACTGATCATTAGATAAATGCACATCAAAACCACAATGAGATAACATCTCACACCAGTCAGGATGGCTATTATTAAAAAGTCAAAAAATAACAGATGGCAGTGAGGCTCGGGGTGGGGGGGTGCGGATGTGGGGGAAGGAAAACTTATACACTGCGGCTGAGGAGTGTAAGTTACTTCAAGCATTGTGGAAGACAATGTGGCGATTCCTCAAAGACCTAAAAACAGAACTACCATTCATCCCAGCAATCTCACTACTTGGTATACACCCAAAGGAATATAAATTGTTCTATCATAAAGACACATGCACACGTATGTTTATTGCAGCACTATTCACAAAAGCAAAGACATGGAATCAACCTAAATACTCATCAGTAAAAATAGACTGGATAACGAAAATGTGGTACATATACACCATGTAATACTATGCAGCCATAAAAAGAACACAATCATGTCCTTTGCAGAAACTTGGATGGAGCTGGAGGCCATTATCCTTAGCCAAACTAATGCAGGAACAGAACATCAAATACCACATGTTCTGACTTATAACTGGGAGCTAAATGATGAGAACGCATGGACACATAGAGGGGAACAACACACACTGGGGCCTATTAGAGGGTGGAGGTTGGCAGGAGGGAGAGGATCAGGAAAAATAATTAATGTACACTAGGTTTAATATCTGGGTGAGGAAATAATGTGTACCACAAACTCCCATGAAATAAGTTTAACTATATAACAAACCTGCACATGTACCCCTGAACTTAGAATAAAAGATAAATTAAAAAAGGAAAATGAAAGAAAACATATTATTCAGTAACCATGTTTTTTTTTTTTTGCTTTTTGTGTTTTGTTTTGCTTTTCTGAAGCAGGGTCTCACTCTGTTGCCCATGCTGGAATGCAATGGCGTGATTTCTGTTCACTGCAGCCTTGACCTCCCAGGATCAGGTGACCCTCCCACCTCAGTCTTCCGAGTAGCTGGGACTACAGGCACACACCATCGTGCCAGGCTAATTTTTGTATTTTTTTGTACAGACATGGTTTCACCATACTGCCCAGGCTGGTCTCGAACTCCTGGGCTCAAGCAATTCGCCAGGCTTGGCCTCCTAAAGTGCCGGGCTTACAGGCATGAGCGACTGTGCCTGGCCTATATTCAGTAAGCTTTTAAATAAAATAAACAACTATTACTGCTTTATTTTTAATATAGCCATGATATTTGGTGGATTTTCTTTGGACGCTATGCTTCTCGATATATAATCAAGTGATTCTAAACAATACTTTTATTAGTACCTATGTTAGTTCAGGTTCCCTGAGAGGCAGACACCAAGATAAGACTCCTGTGAAAGAGATTAATTATGGGAAAAGGGGATAAAGGGGAGGGAGCAGAAGTCAGGAAGAGCCTTTGGATCATAATGCAGAAATGATGTCTGTGAAAGGAGAAGAGGAAGGAAAAAATAAAGATAGGTAGGAATACTTTCAGACTGCCCCACAGTTCTAAGATTTCTTAAAGGTTGATAGGGATACCACGAGTCAAAGTTGCCTGTTGGAGGTGTTCCTCATCTCTGAGGAATTGACCCGCACTACTATTTCCCACTCAGTGATTATCTAGGAGAAGTCTGAGGGAAGCATGGCTTTGGTGCAAATGCAATAGTTGGTCCCGAGGGACAGCAGCTGGGGCCATCAAGTAACTATGCTCTCTATAGCCAGGGATCTGAGCAGCACATTTTCATAGTCACCACAGTCCACCTTTGTACTCGACAGATCTATTTCTCCATTCAGGTTCATGGAACAGTTCCTTCCTTATTCCTTTAAGCTTCTCTTTATGAAGCCAAACTTTGAAGAGGGAGGATAGTGGGACACACTACAGCCCCCCTTGCTGCATTTAGTTTCTGGGCCAGAACTGGTAATTATTATCTTCCTTTTCCACTACCTATTTGAAATGTCCCTCACACAGTTATTATTTTGACAAGTCTTGGAAGCTTACTTAGCCATGTGAACCAAACTTTCATTGTGGAGGTGTCCAAACTCTTTTCAATGACATTATCCATTCACAGTTAAATGAAGCAAGAGAATACCAGGAGGCACTCAAGTAGATCACCTGGTTTCATATGTATTCCTTTCTTACTCATTTTACTAAAGCAGCCCTACCCCTCCTACACATCATAGTCAATTACTCCTGCCACATGTGGATTCCCCTTCTTGTGCGGCGATTCCTGGATATCAGTAGTCCAATCCGTGTTCAAACCACTGCTGTGATCCTTGTGGGCCACTACGATGGGGAGTAGGCACACTCCTGCTTTCACCTCTTATTCCTAATCCCATTCTTCCAATTAGATCTAAAGCCTAACGTATAGGTCTGTGATTTAATGTATACACTGCATCCTGGAGAACGGCACCCAATTTTTTCAGGGTTTACTTTTATTGGTGCTTTATCTTTGCCTTCAGAAGTGTTCTGTGAGGTCAGCTCCTTCTGGATGGTGCAGTATTTGATATGATAAGTGGATCCTCTTGTTCTGGACCCATTTGTGCCCCTTCTTTACTATGAAGTGACTACCCTGTCCAGATGCTCTGTTGTGTGGGATTCCGAGACTATGGCTCAAGAACCCCCAAATCCCTCAGATGCTTAATGAGGCTGTGCAGGCAGAAAAGGCAAATCCATACCCAGAATAGGTACATAGTTCTGTGAGCATGAACCACTGACTGTTCCAGGATAAAAAGCATACAATATAGTCAATTCACTGCTAAGTGGTCTTCATAAATAGTGTCGTATTTGAGATAGAGCCTTGGTCGCTGTTGCTGCAGGTTGGATATTCATACAGGGAAGCAGCTAAATTGTCTTGGTACACAGGAGTCTGTGATATTGGGCCCATATATTACCTCCATTTCTTCTGCCATGGCTAGTTCTTTGAGATGTCTATTGGACCAGTCCTGAGAAGGCCAGAATGAATGCTGGTTAATGTCAGTGGTCAAAGTCGCTTTGTCTACTTAGTTCTTCAGTTACTCTTTCACAATTGATGCTTTCATGTGAACATTAAAATAGGATTGATACAAAAATCTTCCTATTTCATATCACTTCCAATATGTCTATCCACATGCCTCTACTCTAGACTTCCCTTTCTCTGATCTTTTCCTTCCAAGCTCCTGACCAGCTCACCAGACCTTTGGCTACTGTCCAATAATGCATATATATTACCATCTTGGACCACTTCTTTTTCCACAAAAAGTGGATAATCAGGTGCACTGCTTGCAGTTCTACCCACTGGGAAAATATTTTCACTCCCTGCTGCCTTTCAGGACCACCTCTAAATGGGGCTGTAATACAGTCACCACGTATTTTGACTTACGTTCACATACCAAGCTGATCCTGTAAACCAAGCTTGAGCTTTCCTTCAACTGGTTATATGGGACCACATACTTTAATATGGCTATAGGTTCAAACCAAAGGAGAGGCACTGGTGCAACTGTGGTGGATAGCATGGGGATCTGGGCTATCTGCTCATATACCTAACCTGTGTCCTCTGGTTTTCCTCGGACTTAATCTAGGATATTCTGTTTCCACCGTATTATGGGCTACTGCTGGATTCATCTTACTTTATGACTTAGAGGGTATAAAATGTGTTGCTTCAAAAACCCAAAGAGGCCTGCCAGATGCTGTGCTTCCTTCTTTGTGGGAGACGATACAAGATGCAGTAACTTGTCTTTAACTCTGCAGGAGATATCCTGGCATTCTTACAACCACTGAACCTGTTATAATTTCTGTAAAGTAATGGGCTTATCTTCCACAGTCTAGAGCCCATGTGTCTTACAAAGGCCTCTAGTGTAATAACCACATCTTGCTCTTCCTGTCCAATCAGCATATCATGGATATAATGGGTCAATGTGAAGCCCTGTGGGAGTGTATATTTTGTTTGCCCTGAGGCAAAACTATAAATGAATATGTTATCTCCATGTGAAAGTAAATGTTCTGATCCTTTTTTTAAGTAAATGCAAAAGAATACATTAACCACATCAAAAGCTACATACCACGTAATTAGGCTTTTTTAATCTACTCTGGCAATGCTACCACATACAGTACAGCAGCTTTTATCAAGGATACTCCATGGCTGGACTTGTGGTAGCATGCTATTATTCTCCAGAATCCAATTAGGTTCTGCAAAAGCAAGATTGGCAAAGCAAGTGAAAATATGATAGAGACCACAGCTCCTGTATCTATTAGGTCTTTAACAGTGACAGTAATTTCTTTCTCCACCTTGAGAATGCTATATTATTTGTGATTTATTGCCTTGCCCAGAAGTAAGGGCATCACCATAAGTTTCCACTTAACCTTTCCCACTATGAGATTTCACATCCCACAGGACAATGACTCAATAAGTAGTTATTCCAAATGCCAAGTATATAAATCCTAATTATACAATCAGGATGTGAGGGAAAAGAATATAGAAGCTGTAGATCCACAGTGAGCCAGACTTTACACAGAAATTTGTTTATTACCTGGCCTCTGTAAACTCCCACTATAATAGTCAGGCCATCATGATGCCTTGGGTCTCTAGGTATCAATGTCAAACTCAGGCACTGTGTTCAATAGTTGTTGAAATGTCTGGGTATTCTTATTCCCCTTGTACACAGTCATCTAATGAATGGCTATAATTCCCTTTGTGGAAGGACTGAAAGAATTATTGTAATTACATACTTACTGAGATGCTACAAGGTTCTTTTTTCTAGAGATCTGGCTCCTCCTTTAATAAATGTGTTCTGGATCTAAAAATTAGCTTGGATTCAGCAACTGAACAAGGGTCATGAATTCTTATTGAGGAAACCTCTCTCAGCCTCCTAGTCTTACACTCTTGTCTTTTTCAGCTTGTATATGTTGAGCAACACCCATGTTGGCTGATCATCAAGGGCTGGTGATAGCTGTGAAACACTATCTTTGGCTGGGTTTTCTGGTTTTCCATAATATAGTCATTCTAGGCTGCCCTGGAACTTTGTATTTCTTCCTCTATGGGATGCCAGGGTACTTCAGTCATCTCTACTTCACTCAGCAGGGGCCATTGCTTTCTCCAGGCTTTGAAGAACCACACTAGCAGCAAGTTTACTTCACTTCCTAGGGTCCTTGCTAGAGTGTTAAATCCCATGTTCCCAGAAAGTGCTTTCAACTCAATGATTATTGCTTATCCAGTATATTCTGGTTACCTTGATCAAGTATCATTAAAACCCGATATCAAGGCTATTTCCCCGGCTCCTACCAGTACATGCTATGTAATTCTTACATACGACAACTTCAGTATATAATCTCATTCCTTCCTTATCAGGCTCAGAATGTCCTTGGCTGCATCCTGCTGTCACTTAGCCCTAATTAATGGTCTGGTAACCTTTCCAAGGAAGTAAGGGCAGTTTCTGAGGGTGGCACTTGTTGCATTGCTGGGTGAGGCCTCTGTAACATGAGGAAAGTGTTTATTCTTATGAGACAATCATGGGCCACCTCTGCAACTTCTGAGGGTTCAGAGTAATCTGCGGAACCAACATTCTCAGGACCATCTATCCAGAATGTCCACACCTGCTATGGTTTGGATATTTTGTCCCCTTCAAATCTCAGGTTGAAATGTTATCCCCAAAGTTGGAGTTGGGGTCTGGTGGGAGATGTTTGAATCATGGGGGTGAATCTCTCATGAATGGCTTTGTGGTAATGAATGAATTCTCCTTCTGTGAGTTAACATAAGATCTAGTTGTTTAAAAGAGCCTGGAACTCCCTCCTCTCTCTCTTCCTCCCACTTTCATCGTGTGATATACCTGTTTGCCCTTCACCTTCCGCTATGATTGTAAGCTTCCTGAGGCCCTCACCAGAAGCAGATGCCAGCACCCTGCTTCCTGTACAGTCTGTGGAATTGTGAGCCAAAGTAAACCTCTTTTTTAATAAATTACTCAGTTTTGGGTATTCCTTTACAGCAACATAAATGGCCTAATACAGAAAATTGGTACTGTGGAGTAGTAGAGCATTCCTATAAAGATACCTGAAAGTGTGGAAGTCACCTTGGAAATATGTAACAAGCAGGGGTTGGAAGAGTTTGGAGGGCTTAGAAGAAGACAGGAAGATGAGGGAAAGTTTGGAACTTCTTAGACACTAGTTAATTGGTTGTGACCAAAATGTTGATAGAAATATGGACAGTGAAGGCCAGGCTGATAAGGTCTGAGATGAACATGAGGAAGTTATTGAGTACTGGAGCAAAGATCACCCTTGTTACATGGTAGCAAAAACTTGGCTGCATTGTGCTTATGCCATAGGGATTGGTGGAAGGTTGAACTTAAGAGTGATGATTTAGGGTATCTGGTGGAAGAAATTTCTAAGCAGCAAAGTGTTCAAGATGTGGCATGGCTGCTTCTAACAGCTTGTGATTTGATTCCAGAGCAAATAAATGACTTAAATTTGGAACTTATATTTAAAAGGAATGCAGAGTGTAAAAATTTGGAAAATTTGCAGCCTGGATATGTGGTAGAGAAGGAAAGAGTATACTCAGGAGAGGAATCCAAGCAGGCTGCTATGGAGCAACCACTTGCTAGATAGATTTACATGACTAAAAGGGAGCCAGGTGCTAATACTGGGGAAAAGGGCTAAAAGCCATTTCAGAAGTTTTTGGGACAGTCCCTTCCATCACAAACCCAGAGGCCTAGGATGAAAGAATGGTTTCAGGGGCTGAGCCCAGTGCCCAACTGCCCCACATAGCCTCAGGACACTGCTCCCTGCATTCAGGACCCTCTGGCTCCAGCCTTGGCTCAAAGGCTCCAGGTACAGCTTAGTCCATTGCTCCAGAGGGCAAAAGTCATAAGCCTTGGTGATTCCTATGTGGTGTTTACCATACAGGTGCATAGAATGTGAGCATGAAGGAGCCTTTGGAGCTTCTACCTAGATTTCAGAGGATGTATAGGAAAGCCTGGGTGCCCAGGCAGAAGTCTGCTGCAGCAGTGGAGCCCCTGCAGAGAGACTCTACTAGGGCAATGCAGAGGGGAAATGTGGGATTGGAGCTCCCACACAGAGTCTCCACCTAGGAACTGGCTACAGGAACTTTAGGAAGGGGGCTGCCACCCTCCATACCTGAGAATGATAGAGCCACTGGCAGCATGCCCGTTGAGCCTAGAAAAGCCATAGGCACTCAACTTCAGACCATGAGAACAGCCATGGAGGTTACACCCTGCAAAGCCAGGGGAAGGGTTGCACAAGCCCTTGGGAGCCCACCCCTTGCACCAGTGTGCCCAGGATGTAGGACATGGAACCAAGGAATATTTTTGGAAATCTGAGGTTAAATGTCCCCTGCTGGGTTTCAGACTTACATGGGAGCTGTTGCTCCTTTCTTTTGGCCAATTTCTCCCTTTGGGAGTGGGAATGTCTACTCAATACCTGTACCACCATTGTACCTTGGGAATAAATAACTTGTATTGATTTCACAGGCTCATAGGCTAAAGGAACTTGCCTTGAGTTTCAGATGAGAATTTGGACTTTGGACTTTGAGTTAATGCTAGAATGAACTAAGACATTTAGGGACTACTGGAAAGGAGTGATTGTATTTTGCAATGTGAAAAGGATATGGTATTTGTGGGGCCAGGGGTGGAATGATATGATTTGGATGTTTTCTCCCCTCCAAATCTCATGTTGAAATGTGATCCCAATGTTAGAGGTTGGGCCTGGTGGGAGAAGTTTGAATAATGGGGGTGGATCTCTCATGAATGACTTTGCGCCATTCTTGCAGTAATGTGTGAGTTTTCAGTCTATTAATTAATGCAAGATTTAGTTTTTTAA
Organism: Homo sapiens; assembly: GCF_000001405.40. Lineage (NCBI taxonomy): Eukaryota > Metazoa > Chordata > Mammalia > Primates > Hominidae > Homo > Homo sapiens. Next base: position 102,161,512 of record NC_000023.11, on the reverse strand, counting down.
AAGAGCCTGGAACTTCCTCCTCCTTCTCTTTCTCCTACTCTCATCATGTGATATGCCTGCTCCCCCTTTACCTTCCACTTCTCTTTCTCCTACTCTCATCATGTGATATGCCTGCTCCCCCTTTAACTTCCACTATGAAAGTAAGCTTCCTGAGGCCCTTACCAGAAGCAGATGCCAGCACCATATTTCCTGTACAATCTGCAGAATTGTGAGCCAAAATAAACCTCTTTTTTTTTTCTTATAAATTAACGAGTCTCAGGTATTCCTTTATAGCAATGCAAATGGACTAATACACCATCCCATGTTTCTGGATCCCAGATTTTTTCGACCTAGGTCATAACATGAATATAACATACCTGTCTTGACTCAGTATTTAAATATCTCTGAAGCTCTGCAACTGTCCCAAGTCTGCTGTTCAACTGTTTCTGCTTTTCCACTGCAGGAAGTACGAGCCTCTTTCTAAGCTACCAGAAAGACTCTTAGATTTTAATACTTAGCTCTAGTTGCTTGGTGATGATCCTCAGTTTTTTGTTTTTGTTTTGTTTTTGTTTTTGTTTGAGACAGAGTCTTGCTGTGTCACCCAGGCTGGAGTGCAGTTGTGCAATCTTGGATCACAGCAACCACCCCCTCCCAGATTCAAGTGATTCTCCTGCCTCAGCCTCCCAAGTAGCTGGGACTACAGGCGCCTGCCACCACACCCGGCTTATTATTATTATTATTATTTTGTATTTTTAGTAGAGACGGGGTCTCACTATGTTAGCCAGGCTGATCTTGAACTCCTGACCTTGTGATCTGCCCGCCTCAGCCTCCCAAAGTGCTGGGATTACAGACGTGAGCCACTGCACCCAGCCCAACCCTCAGTTTTTCATTATATCTCTTCAGAGTAGCAATAAAAATTATCCAACTATTAGCTAGCCTACTTGGCTGCCTGACAGGCATTATTTCTCTCTTATTTTTCAAATGCCTGAATGCTAGCAAGGGTGTTCTCCATCTACAGGATATGTTTCCAGGTCAGGACTGGTGAAATTTTTAGCTATTTGATCACTATCTTGTGCCAGGAACTCTCTGTGTCCACATACCACTCAAGATGTTGTTTTATTTGCCCAGTGGGTAGCGAGTGAGTCAGATCCCAAACTCCACTGTATCATAATTTTTCTTGGACAGCTCCTGTCACCACTTATGTTAGCTCTTATCCTCTTAGAAGTAACAACTCAAATGGGAATAGATGAGCAAGAGTTTAACTGGGGACAACACCTGTGAAGGATAAAGGAGAAGGAGTGGGAGAAGGTGGAGAGAGTGTTCAGATGGTAATGCAGATCTGACATTGGTGAAGGAGAGCAGGGAAAGGAGGAAGATTTGACAGGAAGAGCCCTAGACTGTCACATAATCCTAAGGTTTCAGCTAGGCTGAAGGGGAGCTGTGGAGCCAAAGACTTCAATTACAGAAGCCCTGTAACTTACAGAAATGCAACTGAATAGTGCTAGTTATTGGCAAGGATCAGCCCATGGGATTCATGACCTCAGCATGAATGTGCTAGTGGATTCAGAGGGTCAGCAACTAGAACCATCAATCAACAATACTTCCCACAGCAGGAGATCTAAGTGGTGCATTTTCATGGCGCCAGATTATCTTATAAATTTTTAACTGAGCTAAAAATTCCTGATGTATGGCTGCTCCACCATTTGTGATTACTTCAGTTTTTTCAGTTTATATTAATTAATGATATAATAATATGGACTCAATTGCACTAAATATTTTTAAATGACCATTTGGTCTTCAATTGATTTTCAAATGGTTCAGAAAAAAATAATAATGTATTCTTCAATATGAAGGGAGAATGAGAAAGCAAATATAGCAAAACTGAGAACTGGGAAATGCAGTGAAGGGCATGTGGGGTTTTTCTCAAAAACATTCTATAAGTTTGAAATTATTTCATAATAATTTTTTTAAAAAAAGATCACTTACATAATGATGGGAGATCTTTTTTCTTTGTTTCATTTTGTTTTTTAACTGTGACAGGGTTTCCCAACTCTATCTGATATTAAAAATTATGTCAAAGGAGCTTCTTAAATGCAGGTTTTCACACCTGACTCTAATCTATTAAACTAGGATCTTTAGAGAAAGAGCCTAAAAATCTTAACCCCAAGTGCTTCTTATGATGTGTTAAGTTTAGAAAACATTACCTGGTGACCTTGAGAAGTGTATTTAAATAAAAAATTAAACAAAAGAAAAAATAAAATACAATAATAGTTAAAAAAAATAAACCAGGTGATATGGTTTGGCTGTGTCCCCACCCAAATCTCATCTTGAATTGTAACTCCCACAATTCCCATGTGGAACCCAGTGGGAGGCGATTGAATTACGGGAGTGGGTCTCTTCTGCGCTGTTCTCATGATAGGGAATGAGAATCATGAGATATGATGGTTTTAAAAACGAGAGTTCTCTGCACAGGCTCTCTCTTTGCCTGCCACCATCCGTGTAAGACGTGACTTGCTTCTCCTTGCCTTTCATCTTCCACCATGATTGCAAGGCCTCCCCAGCCCCATGAAAGTAAGTCCAATAAATCTCTTTCTTTTGTAAATTGACCAGTTTCAGGTATGTCTTTATCAGCAGTGTGAAAACGATTAATACGCCAGGCAATATTAAGCATTGGCAGACATGAAAAAGCAGGAATTCTCATACATTATAGATACCAAATTTGGACATTTTTCAGGATTGACTTCTATGACACTGAAAAATATCCACACATATATAGAAACGACTGTTCTAGAAATTTCAAAATTTGATATTAGTATGAAAATTTTATGTACACAGAAGTTCAATCAACATCATCTATGATAATGAACACTACAAACAACCCAAACATCTATAAATATGAAAATGAATATGTGTGTACAATAGCAAAGACTTGGGACCAACCCAATGCCCATCAATGATAGACTGGATAAAGAAAATGTGGCACATATACACCATGGAATACTATGCAGCTATATAAAAGATGAGTTCATGTCCTTTGCAGGGACATGGATGAAGCTGGAAACCATCATTCTCAGCAAACTAACACAGGAACAGAAAAACAAACACCACATGTTCTCACTCATAAGTGGGAGTTGAACAATGAGAACATATGGGCACAGAGAGGGGAACATCACACACTGGGGCCTGTCTGGGGGTGGGGGGGCAAGGGAAGGGATAGCATTAGGAGAAATACCTAATGTAGATGATGAGTTGATGGGTGCGGCAAATCACTCCATGGCACATGTATACTTATGTAACAAACCTGCATATTCTGCGCATGTATCCCAGAACTTAAAGTATAATAATAATAATAATAATAATAATAATAATAATAATAATAAGAAGAAGAAGAAGAAGAAGAAGAAGAAGAAGAAGAAGAAGAAGAAGAAGAAAATGAATATGTGTGTATTATCTTTGTTTTTGAAGGGAGATATTTGGACTGATTTAGAGTAAAATGTGAATAGTATATTTCCTGTAGCGGGGATAAAACTGATATTATCCTTCTACCTTACCTGTGTTTTCTAATTTTGCTGAGGGCTTTTTCTGGTACCTTGGGAACTTGCTCAGCCCAGGTGTAGGACAACTTAAAAGTGCCAGAGATTTTAACATCCTCAGCGTGACATCCACCAATAGAGGGCCAAGTCTGTAGAAAAATACCCCAACTTCTCATCACTAGTTAGGATAATTCTGAGGAGCACTCTAAATCATTTCTGAGACTTGGAGGGTCCCCAGCAGATTTGAGCCAGTTGCCTTTTGGTCTTGTCAGGATCTGGTGCTGTATTTAAAACAACTTTTCCATTCTATTATATAAAAAATAACATGCTAAGTTCTATTTTTAATGGTTTAATGTCTTTTATGCAAACATTTAGTGTCTATTTTTAAGTGTATGAGAATGATAAGGCACTTCATTGTTTTTGAAAATAGTCAATTATCCCGATACAATTTCTTCAATCTAACCTTTCCCCACTGATTCAAAATATTTCAATGCATTTACTAGCATTTTTTCCATATTTGGGTTTGATAATTGAATTTCTTTTCTGGTTCATTTGTTCTAAATTTATTCTGGTACACTATTATCTTAACATTGTAATTTCACAATACTTTTTAAACTTTTATTTTAAGTTCAGGAATACATGTGCAGCTTTGTTATATAGGTAAACTGATCCTCTCCCTCCTCCCATCCTCCACCCTCCTGTAGGCCCCAGTGTTGTTCCCCTCTATGTGTCCATCACAATACATTTTCATCTGTCAGGGTAGCTTCCCCAAATTATTGTCCTGAATCATCAGGGCTAGGTGTTATTGTAAATTGTGGTTACACTAATACAATTTAGAGGAGATCATCAGTTTGTCACAGGTTCTCAAGACATGAAAATCCACCAGAGAGGCTCTATTAGACTCAATGCATCATTTCACGGAAGGACATGTAGAGATCCTTCACGAGAAAATCACTTCTTTCCTTCTTTCCTTCCTCTTTTCTTTTCTTTTCTTCTTCCTTTCTTTCTCTTTCTTTCTTTCTTTCCTTCTTTCTTTCTTTCCTTCTTTCTTTCTTGACAGAGTCTCACTCTATCGCCCAGGCTTGGTGTGCAATGGTGCTACCTCGGCTCACTACAACCTCTGCCGCCCAGGTTCAAGCAATTCTCCTGCCTCAGCCTCCCGAGTAGCTGGGATTACAGGCGCCTGCCACCACGCCCAGCTACTTTTTGTATTTTTAGTAGAGACGGGGTTTCACCATCTTGGCCAGGCTGGTCTTGAACTACTGACCCCGTGATCCACCCACCTCGGCCTCCCAAAGTGCTAGGATCACAGGCACGAGCCACCGCTCCCGGCCTTATTTCAAAGTCCTTAAAGGAGGCAGGGGAATGCTTTCTGGAAGGTTTATATTTATAATATGATTCAGCAGGAGAAACAGATTGCCATGTTTTTACAACTCGAATCCTGTTTTTTCAACTGAAAATAATTGTATTGTCTAGTTATAAAAACAACAACAAAATGAATGCATGCTGATGAAAAATAAAAGGAACCCCCTTCCCAAATAAACAAACAAAAAGGAAAGTAGTTGAAGTGAAAAAAAAATTTGAATACCACTTCCTGCCTATTTTCCAGACTTCCTAGCCTCTCGCTCCCCACCCCTTCTCCGGGTTCCAATCTGGGACCAAGCCCTACAAGACTGTTAGGGCTTTACTTGCTGGACGTGAAGGGGAGAGAAGTGTGCGTTTAGGTGTATAGAAGAGGAAGAAGCGATTTTTTAAAAGCTCCAGCAGAAACCAGAGCAAGCCAAATACAAAATATTATGACCCGTTTGGTCGTGGGGATCGCTAAATAAAAAAATAGAGGGGTGGATAGTAGCCTGTGGTAGTGGTGGAGAAAGCACGAATGAAGAGAAAGGTGGCCCCGCCCACAGTCCCGCCCCCACCCTCCTGCCGCACTGCGGGTGTGAATGGTAATTGGAAATCTGAGCTCACAGTGACGTGACCCTTAGGAGACCCAGAGCCAATGCGTGGATTAGTCCCTCCTCCTAGTTGCAGTCTGGTAGTTGTCGCTGGCCGTGTGACGGCTCGCTGTTGCCCTGAAGGCAGGCGAGCCAGCTGCCCAGGAAAGGTGGAAAGTGGTAGAAGCTGACCCCTGAGCCCTGGCAGGTAGGTGGCGCTGACCGGTGTGTGAGCAGCAGAGGGCAAAGACCAGAGCGGGTCTAGGACTGGATACACACCCTTTCCAGATACACACCCGTTTAGTGCGAGAAATGGAGCGGTTGGGGAGAGGATCTCCCGAGGGGGCTGGATTGAGAATGGGTACCATTTGAGATCTCCTAGGAGGCCGGCCATCGGGCAATGTCTGATGGAGTCCAGCCGGTGGAGGAGACTGAAAGGAAACAGCCTGCTTCCTGCAGGTCCGCGGGAGGGAGGTACAGCCGGCAACCAAGGGTTGGGGAGGGCGGACCCTGCCAAGGTTTTAGGCCTGCCTTCTAGGTATCTTTTCTTCACCCTCTACCCATTTAGAGCTGGAAATGATAGGCTGCGGGGGCCGAGGAGAGGAATTGCTGCAGAGGAGGGGGACAGAGATTAGGTCTGGAAAGCAGGTCCCTATTGCGGCAGTTGAGCGGGCGAGCTTCTGACTGAGGGACAGAGGCGAGGAGCGAGAAACTGTTTTTGGTCTCAGCAGGTCGGTCGGTGTAAGCGTGGGCGCTACCTGTAGATCCTGGAGTGAGAATGACAAAGCGCAGAGACCGCAGCAGGTCCTAGTTTTCAATGCCCACATACCTCTTCACTCATCGTCCATCTTGATGCATAAAATGGTGGGCATGGGAGTGGGGATCGGGTGGAGAGAGGGCCTGATGGATATCTAGATTGAAATTCTTTGTGAATAAACTACGTATTCATTCAGCAAGCTCTTCTAACTCCCCCGCCAGGCAAGTTGCCTGCGTTGCAGAAAGGGTAACTAGATGACAGGTAAGAGGAAACAGTAGAGATGGGCGCCTAAAGAAGAGGTTAAAACGTTTTGGAAATAATCATCTTTGATGCCTATTTCTGGAAGGTGGGATAGCCTGTCACAGGGTGGGAAAAGAAGCCGTGAGACAGGATGGAGGAGAAACAGAAGGTGCTAATACTAGGAGAACCCTAAATCAACTCCCATTACCGGTCCTTTGATTAAAAGATCAGTCCTGGTAATTGTCACATTTGTCTGCAGGTCTTTAAGTGCGTTTGTGCAGCCGATTTCAAGGCTAAGAGAGAAAGACTGCCTCTGATCCCTGAAGGTAGGAGGTTGCCTGGGGCCCTCTGGTGTAGGGGTATCAAGGATCAGAGCAGAATCTGGGTGACTCACAGCCCTTCCTGCCCGAGTTGAGTGCAGGAGAAACTTAGGAGAGTCTTCATAAAATGACAGCCTGTATCTGATGAGGGAAGAAGGGAGTAGAGGGGCGAGATCTGGGGCGCTCCTGGAGAGCTTATTAGGATCCCAGGGAGGTGAAGTCTGGTCTCTCTATGATCGTCCCCCTCCGCTAAGTCGTCTTGCATTTTGGCGGTAGGAGTGGCCTGGGGAAGGGATTTTCAGGGAAAATGATGGGCTTTGGGGCAGCGCTGGGTCTGGGGCGCCCCCTACAGGGTTCATAAAGTTTCTCAGGTGGGAAAACCTTTGCCAAACAGAGCTCTGAATCCTATCAAGCATTCATTCCCTCTTCTTGCTTTTTATCTTCTAGGAAGAAAAAAAAAAAAAAAACAGGAAAAAAACTCAACATGGAAAATGTCCCCAAGGAAAACAAAGTTGTGGAGAAGGCCCCAGTGCAGAATGAAGCCCCCGCTTTAGGAGGTGGTGAATACCAGGAGCCTGGAGGAAATGTTAAAGGGGTTTGGGCTCCACCTGCCCCGGGTTTTGGAGAGGATGTGCCCAATAGGCTTGTCGATAACATTGATATGATAGATGGAGATGGAGATGATATGGAACGGTTCATGGAGGAGATGAGAGAGCTAAGGAGGAAAATTAGGGAACTTCAGTTGAGGTACAGTCTGCGCATTCTTATAGGGGACCCTCCTCACCATGATCATCATGATGAGTTTTGCCTTATGCCTTGAATCTTGAGGTTAATAATCATAAAATCCCTGCTTTCTAAATTCGCATTTTTCCTGGTGTACCTTTAATGTGAACCTTTTGGCATTCTTCTGCAATTTTCTGATTGGAGATTGCATTTTGACCTAGTCTGTAAGTTTTTCTGTCAGAAGAGGACTTTCATCAACTTTCATGGAAAGATGTTTATTGCATACTGTAAAGTTAATAAAGCAATTTAAAAGCAGTCTACAGATAGACTATTTCATTTAGATGTGTACGTATGCACACTATATATAATATATATGAAATATATATATATATATATATATATATATATATATATATATATGAATGAATGAAAACCAGAATGTGCTTTTTCTATGTTGTATAGTTACTGGTACTTTTAAATTTCTTTATTTTTTTCTTGGTTATCCACTTTTTCTCACTTTTCCAAAATGAATACATGTGTTTCCTATGTTTCAGGGAAAAAAAAAGTAAGAAGCAAGGAACTTGCCAATCAACTTATATAGGAAATGGGGGCAATTAATAAACACTTGAAACACAGTTTAAAGACATATAAATCTTATATTACCTATGGATCTCTCATTTAGAAACATGTACCTGATAATTACAGGTACGTTACATTATAAATGCCTTAGACGGCTGCTGTGGGAATCAAATGAGGTGATGACTGAGCTCTGTGTCTTGCTCTATTTATACATGCAAGGCTCCAGCCCTCTAAGTGCCCTTCATATTTAGGGAAGATTCCAAGGAGAGTGCCTATCAGCAAGTCCAGTTGATTTCCAGGTGAGTACGGGTTCAAAATCCATTATCCGAAATGCTTGGGACTAGCATTTCAGATTTCAGATTTCTGGGGTTTTTTTTCTGTTTTTGAAGCATTTGCATGTACATAAAGAGCTGTCTTGAGGATGAAACCCAACTCTAAACATGAAATTTATTTAATTTTATATACACCTCAAACACATAGCCTGAAGGTAATTTTATACAATATTTTTAATAATTTTGTGTGTGAAACAAAGTTTGCGTATATGAAGTCAGGTGTGGAATTTTCCATTTGTAGCATCATGTCATGTTCAAAAAGCCTTGGATTTTGGAGCACTTCGATTTTGGATTTTTGGATTAGGGATGCTCAACTGTAAATGCTTTTCTATTCATCTGCTACTCTGGCTTTCTTTCCTGCATAATACCATAACTATTAGGCACATCTTCCTCTTCTCTTGCGTTTTGCTCCCTCCACTGGCTTCTACCACTGCAGATGTACTGGACTTCTAAAGATGACAAAGACCCACCGATTTCTCTGGAACCTTCAGTAATCCGAATCCCCATTTTGCCTTTTCAAAAATGTATAGAGTGTCCCTCCCTGCTTTAGAGTTATAATTAAACCAGGCAGATACTTCACCAACACTGCTTATAAATGCAAGCAGCCCTTTATGGTTTTCTCCCACTTCCTTCCTCATCCCCTTCTCCCAGACAAATTTGAGTGACACTCATGATAGTGTGCTCAGAATTGGACTATCTCTTCCATCCTCTGATGAATATAGCTTAGTCTCCTTGACTATCAATTTTCTGTGCAGACATTGCTACAGGTTTCATTCTGCACATACACAGGAGTTGTAGGGATAATTTTATGTTCCCAAGACTGTTCTGGTTCACACCACCCTGACCTCAGGAGTCCCCAGTAGTCTACACTAACTTACACGGATCCAGATACGTTTCCCTCTTCCTTTGCTTTGAGATTTCTGTGCCAAATAAACCCGTAATTACAGATTGATGGGAAATAATGGCAGGAACTGGGGATCTGGTAGGTGAATCCCAATTTTAAAACATTGTTCACAGTCATCACTGTTCCCCACTAAACTGTGTCCTTCTCACAGTAAATATTTTGTCTCATTTATACTGGTACCCTTAGTGTTTAGTACAGGGCCTGATAAGTTGTAGGGCACAACAGTTAATTATAGCTGAGTTGAATCCTGCAATCTGGACCCAGGGTTGCTTCTGATTATTTATGGGCAAGTGCTTCTTTTCCCTACACACTGTAGCTTGCAATTAAAAAGGAACACAGCAGAAGAAGCATTATACGCCAATTTCCAAAAAAAATGCACTTATCATAACATTATATATGTCAGTGTTTATCAGCATGTGCTATATAGACCAGCTGCATCAAAATTGCCTGAAGAACTGGCTAAAAATTCAGAAAAAAATGTGTTTCAGTCCATACTCACTGTACCATAGTTAATCAGACATCTCTGGACTTACATAAATTAAAGTGGAGGCCCCAGCTTTAGTCAATCTCAGACACCCCTCTCCCCACCTTATATTTTATAGAAATGGGTGGTTAGTTGATTGGTAGATCTGAGACCTGTGAAAACACTACATAGAATTTAATTAATCTATATACATCAGGCATTATTTTCCCATCAGACGGTGCCCTTCTTAAAGAGACAACTACTTTTTATTTTTTAATGCTATTGTCTTTACTGCATAAGTTCTCAATCCTTGCTTCAGATTTGAAATACCTGAGGATACTTTAAAGTGGAGCTCAGTACCCAATTCCAACCAGTTGAGTCAGACTCATTAAAAGTGAGACCAACAGATCCTTAGTGTGAAAGATCCCGTGGTGATTCCGATGTAGAGTAGAGTTGAGAAGTGAGTGAAATTTGTGGCTAAAATATCTTTGGCTTATTTTCTCTGTACTATCCCTGATTGTGTTACCCTAAGCAGGTTAATTTGTTTATATAGAATTTATATCTTGTGAAAGAAATACCCTAGGGGAGGAATTATACCCCCAAATCACAAAAACATCCTTTTAAGAAAATATTTGCCAGTGTTCGTCCAGCTTCGCTAGCCTATCAAATACTTCAGAATTCCACTTGGAGCTTGTTTAAAATACATAATTCTGGCACCATCCAAAATCCACTCTTTGGCAATGGTACTCAGGTAGCTACATTGTTAACAATCTTTAGGTGATTCTGATGCACATTAGAGTTTGTTGGATCACTTGTGCGTACATTTTTATCCAGATTATGTTAAAAACAAACCAATAAAATAACTAAAATAAAATATAAATGTTCGCCCAAATTCAGGGAAAGGAGTAGCAAGGAGAAGATGTATATGGGCACAAAAAATAATATAAAAAGCTAAAATAAAAATTTTAAAACATTAAATCATAAAGGGAAAGATTGACATTCACCATGTAAAAAATATTAAATCTTCTGCAAAGTAAAGCAAGACTGTAAATAAAGTTCAAGGAACTTCAAGGAATTTCAGTTAGAAAGGAATATGTTCACTAAATCAATTATACCATGGTGACTATAGTTAATAACATAATATTGTCTACTTGAAGTTGCTAGGAGAGTAGACTTTAAGTGTTCTCACCACAAAAATTGATTAGTATGTGAGTTAATGCATGTATTATATTGCTTAATTCAGTACTTCCACAATGTATAAGGATATGAAAACATCATTTTGTGCACCATAAATATATACAATTTTTACTTCTCAACTAAAAACGTAAATTAAAATAGAAGATGAGACGAAGAGCAAAGGCAGCCATCAGCAAGCCAAAAAGAAAGGCCTCAGGAGAAACCAAGCCTGCTGACACCATGATCTTGAACTTCCAGCCTCCAGAACTGTGAAAAATAAACTTCTACTATTTAAACCACCCAGTATGTGGCATTTTGTTATAGCAGTCCTAGTAGACTGATAGAAGATATAACACATATTGGTGGTTATCAAGGACTAGGGGAGACAGTAACGATCAAAAACTGCTTTGTGGGTGAGGGGTTTTACTTTGGGGTGATGGAAATGGTTTGGAACTAGATAGAGGTGGTAGTTGCACAACATTGTGAATGTGGTAAATGTCATTGCATTGTTCACTTTAAAGTAGTTAAGTTTTCGGATATTTTTAATTGTGGAAAAATATACATAATATAAAGTTTACACCTCAGCCATTTGTAAATGTACAATTTATTGGTATTAAGTACATTCATTCTGTTTTAGAATCATCACCGGCATTCATCTCCAGAAATTTTGTGTCATTACAAACTGAAACCCTGTACTCATAAACAATAACTTCCTAGTCCCCATTTTCCTCTCCCTATGTCCCCTGGTAACCACTGTTCTACTTTCTGTCTATATGAATTTGACTTTTCTAGGTATCTCATATAAATGGAATCATACAGTATGTGCCCTTTGATGTCCGGCTTCTTTCACCTAGTATAATGTTTTTAAGGTTCACTAATTTTTTAGCATGTAGCAGAACTTTATTCCTTTCTAAAGCTGACTAATATTCTTTTGTATGTACATATAACATATTGTTAATCCACTCATCTCTTGATGTACACTTGGCTTGCTTCCACCTTTTAGCTGCTGTTGATAATACTGCTAGGAACACGGGTGTATAAATACCTGTTCCAGAGTCTGCTTTCAATTATTTTTGGCATATACCCAGAAATGAAATATAGTGATTTTATGTTAATTTTTTGAAGAAAGGCCATAATGTTTTCCCTAGTGGCTGTATAATTTTACATTCCTACCAGCAGTGTGTGAGGGTTCTAATTTCTCCACACCCTACTTGCCTTAGTCCATTTCGTGTTGCTAAAACAGAATACCTGAGGATGGGTAATTTATAAAGAAAAGAGGTTTATTTAGCTCATGGTTTTGTGGGCTGGGAAATATAAGAAGCATGGCACCCACATCTGCTCTTCCTCTATTGTAAGCCATGAATTAGATCAAAACATTGCAGAGAAGTTCAAAGGGAAAGCAGAGATGTGCAAAGAGATAAAACACAAGGAGTGTCCTGGCTTTACAACAACCCACTTTCCAGGGAACTAACCCATTCCAGTGATAACTAATCCAGTCTCATCAGAGTGTAAACTCACTAACTACCTCCAGAGTAGCACCAAGCCATTCATGAGTGATCCATCCCCATGATCCAGACATCTACCACTAGGCCTCATGTTCCAACACCACCACAATGGGGATGAAATATCAACATATATTTTGGTGGGAACAAACTTAGACCATAGCACTCACCAATGCTTATTTTTTTGATAACAATGATCCTAATGGGCATGAAGTGGTATCTCACTGGGCTTTTGATTTACATTTCCTTAATGATTAGTGATGTTGGGCATCTTTTCATGTGCTTATTGGCCACTTGTATATCTTTGGAGAAATGTTGATTCAATTTATTTGCCCATTCTTAAATTGGGTTCTATGTGGTTTTTTTTGTTGTTGTCACTGACTTATGAAAGTTTTAAAATATGTTCTGGATTTTAATCCCTCTTCAGATATAGACCTGCAAATATTTCCTTTTGTCCTGTAAGTTGCATTTTCATTCTCTTGACACTGTCCTGTGATGCACAAAAGTGTTAAATATTGATCAATTTCTATTTTTTTTTACCTATACTTTGTGTGTCATATTGAAGAAGCAACAGCCAAGACCAATGTCATCAAGCTTTCTCCTATTTTTCTCTAAGGTTTTCATAGTTTTAGATTTTACATTAAGGTCTTTAATCAACTTTTAGTTAATTTTTATAAATGATATGAGATAATAGTACAAGTTCATTCTTTTGCATGAGAATATCCAACTTTTCCAGTATCATTTGTGGAAAAGACTACCTTTTCTCCATTGAACGGAAAACAACTGTAATGAAAAACTTGTTAGAGCAGCTCAATAATGAGTCTGAAGTGAACGAAGAGAGAATCAGTGAGCTTGAGGATAGATAAATGAAGATTATGAGTATAAGGAACAAAAAAACAAAGAAAAATGGAGAAAAATATAGAGACATTAGAGAACCATGGCACACCATCAAGCGTACAAGCATAGGCACGAAGGGAATTCCATAAAGAGGGGAAAAAGAAAAGTTTCAGGAAAATGTATTTGAAGAAATAATGACAAAATACTTTTTGAACTTGATGGAAAGCACGAATCTACAGCTGACTTTTTATCAGAAATCATGGAGGCCAGAAGACAGTAAGATGACATTTTCAGAAAGTTGAAGGAAAAAGACTTAACTAACACTTCTTAGTCTGGAAACTCTCCTTAAAACTTTAAGGATAAATTAAGACACTCTCAAATAACAAACAGTGAGTAATTTTTAATCAGCAGCACTGTCCTACAATAAATACCAATGAGTCTTTCATGCTGAAATTAGAAAACACTAAATGGTAACATGAATCCACATGAAGAAATAAAGAACACTAGTAAGGTAACTAAATAGGTAAATATAAAAGACAGTGTGGTAGACAGAATAGTGGGTTTCCAAAAGTTATGCATGTCCAAACCCCTGGAACCTGTGAATGTTACTTTTTATGCCAAAAAGAGACTTTGAAGATGTTATTAGGTATCTTGAGATGTTATTAAGTGTCTTAATTATCCTGAATTATCTAGGTGGGCCCTAAATGCAATCACAAGTGTTCTTATAAGGAGACACAGGGAAATTTGACACAAAGGAGAAAGAAAGGTATGTGATGATGGAAGCAGAGAGACATTTGAAGATACTATGCTGCTGGCTTTTAAGATGAATGAAGGGGACGTAAGCCAAGGAATACAAGAAATTCAGCTCCAGAAGTTGAAAAAAATAAGGCAGTGGATACCTGCTGACTCTGGTTAAAACCCCATGAAGGCATTTTAATTTCTTACTTCTAGCATTGTAAGAGAATAAGTTTTTCCTATTTTAAGCCACTAAGTTTGTGGTAATTGTTACAGCAACAATAGGAAATAAATACAAATAGTTATAAACGTATATTTGTCTGTAACTCATTTTTCTCTTATTAGATTAGAAAGAAAACTTGATAAAACAATAATTACAAAACAGATATAATGGCTAAGATGTAATTTCTATGACACTCTTCCTAAATCACAAAGGAGGAAAGAGGAAATGGAGATAGTTTTGCATCCCATTAAAATTATTGATACAAATTCACTTGTTTTAAATTAATATACTAATTTTAATCCCTAGGCCAACTACACAAGAAAATTATTCAAAAACTTTGTACAAGAAAAAGGAGAATTAAAATGGTAGGCCAAAAAAATATCCTTTTAAAAGTAATTCAATAATGGAGAAATAGAGGAACAAAAACACACAACAAATGGAAAACAAATAGCAAAACAGCAAATGTAAATATCACCTTATCATTATTGCATTAAATATAAGTTGATTAAACACTTCAGTCAAAAGGCAGAAAGTAGCAGAATGGGTAAAAAAAAAAAAGCATGATACAACTATACACTATCTAAAAGAGAATATATTTAAATAAGCAAATAAAATTAATGTGAAAGGATGGAAAATATATACTATGCAAAGAATAACCAAAAGAGTCAGATGAAAAAGACATTAAGACAAAAAATGTTATCGTAGAATAAAAACGTGTTATATAACAAGTCCTATCCTTCAGGACTATACAAAAATTATAAACATATATGAACATAAAACAGATTTCCAAAATACATAAAGCAAAAACTTACAGAATAGAAGGAAAAAATTAGAAGAGAATCAAGATAATTTAACAATAGTAATTGGAGACTTCAAAACCACACATTCAAAAATAAATGAAACAAATAAGAATATCAACAAGGAAACAGAAGACTTAAACAAAACTACAAAACCAACTGGAATAACAGACATGTATAGAACACTCCAAACAGCATAAGCATACACATTCTTGTCAAGCACCCATGGAACATTTTCCTGGAAAGACTACATAATAAATAATAAAATCCTATATACACTTAAAAGTATTGAAATTATAAAAATAATATTCCATGATCATAATGGAATTAAATTTGTAATCAACAACATAAAGAAATTCAAAAACCCTGCAAATATGTGGAAATTAAACAATGTACTTCAATTCAACCTGAAATATCATGAGAGAAATTGGAAAATACTTTAAAAACAAAAAAAAACCCCACAACACATCAAAAGTTATGGGATATAGTTAAGCAGCATTTAGATGGAAATGTGTAACAGTAAATGTTTACTTTGAAAAGATGAAAATCCCATATCAGTAAACTTTCATCTTAAAAAGCTACAGAAAGAAGAGCAACTTAAATCAAAGAAATCAGAAGGAAGGGAATAGTAACCACTAGAGTGGAAATAAATGAATTACAGAATAGAACATCAATGAAACTAAAAGTTTGTTCTTTGAAAATATATATAAAACCTGACAAAACTTTAGCTACACTCACCAATAAAAAATGATGAAGACTGAAACTATTAAAATCAGGAATAAAAGAGGGGTCATCATTAGCAACTCTACAGATATATAAAAAAAGATTATAAGGTAATACTATTAACAACTGCATGACAAAAAAATGAGACAAGGTAGATGAATGGGATGAATTCCAAAAAAGACACAACCTACCCAATTGACTTAAAAAGAAATAGAAACACAAGTAACATCATTAAAAATGGTAGTGTATGGAACTCCGGAACTCCATAATGAGCAATTAGTGAGCTGGCAAAAACTGCTACCATCAGCTTTCTCAGAACTCTGGAATCCAGTCAAAAAATTATAACAATGAGAGGAAAATTTGGTGAAGAATAAAAGCTGCTAATTTGTGGTAAGAAAGAAATTTTCAATTGCCTATCTACCATTCTCTATGCCCCAGATTAGCAGTGATCTGTTGATGATAGCCCACTATCCTGGTTTAGATAGCTAGTACCAGTGGTAGGAATTTGGACCGTATTCTCATAGAAGTGTGGTATGGCTATCAGCCTGCCTGGCAGCACTTTCATCACTAAGGCTTCTTTCATTACACCAGACTGGGAGGACTCCCAGGGCTTGGGCTGCATTGGCTCTCCAGTTGGCTTTTGCCAGAAGCATTTAAAATCACAGGTATTGACCAAAGAAGTCTGGAGCAAAGGACAACACTCAGAATAAGCAATGAACAGACCGAGAAGCCTGAGAAGGAAGAGTTAGGGAAACAAGATATGTGGAAGAACAAGCATTTTAAAAAACCCTTTATATATACTGGAAAATCAAGAAGGCCATGTGTATGCCAAGGGTGGGACACATACTCAGAAAAGACCAGAGAAAATGCAAGCATTCAACTTCATTGAATTTGAGCTTCAGGCTCTGCATAAGAAAAATGCAAAGCATTAAAAAGGTACTCCAACTCAGAGTTCATCTGCAAAGACTGGGAAATTTGTTTTGTTTTGTTTTGTTTTTGAGATGGAGCCTCACTCTCTAGCCCAAGCTGGAGTACAGTGGCATGATATCCGCTCACTGCAACCTTCGCCTCTGGGGCTCAAGTGATTCTCCTGTCTCAGCCTCCCAAGTAGCTGGGACTAGAGACGTGCGCCACCACACCTGGTAAATTTTTTTGTATTTTTAGTAGAGACGGGGTTTCACCATGTTGCCCTGGGTGGTCTTGAACTCCTGAGCCCAGGCGATCCACCTGCCTCGGCCTCCCCAAGTGCTGGGATTACAGGTGTGAGCCACCGCGCCAGGCCAGGAAATTATTTTTTTATTTATTGTTTTTCTTTTGTTGGCTTTAGGTACTTAGAGTAACGGCATCCAAACACCAGCTGATTAATAAGCTAATAAAACACAGACTTCAGTGGCCACACATGACAAAGAATACATAATTTGCTAAAATACTTTAAAAAGTCACTAAGTAAACAATAACCCACGAGAGAGTAACAACAAAACCCAAGGAAGAGGGAAAATCTAATTTCCAGAGTCAACATATTAGAATCAAAATATACAGATTTCAACAAAACTTTGTGAGGCATATAAGGAAATAAGAAAACATAGCCCATACACAGGAAAGAAATAATTAGATACTATCATGAAAAAGCCCGTGTATTAGAATATCTAGAAAATATTTTTAATCAACTGTCTTATATATGCTCGAAGAACTAAAGGAAATCGTAAACAAAGGACTAAAGAAAAAGAGAAGAATGTCTCAGCAAATACACAATATCAGTAAAGATGTAAAAATACAAAGAGATGTAGAAATTATAAAATAAATAGAAATTCTTTATTTGAAAAGTACAATAACTAAAAGTCACTAGAGGGGTACAACAGTAGGTTTGGGCAGGCAAAAGAATCAGTGAACTTAAAATAGGTCAATTGAGATTATTCAGTCCGAGGAGCAGAAAAATAAAAGTAATGTGAAAAATGAACAGAGCACACCTATGCATGATGGGGGTTCAACAAGGAGAGAAACAGAATAGAGAAGAAAGAATTTTCAAAGGAAAAATGACTGCAAATTACTCAAACTTGAGGAAAGACACTAATCGATGTATCCAAGAAGTTCAATACACTCCAAACAGGATAATCTGAAAGAGATCCAAACAAAAACATGTTATAAGTATCTTGTCAAAACCCAAATATATGACACTACACTGTAGTGACAAGAATATTAAAAATTTTCTAGTTCTTTGGGTTCAGTGGTGGTTTCACAAATGTGAAAGAGAAAAACAATGGAAGGAAAGTAAACAGTTATTAGCAATTTTCTAGTTCTTTGGGTTTAGTGGTGGTTTCACAAATGTGAAAGAGAAAAACAATGGAACGAAAGTAAACAGTGGGGGAAAAGAAGGGAAAGCAGGGGAGAGAAGAGTAGTCAATGAGAAGAGCATGTTGTGAACCAAGGGTTATGATGAATTTGTGGATCTGCAGTTCATATTAAAAACGTTTGAATGCTTTCCTTTCTAGCTGTCTGACATTCTCTTTCTATGAAAACTGGTCAACTGTTGGAAGGTAACTTTCAAGTGTGGAGAAAGGCCAATGGAGATTATAAGAAGGAAGTTGGTAAATCAATTTGGGGTACATGGGCTTTTGAAATCAATTTGTGGTACAGGGTTTTTACATACCGTGTCCCTCAGGGATACTCAGGCGGTGATGTCCAATAAACAGTTGGCAAAGCTGATATGAGACACGGAGAAGGGAACAGCCTGGAGCTGTAGATCTGGGAGTCATCGGTGTTTACTGGAAATGAATGAGATCACACAGGGAGAGACAACTTGAGGACTGAGGAGAGAGGAGGCCCAGGACAGAACCCCAGGAACACCGCCACTCAAGGTGGCAGCTCAGCTTCCTGGCAGGCACCACTACCCCCCGGGCTCTGGAGTCAGGCAGAGCCGGTATTGAAAGTGGGCTGTGGAGTTCTGGGGCTAAGCGCTCTTGGCAAAGTCGGGTACCCTCTCTGATCAGCTGTCACACCTGGCGATAATGGGCATCAGAGAGAGATGCCTTGCGAGGATGCTGTGAGCTGCGTCAGGTAAAGCACCTGAGATCAGAAAGCCACCCCCTCCTCCTCTTCTTCTTGATGACCCCCACTCCTTTGTTACACACACCCTCTCCCACCTTCCGCAACCTCCTGGTCCCTCGGGGATGGATGGTGAGGTGGGCGGGAAGGGGGTGGTGGTGGCCTAGCTCCCGTGACGCGGTGCTCACGTGAGTGACCAGGCGCCTACGTGGGCACCAGCCCCCGCGCCCGCCCGCCCGCCCAGCGGTCCGGTCCAGGCGCCCGCGCAGAATCAGCTGTCTGAGCTGCCCAGGCGGCGGGGGAGCAGCGAGCGGGCTTCAGCGAGCCGCAGGAGGCACAGGCCTGTCCTGGGTCCCCGCAGGTCAGTGTGAAGGCGTGCGCTGCCGGCGGACCCTGGGACAGGGGTGGAGGGGGCTGGCAGTAGGATTGGGGAGGGGGCGGAGAAGGGATCCGGTAGATTGGGGAGGAGGGGGATGCTGAGCGGGCCGGGGCGGGGGCAGGGGAGGGAGCACCCCGAAGCGAACCTGGCTCGCCTTCTCGACGCCCCTTGCACTGAGCCCTCCATCCATTTTAGTGCTGGAAATGGGGGGCTGGGGGTAGCGACCCCGCAGTGCGACAGTGAAACACAGACTTATTCTGGAAATAACCCCCTCTCACAATCCGCTCCCATGGAAACATCTGACCTCCGCAAAAACGGGGTGGCGCTGAGACAGGTTGCCTCCGGGGGAAGGGGCACAAAGAGGCAAACGCAGTTTGGAAGCATCCTGGTTTGGTGCCCGAGGCCTGGAAAGAAATGGCGGCTGGGGTGCGGGGGAGGTAGGGGAGGAAAACATTGGGTGAGCAGGGCCTAGACTCAGAAAAGGGAACGGAGTCCCTGTGAGCCCGCTGAGCGCGCAGCCCCTACCCCTGTCTCCTGTCTGTCCGCAGGTCTGCGCGTCTGTTGTTCCCAGCGCTCTTGGAGGCCTGCAAAGGAAGAGCAACCTGTCCAGACTCCCCGCAGGTCCGTGAAAGCAGGGGGCTGCATGGACAGGGGCCCACAAGGGTTGAGAGTGTGGAGGGCCCGGCCAAGGCCAAATTGGGACCCCTGCACATAACCCCACCCACGTGAACACACACCTTACCAGGCTGAATCAGTTCAGAGAAGGTGGCAGGGCCTGCCAGGGTATGGCTGGCTCACGTGTGTGGGAGGAGTGGTGGGCTACGTGCTGGGCAGAAGGCCCTCTTGGAGGCCCGGCCAGCTTAGGGGAACCCTCACCAGGGGTGAGATGCAAGTAGTATCCAGACCTGCATTCCACCCCATGCCCTCAGTCTCCCATGTCTCTTATTTGTCTCCTCTTCCCTCCACTGTCATCCCCCAGGACAGGAAAAAGAGAAATCTCGACATGGAAAAACCCTACAATAAAAATGAAGGAAACCTGGAAAACGAGGGAAAGCCAGAAGATGAAGTAGAGCCTGATGATGAAGGAAAGTCAGACGAGGAAGAAAAGCCAGACGCGGAGGGGAAGACAGAATGCGAGGGAAAGCGAAAGGCTGAGGGAGAGCCAGGTGATGAGGGACAACTGGAAGATAAGGGAAGCCAGGAAAAGCAGGGCAAGTCCGAAGGTGAGGGCAAGCCACAAGGCGAGGGCAAGCCAGCCTCCCAGGCAAAGCCAGAGGGCCAGCCGCGGGCCGCCGAAAAGCGCCCGGCTGGAGATTATGTGCCCCGGAAAGCAAAAAGAAAAACAGACAGGGGGACGGACGATTCCCCCAAGGACTCTCAGGAGGACTTACAGGAAAGGCATCTGAGCAGTGAGGAGATGATGAGAGAATGTGGAGATGTGTCAAGGGCTCAGGAGGAGCTAAGGAAAAAACAGAAAATGGGTGGTTTTCATTGGATGCAAAGAGATGTACAGGATCCATTCGCCCAAGGGGACAACGGGGTGTCAGGGGAGTGAGGGGTGGAGGTAGGGGCCAAAGAGGCTTACACGATATCCCATACCTTTAATGCCTTTGGCCTTCCATTCTGACTTCTCTGATGAGATTATTGTCAACCCTGCTTTCCCTGGTAGATATTTGCCAGGCCCAATGCTTTAACCTTAAGCTGATATTTTTGCTTTAGATGTCAATCTCGTTACCAGCAGCCTTTTGACCCAACTACAGCGCTCTATATTTTAGTAGAGGATTTTCACCCATGTGCATGGAAAAGATGTTCATGACACATTGTAAAAAATAAATAAATAAAGAACAGTTTGCAGAACCTCGTATACGGTTATCAGCCAATATTTATAAAAATGTAAATGTTTGTATAATGCATTTCTGCGCAAAGAAAACCCTGAAAGCATGTACACTAAAAAGCAGGCAATGGTTATTCCTGAAGGGTAGCCAAGAATAGGTCTCACCTGTATTCAAAAATGAGTCCTACCACCTCTTGTATGTACCTCCATGATATTCCTCTGCTGCTGTGCACATCCCTATGTCTTCCCTAGGTCGAGCCAGGTCAGTGGGCACTGTTGCTAGGTCCTCTATCATGTTCCTGGGTCTTCTAACATGAGTGCTGGGTCTGCATACTCAGACCCATACTAAAATATAATACTAAATATTTGTCATACTGAAAAATAAATAAAAGCTGAATACAATACATACTAAGAAATTGAACTGTTTGGTGCGCTTACAAAGGCAATAAAGACACTCAGAATTCCTGTTATCAGAACATAAGATGACAGGTAAAATTCATATTATCTCTGGGACTAAAAGCTAAAGGAATCAACCTGGAAATTCTAACAGATCTATTGCTGTAAGAGTCAATCTTGTCATTTGTAAAATAAGGGTAATACTTGCCTCACAGGACTGCCTGGTGGATCAGATGAGATACTAAGTATGTGAGCTGTGTTGTGACCTGGTCCCCACTAGGCACTCAGGGGAGGAATGGCTCCTAAACTATTCCCATACAGTGGCAGGAAAGTCGATGGAATCAGACACATTGGAGGAGGACTGAGGGAGTTCTCACCATGTCTAGGAATATTTCCAGGCAGCTAAGAAGTAGATGCCACTCTCTCCTGGATACTTCCATGTCTGCTGGGCACTATGCCCTTTTTCCCGGGTCCTGCACCCTTTACTGATAGAGGATTTATGGTGTCAAAGCCCTGTCATTTTCTCTGGAGTCACTGGTGAGCAATGTCCACCAACCCATGACCCCCGTAGAAGTGGATAAAGCCCTCTCTCCACTTTATAGTTACAGTAACCAGGTACACATGGATATCACCTTGGTGCTGCTTGGGCCTCTCATTAATATCTTCCAAATTCTTTTTGCCAAAATAATCATTTATGTGTATTCCTTATTTCTTTGTTTTGCATACATAAATATTGTCCTCACAAAACTGAGATATTGCAGGCTAGGCCAGGAAAAAATACCTGCATGATAGTGGTTGTGCTGTTCTCATGGGTTAATATCTTGTCTGCAGATGCTCTTTTCTCTGTTGAGTTCACTCTCAGGAAACTTGTCAGGTAACACTTTAGCAGTTCGGCAGACCCATCAATACATTTGAGTTTTAAATCCTTTGTAATGAACATGTTGTGGTCCATGAAAAAGCTGCATAGTCATCACCTGGGGAACTAATTAGAAACGCAGAATCTCAGGTCTTGCCTCAGACCTAATAAGTTAGAATCTTCATTTTAACAAGATCCCAAGAAGATTCCTATGCACATTGAAGTTTGAGAAGCACTGGCTTAGAAAGAGACCCTTCAGGCTCCCCACTCCCACCTTTACATAAAATATGTGCCTAAAAATATAAATATATGTGCTATATAAGACACACATCACAGATTATTAAATAAGCCCATGTTTTTCAAAATGAAGTTGTCCTTCCCCCATGAAAAGTAGATCTTGAAATCAATTCAATGGGTCAAGATAGGTAATTTTTTAAAAATGAAATAGGATAGAATAGACTTGAATACAGCCAAACAGAAAATATCAAATAGCAAATAGCATTGTAAATAGACTGAATATTTTTTGTGAAATTTGTGTTTCAGTTACGTACGTATGTATGTGTGTGCACCATGAGTTATGATGAAAATAAATTTCTGACTGTGGGCTGCAGCAAAAAAATTGAGAAAGACTGCACTGGATTCTGCATCTCAAAGTATGGCATGTCCATTTTATATTTGTATTGCTAGTGCCCAACACAAGTAACTGACAAGTAGTAAGCACTTAATAAAAATGTAAATAATAATGACTGAGACTCCAAGTTTAGCCTCTGTCTACCTAAATAACTTTGGACAAATAACTTAAATTGTCTAACAGGATTTACTTACATTCTCCAAAGTAATGAGGAGTAATGGGCTTTACAGGCTGTATAGGACCTTCTATATATAGCAGAATATCAGCAGAGATATTAGTTCACTATATATAGTTCACAGTAAAAGCTTCGCTTACTAAAGAACGCATATTCAGCAGCACCAAGGAGAGCTCCCTCACTGTAAGGGGTGAAACTTCTTAGCCCCTGGAAGACAGGCTCTGCAAAGTGAAACTAAACAACTGTGGAATCTGTGCTATAAAAGGACCCAGGGCTGGGTGAAGTGGCTCATGCCTGTAATCCCAGCACTTTCGGAGGCCGAGGCAGGTGGATCACCTGAGGTCAGGAGTTTGAGACCAGCTTGGCCAACATAGTGAAACCCCATCTCTATTAAAAATACAAAAAAAAAAAATTAGCTGGGTGTGGTGGTGGGTGCCTGTAATCCCAGCTACTTTGGAGGCTGAGGCAGGAGAATTGCTTGAACCCGGGAGGTGGAGGTTGCAGTGAGCTGAGATTGTGCCATTTAAAAAAAAAAAAACAAAACAAACAACAACAACAAAAACCCAGTGGAGGGTTCTGTATGTGCCACAGGAGCACAGCCTCACAAAGGAACGGAAGAAATGCCATAGTGGGAAACCGTGGGTGGTAAGCTGCCCTAGATGGGTAGCAGTTAAGTACATTCCTGCAGATGATCTTACTACACTTACCTTGAAAGAATTAAGACCTTAGATTTTAGAGACAATATATATCATACTGATTTTGTTCTTGGACTCCATATGGTTTCCAGTTTTAAGTGGTACCCAGAGCAAGTAAAAGATCTACAGTAGTTCCAGACTGTAGTGCGGGCTTCTCTGACACTTCAGCCTCATGACCCTGCAGATCCAATTGTATTGTGTCCATGCTAGAAAGAGAGGCTCCATGGAGTTTTAGAAAGCCCCAGTAGTAGATTAAAGTATATGCCTCTAGGGTTTTTTAAGCAAAATCATTCCCTCTTTTCTTGGCAACTAGTCTACATTTGAGAATCTGCTCCTGGCTTGCTATCAAACCCAGTAGAGACTTAACACCTGACCATGAGGTATTAATTTTCCATACTAACAAGCTACTCTTAATGAATGTGTTGCTGTCTACTCTGTTGAATAATAAAGTTTTGTGTGGACATCAGCTTTCAACCGTTAATTGCAAATGGCTTTACAAGATCAGACCTGAGTAAACCAAGAAGGCACAAGTAAATTTCATGTGCAGTTTGATCAGACCTCATTGCCTCTCTCTCAACCAACATATATCATATATGGCATCTTGGTGAATTCTTCATCCTTGTGACCAGTTAGAAAAAGAGATATGAAACAATGTATCAGTTCCTGGTTGTATCTTCCTGGTATATTGATAGTAGGTACAAGTGGATGGCTGCCTCATTATAGTCCCACTCAGGGATAACCCAGAATAGTAGGAAAAAGACATGCTAGGATTTGGGGTACGATTTTGAGTGAATCATATGATTGTCCATTTTGTATAGAACTCTTAATGGTTGGAGGTATGGATCTACCCTGTCTCATGAGCAATGACTAAAACCAGCAATCGGCTGGTCAGGGACTTGAAGAGAATTATTTGGATAATTAATGATGAGGAGGATTTTAGAGGTCCTAGATGTCTTGCGGAGGATTCAAAATTTCAGCCAGACTGAGTTCTCATTGGAGGTTCTGGGGGAAATATATACCCAAGTTCTTTCATGTTGTTTTCAGAATTTGCTTCCTTGCAGCTGTAGGAGTGTGGTCCCAGTTTTTTTTTTTTTTTTCTGGCTGTCAGGCAAGCCATTTTCAGCTCCTAGAGGCCATTTGCATTCCTTATGATGTGAACCCCTCCAGTCTTCACTGTGTAACTGCACATTGATTCTTTCTAAAGCTTCTAACCTGTGACTTTTCTGTCTCTGACTCTAGACCCTTATCTAAAGGGATGATGTGATTAGGTTAGGCTCACCCAGATTGTCTCCTATGTTATGATCAACAGATCTGGGAACCTAATTATATCTGCGAAATCTGTTCACAGCAACACATAGATTAGCATTGGATTGAGTAACTGGAAGAAGATATGTATAATACACTGTGGGCTGGTAACTTGTGGGAACCATCTTAGAATTCTGCCTACCATAGTCTGCCTTCAGGTCCCCCAAATTTATTTCCCTACCAAATGTAAAAATACTGTCAACTTCTCCCAAGATTCGCCAAAATCTCATCCCATTACAGCATGAGCTCAAAAATAAACATGTCACCATCTAAATTATATAAACCAGATGTGGATGAGGATCTTGGGCATAATCCATTAAGTAAAGCTCCTGAAGACATTTCATCCCATCTGCAGATCTGTAAAACTGAGGAGACAAATTATTTGCCCATAAAATTCCCAACCTATGATGATGTGACAAGCACAGGATAACAGTTATAGACAAAAGCGGGTAAAAATGGAAGATAAAAAGAGGTCACTGGCTCAAAAAAATTCTTTATTAGGTTTTAAGGCCTGGGAAAAATCTTTTGTGGCACTCAGCTTCACTCTCTGGATGTGTCCTCTGGACTGTCAGGTCTGTGCTCCGAGCTCTTGGTTCTGTGATCTGAGTAATCCTTCCTTTTTCATTAGATGCAGCATGTGTTCTCAGCTGAGTAGTTTTATCAGACCATTCTTCAAGAGAATTTTGGGGATCTCACAACCTTCTCTCATGTTGTACTCCATCACTTTCATTTAGAGTTGGCAGTGTTTCTACTGATATAATTTTCTTTAAAATCTTGTGAGGTGAGTCTTGCATAAATTACAGTAGGTTTTACTCCATTGAAGAAAATTCACATTGACAGATATTTTTGAAATCATCTTTCTCTATTTTTGTCTCTTGCTGAGGTAGCTGAGCGTGGCTGGTTTCAGCTCCTAAAGGCTACGTTCATTCCTTGCCACATGGTACCCTCCAGCTTTAAGGCAGCAGCAGCAGCACACTGAATCCTTCTTATGCTTTGAATCTCTGATTTCTCTGCCTCTGACCTCTAGACTTGGCCCATCTAGTTCGATTGAGAGCATATTTGAGTCATGCTTTCAATCTCTTGAAAATGACCTTTGTGTGACTGAGTGCTCTGACTTTCTTATTTTTCTAAGGTTTCAGAGAAAGACTGTAACAACTACATCCTCAGCTTTTTCTCTGTGTCATACTTTCAGAAGGAATCTCTTAATTTTGTGTATTTTTCCATTTGGGTAGGATGGGTATTTCCCAGTCCTCAAGTTTTAGTTCCTTTTTGTTTAACAGCTATTCTCTCAATATATCTTTCTCGTCACCTTTTGCCATAAGCAGCAGGAAGAAACCAGGCTACACTTCAAAACATTGCTTGGAAATCATCACAGCTAAATGTCCCAGTGCATCACTTGCAAGTTCGGCTTTCCACATAAGTGTTGGAGACTATTTCTCAGATTTCCATGCCACTAAATATAAGGATCTTTTTCCTCCAATTTCTAGTAACTTGCTCCTCACATACTACTGGCCCCTCACCAGCAGAATCTTTAGGGTATATGTTTTTACTGACAGTTGGATAAACATCGTCGTGTTCCTCAAAATTCTCCCAGCCTCCATCAACTGCCGGTTTCCCCAGCCACTCTCATATATTTAGGCATTCACTACTTTCAGTACCAAAATTTTTATTAATATTCTGTTACTGTGTAACATATCACTTCAAATGTAGCAGCTTAAAACAACACCTACTTATTATCTGACAGTTCTATAGGTCAGAACTTTGGAATTCACAGCTGAATTCCTTAATCAGGGTCTCACAAAGCTAAAATCAAGGTGTCAGCTACACTGAGATCGTATCTGGGGATCTTGACAAAAAATAATGTATTACCAAGCTAATTCCTCTTGGCAAAATTTAGTTTCTTGTATTGTAAACTAAAAATAAAATCTCAGCCCCCCACCGACTGAACAGACCACTTCTTGGCCAAGGGGACTCCAGAGAAACCTTAAAAACTGAGTTCCTGGCTGTGAGAGGATGCTAGGTCAGACACGCCTCATTATACCCCCTCCCTTTTACAATTTAGACAAAACAACTGACCATAGTTAATGTAAAAATATATATCATTAATGCTAATAGAATGGACTCTTTGTGGCAATAAGATACAAAATTATAAACAGGACCTAAGGCCATAGCAGGTAAGGGTTAAGTCATGCATGCCTGGACTTAAAGAGTAAACTATGTTTTAACTGCTACAAGATTTTTCTTTTTGTCTAACAGCTACACAAACACCGGCCTTGAGATAAGCAATATTAAAACAATTGTAGCTCACTACCAGACACGGAGTAACTGACTCCCTGTTCCACAAGCCATAACTACAGCTTTGATTGGACAAGAGACAGATTTCAGTAACTTTCTCCTGATAAGAAGACCACTGACCATGGGCTGGTTCTAGGCCAGTTTACAGAGGCCAGAACTTGAGTGCCTTCATGTCCCTGCTTTACCTTTTAACTTATAGAGACTAATTGTAATATATTTAAATGTTAAGTTTCCACCCCAATGTGAACGGGGTTCATATATAACATGGATGTTTATTCAATAGGCATGCATTAGGACTCACTGAATTATATTCATATCTCCTCCTATAACCTGTTGAATATGTATGCTTAGCCAACCTATCCAGCATAAATTCCTGTCTTACCCCTTTCTCCCTCGAAGTGCCTGTTTCCAGGTTCTGCCAGAGGCTATGCTTCCCAGACTGTCAAAATGACCACCTTGAAGGCTGTAACTCTTTATAAAAAATAAAATCTCCTTTCTAAATTTACAAATTGTGTCATTTTTAAGTCAATATACTGTAGGTCTGAGGTCCCCAGTTAGGACAGAAACAGATCATCTTAATTCAAGTTGGGACTGACCTTATTTAAAGCTAGGCTTTAGATATTGTGAAAACAGGTTTATTTTCCATTTACCTTTATTTCTAGAGCATAATGTTACCTGGTACCAACTGAAATTCAAGGACGTATACCAGGACCCTTCCTCCCTTGGAACCTGAACTTCAATTTCTGTGTCCCAGCCTTTTAAAACTGCTGAAAACTTTACTGCTTCTCAGCCTAATATCCTTAACTTTCCTATCAACAAATGTCTCAAAGCAAAAAAGTTCTACCAAGTCTAGGTTTCATGTCTGTGGAATTATTTTCTCTTTAAAATTTTGGTCACACAAGTCTTCAGTGCTTTGTTATCTCCCCAGTGTCTTCAAACAGATTGTTTGTTTTCTGTTCGGCTTTTCTAGTAGTTCTTCATGGGAGGGTTTGCTCTGAAACAAGGTGATCTACCATTGCTAAAAACGTTATTTTTTTTTCCTAATTATTAAGAACTTCTTCCATAATAGATGCCCTCTGGTGATTATTTAATTGAGAAACAAATATTTTGGCACGCTGTTTACCTTGTGAACAGTTCATGCACATACTTCCCCACTAAACCTCCTCATCACTAATTTTCCAAGTTTGTTCTTTCCAAGTCCCTGAAAAGCCAGCCAACTCACGTGCTGTTGCTCATGAATCAGGCTGTCTCTCTTTCCATGCCAAGTGAGCAACAAGTTATATCACTGAAATTTCTGCCCATTAGTAAGATTTCCCTCTGCTGCTGTCTTTCCTGAGTGAGATTGTAGTAGAGCAGCCTTTCTCTTCCAGTGGGTTCCAGCATGCCATGTACATTCATCTATAAAACAGACCTATACTTTTCTATTCTCTAGTTACAGGGAATGTTCCATTAGGCCACAAATGTGGGTTGATAGGGAGGTGGCCAAGCAGTAGCAGACAGTACCTTGAGAGTCTGAACTTCTTGCTTATGTAGTTTTCTTGTGCCTTTTAGTTACATTTAAATTCAGTCAGTTATGTATAATTCTCATCTTAAAATAGAATTCTGCTGTGCATTTCTAGTTATGTGGTTTGATGAATTAAACAGTAGCTAGTTCATGATAACATTTCTAGGTGCATAGTTACTTGGAATAACATAGTCAGATGTTGGGTACCAGCCAGCACCCAGCAGTTACTTTCCAAATATAGATCAGTTATTGGTTTATTTCCTCTACACAGCATCTCACAAGCTCCCCAATCTGATTATGTTATGATACAGTTTGAGGTCTCCAGAAATTAGCCTCAATCCTGAGCCTTTAGCTAATAACTCCCAGAAGATTTTGGTATTTTATTTTCCTTAGTGCACAGTCACTCTGAAAAGTGTCTGTAGGTCCCACTGGGAAATGTTTGATGTAAGAGTCACAGTATACACCAGTGGCTGCAAGATCATACCTTGGACGTACCCTTCCTTCCCCTCAGTTGGGTAAGAAGTTTAGAAAACATGCTACAGCATCTTGAGTTAGACTTTCTTGCAGATCTAGAAATTTTTTTCTGCCTGAATATGTCAAGCAGCATCCAATAGGCTGCCCAATTATTTCATTTTAAGGAATGCTCTGATTAGCTATCACCACAAATCCCTGTGGGCCATAAATTCACTAATTACCATTCAATTCCTGTGGCTTATTGTGGTAGTTCCACTCACCTTGTCTCAGATAATTAAGCCCTGTCACCTGACTTCCACCACTCTGGGATTCCATAATTCACATTAAGATGAGGTAGGACAATTCTACTGCAGCATTCTGCACCATCATCTCCAGCCTACAAAGCACAGGCCCACAGAAACTTCAAAGATGCTCTTGACCCTCTCACAAATGCATTTCTTAATGCCTCAGAGTATGTCTGCACAAATGTCCCTATCCCATATATCACAGTTCTATTCCTTCTCTACTAGTGTCCTTACTTTATTGTAAAAGCAACTGCATTTAGAGCATTTAATTGGCAGCGGAACCACAACACCATGAGGACCTAGCCTTGGTTCACAGCTATATCTACCCTAAGATGAGGGACTCCTTCAACAATGCCTTAGAGACTTTCTGGTGCTGTAAATATGTTCTCTGCTGTATTTTTGTAGCTTCCAATGTCCTCTTTTTTCTATGCATACTCTCTAGGGTTGTCAGATGAACACAGATGACTCCAGAAACTTCTTGGTAATTATTTTTGTTTTAGTACTTAAGTAACATAACCACTTGATTTCTCAAACCTTTGGATTCCACTCGCACTTCATTCCATGCCACCAGTGGTGTATGAGTTATCGTCATACTACTACATACCGTGTACATGTGAACCTCTCCTAACAGCTTCCCCCTACTGTTCTCAACCCTATTGTCAGTAGGTTATATTTTTCCCTCAAATTTACAAGGAACCCAATTCCTGGAGTGACTTCCTGTATCTGTTACTGTACCTGAAAAGTGCATTGCAGGAAATAGGGGGTACATTTGCAGTGGAAAATTTGAGGGCAGTTCTTAATAAAGGAGAATAGACAAAGGTATGGGAAGGGTATTAGAGAACCAAAATGAGTAGTGCAATACACCATGGCTACTAAAGGTGAGATTACCAGAGGTAGGCCTGAGGGACAGAGGCAAAGAGGGGTAACTCAAAGTTGGAGGTGCAGAGCCTATGTGGAGAGGGTTACCTTCTAGGAACCTTGGGAGAAGGGACCCCACCAGCATCTGACAACACTGCAGGGAACAAGTTGGGAAACAAATTTCCTGACTGCACTCACCACTGCTGGCTCCCAGAGGACAAGGGAGCCCTTTGATGTGGTCCATATAGGTCAGAGTACTTTGGGAGACAGAGCAGGGTAAAGAAGAATGTAGAGTGAATTGGGATGGGAAGATGGGGAGATATCCACAAATGAGTGAGGGCCATGTTAATAGTACTCATTAGGAATTGTGCCTGCAGCTTTATGCATATCGTAAGGAGGAGGATAAAAAGCATATTATTTTGTGAAAGTGAACTCCAGTAGGGCTGAGATTTGCCTGAGCTTTTTATCAAAATAAGAAATGTGCCTGCATGGCATTGACCCATGGTAAAGGCACAAAACATTGATTAAGAGTGCTGTTTGATAATCATGGGTCTGAGGAATTTGGGATGATTTTTACCAGCCTGTTAGCTTTATTGATAACAGTGAGATTGATCATTTAAACCTAGTCTCAGTGAACCTCATTGCCAAGGGCTCTGCCGTTGAGACTGGCTACATAGCAAGAATATGCTTACATAACCAGCAGTGTACCAGAAACCTTGACTGAGACTATTTTGCGTTCTCTGGTTTCAAGGTATTCTATGCATACATTAATGGTTCCTTATCTGAAAAGAGAAGTGCATCCTGCCAGGGCTATTATAAAGAGGGAAGATAATCAAAGCTCATACCTGGCCACTCCAGATCCCTTACTATTAGACAGCTTTTGACTATGATGTTTCTCCTTAATGCTGTTGCTATGTTGCATCCATTTTTTTCTCCAACAAACTGTAGATTTGCAATCATGACCATTTGGGGTCCCAAGAGTCTTCTTTAGCGGTGGAACTGTTCAGCTGCCACAGTTATCATGGCATCTGGAGGAGGAAATACACTATACTATGATATGCTTTGACTTTGCCTTTGTTTATAAGTGTGGTTTGCTCTAAAGATACTTTCGGGTTCTAAGCAATAAATATATTAAACCTTGACTTTATGGATTTTTACTTTTAACCTTTGTTTTAGAACTTAGAAAAGACTTCACCTTCCCCACCGAAAAAGAGACAGTGTAATTCTTTTTTCTGCTTACCTTATGGTTTACAGTTAATACAATGGAGATCATAATGAATATATAAATCAGTGGTGATTAGCCTTTATTATGAATCAGAATCACCCAGGCAGCCTGTTTAAGATGGAAATTATAGAGCTCCACCTAGTGGATCTGACATGGGGATTATAAATTCACAGTTTTGATGAAGTCTTATGGTGATTCTGACATGTGACAAACTAGGACACTTTAAAAATGCATTAATAAATGAGATAAGGTTAAATTCATGGTACAAACCCTTCTCCATGGTGTTTCTTTTGGAATTGCAAGTAAATGCTGCTAGAGATATAGAGTCCACAGTTATTTATGTAGACAGGGAATGATTTTGGACAAGAATTCTTGACTCAGGTATTATTATTTACAAATTCATCAAGAACCTATTACTTATCAATCAGGCACTGTGCTAGGTATTGGGGTACCAGGATAAAGAACAGGTTGTGCTTTGACAAGCAAAGTCCAATGTTCCTCAGTTTTAAAAAACCTCACCCCACAGTCAGAAACATATTGTTCAAATATACATAACTGAAATACAAATTTCAGAAAATAATTTTAATCCTACCTACTTGCCATATAATCTGATGTTTACTATCTGGTTCTGGTTGAATCTACTATATCCTATTTCATTTAAAAATATTGCAGGTCTTGACCTGCTGAATTTGTTTTAAACTCTGCAAATATAGGAAGGTGAAACTTCAGTTTGACAAACACAGGTCTATTTAAAAATCTGTGATGTGCATCCTATGAAGCACATGTATTTATCCTTCTAGGCACATATATCATGAGAAGGTGGAATTGGGGAGGCTAAGAGTTTCCTCATTAACCTTGCTTCTCAAACTTTAAGGTGTACAGGAATCACCTGCAGATCTTGTTAAAACTAGAAAAGATTCTTATTCAGTAGGTCTGGGGTGAGGCTGTGAGATTCTACATTTCTAACTATCTTTCAGTTGATGCTGATGCAGCTAGTCCATGAACCACTATCTGAGTAGCATTGCTCTAAAAATTACAAATGTGGGTAGGGGTGTTAAACTGGTAAGGTGGGACCTGGAAGGACTTTCCTAGAAGAGAATTTACTCTAAGGAAAGATGAGTCAAGCATACAAGTCACTGACAGATGAGAACAGATGAGTGTGTGCCACTCAAATTTTACCCCAGCCTCTATCTCTGAATTTGGTGGAGAGATGGCTGTATGCAAACACTTACAAACCAACAAGCATAGAAATAATTGTTTTACTAAAAATCTGAAATCCCCCAGGGGCTGAAGCATCACTGAGGTGTTACCCTATTGGGCGAGTATAACTCTAAAGTGAGGAAAGGGACTTTATCCACATTTTCATAGTTGTTGTGGAATGGGGTCAGTAGGCTTGGCTCACTGGAAATCAACTGGACCTTGTTACCTTGAGAACTTCAGCCCATCGGCATCAATGTGAGCTTTAGGAGGGTGCAAGATTTATGAGAAGGAGCACAGTGCCCAGTGGACATGACATTGTCTAAAAGAGGATGGCACCCACCTTTCAGTTTCCTAGACTTATTCCTGGACACAGGTAAGATTTACCCTAGTCCTCTTCCAAGTGTCTGAGGGGGTATTTTTTTCTGCTAGAGCAGGGGAGAAGGTAGATGCCAACCCAACAAATATATTCTCTACCTTATCCAACCCACTCAGCAGTTCTGAAAAGCAAGGTATTATCTCTATTTGACAAATGAAAAGACTGTCCGTTAGAGCAATGGATCTGTAATAACCCCAGATTGACTTCTCCAGATGAGTCCCACAGGTAGGTAATGTGAATTTTACCTATCATTTTAAGTTCTGACAACAAGAACGTTAAGTGTCTCTACTGAACTTCATAAGTTCACTGGACAGTTATTCTCTTTGCTTTTTACATACTGTTCTGATTTTTTAAAAATATTTTATTATTTTTGTGAGAAAAGTAATTTGTGTTCTCTGGGAAAAGAAAGATTAGTAGAAAGAAAACAAAGAAATGAAATCACCTGCTAGCTCACAACTCAGAAAACCACTGTTAACCTTTCATGTATTTAACAAAAACAGACAGATTCTGTAGATGATATTATAAGCTGCTTTATTTTTCCACGAATCATGACGTCTCTGCAATGCACATGTGTGAAAATCTGCTACTGAAACATAGAGCAAGCAAACACTGGCAGGTGGGTCAAAACGCTACTGGTAGCAGGAGGAACGACTAAAGCAAAGTATTACCATAAGGTTAAAACATATGGCCTGACAAATGCCTGCCAGGGACACTACACATAAGGAATGTCTTCAGTGTCCCTTCGTGGGGCCCTGCAGCCACCCCTGAATTCCCTTGGACCCCTAGGATAGAAGGGGTCCTGTAAATTTCTTTGCATCCACAAAAACGCCCCCAATTTCTGTTTGCTTTTTCTCCTTTTATCCTCCACCCTAGCCATGTTGTCAAATTCTCTTATCATGTCCTCATTGCTGAAATTCATATCATGTATGGCTTCCTTATATTGCTTGAGGTACTGAGCCAGCCCCTTGTTGGTTTTTCTTTTGGCTTTCCTGGGTATATCATCCTCAGCTGGGCGCTTTCCTGCAGCCCTTGTTTCACTTTCTGGCTCTCCCTCACTCTCTGGCTCTCTTTCACTGTCTGGCTCTCCTTCACCCTCTGCCCTTCCCCCTCTCTCTGGCTTTCCCTCTGTCTTTGATCCTCCCTGCATCTCTGACTTTCCCTTCCTCTCTGACTTTCCTTCTCCTTTTGCCTTTCCCGCACTCTCTGGCTTTTCTTTATCCTTTAACGGTTCCTCAACTCTCTTGCCCGTGTTTTCTGTGTTTCCCTCGTTTTCTAACTTCTTGTCTTCCAGAATACAAGCTACTTCTGGCTTTCCCTCGTGCGGTGGCTGTTCTTCATTGTCTATCTTTCCTTGATTCGAAGGCATTCCTTCATTTTCATTGAAGAGTTTTTCCATGTCGAGATTTCCCCTCCTTTTCCTTTCCTGGGGGATGGGTGTGGAGGGAAGAGGAGACAAAGAGGAGACATGGGAGACTGAGGGCATGGGGTGGAATGCAGGTCTGGATACTACTTGCATCTCACCCCTGGTGAGGGTTCCCCTAAGCTGACTGGGCCTCCAAGAGGGCCTTCTGCCCACCACGTAGCCCACCACTCCTCCCACACACGTGAGCCAGCTGTTCCCTGGCAGGCCCTGCCACCTTCTCTGCACTGGTTCAGCCTGGTAAGGTGTGTGTTCATGTAGGTAAGGGGATGGGCAGGGGCCCCAATTCGGCCCTGACTGTGCCCTCCACACTCTCAACCCTTGTGGGCCCCTGTCCATGCAGCCCCCTGCTTTCACGGACCTGCGGGGATTCTGGACAGGTTGCTCTTCCTTTTCAGGCCTCTCAGAGCGCTGGGAACAACAGACGCGCAGACCTGCGGACAGACAGGAGACAGGGGCAGGGGCTGCGCGCTTAGCGGGCTCACAGGGACTCGGTTCCCTTTCCTGAGTCCAGGCCCTGCTTACCCACCGTTTTCCTCCCCTACCTCCCCCGCACCCCAGCCGCCATTTCTTTCCAGGCCTCGGGCACCAAACCAGGATGCTTTCCAAACTGCGTTTGTCTCTGTGTCCCCCTTCCCCGGAGGCAACCTGCCCCAGCGCCACCTCATTTTTGCGGAGATCAAGTGTTTCCATGGGTGTAGATTGTGAGAAGGGGTTATTTCCAGAATATGTCTACGTTTCACTGTCGCACTGCGGGGTCGCTACCCCCACCCCCCATTTCCAGCACTAAAATGGATGGAGGACTCAGTGCAAGGGGGCGTCGAGAAGGCGAGCCAGGCTTGCTTCGGGGGTTCTCCCTCCACTGCCCCCGCCCCCGCGACTCCGCATCCCCCTCCTCCCCAATCTACCGGATCCCTTCTCCGCCCCCTCCCCAATCCTACTGCCAGCCCCCTCCACCCCTGTCCCAGGGTCCGCCGGCAGCGCACGCCTTCACACTGACCTGCGGGGACCCAGGACAGGCCTGTGCCTCCTGCGGCTCGCTGAAGCCCGCTCGCTGCTCCCCCGCCGCCTGGGCAGCTCAGACAGCTGATTCTGCGCGGGCGCCCGGACCCGACCGCTGGGCGGGCTGGCGGGCGGGCGCGGGGGCTGGTGCCCACGTAGGCGCCGGGCGGGTCACGTGAGCACCGCGTCACCGGAGCTCTGCCCCCGCTCTTGCCTGACACACCTCACCTTGGAGCTGGGCCCCCCTCTCTTTCCTGACATACCTCACCTTCCATCCCTGAGGGACCGGAGGCTGGGGACGGTCGGAGTCTCGGTGCGTTTGTGTAGCAAAGTGGGGTCGCGGAGAAGAGGAGGAGAGGTGGCTTTCTGACCCTAGGTGCTTTACCTGACGCAGCTCACAGCATCCTCGCAAGGCATATCTCTCTGATGCCCATTATCGCCAGGTGTGACAGCTGATCATAGAGGTACCGGACTTTGCCAAGAGCGCTCAGCCCCAGAACTCCACAGCCCACTTTCAATACCGGCTCTGCCTGACTCCAGAGCCCGGGGGGTAGTGGTGCCTGCCAGGAAGCTGAGCTGCCACCTTGAGTGGCGGTGTTCCTGGGGTTCTGTCCTGGGCCTCCTCTCTCCTCAGTCCTCAAGTTGTCTCTCCCTGTGTGATCTCATTCATTTCCAGTAAACACCGATGACTCCCAGATCTACAGCTCCAGGCTGTTCCCTTCTCCGTGTCTCATATCAGCTTTGCCAACTGTCTATTGGACATCACCGCCTGAGTGTCCCTGAGGGACCCCAAAGCCCGTGTACCCCAAATTGATTTACCAACTTCCTTCTTGCCATCTCCCTTGGTCTCTCTCCACACTTGAAACTTACCTTCCAACATTTGATCAGTTTTCATAGAGAGAGAATGTCAGACAGGTAGAAAAGAAAGCATTAAAACATTTTAAATATGAATTTCAGATGCACAAATTCATCATAGTCCTTGGTTTACAACACACCCTTATCATCGATCCCTGCTTGTCCCTCTTCCTTCCCTTTTCTTTCCCGTCCTATTATTTCCTCCCCTTCCCATCCTTTGTCTTTTTTTTCTTTCCTTTTCTTTCACATTCGTGAAGCCACCACCCACAAAAACTAAGAATCACCAATATTTTAGCTTCTACAGTATAGTGACATGTATATGTATATATACACATGTTTATTTATACACACATATATGTATAGATGTATATGTGTGTACATATGTATGTGTATGTCTTGTGTATATCTGGGCAACAACTATTTTTATTTTGATTTGCAAAATACCTTATCATGATTACAGGATTATGAATTATGTGTGTTACACAAGCAATTCTGATTATATTTCTGCTACACATCTTTCTTCATTTAGTAAAACCTTGATCTTCCTACAGTATTTTGCTCTATCAATATGTGTATTCGTCATTATCACCACATCACCAATAATTCTGTCCTCAATGTTGAATTTTTTTCCTGAATTATCGAGGCTAGGTGTTTCAATTTCATCAGTATAAACTTCCATAAAATTATTATAATTATTCAAGAATTTGATGAAAATAATATCAAATCAGTTGAAAAGAAC
Organism: Homo sapiens; assembly: GCF_000001405.40. Classification (NCBI taxonomy): domain Eukaryota; kingdom Metazoa; phylum Chordata; class Mammalia; order Primates; family Hominidae; genus Homo; species Homo sapiens. The sequence goes on along the minus strand of NC_000023.11, from coordinate 102,124,210 downwards.
TGATTTTCTGTTTTAATCATCTAATTATAGTGATTTTAAGCTGTCTTCAGTAACTATTTGCTAAGTTATTTTGCTAATGGAGCCAAAGTATTAACAACTATTTCTCCTCTTTTAAAACATATACACAAAAATGTGGGATTCAAAATTAGTATCATTAAATTTGAAGAAATGTCATTTTATCTAAATTAAAAGATCTGTTCACAAAATGAGAAGTCAACACAACTTTTGCATTTGCATGTAATAAATTGACACATTGTTCCTCAAGTAATTACTACCTTTGGAAGAAGATATAATGACAGTTCTCTTGATGCATAGTATATGTTGATTAAACATATTTTAAGTTAAATGTTTGTCATCCACTTTCTTAGAAAAGTAACATTACTGAACATACCATTCACTAGAGACCTTTTGTTTCTTATTGCAGAATAAAAGTATCATTCCCATCAGTAAAATAAATATAGACATATATTAACACTATAAAATCACTAAGTGATACCAACACCTGGCAGAGACACACACACAAAAAGGAAACTTCAGGCCAATATCCTTAATTAACATGGATGCAAAAATCCTCAACAAAATAGTGGCAAACTGAATACAGTAGCATGTCAAAAAATGTATCCACCATGATCAAGTAGGATCCATCTCCAGGATGCAAGTTTAGCTCAATATACACAAATCAATAAATGTGATTCATCACATAAACAGAACTAAAGACAAAAGCCACATGATCATCTCAGTAGATGCAGAAAAGGCTATGGATAAAATTCAACATCCCTTCATGTTAAAAACTCTCCATAAACTAGGTGTTGAAGGAATGTACCTCAAAATAACAAGAGCCATGTATAACAAATCCACAGCCAACATTATACTGAATGGGCAGAAGCTGGAAGCATTCCCCTTGAGAACCAGAACAAGACAAGGATGTCTCACACACTACCAGACAAAAACAATGCAAAAATGGAAGTAAAAAGTGGAGATCTGTGGTAGGCTTAATAATTGCCTTCAAAGATATCCAGGTCTTAATGCCTGGAACCTGTGAATTTTACCTTATATGGCAAAAGGGGACTTTGCAAATGTCATTAAGGATCTTGAGATAGGAAGATTACCAAGGATTATCCAGGAAGACCCTAAATGTAATAACAAGTATTCTTATAAAAGGGAAACAGAGAGAGATTTTACTACGGAAGAAGAAGGCAATGTGAAAACTGAAACAAGATTCTACACTACAGACTTAGAAGATGAAGGAAAAGGCCATGAGCCAAGAAAGGCAAGGAATGCAAACTCCAGACGATGGAAAATGTAAGAAAATAGAGTCTCTTTTGGACCTCCAGAGGAAGCAAAGCTCTGCCAATATCTTTACTTCAGCCTAGTAAAACTAATTTTGGACTTTGGACTTCCACAACTGTAAGAGAATTAATGTGTATCATCTTAAGCTAACAAAATTGTTATTTGTCACAGCAGCCCTAAGAACTAAAGGTTTCCTAAACCCATTCTGGCTTATTTTAACATAAATATCAGTAATAAGAGTACATTTTTAAAAATGACAAATTTTGGAAAACGTTAAGCTAGATGGGATCCTAGGTCAACAGGTAAAAATAATTAGGACTGTTCAGGGAAAGCCAGGAGATACTTTTATCCTAGAGGTAATTTATGTAAAGTCACTGGCACAGTGACTGGAACATAGCAAGAGTACAATTGGGTGAGTTTTCTTAGCTCCCTGGACAAGAATGCAATGCATTTTTAAAAACTTTTTTACATAATTGTAGATTTATTTGTAATTATAAGGAATAATAGAGATCTCTCTTATTCTTTTACCTGTTTTCCTCCAATGGCAACATCTTTTGTAGCTACAGTAGAGTATCACTACAGAAAATTAATATTGATATACTCTAACAACCTTTTTCATATTTCACCGTTTAACACACATCTATTTGTGTGAGAGTGTGCATGTTAGTTATATGCAATTTTATCACATATTTTTTCCCAGATGGAATCTCAATAACCTCCACATAGATATGAAAGGTGTTATTAAAAAAAATGGTTAGCACAGGAGAAATGACCTATCCAAGCCCTATGATGTAACTGGCTCTCAATGTTCTTTTGCAATGCTCTTCTGAAAAACCTCTTCTTGCAATGCTCTTCTGAAAAGCCTCTTCTTTCGGGGTCAATTGCACATATTTTTCTTGAGAATTTAACATAAAATATACAAAATGAATGATGAAGTATATGAAATAAAGTGAAATGAAGTGACGGTTTTATTTTACAAATTCAGTGGAACTGGTCCAGTGATTGTTCTTTTTTTAATTACTTTTATTTTAGGTTCAGAGGTATATGTACAAGTGTGTTTTAAGGGTAATTTGCATGCTGCATGTAATTTGCATGTTGTGGTGTGCAGATTATTTCATCACCCAGGTAATAAGCATAGTAGCTGATAGGTAATTTTTTAGTCGTCACCATCCACCTTCAAGTAGGCCCTGGTGTCTGTTGTTCCCTTATTTGCATCTATATATACTCAATGTTTAGCATGCACGTATGTGAGAACATGTGATATTTTGTTTTCTGTTCCTGTGTGAGTTCACTTAGGATAATGACCTCCAGCTTCATCCATGTTGCTGCAAAGGACACGATCTCATTCTTTTTTATGGCTATATAGTATTCCATGGTGTATATATACTACATTTTCTTTATCCAGTCTACTATTGATAGGCATTTAGGTTGGTTCCATATATTTGCTATTGTGAATAATGCTGCAATGAATGTACACCTGCATGTATCTTTATGGTAGAATAATTTATATTCCTTTGGGTATGTACTCAGTAATGGGACTGCTGAATTGAATGGTAATTCTGTTTCAAGTTATTTGAGAACTTGCCAAATTGCTTTCCACAGTGGTTGAACTAATTTACATTCACACCAGCAGTGTATAAGTGTTCCTGTTTCTCCACACACTCACCAGCATCTGTTACTTTTCAACTTTTTAATAATAGCCATTCTGATTGATGTGAGATGGTATCTCACTGTGGTTTTGATTTCCATTTTTCTTATGATTAGTGATGTTGAAAATTTTTTTCATATGCTTTTTGGTTGCCTGTATGTCTTCTTTTGAAAGTGTCTGCTCATGTCCTTTGCCAATTTTTAATGAGATTTTTTTCCTGGAAATATGTTTAAGTTCCTTATAGATTCTGGATATTACACCTTTGTCAGATGCATTGTTTGCAAAAATTTTCTCTCATTCTGGAGGTTGTCTGTTTATTCTGTTGATAGTTTCTTTTGCTGTGCAAAAGCTCTTTGGTTTAATTAGGTCCCATTTGTCTGTTTTTGGTTTTGTTGTAATCGCTTTTGGTGTCTTCATTGTGAAATCTTTGCCAGGTCCTATGCACAAAATGCTATTACCTAGGTTATATTCCAGGGTGTTTATACTTTCAGGTTTTACATTTAAGACTTTAATCTGTCTTGAGTTGATTTTTGTATGGTGAAAGGAAGGGATCCAGTTTCAGTCTTCTGCATATGGCTAGCCACCTATCCCAGCACCATTTATTGAATAGGGGGTCCTTTCCCCATTGCTTGTTTTTGCTGACTTTGTCAAAGATCATATGGTTGTAGATGCATGGCATTATTTCTGCTCTCTATTCTGCTCCATTGGACTATGTGTCTGTTTTTGTACCAATATCATGCTATTTTGGTTACTGTAGCCCTGTAGTATAGTTTGAAATCAGGTAACATGACACCTGCAGCTTTGTTTTTTTGCTTAGCATTGCTTTGGCTATTCAGGCCTTTTTTGGTTTCATATAAAATTTAAAATAGATTGTTCTAATTCTGTGAGGAATGTCATTGCCAGTTTAATAGAAATAGTATTGAATCTATAAATTGCTTTGGATAGTATGGTCATTTTAACAATACTGATTCTTCCTATTCATGAGGATGGAATGTTTTTCCATTTGTTTGTGTCATCTCTGATTACTTTGATCAGTGTTTCATAATTCTCTTTGTAGAGATCTTTTACTTCAGTACTTAGCTGTATTTCTGGGTATTTTACTCTTTTTGTGACAATTGTGAATGGGATTGCATCCTTGATTTGGCTCTCAGCTTGGATGATGTTGGTGTATAGGGATACTACTGATTCTTGTACATTGATTTGCATCCTGAAACCTTGCTGAAGTTGTTTATCAAATCAAGGCACTTTTGGGCAGATCCTGTGGGGTTTTCTAGGTGTAGAATCATTTCATCTGCAAAGACAGGTAGTTTGAATTCCTTTTTTCCTATTCGGATGGATTTTATTTCTTTTACTTGCCTGATTGTTCTGGACACGACATCCAGTACTGTGTTGAATAACAGTGATGAGAGAAGACATCCTAACCTTGTTTTGGTTTTGAAAGGGAATGCTTCCAGCTTCTGCCCATTCAATATGATAATGGCTGTGGTGTTTTCATAGATGGTTGTTATTATTTTGAAGTATGTTCCTTTGATGTCTACTTCATTGAGGGTTTTTAACATGCAGGGCTGTCGAATTTCATTGAAAGTCTTTTCTGCATATATCAAGATGATCATGTTGGTTTTGTTTTTAATTCTCTTTCTGTGATGAATCATATATATTGATTTGTATATGTTGAACCAATTTTGCATCCCAGGCATAAAAACAACTTGATTGTGGCGGATCAGCATTTTGATAAGCTGCTGGATTCAGATTGCTAGTATTGTGTTGGGGATTTTTGTATCTATGTTCTTCAAGGATATTAGCCTGAAGTTTTCTTCTTTTGTTGTACTTCTGCCAGGTTTTTGGTGTCAGGATGATACTGGCCTCATAGAATGAATTAGAGAAGAGTTCCTCCGTCTCAATTTTTGGGAATACTTTCGGTAGAATGGTACCAACTCTTCTTGATATTTCTGCTAGAATTCAGCTGTGAATCTATCTAGTCCAGGGCTTTTTCTTGTTGATAGGCTTTTTATTATTAATTGAATTTTGGAACTTGTTACTCGTCTGTTCAGGAATTCAGTTTCTTCCTGGCTCAATTTTGGGAGGTTGTATGTTTCCAGAAATGTATCCATTTCTTCTAGGTTTTCTAGTTTGTGTGCAGAAAGGTGTTCATAGTAGTCTCTGAAGGTTTTTTTCTTTTAAATTTCTGTGGGATAACTGGTGATGTCTCCTTTCTCATTCCTGATTGTACTATTTGAATCTTCTCTCTTTTTTCTTCATTAGTCTAGCTAGGAGCCTATCAGTCTTATTTATTCTTTCAAAGAACTAACTGCTAATTTTGTTGATCTTTTGTATGTTTTTTTCATGTCTTAATTTCCTTCAGTTGCACTCTGATTTTGGTTATTTATATTCTTATTCTAGCTTTGGGGTTAGTGTGCTTTTGTTTATATAGTTTCTCTAGCTGTGATGTCAGGTTGTTAATTTGCAATCTTTCTAACTTTTTGATGTGGGCATTTAATGCTATAAACTTTCCTCTTAACCATGCTTTAGCAGTATCACAGAGATTCCAGTATGTTGTATCTTTGTTTTCATTAGTTTCAAAGAATTTCTTGATTTCTGCCTTACTTTAACTGTTTACCCAAAGGTCATTTAGAAGAAGGTTAATTTTCATATGATTTTATAGTTTTGAGCAATTTTCTTAGTACTGATTTCTATTTTTATTGCAATGTGGTTCGAGAGTGTGTTTGGTATGATTTCAGTTGTTGTTGTTTTTTTTTTTTTTTTTTTTGAGACAGAGTCTCACTCTGTTGCCCAGACTGGAGTGCAGTGGCATGATCTCAGCTCGCTGCAAGCTCCACCTCCCGGGTTAATGCCATTCTCCTGCCTCAGCCTCCCGAGTAGCTGGGACCACAGGCACCCGCCACCACACCCGGCTAATTTTTTGTATTTTTAGTAGAGACGGGGTTTCACCGTGTTAGCCAGGATGGTCTCGATCTCCTGACCTCATGATCCACCCACCTCGGCCTCCCAAAGTGCTGGGATTACAGGCGTGAGCCACTGCACCCGGCCGATTTCAGTTTTTTAAAAATTTGCTGAGTATTGCTTTATGGCCAATTGTGTGGTTGATTTTAAGAGTCTGTGCCATGTGCAGATGAGACAAATTTATGTTCTGTTGTTGTTGGGCAGAGTGTTCTGTAGACGTTTTTTTAGGTCCCTTTGGTCAAGTGTCATGTTTAGGTCTCAAATACCTTTGTTAGTTTCCTGCCTTGATGACCTGTCTAATACTGTCAGTGGGGTATTAAAGTCTCCCACTCTTACTGTGTGGTTATCTAAGTCTCTTTTTAGATTTCTAAGAACTTGCTTTATGAATCTGAATGCTCCGGTGTTGGGTGCATGTATATTTAGAATAGTCAGGTCTTCTTTTTGAATTGAACTCTTTACTATTATTTAGTGCCCTTCTTTGTCTTTCTTTATCATTGTCAATTTAAAGTCTGTTTTGTCTGAAATTAGAATAGCAACCCCTGCTTTTTTTTTTCTATCTTCTGTTTGCTTGGTACATTTTTCTCCACCCCCTTACTTTGAGTCTATGGGTGTCATTGCATGTGAGATAGTGCTCTTGAACTATCAGAAAACTGTGGAGTCTTATTTCTTTATCTAACTTGCCATTATGTGCCTTTTAATTAGGGCATTTAGCCCATTTACATTCAAGGTTAATATTGATATGTGCAGATTTGATCTTGCCATCATGTTGTTAGGTGATTATTACGGAAACGTGATTGTGTCATTTCTGTATAATGTCAATGGTCCATGTACTTAAATATGTTCTTGTGGTGACTGGTAATTGTTTTTCCTTTTCATATTTAGCATTTCCTTTAAAACCTCTTATAAGGCAGGTCTAGTGGTAACAGATTCCCTTAGCATTTGCTTGTTTGAAAAGGATCTTATTTCTCCTTCACTAATGAAGCTTAGTTTGGCTGGATATAAAATTCTTGGTTGAAATTTCTTTCCTTTAAGAATGCTGAGTATAGGCCCCTAATATCTTCTGGTTTCTAGGGTTTCTGCTGAAAGGTCCACGTTAGCTTGGTGGGGTTTCCTTTGTAGATGACCTGCCCATTCTCTCTAGCTGCCTTTAACATTTTTTATTTTATTTCAACCTTAGACAATCTGATGGCTATGTGTCTTGCAAATAATCATCTTGTATAGTTTCTCACAGGGGTTCTCTGCATTTCCTGAATTTGAATGCTGGCCTCTCTAGTGAAGTCGGGAAAATTTTTGTGGTTGATATCCTCAAATATGTTTTCCAAGTTGCTTGCTTTCTCTCCCTCTCTTTCATGGATACCAATGATTTATATATTTGTTCTCTTAATGTAATTCCATATTTCGTGGAGGCTTTGTTCATTCTTCATTATTGCTTTTTCTTTCTTTTTGCTTGACTGAGTTTTTTGGAGAACCAGCCTTAAAGCTCTGAGATTCTTTTCTCAGCTTGGTCAATTCTGCTGTTAACACTGATGATTGTATTACACAGTTTTTGAAGTGAGTTTTTCAGCCCTATAAGTTTAGTTTGGTTCTTTCTTAAAATGGCCATTTCATCTTTTATCTCCTGTATTGTTTTATTGTGTTCCTTATATTCCTTGGATTGAGTTTTGACTTTCTACTGAACGTCAATGATCTTCATTGCTATTCATATGCCGGAACTCTATTTCTGACATTTTAGTATTTCTTTCTGGTTAATAACCATTGCTAGGGTACTAGTGGGGTCATTTGGAGTAAGAAGAACTAGCTTTTTGAGTTGCCAGAATTTTTGTGCTGGTTCTTTCTCATCTGTGTGGGCTGATGTTCCTCCAATTTTTGGAGTTGTTGTCCTTTGGAATTTTTTTAATTTTGCTTTTATCTTCTTTGATGCCCTTGAGGTTTTGATTGTGGTATATGGTGGGTTCAGTCAACTGGCTTCAATTCTAGTCCACTCCTGGGTCTTGCAGGAACCCTTTCTGATTACTCTCTTTGTGCCCCTGTTTCCTCTGTTGGGTGTTCCGGTCTAGGCAGGGGCTGCAGTTAGCAGACAGGCCATATACTTGCTGGTTCAGCTATAACTTGCTGCCTGAGTGCTTCCCAGGGGACATGGGATTGCACCTGCTTGCAGAGTTCAGGCAGAAGCAAAAGTACTGGACTTGAAATTTCTAGCAGGCATTTCCCACCTAGCTACCAGTGGTGGGGGGTAGGGTGGGGTCACCTGGCTGCAGTCCAGGTGCTTCCTGGGGCAACAGGAGGCTGCACCTGCTGGCTGAGTTCCCACAGAAGTGGACCACTGGGCCAGAAGTTCTAGCAGGCTTTGTCTGCCTGGCTACCAGTGGTGGGGATGGGTGGGGTCACCTACCCTGTCATCCAGGTGCCTCCTGGTACAACGGGAAGCTGCACTCACCAGCCGAGTTCAGGCAGAAGTGGGACTCCTAGGCTGGAAACTCTAGCAGGCATTGCCCACCTGGATACCAGCAGCACAGGTGAGCAGGGTTTCCCCAGGACAACAAAAGACTGTGTTGTTCCCAGGACAACAAGAAACTGTGCCTGGTGGCTGAGTTCAGACAGAAGCAGGGCCACTGAGCAAGAAACTTTAGCAAGTGTTGCCTGCCTGACTACTAATGGTGGAGGTGGGTGGGCTCACAAACCCTGCCATTTGGGGCTTTCCTGGGAAACAGGAGGCTGCACCATCTGGCTGGGTTCACACGGATGCAAGACTGCTGTGCCAGAGACTCTAGCAAGAGTTGCCTGCCGGTTGCTTCATTTTTTTCTAAATTATCTGAGAAATTACTTCAGCACATAGAAATGACAAAGAAATGACAAATACCTAATGAAAACTTGTACATTTCCTTTTTATTAAACATTTTAATTTCGGCCAGATGCAGTGGCTCATGCCTGTAATCCCAACAATTTGGGAGGCTGAGGTGGGAGAATAGCTTGAGTCTATGAGCTTGAGACCAGCCTGGGCAGCATGGTGAAACCCCATATCTACAAAATTTACCTAGGCATGGTGGTGTGCACCTATAATTCCAGTTACTCAGGAGGCTGAGGTGGGAGCATCACTTGAGCCCCTGTGGTCGAGGTTGCAGTGAGCCATGATTGCACCACTGCACTCCAACTGGGCAACAGAATGAGACCCTGTCTCAAAAAAAAATCCATTTAACCTTCTAAAACAGGGACAAATGTTTTTGAACTATGTATGATGTTCTTGACAATTCATGCATGTATGGATGATTTTCAATACTTTTATTTATCCAAGTGGACATTTCCAGTAAATATAAGCATCTAGATCCCAAAAGAAAGATCTGGGATACAGATGATAGCTGGAGTGTCTGGAAAATAATCTACACCCAATAAATATCTGTTGAAATAATTGATCTATCAATCAGTGAAAGGTATTAGCCTTAATGCATTAAGAGCCCCTATAACAAAATGGGAAAAAGGACAAAATATGTAAACAGTGCATAAAGGAAGAAATGCAAATGGATAATTATCACAGGAAAATATTCTAGCTCACTAATAATTTAAAAATTGAAACTCAAAGCCTCTAAATAGTTTTAATTATTTATCACCTATGACAAAATTTAAGTTCTTATTCTAATATAGTTGCATTAATAGATAAAAAGACTTTCACTTGAATTTTCATTTTTTATTTCTACCTCTTATGCAAAATCAATAGTAAAATGAATGCATTTAAAAACGCAGAAGTGGAGAGAAGCAGAGCAAGATGGCAGAATAGAAAGCTCCACCAATTGTCTTCCCTCACAAGGATACTAAGTTATACAACTATGTACACAGAAGAACACCTTCATAAGAACAAAATATCAGGTGAGCACTCATAGTACCTGGTTTTCTCTTCATATTGCTGAAAGAGGCACTGAAGAGATAGAAAAAACAGCCCTGAATTGCCAATGTCACTTCTCCCCCATGCCCTGCAGTGGTGCCATGGTGCAGAGAGCATCTCTGGCTGCTGGGGCACAGAGTACACAGCAATTGTGAGGCATCAAACTCAGTTTTGCACTGTTAGAGCAGAAAGGAAAACCAGAGCAAACTCAGTTGACAACTGCCCACAGAGGGAGCATTTATTACACATATATATATATAATTAGACTTTAAGTTCTAGGGTACATGTGCACAACATATATATCTATATATCTATCTATCTATCCATCTATCTATCTATCTATCTATCTATCTATCTATCTATCTATCTATATATAAAATTAGACTTTAAGTTCTAGGGTACATGTGCACAACGTGCAGGTTTGTTACATATGTATACATGTGCCATGTAAGCCTGAGCCAGAGGGGAATCACCCATCCTAATGGTCAGACTTGAGTGCCTTCAGCACTCTGGGTTTCCAAATAAGTTTAAAAGGCAACCTAGGCCATAAAGACTGCAACTCTTAGGTGAGTCCTAGTGCTGAGCTATACCCAGAGACAGTAAACTGGTGAGGTATGTGAACTGCTGAGACACCAGCTGGGGCAGCCTGGGGACTGCTGGCGTCACTCGTCCCCTGACCCGAGGCTGCACAGCTCATGACTCTAAAAAAGACTCCTTTCTTCCACTTGAAGAGAGGGGAGGGAGAAAAATAAATTAATCCTGTGATGTGGGTGTTGTTCTGGCCCACCACAACAGCTCCCAGGGCCAGGCAACCAGAACCTGGCAGGGTGTGTGGCAGCCACAGCTGCCTCCACAACAGGGCTGCTGCTGCCAGGGAGAGAGCTGGGGCCTGTACCCACAACAGGGGCAGCCCGACCATCCAGGCCTCTGAATCCGCCAGGGACTTGTTATACCTCTATTGCCATTTTAATTATGTATATTTGTATTTATCGGCATGTGTTGAGTTTCATAATATGATGTTGGTCTAAATAAATCAGTTTATAGATCTGTAAATAGGATATCATCTAATTGCTACTCTTAAATATAGGTGTTTATATCTGCATAGTAGAATTTCTAAAAAATATATATCTCTATATTTTTTCTTACGTATTTCATTTTTATCTATAGTGACAATATCTTGGCTTTGGAAGTGAAAATATAATAAGAATAAATAAAAATCCCTGACCTTTACCTTAAAAAAGTGGCTCAGCATCCAAAAGGGGAACATCCCTACTCAAAGAAAATCAAGTAATAGGGTCATCACAGAACAAATGTATGAATATACTCACATGACAGTCTAAATTGAGAAGCTTCAGGGAAATTACAGAAGGCTAAGGGAAGGGCAAGCTGTCTCTCAGGTGAACCTTATATTTGTAAGTCAGACCATGTCTTCACGTCCCAAGATTTTAGTGAAAGTCATGAGATGAAAGTAGTTTCACAGCACACTTCTCTCTGCACTCTCCCAAATGAAGCCCCTTGAACTCACAGTAGGCTCCTCTGTTTACTCACCTACTTAGCTAAGTTGTGAATGCTACCAGGGAGGTAAAGAGGAAGGGACTGCAGGAAACTACCCAGGGTTTAGCACTACAGTTTCCACAGGGGAGAATACTGACACAGAAGGATTCAGGCCCTGCTCATTCAGTCTCATTCAGCCCAGGTCCCAGGATCAATCAGCACATGTGAATTAAAACATCTTTGAAGCACCTTCCTTGTGCAATTAAAAACAATAAAAGGTGAGCATTTTTTCATGTGTTTTTTGGATGCATAAATGTCTTCTTTTGAGAAGTGTCTGTTCATGTCCTTCGCCCACTTTTTGATGGGGTTGTTTGTTTTTTCTTGTAAATTTGTTTGAGTTCATTGTAGATTCTGGATATTAGCCCTTTGTCAGATGAGTAGGTTGTGAAAATTTTCTCCCGTTTTCTAGGTTGCCTGCTCACTCTGATGGTAGTTTCTTTTGCTGTGCAGAAGCTCTTTAGTTTAATTAGATCCCATTTGTCAATTTTGGCTTTTGTTGCCATTGCTTTTGGTGTTTTAGACATGAAGTCCTTGCCCATGCCTATGTCCTGAATGGTAATGCCTAGGTTTTCTTCTAGGGTTTTTATGGTTTTAGGTCTAACATTTAAATCTTTAATCCATCTTGAATTAATTTTTGTATAAGGTGTAAGGAAGGGATCCAGTTTCAGCTTTCTACATATGGCTAGCCAGTTTTCCCAGCACCATTTATTAAATGGCCATCAGAGAAATGCAAATCAAAACCACAATGAGATACCATCTCATACCAGTTAGAATGGCAATCATTAAAATGTCAGGAAACAACAGGTGCTGGAGAGGATGTGGAGAAATAGGAACACTTTTACACTGTTGGTGGGACTGTAAACTAGTTCAACCATTGTGGAAGTCAGTGTGGCGATTCCTCAGGGATCTAGAACTAGAAATACCATTTGACCCAGCCATCCCATTACTGGGTATATACCCAAAGGACTATAAATCATGCTGCTATAAAGACACATGCACACATATGTTTATTGCGGCACTATTCACAATAGCAAAGACTTGGAACCAACCCAAATGTCCAACAATGATAGACTGGATTAAGAAAATGTGGCACATATACACCATGAAATACTATGCAGCCATAAAAAATGATGAGTTCATGTCCTTTGTAGGGACATGGATGAAACTGGAAATCATCATTCTCAGTAAACTATCGCAAGGACAAAAAACCAAACACCGCATATTCTCACTCATAGGTGGGAATTGAACAATGAGAACACATGGACACAGGAAGGGGAACATCACAGTCTGGGGACTGTTGTGGGGTGTGGGGAGGGGGGAGGGATAGCATTAGGAGATATACCTAATGCTAAATGACGAGTTAATGGGTGCGGCACACCAGCATGGCACATGTATACATATGTAACTAACCTGCACATTGTGCACATGTACCCTAAAACTTAAAGTATAATAAAATAAAATTAAAAAAAAAAAGGAAAGGAAAATACATGCATGCCCAGCAACTGTAATACAAAATCAGATCATGTTCTGAATGGGATGCATCCCTAAACCAAGAAAGGTATTTGTGTCTGGACACATTAAAACAAACTCACAGAAAGTGTTGTCTTCTTTCACTAGCATGGTCCAAATTGGATTATGGATGTACAGGTGTAGATGAGTAATAGTGTGAGTAAAAGACAGAATATTAGGCCCAGACAAATGGGAAAATGTTTCACATTCAGGATTTCCTGAGACATTGTTTTGGTATAGCTGGAACCAGAGAAATTGTAAGGCTTTGAATGCATCAGGGAACAAAGTGGCAAAAATGGTATTTGCAGATTCTGTCAGTGTTTCCTAGAGCATATAAACTGAGAAAATTGGTGTGTCCAATTTAGAAGCTCTGAAAGAAGATACATATTGCAAGGAAGGTGTATTAGTCTGTTCTCATGCTGCTGATAAAGACATACCCAAGACTGGGTAATTTATTTAAAAAAATAGGTTTAATGGACTAACAGATTTGTATGGCTGGGAAAACTTCACAGTCATAGTGGAAGGTAAAAGTTACATCTTACATGGTGGCAGACAAGAGAGAATGAGAACCAAGCAAAAGGGGAACCCCTTATAAATCCATCAGATCTCATAAGACATATTCACTACCATGAGAGCAGTATGGGGGAAACTGCCCCCATGATTCAATTATCTCCCACCAGGTCCTTCCCACAACATGTGGGAATTATGGGAGGTGTAATTCAAGATGAGAGTTGGGTGGGGACGCAGAGCCAAACAATATCACTCTGCCCCAGCCCCTCCCAAATCTTATGTCCTCCCATTTCAAAACCAATCATGCCTTCCCAACAGTCCCCCAAAGTTTTAGCTCATTTCAGCATTAGCAAAAAAAAGGGGCTAAAGGCCCCAGGCAAGTCTGAAATCCAGTGGGGCAGTCAAATTTTAAAGCTCCAAAATGATCTCCTTGGACTCCATGTCTCACATCCAGGTCATGCTGATGCAAGAGGTGTGTTCCCATAGTCTTGAGCACCTCCACCCCTGTGGCTTTGCAGGGTAAAGCCTACCTCCTAGCTGCTTTCATGGGCTGGTGTTGAGTGTCTGTTTTCAGTTGCATGGTGCAAGCTGTCAGTGAATCTACTATTCTGGGGTCTGGAGGATGGTGGCCCTCTTCTCACAGCTCCACTAGGCAGTGCCCCAGTGGAGACTGTGTGAGGACTTCAACCCCACATTTCCTTCTGCACTGCCCTAGCAGAGGTTCTCTATGAGGGTCCTTCCACTGCAGCAAACTCCTTCCTGAACACCCAGGCATTTCTGTCCATCCTCTGAAATCTAGGCAGAGGTTCCCAAAGTCAATTCTTGACTTCTGTGCACCCTCAGGCTCAACACCACAAGGATGCTGCCAAGGCTTGGAGCTTGTATCCTCTGAAGCCATGGCCCAAGCTGTACCTTAGCCCCTTTTAGCAATGGCTAGAATGGCTGGGGCTCAGGGCACCAAGTCCTTAGGCAACACACAGCAGGGGACCCTGGACCTGGCCCAGGAAACCATTTTTTCTCCTGGGCCTCTGGGCCTGTGATGCAAGGGGCTGCCTCAAAGTTCTCTGACTTGCCCTGGAGACATTTTCCCCACCGTCTTGGAGATTAACATTTGGCTTCTTGTTACTTACGCAAATTTCTGCAGCTGGCTTGAATTTCTCCTCAGAGAATGGGATTTTCTTTACTATTGTATTTTCAGGCTGCAAATTTTCCAAATTTTTATGCTCTGTTTCCCTTTTAAACCAAACTGCTTTTAACAGCACCCAAGTGAACTCTTGAATGCTTTGCTGCTTAGAAATTTCTTCCAACAAATACCCTAAATTATCTCCCTCAAGTTCAAAGTTCCACAGATCTCTAGGGCAGGGGCAAACTGCCACCAGTCTCTCTTTTTTTCTTTTTTTTCTTTTTCTTTTTTCTTTTTCTTTTTTTTTTTTTTGAGATGGAGTCTCACTCTGTCGCCCAGACTGGAGTGCAGTGGTGCAATCTTGGCTCACTGCAAGCTCCGCCTCCCAGGTTCATGCCATTCTCCTGCCTCAGCCTCCCAAGTAGCTGGGACTACAGGTACCCACCACCAAGCCTGGTTAATTTTTTTGTATTTTTAGTAGAGACGGGGTTTCACCGTGTTAGACAGGATGGTCTCGATCTCCTGACTTCATGATCTGCCTGCCTCGGCCTCCCAAAGTGCTGGGATTACAGGCGTAAGCCACCACACCTGGCCAACTGCCACCAGTTTCTTGGCTAAAACATAGTAGGAATCACCTTTACTCCAGTTCCTAACAAGTTCCTCATCTCCATCTGAGACCACCTTGGCATGGATTTCATTGTCCATATCTTTATCAGCATTTTGGTCAAAACCATTCAACAAGTCTCTAGGGAGTTTCAAACTTTCCCACATTTTCCCGTCTTATTCTGAGCCCTCCAAACTGTTCCAACCTCTGCCTGTTACCCAGTTCCAAATTCGCTTCCACATTTTCAGGAATCTTTACAGCAGTGCCCCACTCCCATACCAATTTACTGTACTGGTCTGTTCTCACACTGCTGTTAAAGACATATCCAGGACTGGGTAATTTACTGAAAAAAAAAAACAGGTATAATGGACTCATAATTCCACGTGGCTGAGGAGGCCTCACAATCATGGCAGAACAGAAGGCAAAAGGCAAGTCAGTCTTACATAATGGCAGGCAAGGGAGAATGACAACCAAGCAAAAGGGGAACCTCTTAAAAAACCATCAGATCTCATGAGACTTATTCACTACCATGGGAAAAATGTGGGGGAAACTGCACCCATGGTTCAATTATCTCCCACCGGGTTCCTCCCACAAGTGAATGTGTATTTGTCCTCCATGCATTTTTTCTTCCTCTTTTCCCTCATATAGCCAGGCATTTATAGATAAATACATGCAATAAAACAATACTGTTTTTCACTTATGAACATATATATGTAATAAAAGTATGAAGAATGGTCTTAAGAATGAGAAATCCAAATTCTTGATAGTGGTTACCCCTGGGGAAGAAGAAGTCTAATGTAATCAGAGAAAACTTCAAAGAGAGTTTCAACAGCATATGTAATGTTTTATTTCTTAATTCTAATATATAGAAGCCTATTATATTATCTTCCATAACTTTTTGTATGTCTGAAATATTTAATAACAATGTTTTTATAAGCTTTAACTGTAATTTTAAAAAGAGTCCATACTAATTTAGCAAATATGGGAAACATAGTCAAGTCCAGAATTAAATTTGTGATCAACCAACAACTCTACCACACATTATTTTCAAAAAATATATTATATCTGGCATTTCCTTCCATTATGTTGTCTTTATATGCATACAACAATGTGTATACATATGTGTTTTGCAAAATTGAAACATTATGTGTAATTTTCAGTATCTCCCCTTTTCACTCTTTAGCTATTGTAATTTTGCATATTTTAGAAAGTTTATGCTTATATTACTGTTTTCTTATGTGAATCATCTCTTGATGTCAAATATCCCCACCTCTCTATTCATTTTGAATACATACAGATGTGTGTGTATATATAAGAAATTTACATTTCTAGAAGTTATGACAGAATTGAGCCTAAATAACTAAATAAATGAATCGTATTAAATACAAGTAAATGGGTTAACTCAAGAGATATACCTAAAACAAATATACTCAAGATAGGTTAAATTTTTTTAAATAAACAAGAACATTTCAGTCAGCTACAAATAAAAATAACCAGGGTTATAATCTTTCTGTTTATGAGGGTAGAAGAGAGACCTAAGTAGATTAAAGAAGTTTTCCTTGTAGAGGTTGTTCACATCCTTGGTTAGGTATATTCATAAGTTTTTTTTTTCAGCTACTGTGAAAGCTGATTTCACAATAGCTGGATTTCAGCTTGATTTGATTCTCATCTTGGTCACTGGTGGTGTATAGCAGAGTGACCGATTTGTGTACATTAATTTTGTATCCTGAAACTGTGTGAATTTTCTAGGTTAATCTCATTAATGATCTATCAATTTTATTAGTCTTTGTAAAGAAAGAGCTTTTTGTTTCATGTATCTTTTGTATTTTTCTGTTTCAATTTCATTTAGTTGTGCTTTGATCTGTTATTTTTTTTATTCTGCTGGATTTTGGTTTGGTTTGTTCTTGTTTCTCCAGTTCTGAGAGGTGTGCCCTTAAACTATTTGTGCTCTTTCAGACTTTTTGATATAGGCATTTAATGCTATGAACTTTCCTCTTTGCACCACTTTTCCTGTATCCCAGAGGTTACATATCCTCTGTTCGCTGTATCCCACGGGTTGTGTCACTATTATCATTCAGTCAAAAAATTTTAATTTCCATCTTGATTTCATTGTTGGCCCAATGATTATTCAGGAGCAGGTTATTTAATTTCCATGCATTTGCATGGTTTTGAGAGTTCCTTTTGGAGTTTATTTCCAATTTTATTCCACTGTGGTCTGGGAGAGTACTTGATATAGCTTCAATTTTTAAAAATGTACTAAGTCTTGTTTTATAGCCTATCAGATGCTCTATCTTGGAGAATGTTCCATGTGCTGATGAGTAGAATGTGTATTCTGCAGTTGTTGGATAGAATGTTCTTTAAATATCTGTTAAGTCTATTTGTTGTAGGGTATAGTTGAAGTCCATTGTTTCTTTGTTGACTTTCTGTCTTGATAACCAGTCTAGTGCTGTCAGGGGACTATTAAAGTCCCCACTATTATTGTGTTGTCATCTATCTCATAAGTCTAGCAATAATAGGTTAATAAATTTGGAAGCTCCAGCGTTAGGTGCATATATATTTAGGACTGTGATATTTTCTTGTTGGACTGGTCCTTTTATCATTATATAATGTCTCCTGAAGACAGCAGAAACTTGGTTGGTGAATTCTTATCCATTCTGCCATTCTGTATCTGTTAAGTGGAGCATTTAGGCCATTTACATTCAATGTGAGTATTGAGATGTGAGGTGCTATTCTATTTATTGTGCTATTTGTTGCCTGAATAACTTGTTTTTTCTTCATTGTGTTATTGTTATATAGGTCCTGTGAAACTTATGCTTTAAGGAGGTTCTATTTTGGTGTATTTTGAGAATTTGTGTCAAGATTTACAGCTCCTTTTTGCAGTTCTTGCAGTGCTGGCTTGGTAGTGGCAAATTCTCTCAGCATTTGTTTGTCTGGAGAAGACTGTCTCTTTCCTTCATTTATGAAGTTTAGTTTTTCTGGATACAAAATTCTTGGCTGATAATTGTTTTGTTTAAGAAGGCTAACAATAGGACCCCAATCCCTTGTAGCCTGTAGGGTTTCTGCTGAGAAATCTGCTGTTAATCTGCTAGGTTTTCCTTTACAGGTTACATGATTTTTTTTACTTTGTCTTGACTTTAGATAATCTGATGACTATGTGCCTAGGTGATGATCTTTTTGCAATGAATTTCCCAGGAGTTCTTTGAGCTTCTTGGATTTGGATGTCTAGATCTCTAGCAAGGCCAGGGAAGGTTTCCTTGATTATGACCTAAAATATGTTTTCAAAACTTTTAGATATCTTCCTTAGGAACACCAATTATTCTTAGATTTGGATGTTTAACATAGTCTCAAACTTCTTGGAGGCCTTTTTCATTTTTGTTTTAATTCTTTTTTTTTTTTTTTTGTCTTTGATGGATTGGGTTAATTCAAAAGCCTTGTCTTCAAGCTCTGAAACTGTTTCTTTTGCTTATTTGATTCTGTTGCTGAGATTCTCCAGTACATTTTGCTTTTCTCTATGTGTGCCCTTGATTTCCAGAAGTTGTGATTGTTTTTTGTTTATTCTATCTTTTTCACTGAAGAATTTTCCTTTCATATCCAGTATCGTGATTTCAATTTCTTTAAGTTGGACTTCACTTTTCTCTGCTGCTTCCTTGATTAGCTTAATAATCAGCCTTCTGAATTCTTTTCCTGTAAATTCCAATAGTTTATCTTGGTTTGGATCCATTGCTGGTGAGCTGGCATGATCTTTTGGGGGTATTAAAGAATCTTGTTTTGTCATATTACCAGAATTCTTTTCTGGTTCCTTCCTATTTGGTTAGACTATGTTAGAGGGAAGGTTGGGATTCAAGGGCTGCTTTTCAGACTTTTTGGTCCCACGGGGTGCTCCCTTGATGTGGTGTTCTTCTCCTTCCCCTAGGAATGGTGCTTCCTGAGAGCCAAACTGCAATGATTGTTTTTGCTTTTCTGGGTCTAGTCACCCAGCACAGCTACCAAACTCTAGGCTGGTACTAGGGGACAAAGGACAAATATCCAGAATCTACAACAAACTCAAACAAATTAGTAAGAAAAAAGAAATCAAAAAGTAGGCTAAGAACATAAATAGACAATTCTCAAAAGAAGATATGCAAATGGCCAACAGGCAATGGAAAAATCCTTATCACTAATTATCAGGGAAATGAGAATCAAAACCGTAATGTGATACCTCACTCCTGCAAGAAATAAAGACAGATCTACCATTTGATCCAGCAATCCCACTACTAGGTATCTTCCAGAGGAAAGAAAGTCATTGTATGAAAAAGATACTTGCACATGCATGTTTATAGCAGCACAATTTGCAATTGCAAAACTATGGAACCAGCCCAAATGCACATCAATTGAGTTGATAAAGAAAATGTGATTCCCTATTTAATAAATGGTGTTGGGAAAACTGGCTAGCCATATGCAGAAAACTAAAACTGGACTCTTTCCTTACCTTATACAAAAATTAACTTAAGATGGATTAAAGACTTAAACATAAGACTTAAAACCATAAAATCCCTAGAAGAAAACCTAGGCAATACCATTCAGGACATAGACATGGGCAAAGACTTCATGACTAAAACACCAAAAGCAATGGCAACAAACACCAAAATTGACAAATGGAATCTAATTAAACTGAAGAGCTTCTGCACAGCAAAAGAAACTATCATCAGAGTGAAAAGGCAACCTACAGAATGGGAGGAAAATTTTTGTAATCTATCCATCTGACAAAGGGCTAATATTCAGAATCTACAAAGAACTTAAACAAATTTACAAGAAAAAAACAAACAACCCCATCAAAAAGTGGGCAAAAGATATGAACAGACACTTCTCAAAAGAAGACATTTATGTGGCCAACAAACATATGAAAAAAAGCTCATCATCACTGGTCATTAGAGAAATGCAAATCAAAACCTTATGAGATACCACCTCATGCCAGTTAGAATGGTGATCATTAAAAAGTCAGGAAACAACAGATACTGGAGAGGATGTGGAGAAATAGGAATGCTTTTACACTGTTGGTGGGAGTGTAAACTAGTTCAACCATTGTGTGGAAGACAGTGTGGCGATTCCTCAAGAATATAGAACCAGAAATACCATTTTGAGCCAGCAATCCTATTACTGGGTATATACCCAAAGGATTATAAATCATTCTACTATAAAGACACATGCACGCATATGTTTATTGAGGCACTGTTCACAATAGCAAAGACTTGGAAGCAACCCAAATGCCCATCAATGACAGACTGGATAAAGAAAATGTGGCACATATGCACCATGGAATACTATGCAGCCATAGAAAAAAGGATGAATTCATGTCCTTTGCAGGGACATGGATGAAACTAGACACCATCATTCTCAGCAAACTAACACAATAACAGAAAACCAAACACCGCATGTTCTCACTCATAAGTAGGAGTTGAACAATGAGAACACATGGACACAGGGAGGGGAACATCACACACCAGGGCCTGTCGGGGGGTGGGGGGCTAGGGGAGGGGTTGCATTAGAAGAAATACCAAATGTAAATGATGGGTTGATGGGTGCAGCAAACCACCATGGCACATGTATACCTATGTAACAAACCTGGACGTTCTGCACATGTACCCCAGAACTTAAACCATAATAAAGAAAAAAAAATTAGCCAGGCATGGTGGTGGGCACCTGTAATCCCAGCTATTCAGGAGGCTGAGGCAGGAGAATCGCTTCAACCCAGGAAGTGAAGGTTGCAGCAAGCCGAGATCGTGCCATTGCACTACAGCCTGGGTGAGAAGAGCAAAATTCTGTCTCAAAAAAAAGGTCTATTATGCTTCTGTATATGATGTCAGATCTAGTGGTTCTGCAGCGGCTTGCTAAATGGAGAAAAAAGTCCCCTGTCATTACTAATGAAGAAAACTGTCATCTCTATCCCACTGGTCTTATGAAAGATAATAGGTGTTTTCCCCGAATATCTAAAAAAAAAGTTATATATGGAATACTATTCAGCCATAAAAAGGAAGAAAATAATGGCATTCTCAGCAATCTGGATGGAACTGGAGACTATTATTGTAAGTGAAGTAACTGAGGAATTTAAAACCAAACACATACGTTCTCATTCATATGTGGGAGTTAAGCTATGAGGACACAAAAGCATAAGAATGATACATTGGACTTTGGGGACTCAGAGGAAAGGGTTGGGGGGTAACAAGGGATAAAAGACTACACATTGAGTACAGTGTACACTGCCCGGGTGCTAGGTGCACCAAAATCTCAGAAATCACTACTAAAGAACTTATTCATGCAACCAAACACTACTTGTTCCCCAAAAATGTATTGAAATAAATACATACATACATACATAAATACATAGATTAAAGAAGACCGGAAACTTTACATTTGATAATTCTGAAGGCTAAATTTAACAAGGAAGATTTGAGTTATTAATACTTTTTTACACACACAGCAAAAAATACTCATAAACACTAAACGTGGCAAGGAGAAATCAAAAGAAACACATTAATAAAAGATGATTCTACCACACTTACCTCCATCCAAGAATACTCAAGTGGTGAAAATTTAGAAAACATAAAGAAATTCTAAAGAACATAATTTAAATGGTAGATCTTACAGACCTACTTAACTCTGATGCCTGATATTAAAGAATACAACTACATTTCAGATAATCAAGAAAATATTAATAGAAATCAACTGTGTCTGAAATTGCTGAACAAATTTGAAATAAAATGGAAATAGATTAAAATCACAGAATTAGATGAGGATAGTGATAATGAAAACAAAACATATCAGAATCTAGAGCTAGAGGAGTTATCACAGGAAATTTTATAATATTAAATACCTAAATCAAAAAATTAAAATAAATGAATTATATATTCTATTAAAAATACTGATAAAGAACCATATTGTAACTAAAAGAATGCAGAAGGAAATAATCACAACATGTAAAAGTAGAAGTGAATGAGTTAGGAAAAATGACAATAATATGTGTACAGGTTTATACTGGCTTGGTCAGCAAAGTGAATAAACCACTGGATAATTTAATCAAGAAAATAGAAAATGAATTTTAAAAATTAATCAAGAAAATATAAAAAATTTAAAATGACAAGGAAAAATAGTTATCCAATGAAAGGAAGTTTTCAACACTCTTAAATTAATAATTTGCACAACTCTATTCACATACATTTGAAAACACGGATGAAATGAATAATTTCTAGAAAAATACAACTTGCAAAAATTGATCCCAGTAGAGATAGAGAGTCCAAACAGATGAATTACATCAAAGATCATTTAAAACATTGGTTAAATTTCTCCCATGCAAAAGTACCAGGCCCAGAAATCTCCAAAGAAAAATTCTACCAAACCTTTTAAGGTAAGATCATCCTAATATGAATTAAATTATTCCAAGCATGAAGGAAAGAAGAAAAATGTGCATATTCTTATGATGAATCAAGTATACAATTGATTCCTGTGACAGTTAATTTTATGTGTCAATTTGACTGGGCCACAGGGTGCCCAGATATTTGATTAAACATTTCTGGGTGTGTCTGTGAGGAACAGTCTGGATGAGATTAGCACTTGAATCAGTAGGCTGAGTAAAACAAATTGTCCCCAGTATGGGTGGGCCTAATCTGGTCTTTCGAAGGCCAGAATAGAATAAAAGGCTAATAAATCTTTTTTTGCCTGACTGTCTTTAAACAGGGACATCAATCTTCTCCTGCCATTGGACTCAGACTCAGATGGGAATGTACGCCTTTGGCTTTCCTGATTCTCAGTCCTTCAGACTTAGAATGGAAATATTTCACTTGTTCTCTTGGGCCTCCAGCTTGCCCACTACAGATCTTGAACTTCTCGGGCTCCATAATCACCTGAGCCAATTCCTTCTCTAATGATCAGCGATGAGTTGTTTTTCATATGTTTGTTGGCCGCATAAATGTCTTCTTTTGAGAAGTGTCTGTTCATGTCCTTTGCCCACTTTCTGATGGAGCTGTTTGCTTTTCTCTTGTAAATTTGTTTAAGTTCTTTGTAGATTCTGGGTATTAGCCAACTTGATTGTGGTGGATAAGCTTTTTGATGTGCTGCTGGATTTGATTTGCCAGTATTTTATTGAAAATTTTCTCATTGATGTTCATCAGAGTTATTGGTCTGAAGTTTTCTTTTTTTGTTGTTGTATCTCTGCCAAGTTTTGGTATCAGGATGATACGGGCCTCATAAAATGAGTTAGGGAGAAGTCCCTCATTTTCAATTGTGTGGAATAATTTCAGAAAAAAAATGGTACCAGCTCCTTTTTTTACCTCTGGTAGAATTTGGCTGTAATTCCGTCTGGTCCTGTGCTTTTTTTGGTTGGTAGGCTATTTATCATTGCCTCAATTTCAGAACTTGTTATTGGTCTATTCAGGGATTAAACTTCTTCCTGGTTTAGTTTTGGGAGGGTGTATGTGTCCAGGAATTTTTCCATTTCTTCTAGATTTTCTAGTTAATTTGTGTAGATGTGTTTATAGTATTCTCTTATGGTTGTTTGTATTTCTGTGGGGTCAGTGGTGATATCCCCTTTATCATTTTTTATTGTATCAATTTGATTCTTCTCTCTTTTCTTCTTTATTAGTCTAGATAGTGACCTATTTTATTTCATTTTATTTTATATTATTTTTTTCAACAAACAAGCTCCTGGATTTATTGATGTTTCAAAGGGTTTCTCATGTCTCTATCTCCCTTCAGTTACACTCTGATCTTGGTTATTTTTTGTCTTCTGCTAGCTTTTGGATTTGTTTGCTCTTGCTTCTCTGGTTCTTTTAGCTGTAATGTTAGTGTGTGGATTTAACATATTTCTAGCTTTCTGATGTGGGCATTTAGTGCTATAAATTTCCTTCTTAACACTGCTTTAGCTGCATCCTAGTGATTCTGGTACATTGTCTCTTTGTTCTCACTGGTTTTAAAGAAATTCTTGATTTCTGCCTTAATTTCATTATTTACCCAGGAGTCATTCAGGAGCAGGTTGTTCAATTTCCATGTAGTTGTGTGGTTTTGAGTAAGTTTCTTAATCTTGAGTTCCAATTTGATTGCACTGTGGTCTGAGAGACTGTTAGGATTTCAGTTCTTTTGCATTTGCTGAGAAGTGTTTTACTTCCAATTATGTTATTGAGTTTAGAGTAAGTGACATATGGCACTGAGAAGAATATATATTCTGTTGTTTTGGGGTGGAGAGTTTTGTAGATATCTGTCAGATTCACTTGATCCAGAGCTGAGTTCAAGTCCTGTGTATCCTTGTTAATTTTCCATCTTGATGATCTGTCTGATATTGACAGTGGGGTGTAAGGTCTCCCACTACTGTTGTGTTGAAGTCTAAGTCTTTTTGTAGTCCTCTAAGAATGTGTTTTATGAATCTGGGTGCTCCTATGTTGTGTGCCTATATACTTAGGATTGTTAGCTTTTCTTGTTGAATTGATCCATTTGCCTTTATGTAATGCTCTTCTTTGTCTTTTTTAATCTTTGTTGGTTTAAAGTCTATTTTGTCAGAGACTAGGATTGCAAACCCTGCTTTTTTCTGCTTTCCATTTTCTTGGTAAATTTTCCTCCTTCCCTTTATTTTGAGTTTATGTGTGTCTTTGCATGTGAGATGGGTCTCTTGAATACAACTCACCGATGGGTCTTGACTCTTTATCCAATTTGCCAGTCTGTGTCTTTTAATTGGGACATTTAGCCCATTTACATTTAAAGTTAATATTGCTATGTGTGAATTTGATCCTGTCATCATGATGCTAGCTGGTTATTTTGCAGAATAGTTGATACAGTTTCTTCGTAGTGTCATTGGTCTTTGTACTTCAGTGTGTTTTTGCAGTGGCTGGTACTGGTTTTCCTTTCCATATTTAGTGCCTCCTGAAGGAGTTCTTGCAAGGAAGGTATGGTGGTAATGAATTCCCTCAGCTTTTGATTGTCTGAAAAGAATTTTATTTCTCCTTTGCTTATGAAGCTTAGTTTGGCCAGATTTGAAATTCTGGGTTAGAAATTCTTTTATTTAGGAATGTTGAATATTGGCCCCCACTCTCTTGTGGCTTGTAGTGTTTCTTCTGGGAGGTCTTCTGTTATTCTGATGGGCTTCCCTTTGTAGGTGACCTGGCCTTTCTGGCTGCCCTTAAATTTTTGTATTTCCTTTTGTCCTTGGAGAATCTGATGATTATGTGTCTTGGGGTTGATCTTCTCATCAAGTATGTTACTAGGGTTCTCTGGATTTCCTAAATTTGAGTGTTGGCCTATATTGAGAGGTTGGGGAAGTTCTCCTGGATGATATCCTGAACTTTGTGGTCCACTTTGTTTCCATCCTCCCCGTCTCTTTCAAGTACTTCAATCAGTCATAGGTTCAACCTTTTTACATAGGTCCAAAGTTCTCAAAGGTTTTATTCATTTCTTTTCTTTCTTTTTCCTCTAATCTTGTCTGCCTGCCTTATTTCAGCAGTGTGTGTCTGTGTCTGAAATTGCTAAACAAATTTGAAATAAAATGGAAATAGATTAAAATCACAGAATTAAATGAGGATAGTGATAATGAAAATAAAACACATCAGAATCTAGAGCTAGAGGAGTTATCACAGGAAATTTTATAACCTTAAATACCTAAATCAAAAAATTAAAATAAATGAATTATATATTCCATATTCTGATATTCTGTCTTCGACTTGATTGATTCAGTTATTGATACTTGTGTTTGCATCACAAAGTTATCGTGCCGTGCTTTTCAGCTCCATCAGGTCATGTATGTTCCTCTCTAAACTGGTTATTTTAGTTAGCAGCTCCTGTAACCTTTTATCATGGTTCTTAGCTTCTTTGCATTGGGTTAGAACATGCTCCTTTAGCTCAGCGAAGCTTGTTATTACCCACCTTCTGAAGCCTACTTCTGTCAACTCATCCATCTCAGCCTCTACCCACTTCTATGCCCTTGCTGGAGATGTGTTGCAATCATTTTAAGGAGAAGAGGAACTCTGGCCTTTTGAGTTTTCAGCATTTTTTTCATTGATTCTTTCTCATCTTCATGAGCTTGTCTAATTTCAATCTTTGAGGCTGCTGACCTTCGGATGGGGTTTTTGTTTGGACTTTTTTGTTGATGCTGTTGTTGTTGCTTTCTGTTTGTTTGTTTTTCTTTTAACAGTCAGGACCATCTTCTGTAGGGCTGCTGTGGTTTGCTGGGGGTTCACTTCAGGCCCTATTCACCTGGGTCCCTCCCACACCTGGAGATATCACCCAAAGAGGCTGGAGAACAGCAAAGATGGGTGCTGGCTTCTTTCTCTGGGTTCTCTGTCCTCAAGAGTCACTGACCTGATGGCAGCAGGAAAACTCTGTTCAAGGTGTCTGGAATCCCCTGTTGGGAGGTCTCACCCAGTTAAGGGGCACAAGATCTGGGACCCACTTAAGGAGGCACTCTGGCTGCCCTTTGGTGGAGGAGGTCCACTGTGCTGGGGGAAACCTACTCATCTGTGCTGCCCAGATTCCTTAGAGCTAGCACTGGGGGAGACTAAGTTTGCTGGTCCAGGGAGACCTCAGCCACCCCTTCCCCTATTGGCTCAGGCCCAGGTAGATCAGAGTTCTGTCCCAAAGCCCCTGGCTGGAGTTGCTGAAGTTTCCGCAGGGAGTCCCCACCCAGTGAGGAGAAATAGGTCAGGGTTCAGCCTGAAGAGGCAGTCTGGCCATGATCTGCCACAGCCAGTGTGCTGTGCTGTGGGGAATACCTCTTGGGTCCAAGCAGTCCAGTCTCTTGGACACCAGCAGGGGAAAAATGGAGGCCTGGAGTATTAGCGATGGCTGTCGCCCCTCTCCCAGGGAGCTCAGACATCTTAGGCAGCAGGCAAGTCACAGTTATGATGGCTGCCCCTCCCCCTAGGAACTCGCTAGTCTTAGGCAGACTCCAGCCAAGTGGCCTTTGAGAATCTGCTCAGCTCTGTGGTTGGGACCCAAGGCCCTGGTGGCATGGGCTCACGAGTGGGACCTCCTGAACCATGGATTGCACAGATCTGTGGACAAAGCATGGGTTCCCTGGCTGGGTAGTGCAATCACTCACTGCCTCCTTTGGCTGGGGGTGGAGGCTCCCCTTTCCCTGTGTGGCTCTCAGGTGGGCCAACACACCACCTTGCTTTTCCGGGCTCTCTGTGGGTCATGCCAACTGCCTAGTCAGTCCTGATGATAGAACCTGGATACCTCCATTGCTGGTGCAGGATTCACACGTTGTTTTGATTATTATCAGTGACAGCCTTCAATCGCAGCTGTTTCTAGTCGGCCATCTTGGCCCCGCCTCCTGTCTTAGTTTTTTACAAAAAAGTTTTGGCGGGGCACGGTGGCTCACGCCTGTAATCCCAGCACTTTGGGAGGCTGAGGCGGGAGGATCACGAGATCAGGAGCTCGAGACCATCCTGACTAACACGGTGAAACCCTCGTCTCTACTAAAAATACAAAAAAATTAGCCGGGCATGGTGGTGGGCACCTGTAGTCCCAGCTACTGGGAGTCTGAGGCAGGAAAATGTCGTGAACCCAGGAGGCGGAGCTTGCAGTGAGCTGAAATCGCGCCACTGCACTCCAGCCTGGGTGACAGAGCAAGACTCCATCTCAAAAAAAAAAAAAAGACAGTTTTAAGAGTAATTTTAAAAAATTTAAAAATCACAAATAAAAGAAAGTTTGCAGAATAAGGATATAAAGAAAAACATATTTTTATAGCTGTACAATGCATTTGTTTTTCAAGTTATGTGTTATTACAAGAGTCAAAAACTTAAAAAATATTAAAAATTTATAAAGTAAAAAAGTTACAGTAAGCTAAGGTTAATTTATTATCAAGAAAGAAAAAGTTTTTCCTTTTAACTTTAGTTGATATGTAATAATTATACTTATTTATGGGATACAGAATGATGTTTTGATATGTATACATAATATGTAATAATCAAATCAGGATAGTTAGCATATATATTACCCACCTCAAACATGTATTATTTCTTAGTGTTATGAACATTCGGAATCCCCTCTTCTAGCTTTTTGAAAATATACAATAAATTATAGTTAACCATATTCACCCTACATTGCTGCAGAACACCAGAACTCACTCTTCCTCTCTAGCTGTAATTTTGTAACCATTAACCAACCCGTTCCCATCCTCCCTTTCCCCTATGCTTCCCATACCCTAATACTGAAAGTTCTACTCTCTACATCTATGATTTCATTTTTTAGTTCCCACATGTTAGTGAGAACATGCAGTATTTATCTCTTTATCTCTCTGTGCCTGACATTTTACTTAACATAATGTTCTCCAGGCTCCATGTTGCCCAGAATTACAGGTTTTTTTTTTAAATCTCTGAATAGCATTTTACTGTCAATATATACCACATTTTCCTTATCTATTTGTTTGTTGAAGAACATTTAGGTTGACTCCATATCTTAGCTCGTGTGAATCGTGCTGCAATAAACATAGAGGTGCAGGTAACCCTGTGATACACTGATTTCTTTTCCTTTGGATAAATATACAGGAGAGAGATTTCTGAATAGCATTCTAGTTCTATTTTTAGTTTTTTGAGAAACCACCACATTGTTTTCCATAATGGCTGTACTAATTAATTTACATTCTCACCAACAGTGTACAAGAGTTCCCTTTTCTCTGCATCCTCATCAGCATTTGTTATTTTTTGTCTTTTTGATAATAGCCATTCTAAATGAAGTGATATATCTCATTGTGGTAAGAAAAATTTTAAATAAATTTAGTATAGCCTAAGTGTACAGTGTTTATAAAGTCTACAGTAGTGTACGGTAATGTCCTAGGCCTTGACATTCACTCACCACTCACTCATTGACTCACCCAGAGCAACTTCCTGTCTTGCAAGCTTTATTCTTCGTAAGTGCACCATACAGGTCTGCCATTTAAAAAATCTCTTATACTGTATTCTTACTGCATCTTTTCTATGTTGATATATGTTTAGATACACAAACACCACTGTGTTACAACTGCCTATGGTGTTCAGTACAGTAAAATACTGTACAGGTTTATAGCCTAAGTGCAATAGGTTATACCATATAGCTTAGGTGTGTAGTGGATTATACCATCCAAGTTTGTGTAAGTACACTCTGTGATGTTCAAACAATGACAAAATCACCAAACAATGCATATCTCAGAATATATTCCCATTGTTAAGTGATGCATGACTGTAGTAAATGTGTGTGTGTATATATATATATATATTATGTGTGTGTTTGTGTCTGTGTGTGCGTGTGTATGTATATACAGTTTTGTATCCATTAACCAGAGTTGGGTTTAATTTCCAGTTGATTCTGCATAATATGAAGACAACACCCAGAAGTGAAGAGCTGAAGTACTTTAACCCCTTTCTAGAATGTCTCTGAAGGACACTGGTGAAGGGACATCCTTCCTGGTGGCAGAACTTGAGCAGTGCACCTAGTTGGTCATTTTGCTTGGAAGGAAAAAATGGGTTGATATATGATAATGCCAATTTATGGGCTCTGGCCAATAGTTTGTCTAGACTGTTAGGGACTTGGAAGAAACATAATTGGAAAACTGGTGACAGGGAAATTGGGGAAAGAGGCATGTGGATAGGCCTCTCTAAATGGGCAAAAGGCATGAATATATTTGTGTCTCATGTGAATGCTCAACAAAGGGTAACTTCAGTAGAGGAGAATCTTTTTTTATATTTGTTCAGCTTTATTAAGGTATATTTGACAAAATTTGCATGCATTCAAGGTGTACTCAACAGGGGAGCATTTAAATAATCAAGTGCATAGGATAACCCACTCTGTTTCCCTAGCCAACCTTGTTATTGCCCAATGGGCTCAAAGAACAGTGGCCATGGTGGCAAGGTTGGAGATTCTGCATGGGCTTGACATCATGGACTTCCACTTGCCAAGGCTGACCTGCCTGTGGCCACTGCTGAGTGCCCAATCTGCCAGTAGCAAAGACCAACACTGGATCCCCAATATGACACCGTTCTCCAGGGTGATCAACCTTCTGACAAGTTAATTACATTGGCCCACTTTTATAATGGAAGGAAAATATTTTGTTCTTACTGGTATTGACACTTATTCTGGAAACATATTTGCCTTCCCTGCATGGCATGCTTCTGCCAAAATCACCATCTTTGGACTTATGGAGAATGTCTTATTGATAATCATGATATTCCATACATTTCTTTTGATCATTGAACTCACATCACAGCAAAAGAGGTGTGGCAATGGTCCTGTGCTGATGGAATTCACTGGTCTTACCATGGTTCCCAACCATCTTGAAGCAACTAGTTTAATGGAATGGTAGAATGGCCTTTTGGAAACTCTGCTAGGTGTCAATATCTTGCAGGGCTGAAACAAGGTTCTCCAGGAAGCTGTATGTACTCTGAATCAGTTTCCAATATATGGTGCCTTTTCTCTCATAGCCAGAAATAATGGGTCCAGAAATAAAGGCATGGAAATGGGAATCGCACCACTCACTATTATCCCTAGCAACTGAATATTAAAATTTTTGCTTCCTGTCAATGTGACCTTATGCTCTGCTCTCCTAGAGATCTTAGTTTCAAAGGGAGGAATGCTTCCAGTAGGAGATTGCATGAAAATGATTGCATCAAAAATGAAAATTACTGAACAGTCTCATATATTAATATGCATAAATATTCTTAAGTAAAAGAGCAAGCAATCCCACAGCACATAAAAAAGTAGATCATGACATTGTGAAGTTTATTCTAAGAACAAAGAGGTGTTTCAATATCAGGACAGCCATTACCATGATCTGTTATAATAACAGAATCAAAAGGAAAAATTATATGATTATCTCCAGAGATGCAGAAAAAAAAGCATTTGAAAGCGTCAACACTCATTCATGTTTTAAAAACCACAACAAAATAAAAATCAGTGGACACTTTCTTAACATGACTGTGTATATACACTGTAGTCAAAAAGCCAGACTCTTGCCTAAAGGGGAAAAACTAGAGGCTTTCCTGCTAAAGACGAGGTTAAGACAACATGCTAACTTATCTCCTATGATATTTGATATTGTGTGGGAGGCATTATGCAATGCAATTAACAAGGGCAAGCACTTAGAAACAAAAGAAGAGGTAAAATATCAATGGATCAAATAAATGAAAAGATAAGACACAATCTGGGAAAAATATTTGCAAACCACTTATCTAATAAAGGACTAATATCCAGACTATACAAAGAACGCTAAAACTCAAAAATAAGAAAATGAACAATCCGGTTAAAACATGGGCATAAAAATATGAACAGACACCTCACCGAAAGATGACATGCAGATGGCAAATAAGCATATGAAGAGGTACTCAACATCATATGTCATTAGGGAATTGAAACTTAGAACAGTGGAATAACATGATATACCTCATGGAAAGACAAAAATCCAAAACAATGACAACACTAAATGCTGGAGGAGAGGATGTGGAATGGAACACTCATTTATTCCTGGTGAGAATGCAAAATGGTATGACCGCTTTGGAAGACAGTTTGGCAATTTCTTACAAAGTTGAAAATATTCTTATCATATGTTCCAGTAATCACACTTCTTGTTACTTACCCAAATGAACTGAAACCTTATATCCACA
The DNA here is from genome assembly GCF_000001405.40 of Homo sapiens. Taxonomy (NCBI): domain Eukaryota; kingdom Metazoa; phylum Chordata; class Mammalia; order Primates; family Hominidae; genus Homo; species Homo sapiens. The sequence continues at coordinate 102,092,542 of NC_000023.11, read as the reverse complement.
CAAAAACCTGCACACAAATATTTATGGCAGCTTTATTCATAATTACCAAAACTTAGAAGCAACCAAGGTATCCTTCAATAGGTGATTGGATAAATTTTGATACATCCAGACAATGGAATATTATTCAGCAATTAAAAGAAGGGGGCTATCAAGCCATTAAAAGATGTGAATGAGTTTTAAGTGAATATTACTAAGTAAAATCAAACAATATGAAAAGGTTATATACCATATGAGCCCAATTATATGACATTCCAGAAAAGGCAGTACTATGGAGACAGTTAAAAGATCAGTGATTCCTGGGGGTTTAGAGGAAAACAAGACTGACTAGGTGGGGCATAGGGGACTTTAAGGGGAGTGAAACTATCTGTATAATAACATAGTGGTAGGCACATGTTATTATATATTTGTTAAAACCCAAAGAACACAGAACACAAAAAAGTGAATCCTAATGTAAACAATGAACTTTGATTGATAATAAGGTGTGAATGGTGGTTTGCTGATTGTAACAAATATACCACACTTATGTGGGATGTTAATTGGTAGGGGAGGGTGTGTGTTGAAGGAAAAGAAGTATATGGGAGCTCTGTGTACTTTTTGTTTGATTTTGCTATGAACCTAAAATTATTCTAAAAGTAAAGTTGTTAATTAAAAAATAAGTGACAAATGGTTATATAGATTTTCTGTAAGAAAAATAAATGGGATGTAGGAACTGTTTTTAAAATAAGAATCCCAGAATGGTTTAATACTTTAAACTATTTGGGTGTAAAATTTCATTTAAAAGTAAGTATCAAATAATTAAGCAGCTCTTTCTGATCCCCCTGTAAAACAAAACAAACAAAACCTCAGTGAATGAGCTCAACAGAATGTAGAGGACAAAGGAAAAAAAAATCAGTCAACTTGAACATAGATTATGAAAATTATACAACCTGAACAATAAAGAAAAAATAGAGCAAAAATAAACAGAACAAAACCACAGGGACTTGTGGGACTGTAAGAAAGATCCAGCATTTATAGCATTGATGTTTTTGGAAACAGAGGAGAACAGGGGTATAGGTGAAAAAAAAATCCAATGAAATAATGGCTGAAAGCTTCCAAATCTGGCAAATGGCACAAACCTAGAGGTTCAAGAACCTGAGCAAATCCAAATAAATTTGCAGAAAGACAAATCATAATCAAATTTCAGAAAACTAAATGCGAACAAAAATTTTGAAAGCAGGAGGAGAGAAATGATGCATTACCTATAGAAGACAAATTATTTGAACCACAAAAATTCTTCATCAAAAACAATGAAGTCCTGAATGAAGTGTCAGGCACATTTTTCAAGTGGTGAAAGAAAAGAATTTGGAACCCCAAACTCTAAATTCACCTGAATTATCTTTCAGAAATGAAGGAAAATAATAATATTTTTATATTAAGGAAAAGTAAAAAAAAAAATCGTCACCAGATGCACCCTAAAACAATGGTTAATTGGGGCTTTTAAAGCAGAAAGGAAATGAGAAAAGAAGACATCTTGGAACAACAGAAAGGAGTATCAAAAAATGAAAGAAAAATAGATCTTACATCTCCTCTTGAAATTTATAAATTATATTTGAGAGATGAAGCAAAAAGTATAACATTCTTTGATGTAGTTCTTGAGGTATATTGAGGAAATATTTTAGACAATTCTATATAAATGGTAAAAAGTAAAGGGTGGCAAGGTTTGTACATTTCATTTGAACTGGTAAAACTTCAACAATAGACAGTGATGGGATACATATTATATATGTGTATATATACATATACATAAATATAATAATTTTGATGTACATACATCAAAAAATCTATACATATGAGATATTATCTCATCACAGGTATTAAGAAAATGGGTGTTAGCAACAAAACAAAAATAACATGTTGGCAAGCATGTAGAGAAAGGGGAACATTCGTACACTGTTGGTGACAATGTAAAGTAGTACAGCCATTATGGAAAACAGTATGAAATTTCCTCAAAAAACTAAAAATGGAGCTACAATATGATCCAGCAATCCTTCTACTGGGGCTACATCCAAAAGAAAGGAAATCAGTATATCAAAGAGATATCTGTACTCTTACATTTATTGTAGCACTGCTCACCACAGCCATGATATGGAATCAATCTAAGTGGTTGTAAGTAGATGAATGGACAAGGAAAATGTGCTGTATATATACACAATGTAATACTATTCAGTCTTTAGAAAGAAGGAAATCCTGTCATTTGTAACAACATGGATGAACTTGGAAGTCATTATGTTAAGAGAAGTAAGCCAGACACAGAAAGATAAATACTGCATGTTTTCACCCATATGTGGAAGCTAGAAAATTGAATCTCATGAAGGTAGAGTGTAGAATGGTGGCTACCAGAGACTAGGAAGGGAAGAGAGGAGACAGATTAAGATTGATTGGTTAATAGGTACAAAAATACATTTAGACGGAAAGAGTAAGTCTGGTAGTACAATGGAGAAATCATAGTTTACAGTAAATTATTGTATATTTCAAAATAGCTAGAAAAGAATTGTAATGTTTCCAACACAAAGAAAAGAGAAATATTTAAGGTGATGGATAACTCAATTACCCTGATTTGATTTTATGTATTGTATACGTATATCAAAATATCAAATGTTACTCCTCAAATGTGTACAATTATGATATATCAATAAAAATAAATACAACAAAAAATTTAAAATACAGAAAAATACCTTGATCAGGAAAATATGAATAAATAAATAAAATATGTTAAGTAGTTCACAATATATCAGAGAAAAGAAAACAGAATAATGAAAAAGACAGGGAACAATCAGAAAACAAAAACAGACAAATAACAGACAAGCCATTACATATCAAAAATTACATTAAATGTAAATAGTCTAAATCCACCAATTAAAAGAGATTGGTAGAGTGGATCAAATAAAAACTCCTGGACCCAACTTGATGCTTTTCACAAGAAACTAACTTCAAATACAATGATATATGTTGTCGGAAAGTAAAAGGATGGAAATGATATACCAGGCAAAATTTATCAATAGAAAGCATGGGTGGGTATATTTTAATCACATAAAGTAGACTTCAGAGCAAAGGAAATTACCAGACACAGAGAGTGCTATTACATAATTATAAAAGTGTAACTCCACCAAGAGGACACAGGAATCTTAAATGTGTACACATCAAACAACAGCAGTGCAAAACGTGAAGTACAAACAGAACTGAAAGAAGTAAAGCAATCCACAATTTAGTCAAACCTCAATATTCCTTTCTCTAAATTGATAGAACTAGATAATCTGATTTAATTGGTGTGTTTAGGCCACTTATATTTAATATAATTATTGTAATATTTGGATTTAGGGCTACCATTTTATTATTTGTTTTCTGTTTGTCCCCTCTGGTTTTCATTCCTCTGTTTCCCATTTCTCTACTTCTTTTAGCTTATTTGAACATTATTTGATACTTCATTTAAGTTTTCTGTTTTAATTTTGACTACATCTTTTTGTATAATATTTTTAGTGGTTGCTCCAAAACTACTTACAGTATTTGACTTTTCACAATATAATTAGTGTTTTACTACTTCAAATGATATGTAGCAACCTTACCACATCATGGAGTCCCTTACCCTCCACTCTTAAGGCTTTAGTTTTCTTATGTATCTTAACTACATTCACTGAAATATCATCAAACAATATTACATATTTTTCTTTCAATGGTTAAAAAATTTTAATAAATTCACAAATGGGGATAAATGCTATATTATATTTATTTAGATATTTACCACTTTTGTTGCTTTGCCTGTACAATTATGGTCATGATATTTATTTAAAAAAAATAAGCAGCCATAAAAAATGACGAGTTCATGTCCTTTGTAGGGACATGGATGAAATTGGAAATCATCATTCTCAGTAAACTATCACAAGAACAAAAAACCAAACACCGCATGTTCTCACTCATAGGTGGGAATTGAACAGTGAGAACACATGGACACAGGAAGGGGAACATCACACTCTGGGGACTGTTGTGGGGTGGGGGGAGGGGGGAGGGATAGCATTAGGAGATAAACCTAATGCTAAATGACGAGTTAATGGGTGCAGCACACCAGCATGGCACATGTATACATATGTAACTAACCTGCACATTGTGCACGTGTACCCTAAAACTTAAAGTACAATAATAATAAAAAATAAATAAATAAATAAAAATAAAAAATAAAAATAAAAAAATAAAAAAATAAGATATCGCCTTCCTTATAATTTTGTAGGCTCCCTTTATTTACTAGGAGTAAATGCCAATAAACAGCCATCTAGATGACAGTTCTTAGGGCTTGCAAAAAAACTAATCCCCCCCAAAAAATGAAAGTATTACATTTAGCTAATATTTGGGATCAAGTAATCATATTTGTCTCACGACTACACTGTTAGTTGGTTCATCCTCATTTTACAGACAAGGAAAATGAGGGAGAGGAAGGTTAAGTGATTTGCCTAAGCTTGCATACATAGAAAGTGATGCATTGTGTATTTGACCCCAATCAGCATGGCTCTAAGCCCATGAATATTTAGGGTGATAGAGTTTGAGACATAGAAGTACACGGATAATATCAAGATTCAGCAATAGTAACACACACTGATACATACCCATACAGATACATTGTCAAAACATTTAATTGGATTATTTTCTTAATAAAATGGTGTTCTTTGCTTATATTTCCAAAACAACAAAATCATGAGTACATTATTTCTTAATCTGTTTAAATGTAATTTCTGTTTTTAAATTTGTATTTTAATTGATATTTTCTTATTTATAAAATTTCAAGCAATATAGAAATATATATTTATAAAATGAAATTACCCTGAGTCTCCCTCCTGCATGATGCCCACTCTCTGACCCAAAGGTGTCCAGTATCAATAGGTTGTTGCATGTTTTCTGAATGCATTTCTTTGGAGGTGAAGTATTACCATATAGTCACAGATATGCAAAATATATATACTTTTTTTCAATATTAAAATAATATTATTTATATGGTTCTGCAACTTGCCTTTTTTCATCTAGAATCACATATCTCAAGATTTTCATTTACATTTTATTAGCTAAACAGATCTAAAATGTTTATTGAACGCGTATATTGCTCTTAACATGAATTCTGTTTTTATATGTATTAGTTACCTATTGATGCATAACAAAATACTCCAAAATAAAAGCAGCTTAAAATAACAAACATGTATTATCTCATCATTTTTGTGGGTCAGAAATCTGGATGTGGCTTACCTGGGTGCCTCTGGCTCAGAGTCTCTCACAGAGGGCAGTTAAGATATAGGCTGGGGCTGCAGTCATCTCAAGGCTCAATTGGGTGAGGATCCAGTTCCAGGCTCACACATCTATTTGCTGGCCTTACAGCCTCAACAATTTTTAGCCAACAATATCAATCGTTTTGCATATGGGCAACATACAGCATGGCAACTGGCTTTCCTCAGAGTGACCAAGAGAGGGAACCCAAAACCAAGCCATAGCTTTTTTGACACTAATATCAGAAGTGACATCCCATCACTTCACAGGTATTCTATTTATTAGAAGCAACTAACTAATCAGCCCACACTCTAAGATAGAGAATTACAAAAGGGGGTGAATATTAGGAGGTATGAATTATTAGGAGTCATCTTAGAGGCTGCCTACCACATCATTTGTTATATAATGTGAGAGCACCACATAAACTGCAAATATTTACTCTAGCTTTTTCAAACAAGCTTTGCTGATTTTTTGCCATATGAAGGTGTTTTGAATTAACACTAATATAATTTTAAAGTAATACAGTTCAGTATAAAAAATAAAGCAGTACCTTGGATAGCATCAATGACCCAGGGTAATTAGAGCATTTAAAAAAATGTCTAAAAAGCCTCCATAAAGGGGATGAAAATGAAAGGAGATTGAGAAAGGAGGTGTCAGGACACACTGGGAAAAGCCTGAGAGTAATTCCAATTTTCACTATAAACCAGGCATTTACAAAGAGGATTCTCTGATTTACTTAACTATTTTCTAGCTTCTTATACTCTGATCTGAATTACGGATTTAATTACACATAAATTGAATAAATCAAAAGATCAAAGAAGATACAATTTAGAGTACCACTTGCTCTCATTAGTTTTGTAAACATTAATATTCTACCTTCTAGATTATCTTTCCCAGAGAAAACATCTATTCTGACTGAGACCCTGTCTACCACCTACAAAAACATTCAATTCACATAATCCTGACACGCCCAGTTATTTTGGCATAAGGGACAGGATTTCATCTCCATCATCATCATCACCACCATCACAACCATCAAGAGTGGTTGTTTAGTAGTGAGCATCCATGAGGGAGTGTAAAGTGACCAGTTTCTAAGCCCTTGTGGCCCATCACCTACATAAGAGGTCATTAGGTATGTACAATGTTTCTCAACCTCCTTTCATTTTCATCCCCTTTATGGAGGCTTCTTAGACAATTTTTTCTAATTATAGCCCCATCCACAGAACGTAAAGTGTTTGATATCAGAGATGTAGAATATATCTGTTTATATACTGTGGTCTTTTGAAAGGCTACAAACCATGATTCTATCTAAGATCTTTACACCCTCAAGAACTAATTTTTAGCCCCTTGGGGGCGATGTTGCCTCTGTTGAGAATAAATGGTATATTGTGCTGGATGCGGTGGCTCATGCCTGTAATCCCAGCTCTTAGGGAGGCAGAGGCAGGAGGATAGCTTGAGCCCAGGAGTTCGAGACCTGCCTGGGCAATATAGTGAGACCCCGTCCTCCACAAAAAAAAAAAAAAAAAAAAAAGAGAGAGAGAATAAATGGTATATTGTGATGAAGGCAACAATTAGAGCCCCATTCCTGCCCTTTACTTCATGTATGTTACTGGAATTGTTTCTTAGCCTCTGTTAGTCTGCCTTTGGTCATCTGTAAACCAGGACCCCTGATACTTATCTTACAGAACTTTGTGAGGTGAAAATGAAAAATCTTGTATGGAGTAGATGGTATGTGGTAGGACTGAAACAAATGTTTGTCCTGGCCCACCTTTCTCTACCTCTCAAAGAAGCGATGACTTTGATGTGAACCAAAGAGCATAAGTACCATAGAAACCACCAGAAAATGTAGCATCAGAAAGTAGAAGGTACACACATTTCCATAACAAATGAAGATTTGGGGGCAATTTCTGTGTTGCAAGATGAGTTTGCTGAGGGACTCCATCAAACCATCAATCAGTTTCATGTGTTCCTAGATAATTGAGTTACATGATTACAGGTAGTCTCTTAGTTTATTGCCACAGATTGCTGTGATTTTTACCTGTTCACCCATCAGAGGGCTAGTGTATCTCCAAGAGTCGTAGGATACCTCCTTAGGTCTTTGTAATACTCCCCTATTGTATCTTTGCCTCTCTCTTTCTTTTTATTTTGCCCCACCGCTGTCTCTTTTTAAGGAAAACAAAATTCTTGATTACAGGGACATGTTTTGTTGCACTAAATTGGGCAGAGTCCTGCCAATTGCCTGGGTCCTAGCCTAGTTCCTCTCAATTAGTAAGTTTTGTCAGTCTGTATCCTGAAGAGTAAAGGTGTTTCGCTTTCAGCAAAAGGAGAGTGGTGGAATGCCTATACTGGGGCATTTCCACTGTGAAGGAAAAGCCAGTGCATCTGGGTTGCCATAGAAATTTGACACAATTGTGGCAAGCATGATACATTTTTAATAGAGACCAACGTGTCCTGGTGTCCTGGTAAGAAGAGCAGGGTTTCGCCTTCAGGTGTTTGTCTCAGCTGAAAGTGCGAGTGCCCCGCAATGGGAGCTAAAACGCCCTGGGGTGTGGGGAGATGAAGGGATCCCAGATCCAAGTCACCTCATTCTTGCTTTGGGGCTCAGTGTCCAATGTCTCTCGAGGAAGAGAGATGGGTCCTTGTAGACCCTCCTGGCCCCAGTGAGTGTGATGTCCTGCTCTGGGGGTGTCCTTGAGTTACATTCCATCTAGGGGGGGACCACACAGAAATAAGATAGGTTACTGGGCGGTGAGAGAGAAAGAGAGAGCATGTGCGTGCATATCTGTGTGTGTGTGTGTATGTGTGTGTGTGTGCGTGAGAGAGAGAGAGAAAAAAAGAGAGAGAGAGAAAGAGAGAGAGAGAGAGAGAGAGAGAGAGAGTCCTATTCAGTTCCTAGCACATATTAAAAAACAAACCAGGGTAATTTTTTCTTTTTCCCAGCTTTCTTTGGCCAACATGGTTACCATGGTGACCCAGTGACTGCTGGGGGATTTGGTGCAAGTGTTGCTTTTCCAATTCTTTTATTCTTTCTAGAATTATTAGTTGGATTTGACTTTAGAATAGAGCTTTCCTTTCTTGTTTATTTTTCATTCATGTATTTTTATCAGTACAACTCATAGATTTCTAGTTGGCTCAAAGGGTTACCATCTGCTACCATCATTATATATTTTGATGCTCAAATAGTCCCAGAATTGGCAAGTGGAACCCCCTTTAAATTGGTCTCAGTGTCCATTTGATGCCTCTCTGGGATTTTTTGAGCATTTACTTTGCTCTTTGGGATGGACTATCTCCCCATCTATGGAAAAGAAGTAATAGTACCGACCTCAAAGCATTGCTTTGAGGATTTGAAGAGAAAAAGCCTGAAAGTAACAATCTACAGTATGTGGCATCTAGTAAACCCTCAACAAATGTAAGTTCCCCATTCCAAGTTTGCCTCTTTCATTCTGTCAATGAATGTCCTCTGGCATTAACATAATAGCAGCATGACTACCAAGGACAATACTTGGAAGTGTAACAGCAAACAGGGATAAGCCCACACTTCCATTCTATGTGAGCTTCAGTGTCATCGTTCTGTGGGAGGCAGTTGTAAGATGGGGCTGCAGAAAAGAGAAAACTTCATTGCACAGCTTCCCGTTAACTAAGTGGGGATAGGCCAGACATCATCACCCCATCCTGTATTTAATGTGCCTTCTCATCCTCTTACTTTCCTCCTCATCCCATGTATTTTCTTATCCCCTTACTCTCTCTTCTAGTTTGACATCAGACAAGGGTATGGACTCTGTACCCTAGAATCAGGAGCTGATAGAGAAGAACCATGTGTGACATGGAGTCTGCAATACAGGTTATTTGAACAAGAGTGAACAGATCAGGGTCCCATCATGGTGAAACTTTAAGTAAGTCACTACCCTTCCACTAGCAAAATAACAATACCCAGTCCTTTCAACCAATAGGAGTACTCTGGAGTTTAAGTGTGATCCCATGTGGGAAAGCAATCTGGCCTTAGGTGGGAGAGAAGAACCAGTGTACTTTCATTAACAAAAACACCCCAGATATCCAAGAACTCTACATAAAGGCATTAAATTAATGGTACTCAAAAATGAACTGTTTACGTCAGGATTTTTCCAAGTGTGATCCATTCCATCAAATTGTTAAAATTGCAGATTACTGGGCTCACTGTAGGTCTGTTGAACCAAAACCAGGGATGTGGAGTGAGAGGGAGCTACATTTTTAGTAATTTATCCAGTTGTTTCTGGTACTCATTCAAGTTTGAAAAGCACTGCTATGGATTTACTACAAGATCTTCTTAAAATTTTGAAACCTTTGATGTTTAATTTCATTGTCAGTTGTTCCTGCCTCTCAGCTTTGAATATATGTGTCTTCTCTGGTGAGTTCAATCTGTAACAATTACTTCAATTTAGTAATATTTATTCAGTGATTTCTGTGTGAGACTCTGGTCTAGGCACTGGGGGAACATGACAGAGAACAAGACAGGCAGGGTCCCTGGATCTATCACTCTAGTTTGAGAAAATTGGCAAATAAACAAATAAATAAGCCAGGAGATTTCTTAAGGGAATTTTTGCTTTGAAAAACATAAACACATAAATAGAATAAAAATAATCAGAATATGGATTATCTTATATAGGCGTGTGAGTAAAACTCTTTCTGAGGAAGTGACATTTGAGCTGAGTCTTGAATAACAGGAAGAAGCCAGGCACATAGACAGGCCATTTTGTCAGTGTCCCTGCACTGTGTGTGGGCACCATTGATCCAGGAGCAGAAGACAAGCTGGAATGGCTGAAGCCTGGCAAGTAAGTGCAGAATGATGGGAGATGAGGTTGAAGGGGCACAAAGAAGCCACATGGTTTGGGCCATGTAAGGAGTCTGGATGATTGTATTGTGACTGTGGAAGGTTAGAGTGTGAGAGAGATGTGATTTGATTCACTTTTTCAGAAGCTGACTGGTCGCTATTTGGAGAATGGACTGGACAGGGACAAGATAGGGAGTGGGGATAACAATTAGGAAAATAATGCAGAAGTCCAGAGGATGGAGTGGACCTGGACAGGGCACATTTGGAAGTTGGGCAGGTGAGATCTGTAGTGGCTGTGCATGTGGGTTGTGTGGGAATAAGGCAGAGTCAAGGAAGACCCCTCAGCTTTTTGTACAGCCATGTAAGAAATAGCGGTGCTGTTTTCTGAGATGAGTCCTTCCAAGTGCTTTTGAGAGATTCTCAAAGTAATTAGGTAATCCAACAGTGGTTGTAGTGAAAGTTAGTGATTTTAAAAATATAACAGTTAATGAAAAGGATTCAGTTGTAAGATTATGAACTTTATTAAAGATAGCTGCAAACTATAAAAACTATATAAATCTTAACTTGTAAGTATTTGATAAAAACAGCTAGCATTTATTGGGCTGTTCCTGTGTGCCTAGCATTGCCTTAAAGGTTTTCATGCATTTACTCAAGTAATTCTCAAAACAGCAACTCATTAGATAGTGACAATTGTTTCTTTCAGTCTGCAAAAGAGAAAATTGAGGCACAGCGAGGCACTTTTACTCTCCCAAGATCACAGTCAGATATCCCAGTGTCTCTAAAGTAGAATTTTAAAAATAAAGTTATTCCTCACCATTGACTTATCCTTTTAAAAACCAAAACACGGCAGGGCATGGTGGCTCACACCTGTAATCCCAGCACTTTTGGAGGCTGAGGCGGGCGGATCATGAGGTCAGGAGTTTGAGACCAGCCTGGCCAATATGGTGAAATCCCATCTCTACCAAAAATACAACAGTTAGCCGGTCATGGTGGCAGGGGCCTGTAGTCCCAGCTACTCAGGAGGCTGAGGCAGGAGAATCGCTTGAAGCCGGGAAGCAGAGGCTGCAGTGAGCCGATATTGTGCCACTGCACTCCAGCCTGGGTGACAGAGCGAGACTCTGACTCAAAAACAAAACAAAACAAAACAAAACAAAAACAAGGCAATATTTTTAAAATTTAATTTATTTTTCTTCTATGGTAAGTAGTATATAATCCCAGTTTTACAGATGAGGCATTTGAGTGACTTTAAGATGAAGTAAAAGGATTCAAAGTGATGCAGTTTGTAAGAAGTAAAGCTTGTCCCTAGTCTGTCTCCAGAGCCCACACTTTTAACTGGTACAGTCAGTAAGAAGAAAAAGACATTTGTTGAACCATGTCAGCTTATGGTGATTGATGTTATTAGGGTTCCTATCCCTTGGTGTGAAAACTATGCCTCAGTAGGAATTTTGCCAGGTATCAGAGAGTATTTTTTTAAGAAAAAGAAAAATGTAATTATAAAAACAAAAGGCATTGTGTGAATATTTCACAATATATTCATCTGCTATGAAGATATGGATATTTTCCAGTTTTTCACTTATTGCAAATATTGGTGGTATGAACAACCTTATACATACATTGTGGATGAACATTTATTTCTATTTCTTGGACATGTACCCAAGAGTGGCACTACTGAGTCATAGGGCTTCTGTATGTCAGCTCTGTTGATGCTGCCAAGAAATTTTCCAAAGTGGTTGTGCCCATCTTTACTCCCATCAGCAGTGTGTAAGAGTTGCAGTTGCTTCACATCCTTACCAACACTTGATATTTTCCTTCTTTTCATTTTGATGTTCTAGTGGGTGTGTGGTGCTGTTTCATTTAGTTTTAATTTTAATTTTTATGAAATGTTAAGTCTTTTTTAATCTAAAGAAGGTCTTCCCTCTTTTTTTTTAATTTTCCATTTCATTTGTTTAAGAAACTGGATGTTTTATCCTGCATAGTTTACATTCTTGATTTTGCTGATTATATTCTTATTGTTTTTTATTATGTCCTTCTGCCTCTCATTTTTTTTAATTGGTAAGTAGAAAAGAGGTTTCATTAGATTCAAGCTTTTGGTAAAAGTACCTCAGATGTGCTGGTGTTTCTTTCTATAGTGTCACAGCAAGAGGCTCATGAAGTCCAGTTGTCTCTCCTTCTCTGACATTGAGATTGATCACTGGATTTGGGTGTTGTCAGTCTGATGCATGCATTGTAAAATTTGCCGTCTGCTTTTTATCTCATGTTTTTCGTAGCCTCTATGATTATTTCCTAGATCTTCATTTAATTAAAGGTTGCAGAAGGTAATGTTCTAATTCTATAATTTCTTCTGCATTTATTAGCTGGAATTTTTTAACAAAAGAAACTTCCTGTCGCCAACTATTAGTTTACTCTGTGGAAAGGTACACAATGGAAGGATAGGGTGAATGTTTAATTCCTTTGCAGTATTTCCACTTTTTCAGAACTATGGGTTGTTTCTCTTGAGCCTCCAAAGGTGAGCAGTGAGTTGATTTTATTTGTGTGTTTGCATTTTAGAGTGTCCTCATGGACTCATAAATCCTTATGCATTTGATGTGTTTTAATCCATTGCAAGCATTAATCTTTTATATGTTCTATCTTTTTCCTGTGGTATCCCCTTCAGGTTCGTTTCTGAGTCTATTTGACATGCTCTCTGGTATGATAGTTTGGTTTAAACTTGCCTGGTACATTCCTGATCCCAGATCTGGAATCAGCCATTTCTCCAAGGGATCCTGGTGCCTTTTAGTGGGAAATGTTAAAAGAGGATTCAATCTGAGACCTAGAGTTGCTCATTGCTATGGGGTTGGTCATTGTTTCTTGCTTTTTTCAGTACATGGAACCAGTAAATATGTATTATAATTTTAAGATAATATACAACATGGGGTTCCGTCTGTGCTGCTCCTCCATCCCCTTACGGGTTATCATTTTTGTATTTTTGTTTTAAATTTTCAAACTTTGTATATGTATGCAAATGTAATATGTCTATTTCTTTTCTCCCCATTCACAGGTAAAAAGTGGCACATTCTACACAACTGCTGACCAATAGAAGTTTTTGCAGAAATAAAAATGTTCTGTCTCTGAACTGTCCAACGTGGTAGCCACTAGACACAAGTGGTTGTCAAGAACCTAAAATATGGCTAGTGTGCCTGAATAACTACATTTTAAGCTTCATTTTACTTTAGTTAAATTAAATTTAAATAGCCGCTTGTGGCTAGTGGCTATTGTATCGAACCGCCATAGCTAAAACTTTTCTGCACTTTATTTTTCACTTAACAATATAACCTGCAGATCACTCATAGCAGTATATAGAGGGAGTTTTCATGGCTTTTTATAGCAGAATAGTACTCCAGGATGTAGGTGTACTTTAGATTTGCTCAACCAGTCCACTATTTGAAGACATTGTCTTATTTCTAGTCTTCTGTTGATATGAATTGTTCTGCCAGGACTAGCCTGTGCCTATGCCCTTTGGTGTTTTTGCATCATTTCTTTGGGATAAATTCTTAAATGAGAGATTGCTGGTTCCAAGAGTAAATGCCTCTAATTTTCTAGATAGTATTGAATTCTGTCTATAGAGTAGTATCATTTTACATGACCACCAAAAATATGTGAGAATGCCTACTTTCTCATAGACTAATTGGTGAGAAGTAATTTGTTGAAATCATTTTTCTTTGCAGCACTTATCATGAGTTAGGTTGAGCATTTCCTTGTGTTTAAGGACCATTTTTTAGTAGAATACCTGTTTGTATTTCTTGCCCCCTTTTCTTTCAGGTTGTTGGTTTTTGCATTCACTTTTTCATAAGATTTCTATATATTAGTGATATAACCTTTTTAATCTAAGTATAAATATTTTTTCCAATTTTTAATTTTTTAAATTTTAATTTGCTTATGGGATTTTTTTGGCCACTTTTTTTTTTTTTGAAATTGGGGTCTTGTTCTGTTACCCAGGCTGGAGTGCAGTAGTGCAATCATAGCTCATTTCAGCCACAAACTCCTGGGCTCAAGGGATCCTCCAACTTCAATCTCCTGAGTAGCTGGGACTACAGGGGCATGCCATTATCCCCAGCTATTTGTTTTTAAATTTTTTGTAAGATATAGGGTCTTGCTATGTTGCCCAGGCTTGTACCAAACTCTTGGCCTCATGTGATCCTCCTGTCTTGGACTCCCAAAGCACTGGGATTACAGGCGTGAGCCACTGTGCCTGGCCTACCACACATTTTTAACTAAAATCACATGTATCACTTTTTTCCTTTATTGCTTCTGGATTTTATGTCACAGTTACACAAGGTTTCTCCACTACTGTGTTATAAAGAAATTTTCCTGTGCATATACTTCCGTGGACAGGAAAAAGAAGAGAGAGATTTGGATTATATTGGGTGTTGGATATAAAGAGAATCCTTAGGGTAGGTTACCATCATGCAAGAAATATATAAAAACTATTCCATTAAATCAGGAAAATTAGATATCCAGAACAGGGTCCCAGCCTTGTGCTTGTCTTTGACAACTCAGTCTCTACTCTTTTCTGTCTCCTGTGGATGTGAGTTAATCCCCCCACAACTGGGAGACAAGGTCTTACCTGAAGTAAAAAAAACCACCATATTTTCTCAGATGGAGCCTTTGGACAACTAAATGGGAGTGACCACCCTCTTAAGGTTAAAGCACATACAAAACCAGCTCAGAAATCTACCATTCTGACATAGCCAAGAACTAAAGAACAAGTAAGACCTCTAGTTCACACCCAAGAGAAAAACAAAGACTGAAACTACACAAAGGTTAACACATTGTTCACTCTATCTGGAAGTGAGATTTGCTCAGAAGCATTAGTGCTATGCAAGAGGACAGAGGTGTGGATTACAAAATGCCTCAGTTTCTGAAGGTAGCAAACTCCCCAACTCAACCACACAATTTCCGGTTTAGATGCTGAGTTTCCAGGTCTCAAGGTGAAAGTTGGACAAAACTTGCTTGGAATGGAGTCCATGTAAGGTCATACAGCATGGAGTGGGCACCAAGATCCATGTTGCTGCCTACGGACTTTTCTGTTTTACAGATCTAGAGATCAAGAGGGAAGGTGTGAAAAAGCCAATATAGAATTGGACTGACAGTACTTGGCACACAGTACACAAATATTACATATTTAACAAGTAATTACATGTAGTTGTAGGAGTGAGCAGAAAACCCAACAATATGTTCTTTCAGTCTTTTTATAATCATGAATTTTTCAAAGGGAGTTGGGATCTCACATGTACCTATTGTTTTGTCATCTGCTTTGAGGAAGTTTTGCTTCTGTTTATAAAAATTGTGTTTTCAACAGGAAAAAGTAACCCATAGAAAATAGAAAAAGATACTATCTGGTGATCAGAGTCAGAATTGCAGATGTGAAAGTATCAACTAGAGAGCTAAAGAAAGTGTGAGAGAATGGAGGAGAATAGAGAGGTGAATAAATTCCATTATATAGGCCACAGCTTTCTGGAATTTTCTGCATACTAATAGCAATCCTTCTATATTCGTGCTCACCCTAGGATCTTGACATGCTGAGTCTTCAAGTTCAGCCCCATGTGAGCTTAATAGAAAGCTGCAGGAGTTAGTGTATTAATAATTGGCATCAAGAAGTTTGAGATACAGAAACATACATACTCACAAAGAAGTAGTATCAAATAAATTGTTTTGACTTGTTTATTTTACCTGTAAAACAGTATACTATGAACATGTTTCTGAAGCAGTGAATATGAGTAGCATATGTTAATCAGTTCACAATTATTTAAAATACTATAGAAATACAAATTTATAAAATGAGGGTATCCTCTATCATCAGCATGCTGTTTTGGTTACTGCAGCCCTGTAGTATAGTTGGATATCAGGTAATGAAATGCCTCCTGTTTTGTTCTTTTTGCTTAGGATTGCTTTAGTTATTCAGACTTTTTTGGTTCCATATGAATTTTCAAATGGCTTTTTCCAGTTCTGTGAAGAATGTCATTGGTAGTTTGATAAGAATAGCATTTAATCTCTAAATTGCTTTGGGGAGTATGACCACTTTAACAATATTAATTCTTCCTGAGCATGAGCATGGACTGTTTTTCTATTTGTTTCTATCATCTCTGATGAGATTGCATTCTTAATTTGGCTCTCAGCTTCAACATTGTTGGTGTGTAGAAATGCTACTGATTTTTATACATTGATTTTGTGTCCTGAAACTCTGCTGAAGGTTTTTTTAAATAATATCTAGGAGCTTTGGGGAAAAGACTATGGGGTTTTCCTAGTATAGAATCATATCGTCTGGGAAGAGAGGTAGTTTGACTTTCTCTCTTCCTGTTTGGATGCCTTTTGCTTCTTTCTCTTGCCTGATTGCTCCGGATAGAACTTTCAGAACTATGTTCAATAGGAGTGGTGAGAGTGGGAATTCTTGTCTGGTCCAATTCTCAAAGGGAATGCTTCTAGCTTTTGCCCATTTGGTATGATATTGGCTGCGGGTTTGTCATAGATGGCTGTTACTATTTGAGATATGTTCCTTTGATGCCTAGCTTGTTAACAATTTTCAACATGAAGGGATGTTGAATTTCGTTGAAAACTTCTGCGTTTATTGAGGTGATCGCATGGTTTTTGTTTTTAGTACTGTTTTTGTAGTGAATCACATTTATTGATTTGCATATGTTGAGTTAACTTCATATCCCAGGATTAAGGCCTACTTGATCCTGGTGGATTAGATTTTTGAGGTGTTGCTGGATTCAATTTGCTAATGTTTTGTTGAGGATTTTTGAATCTATGTTCATCAGGGATATTGCCCTGAAGTTTTCTTTTTTCTTTGTGTATCTGTCTGGTTTTGGTATCAGAATGATGCTGGCCTCATAGAATGAGTTAGGGATGAGTCATTCCTCCTCAACTTTTTGGAGTAGTTTCAGTAGGATTGATACCAGCTCTTCTTTATTCATCAGGTAGAATATGGCTGTGGACCCATCTGTTCCAGGAGTTTTCTGGTTGGTAGTTTTTTTATTAGTGCTTCGACTTTGAAACTCATTATTGGTCTGCTCAGAGTTTAAATTTCTTCCTGCTTCAATCCTGTGAGGTTGTAGCTTTCCAGATATTTATCCATTTTACAGGTTTTCTAGTTTGTGTGTATAAAGGTGTTCATAATAGTCTGAGGAGTTTTGGTACTTTTATGTGGTTAGTGGTAATGTCACCTTTGTCATTACTTCTTGAGTTTATTTGGATCTTCTCTATTTTTTCTTTATTAGTCTAGGTAGCAGTCTATCAATCTTATTTATTGTTTTGAATAACCACCTTTTGTTCCATTGATCTTTTGTATGGTTTTTCGCATCTCAATTATTTTTTTCAGTTCAGCTCTGTCTTTGCTTATTTCTTTTCTTCTGCTAGCTTTGCTCTTGTTTTTGTATTTCCTCTAGGTATGTGATTGTAATTTTAAATCTTTCTAACTTTTTTTAATGTGGGCATTTAGTGCTATAAACTTTCCTCTTGAAAGTGCTTTAGCTATGTTGCAAAGATTCTGGTATGTTGTATCTTTGTTTTCATTCATTTCATAAAATTTCTAGACTTCTGCTTTAATTTTATTGTTTACCCAAAAGCCATTCAGGAGCAGGTTGTTTAATTTTCATGTAATTATAGAGATATTTCATGTAATTTTGAGAGACATTTTTAGTACTGACTTCTATTTTTATTGTGCTGTGGCCTGAGAGTGTGGTTGATATCACTTTGGTTGTTTGAATTTGTGGAAAATTGTTTTATGGCCAACTGTGTGGTTGATTTTAGAGTATGTGCCATGTGCAGATGAGAAGAATTGATGTTCTGTTTTTGGGTGGAGTATTCTATAGATATTTGTTAGGTCCCTTTGGTCAAGTGTTGAATTTACATCTCAAATATCTTGTTTGGTTTCCTGCCTTAATAATCTGTCTAATAGTGTAAGTGGAGTGTTAAAGTCTCCCACTACTAGCCTGTGGTTATCTAAGTCTCTTTGCAGGTCTCTAAGAGCTTGTTTTATTAATCTGGGTGCTCCAGTGTTGGGTAGATATACATTTGGGATAGTTAAGAGTTGTTTAATTGAGTCTTTATCATTATATAATGCTCTTCTTTATCTTTTTTGACCATTGCTGGCTTAATGTCTGTCTTGTCCGAAATAAGAATAGCAACTCATCCTCTATTTTGATTTTGGTTTGCTTGGTAGAGCTTTCTCCATCCCTTTACTTTGTGCCTTTGGGGGTCAGATGTGTACATGTGCGACGAGTCTCTTGAAAACAGCATAGAGTTGGGTCTTGCTTCTTTATCCAACCTGCCACTCTGTGTCTTTTAAGTGGAGGCGTTTAACTCATTTACATTCAAGGTTAATATTGATAAGCATGGATTTGATCCTATCATTGTGTTGTTACCTGGTTGTTATGCAGATTGGATTGCGTAGTTGCCTTATAGTGTTAATGTTATATGTACTTAAGTGTGTTTTCATGGTGGCCAGTAACAGCCTTTTGTTTCCATGTTTAGCACTCCCTTAAAGACCTCTTGTAAGACAGGTCTAGTGGTAATGAATTTCCTTAGTGTTTGCTTGCCTGAAAAGGATCTTATTTCTCTTTTGCTTATGAAGCTTAGTTTGACGGGATGTGAAATTCTTCACTGAAATTTCTTTTTTTTTTAAGAAGTCTGAATATAGGCACCCAATCTTTTCTAGTTTGTAGGGTACTGCTGAAAAGTCCACTGTTAGCCTGATGGGGTTCCTTCATAACCGACCTGTCCCTTCTCTCTAGCTGCCTTTAAGAGTTTTTCTTTCACACTGACCTTGGAGAATCTGATAACTATATGTCTTAGGAATTGTCATCTTGTATAATATCTTGCTGGGGTTCTCTGAGCTTCCTGAATTTGCAAATCAAACACTAATGAGGTTGGGGAAATTTTCATGGACAATATCATCAAATATGTTTTCCAAGTTGCTTGCTCTCTCTCCCTCTCTTTCAAGGATGCCAATGAGTCGTAGGTTTAGTCTCTACATAATTCCATATTGCTCAGAGGTTTTATGCATTCTTTTCCATTTATTTTTATCTCACTGAATTGATTCAAGCAACCAATCTTCAAGCTCTGAGATTCTTTCCTCAGCTCGGTCTATTCTGTTATTATTATTTCCTATTATGAAATTCTTGTAGTAAGATTTTCAGCTCTGGAAGATCAGTTTTTTTTTCTTAAAATGTCTATTTTATCTTTCAGCTCTTATATCATTTTTCTAAATTCCATAGAATTTTTGAATTTGGCTTTGAGTTTCACCTGAATCTCAATGATCTTCATTCCTACCCAGATTCTGAATTCTGTGTCTGTCATTTCATCCATCTCAGTCTGGTTAAGAACCAATGCTGGGGAGCTAGCATGGTTGTTTGGAGGTAAAGAGACACTCTGGTTTTTTGAGTTACCAGAGTTCCTCCACTGGTTGTTTCTCATCTGTGTGGGCTGATGTTCCTTTAATTTGAAGTTGCTGTCCTTTAGATGAGATACTTTGCTTTTGTATTCTATGTCCTTGAGGGTTTGACTGTTGTATAAGTTGAGTTCAGGCAACTGTGTTTTTTTCTGGAGGATTTCAGGGCACCAAGGCTCGGCTCAGCACCCCTGGGCTGCATGGTCCAACTCTGGGCGGCTGGTGCCAGGCCCATGGCTTTGTTCTCTAGCCCCTCAGGGTTAAACATCTGCTGCACTGGAAGGGCCAAGTTGTTCTTGGTCTGCTGGCAGCAACACTCCTAAGGGAAGTGCTGGACCAAGCACTTTATACGGGCAGTGGCAGTGGGGTCTGCACTCATGCACTTGTGCCAGGAGTGATGATATGAAAGTGTCTGCATGAAGGTGTGTGCTGGCAGCAATCTGGTGGGATACGGACACATCAGCAGGGGTGGGGCACTGGTGGGTGCAGGGGAGCAGCATCCTTCTGTATACATGCATCACATGGTGGTGCCATGGGGTATGCATTTCCTGGCAGAAACAGTGTGGCAGCATCCATGCAGAGGCAGTGTGGCAGAGTGTGTGCCTGAATGCTATCACTGGCAGTGGCAGTTTGGTGGGGTACATGCTTGCACGTGTCAGTGGGCCTGGTGCAGCAGCAGCAAGGCCTGTAGGCACACACACCAAGAAAAATGGAGACGGAAGGTCAATGCTTGTGCACTGGCAGAGCAATGGTGAGGGACTCTGGGTGAGCATGTGCCAGAAGAACAGTAGGGAAAGGCTGTGGGTGGGTGGGTATGGTGGGTATGGATCAGCATGAGCCCATATGCTGAAGCTCTACAATGGTTAATTGGGGTCTGCTGCTGAAGCAGTTATGGTGGCAGCTTCCAGGGAGTGCCCTGGTTGGTCATTCAAGGCTTCATTTCAGGTGACAATGTCCAGGCAGGGATCCCAAGACTGATTAGCAGACAGAGGGTGTTCAGATCAGATTAGCCCCATCCCATGGACAAGATAGCCCTGCTCTGTCCAGGGCTGAGTCAACGAAGGCCAAAGGCACCTAGAGAAGCATGATGAGATGTGGGGAATTGATGTCCCTTGCTGTGTTCCACTGCAGCTATTCCTGCGCCAAGGCCTTCTGGGCTCTGCACAAGCTGCAGTCCTGTCTCTGCCATCAATCCAAGCATCTCTCCCTTTCAGCTCAAATATCCATGGGGGTTGTGAGATCTCCTGCAGCTGGGATTCCAGAGGTCCATGGTGAGAATGAATCACTCCTCGCCTGTTTAACTCATCCCTCCTTGGGAGCCACTAGGGCCCAGGAACAAGTCCTGGGGCTTGGCAGCCCTGTGCAAAGTTGCCATTTTCCTCTCCCTTCATTCCAGAATCTGTGTCCTCCCTCTATCCTTTCTCAATACCTTCCTACCTTCCTCAGAATATTTTCTCAGAGTGTGCCAATCTTCTTGATGGTCTGGTCTCTAGGTGGGAGATTCTCTTTCTGGCTGCATCTAGTGGGTCATCTTGGCTTCCGCTTCCCCAACTTTCACACACATTCTGTTTTTTAGTTTTTGCTATGAACATGGCATTTATAATGATTGTAAGTATTTTTAAAATACTTAAGCACATTACTCTCAAAAGAACAATTGAATAATAATTCCTTGATTAATATCAAATGTCAGCTCACAGGAAAAATCTCAGTCTTTTTAGTAATTCCAGGTCTTGCATCCTGAAGCAGTAATTTATAAGTTCATTTGCCTAGGTCAAGTTACCTAATCTCCCATTTCTGATAATATATATAACAGGGATGATTATTGGTACTGGATAGAGTTGTTAGGATTGAATTAGCATTAAATATAAAATATCCTTATATAGTAGTTGTGTACATGTTAATAGCCTATGATTCAGGTTCTCTTTTCAAAGGGCCACAGCTCGTACTGCTTCCTGAGTCCAGTTCGACATCTCAGGAATCAGCTAGTCTTTGTAAAAGCTTCACCTCTGCTTCTTGGCCCATGGACCAGTATGCTGTCAGTGTTTTTATCCCCACCATCATCTTCATCAGCAAAAGGGTAGTGATGGCCAATGGTGGCATAATACAGCCCGGGTTCCATATCAGGAGAGTTTCCCACTATCAGTCCTTAACCTCTGGAAAGCCATCATTGAAATGGGAGGCTGCTGTACGGCCTATGCAGAGGCCAGGGTGTAGATGTTTGACTCCAAAAAATGTATGTACCTTCTGTGAGTCTAAGCTGGGTCATCTGTAAAATGAGACTATGGGTGCCATCTTCACAAACTTGCTGTAAAAAGAAAAGGAGAAAAATCTAAAAGAATGTCTCATAGATGGTAGGCTTGTTATGCTGACAGTCCACTCTGCCTCCTTTGTTTCATAAAATAGAATATTTAAAATGGCATCTGGAAATACACTAATATGAAGTAAACTTTTGTCCCATTCTATCACTTCCTTTTTTCACATGCTTTCTTGTCTCTTTATTTTCCTTCTAGTTTGACATGGGTGAAGCAATTTCTTATGAGTTTCAGAAAAAAAAAATGGTACAGAAGAGCAAAGAATAGTAATGGCTTGGGTAGATGAACAAGGGAGTCATCAAACATGTATCCAAGTTACTAAACCCCTTAACTGAGCACAGGACCTTGAATAAGTCATTTTCAAGTTTTTGGTCTCTGATCTAACACAGAAGGGCACTCAGTGTAAAAACAGTGTGCAGGGGCATGGGCTTTGGGTTACAGGGACTGGGATTTGACCCTGGTATCCATTACTTGCTGGTTGCCTGATTGACAGCAACCAATTTATCTACAATGTGCTCCATAATTGTTGTTGTATTTTATTATTTACTATTGTTATTATTCCACAAACCATCAAAAGGTGAATTGTAGGAGTGGAGATTCTACTTCCTGCCATGCATTACAATGCTCCTCAAAGCTAAGATTTTTATAACTGTTAGATAAAGTGGTTGAAATATAGATTAAAGGAAGTCTATAGGAAGCTCATAAGCAGACCCTGATATATAACATTGTTTAACATGCAATGAGTATTTCATCTCCAATTAGATGCACAGTCCAAGTATTGGGGCTTGGTTAGCTGGTAAAAGGTTCATTGAAAAACAAAGTTAGATAATAGTTTATACCTTGTCATTTAATCAGAACACTCTCTCCATGTGCTAATACTTAAAATAAAAATTAAGATAAAAGCAAAAATAAAGTAACAAAAACTAAGATACTAAGAAACATATATGGTAATATAATAGTTTTAAGAAATGATACATATAATACATGTACATTTGTGGATATGCATGCAGAGAAAAATAATGGAATAAAATGGCATAATGTGATTTCAATGATGATGGAATTGATGGATATTGATATTTTTAAACTCTGCATTTGATTCAATAGTAAACATTTATTAAATGAATATGCATTACATTTAGGATTAAAAACTGAGTCTGTAAATGCTCTGCTACTTGAGAAGTAAAAAGCATAGAGCTGTAAAATTAATCTAGGTTAAGAAAAATATTTAGTCCTCCCTAATTACGTCCCATTCTGGATAATGAGAAAATCACCATCCAGAATAAGATGATTATTATTCCCATGTACTGCTTTATCCTTTTACTCTATATGAGAGTTTCCCTACACAAAATATACCATTGTATTGCAAGTATAACAAGGGAGCCACACACAATAATCTATATTACATAAGAAATTCAGTGCTATCTCTGGGTTATGCAGTGTAATAATATTGGAGTGGAAAATGTCCTCACCCCTTTTGTGTTGATAACTTGTGCTTTTTCTGTACTCTGTTGTGGCCCTTTGTATTCACATCAGATGTGTACATAACCTGGGGCTCTGGGACCTTCTTGGAGCTTCAGGAAGAGGTTACTGTGGGTCTGTAGGGAGGGACACTGGAGCGAGAGTCAGGAGCTTTTCTTAGGCCCCAGTGCCTGAGACATCCAAGATGAGTTTCTTTTCCTGCCTTGACCTGCACCATCTCACCAATGTTCACTGAGCATCCATCACTTTTCATACTTCCAGTGGTTCAGAGGATGGAGAGTTTACAATAATGATTGCACAGGGCCCAGGTCCTTGTGGAAGTTATGGTGACATCTGTAGAACTACCTTACTATGTAAGAGGAGAAAGTCCTCACTGGAATTATTAGAGACTCCTAAAAGAGGGGCTATGCCTGGTACAATGGGCAGGACTCATTGGGGCTGGATGTGAGAGAAGACAGAGGGGGTCCAGCCTGACTGGAGTGAAGAGTGGGGGCCTCCCAAGGAAGCAGACAAGGCTCTGAGATAACTAACAGGACACTCTAGGTCTGAGGCCATCCAGGTTTGGGACCAATTGGTGAAGGACACATTTGCTTCAATGGGATGCTGCAGGTTACCTTTATACCCTGAAATTGCACAAATATCGTGAGAAGGAAAGTGCCCTGTATGCTTCTCACTGGTCCACGGGGCAGGGAAGAAACAGGGGTACTGACAATAGTAACGTAGATGACGTCAGCACACTAAACCTTCATTAAAGTGGGAAGTGGACATCAAGGGGAAGGACTTACAACTAATTGAGCCCCCACGCTGTGTGGAAATTGTACGCCTGCTTTAGTTTCTCTCTTACCCCAGGTAACCCACATCAGCCAGTGAGTTTCTGCCTTTCTCCTAGAGTCACTTTTTTAATAGTCTTTTTTCACATCTATCAGTTTTTTAAACACAGAATTAGAATCATTCTGTACATAGATTCATAAGCTCGGTTTTAAGGGAGAGATTGTACTTTTCATTCTGCATACATTTCTTTGCAGAAAAGTTTGACAATAGAGATACATTGGTGCCATCTTGTGACAGAAGCTTCAACTGCAGCTTGAACACCAATGAGCACGAAAGTGGAACCCACCCTAAAGAGCTTTCTGGAAGTCTGGGTGGAAAAGGGCATATTCCCAGTATACAGGGATACTGATGGCCATCAGACAGAAAGTATAGGCTCCTTCTAAGCTGAAGAGAAAGCTGTATGTAAGAAAGACAAATGTATCATTTTAAAAATCCTATGATACCTCTGGAGAAATAGCTAGACACCTATATAAGCAAAATTAGATTCTTCCATTTATGATCATTGTAACCTACCTTTGCCCTAATTATGACCACCTTTCCATGTAAATACATTTCTATGATAATATTTCACACTACTTTACAACAGAATTTTAATTTTTTTTTAACATTGGCCTGGCATTTCATTGTATGGATGCTTCAAAATTTATTTCACTAGTACTGTACTGAAAAAGAAAAATTAATTACTTTACCTTATTTTCTATTCCAAGTAATAGTATACTTAACAGTCTTGATTATATATATGTAGATATCTTTGTAAGCATTTTATATTAAGTTTCTGAAAGTGTTTTTTCAAAACTATACAATCTAAAAACTTCCATATTAACACATTACATTCAAAATTCTATTACTAATTTGTATTCCTAACAATGCAGCATGAAAGTGCCTGTTCTTCTACAAATTTGAAATAATATGAATTGTTGCTAATCTAATAGACAGCAAATTAGTTCTTATCATTGTTTTCATTATAATTTGTTTTTGCTGCCTGCCTGCCTAGAACTCCATCCTATGGATATCACATAATCAATTTTCACAGCCCCATGTTATTTAAAGTGTCCTGATATTCTGTATTATCAACACTATGTGGATGGCATCTTTTCAGTGTCTGTATACTGCTAAAGTTCAGGGTACATTTTACATGGATATTTACACTGGTGAATTGAATGAGCAAAGCATCTTGGGAAAATTTTAGTATTATGATAACAGAACTCGATGAATGTATGAGTATATGGGAAAGTATATGTGTGTATGAGGGTGAGTATGTCAGTGTGTTTGTGCTGACAACTACAACATTTCCTTTTGCTCCCTCTGCCCCTACATAGCTTTTGTGAACCCCTAATATCTGAGATGGTCTCAATTAATTTAGAAAGTTTATTTTACCAAGGTTCAGGATGCACACCCATGACACAGCCTCAAGAAGTCCTGAAGACATGTGCCCAAGGTGGTCAGGGCACAACTTGGTTTTATACATTTCAGCGATACATGAGACATCAATCAATATATGTAAAAAGTACATTGGTTTCATCCAGAAAGGCAGGAACAACTTGAAGCAGGTAGAGGGCTTTCAGGTCACAAGTAGGTGAGAGACAAATGGCTGCATTCTTTTGAGTTTCTGATAAGCCTTTCCAGTGAAGGCAATAAGATATTCATCTATCTCAGTGAGGAGGGGTGACTTTGAATAGAAAGGGAGGAAGGTTTGTCCTGAGCATTTCCCAGCTTGACTTTTCCTTTTAGCTTAGTAATTTGGGGGTCCTAAGATTTTCCTTTCATATTATCCCCCTTTTCTTTTTTAAAATCTTTTGGAGAAAGCATTTTAGGAGAAAATGGGTCCCTGGTCTCAGGTTTCATCTGAACTTTTGTGGCTAGGACAGTTTATTCCTGGATGGGTATGTCCTGAAAACTCATTTTAGGAGGTTGTGAATTCTCATGTTCTACGAAGAGAAAATAGGGGGAGGAAGGGAGAACAACAACAACAAACAAAAGGATGATCCTGGAAAATTGATACAGGTCACATTACTCTGAAGACCATCCATTAGTAGGCAGTTATGAAAGTGGCTTTTATATGTAAACAGGTTACTATTATTTTCTTCTGAAGTTTAAGTTGCCTAGCTTCAGTTCTCAGGGATTTAAGAAAGCATAGCTTTGTTTTTTGTGATTTCAAATTAGGAAAAAATGGGGAAAAAGGAAAAATAGAAGAAGCATTGGAAAATATTATTTTGGAGACTTGTAGCCAGGAAAAAATAGAGTAAAAACTATAGTTTTTGAAACATATTTTTTCTCTCCAGTTATCCATTTTTACTAATGACAAATCATGGTAGGAACAATTTGTTTTATTATGCTTGTCCGCATTATTTGTATAAAGTACAGCAAAAATAATTATTTTTTACATAAACTTTTTAAAATTGCCTTTGATGGAACTTTGTTCCATAGACGGAATCTCATATAAGACTTTTTTAAAGCAGAGCTCAGCCATGAATTTGTACCATCAAATACTTATGAGTTAGGTGAATTTCCTCTCCTCTTGAGGTTCCAAGATAAATCTGGGGCTCCTGGGTCTGTCAGAAAATGACGTTCTTTACTTACCACAGGTCAGAAATCCTGTACAGGGACTGTGTAAAGTATGAGGCCAGTTTTTCCAAGGGCTTTTATTGACTCCATAAGTCAAGTTTGATTCCTTAAAGGAAAGCCCACCATTCCAATCAAAGCCTTGGTAAAATAACCAGTTTCTCCAATAGTGTCCTGTTACAAATGAAAACAGATTCTTATTGCACTTATGCAAATAACTGTATTGTCATAAGTTAAGAATACTCATAAATAATTTCCAAATTGTGGAGAAATCAGGTAGAAAGAAACAAATATGCTCCAAATTTTGTGCATAGGAGTATACTAAATTGTTAAAAGCTGTCAATAGCTCAAAAGAAAAGTTACAAGACTGAAAAAGCATAACAAAGGATCAACAACGTTTTAAGCAAAAAGTCAAAAAGATTAGTTCAGTCTGTGCAGTTAATTCCTGTTCTGCTGCTATTCATGAGCATTTTAGCTCTCCATGAGTTCTGAAAGTTTTTCCTCTATTCTGGTGTCACAGTCTCCAAAGTTATCAGAAACATGAATTCAAGAGCACCTGTTAGAGTTTTATAGCTGATAATAAAACCACCTTCTAAAGAGGACCCAAACAACACAACAATTGTCCATGGATGACAAAAAGTTTCAGGGCCAACATAGTCAAATACACAATTGACAAGGAAATTTGTGACCTCTGTGGCACACAGTAATTTTAACATAACAATTTTGATTATTACTGATAATGTACACTAAGCTATATCAGAATGACAGGAGTTTCCCATAATTTTCAAACACATACCAATAACATATTTACACAAATACAGCCCAAAGAAAACCAAACACCATTTTATATTTGACAATGTTTCCTGTATAATTTTTGTACCAAATAAGCCAAATTATGTCACTTGTGGACTTTGAGGAACCTAATATCTTAAAGGATTAATTAGCTCAGAAAGACATAATTTATAATTTGATTTCAGAAAGCTTGTCAAATATCAAAGGTTTAAAACACTTGATATCACAAAATACAATCACAGATCACTGTAAAATAAGTCATTCATTCAACCAAAGTGATAACTCAAGAATTTCAAAAAGGGCAAAAACCTTCATTCTTTGAGAAAGGAGACTTAATTTTCCAAAAAATAAGCCCTAATAAAAACAGCACAAAGCCAGTTAAATTTGTTTTTCAAAATTTTATAAGCAATCTATAAAATTTTAATCTTGACCATAAAATATAACTTCCATAAGCCTTTTATAACCTTTATAACCTTTAATAGGGAGCCAGTTAATGCTTCAAGAAAACCTTGTTAATATGACACAGGGGCCCATATGCTGGTCTTGTATCAGCATGCCTTTGAAATTAATGATTAATTTATAGAGAAACTGAACTTATTTTATCTTTCAAAATTGATCCTCACAATCTCATGTGCCCACTTCTTTTGAGATAGTCCCTGATGTGCCCACTTCTTCTGAGATAGTCCCTGGGCCTTGGGGAGTTAAACAGCTTTAATTTCTGGCCCTGTGTCTCAGGAATACAGTTTATTTTGATTGGCATCTTCTTCAGGGCCAGGAGATGGGGATTTAATTGCTGTCAGTGTTTAAGATTTAGCAGGACTTGGTGT
Source organism: Homo sapiens (assembly GCF_000001405.40). Taxonomy (NCBI): domain Eukaryota; kingdom Metazoa; phylum Chordata; class Mammalia; order Primates; family Hominidae; genus Homo; species Homo sapiens. The sequence continues at coordinate 102,064,222 of NC_000023.11, read as the reverse complement.
CCTTTTTAGATTCAGGAGTCAAAACCCTGTAACTCAATGTCACAAGGACTTTAAAAGTATATACAGGAAGATACATGATGTAATAACCTTAATTAAAATAAAATTTAAATCTGTTTTTTCCTAAGCAAAACAAACTTTATAATATTAGCATAGTAATTATTTCAACAAAACATACAATCTTTTAGGCCAGTTATCGCAAGGCAAAAGAATATTCTCTTGGAAGAAAATATGCCTTTCTGAAGTGCACAGAATATTATGTTGGAAGAAAACATTCCTTTTAAAAAAGGAGAGAAAGCTGCAAAATGGCAAGATGCAAAAAAGTTGAACTTTGGGTTAAAAAAATTAAAACCTCATAATTTATTAAGAGTAAATCAACCCTTTAAGAAAACTTTATTGTTCTAACCAATAATTTAGTGTGTAAGTGCTTTTTTTACATCAAGCCCAATGTCTAGAAAGAGCATTATAATTTCTCTTTAATTATAAACAACTTGATCATATAAAAGATTTTAGTGTCTTTAAAAATAAATCCTCGTATTGTGACTTACACAGACCATTTATGACATGCTTGGACTTTCTGGTCTGTCCTAAACACCCCTCTTTCTTACACAACCAGTCATTTTATTTTAGGACTGAATTTACCATACAAATATCTGTCTCATATAAAATTATTTCTGTTTGAGCTTTATTACCATAAAAAACCTCTTTATTATTATAACTTTCTTTACATCTCTCTTATTTCCTGGTTCTTTTACTTTGTTTTATACATAATCTTTAAATGAGCTTTGAATAGACAAAACTTTTTCACTTTTTTTAAAAAGGACACACTTTATTTTAGCAAGGATGTTTTTCTACCATATATTTTTATTGGAAAATAGTCAAATAATAAAACATCTATTATTTAATTTAATATAACTTCATATTCTAAATTATAACAAGTTTTCTACAAGTATTTATCCATTACATTTACCTAATTATTTTAATTATTTACATAGATAATTTATGAAAACTGTGATAGTCATCATTTAAAGTTATAAAGCAACCATTGCAAAATAATAACTGGGACAGTGAAAAAGATCTGACCTAACTGACATCAGCTTGCTTTTAACCTCCAAGCTGTCCTTGTTTATTCCTGGGTGTAACTAACTTCGTTAGGAACTTAATTTATAGTTTAGCTTTTAAACAGTGATGATAACGGTCCTTTCCCAAAACAAACCTCCTTACTGCCTGTGGATTAGACTGCCTAAAACCACAAATTTAGAAGTTATGTTACTAAATTTGAGATGCAGCTGTTTTCATTAAGCCAATAACGATATCTTATTTATTTAAAATTACACAAGCAAAGATCATTCTGCTTTGGGCTTGGTTTATAGTTTTGTAACCCCTATACCATATCTTGACACCTTGTAGTATTTGGTAGGGATAAGTATGAAATTGCTTGTTTAATAAATGTAAACAAAAATTTATGCTGGCAATTCTTAAGACATTTCTAATATTACTTTTTCAATAATTTTAGAGCTAGCTTATTTATTAAAGATTTTACTTAAGTTACATAAACTTGAAAAAGCTGTTGACTAGTCTTTCTTTTCTTTTTTTGATAAAATATTTGATTCAAGCATTTTTATTTTCTTAAGCCAATTAATTACAGATCTTTATATAGTTTCAGTAGTGAAACATGGTGTACACAACACAGAAATATGTAGACGTATTAGGCATGATGATAGAAGTACATCTTATAGACTGTATAGAAGTACATCCTCAGACCTCCTTTTTTTTCTGTCTTGGACTTGCCAACTCTTGATAAGCTGTTTCCTTACCCTGTCAGTTGTCAACTAAATAGACCTAGATCTGTATATTCAAGGAAGCAACTCTTAGATGAAAAATGACATAGAAAAATTTATATTTCAAAGTACAGAGAGAAAAAGTCTGGTCGTGCTAGAGGAAGATTAAAGATAGATGCCAAATCAAATGTAAAATTATATAAGTTTATTGTAGGATTGTATAAGGAGACCAACTTTATTTAGATAGAGACTACCTTTTTTTAACTGAATCTCTGAGCTATGGGCAGAGCCCACACTGAATTCTGGGTCTCTAAAAAGGGAGAATTATGAGGCTAAACCACATGATGCTTTTAGTGCACTTAAAAACAATTTTTTTCTAAACAAAGACATTTCTAAGTGTCTAAACTACATTCTTCCTTAAATACCCAAGAGTAGCCTCTGTTGCAATAACTACTTTAGTCAAAAAAATCAGGTGAAAACAGAATTCAGTGAACTGAGAAGAAAAAAACTTTTACTCAAAAAAAGACAAGGTCCTAGGAGAGAAAAACAAACAACAAAACAACAACATAAAGGTTTTTTAAATACAAATATGCACATATGCACACATGCCCACATACACACTTCTTGGATGTTAGCCTTTTAATTGAGCTGACTTTTAACCACTGAGCTCCTTTAAAATAAATCCTTTTAAATCTCATTACCATATTTTAGCTAGGACATATTGCAGCTATTTCAGAAGTACCAAGTAGCAAATCAGAAAGGGCTTGATTTAAGAACTAAACCCAGGCTGTCGTAGTGAAAAAAAAAAATCAGGACCTTAGCTATTGAACTGCAGCATGGGATGACAGCAAACTCTTTCAGTTTGGCCTGGCTAGGTACAAAGAGGACCTTGTTATGTATATAAAGCCCCTTAAGTAGTCAAAATAAAAAGTAGTTCCATTTTTTCCTTTGTTGGCTGTTTTTCTCCCCCCACCACACCACCTTTTGTGTGTGTGTATGGGGCAGGGGGGATTTAGCCACTTTAGAGGCATTGTTCCCCATAATTTGGAACTTTCCTTCAGATTTGATCAAGTTGGATAGAGTTGGTCAAACCCAGTAAGAAAAAGACAAAAAACAACAACAAAAACAGAAACAAAGAGTTAAGTGAAACAAATGATTGCAGAACTTGTATGATTACTGAGTACTCTAATGGTAAGGAGAAATTAAGACCAGCTAGTTGTTAATCTTAACTTTAGCCAAGACAAACACCAATTCAGTTACTTACCTAGAAATGGGTCTGAAGCCAAAAACTGATCTCTGCCATCCTAGAAGCAGGAAGAAAAAACTCATCTTCCCTGTTGGAAGCAAGATCAAACTCCATAAAGGAGTTACCTGCCTTCCATCAACATGGAAGCAGGAAAAACTTGCCTTCCTTGTGTTGGAAGCAAGTAAAACTGAAAAAAAAAGAGGAGTTGTACAGCAAAATGAACCTTATTGACCAGATTTAGGGAGATCAGGGATTCTCTGGAGGATGTGCTCTCAGACTTCAGCTAATTTTCCTATTGGTTTGAGCCATAAAATTAGCTCATGCTGGTAACAAGCACCAATAAGAGATTTGTCAAAGGTCAGGGGCATTCTCCACTCAGAATCCCTCCATGGTTAGCAAATGTGAACCCTGAATATCTGAGATGGTTTCAGTTAATTTAGAAAGTTTATTTTGCCAAGGTTGAGGATGCATGCCCATGACACAGCCTCAGGAAGCCCTTAAGACGTGTGCCCAAAGTGTTCAGGGCACAGCTTAGTTTTATAAGTTTCAGAGAAACATGAGACATCAACCAATACATTTAAGAAGTACATTTGTTCCATTCAGAGAGGCGGGAACAACTCAAAGCAGGGAATGGCTTTCCAGGTCACAAGTAGGTGAGAAACAAATGGTTGCATTCTTTTGAGATTCTGATAAGCCTTTCCAAAGGAGGAAATCAGATATGCATCTATCTCAGTGAACAGGGGGGATGACTTTGAATAGAATGGGAAGCAAGTTTGCCCTGAGAAGTTCTCAGCTTGACTTTTCATTTTAGTTTAGTAATTTTATGGCCCCAATATTTTCCTTTCACACTTTGCTTCCCATTTGGTTATTTCTTCAGAATCAAGATCTGACCACCAGCCCCTAACAGAGCTACATTTTTGACAAAACAACTCTGTGCTGTTGTAGACACATGAGCTGGTGACACTTTACTCAAATATGCATTTTGCAATCATCCACACTATCTGATCTTTTCAACTATGATCAGTAGAATCTCTGCAGAGTATTTCCACTGTGATGTGATGGTTTGTGTCTGGATTTCAGCCATGTTATCTGCACAGGTTTTCTTATACACAATTAGCCCTATCACTTTGGATCTTTTTTGGATATCTTCAGTAGTTTACCAGGAAGGCCTACAATGTCCCTTTCATTTGTCTCTAAATCCGTCTCTGCCAAATTGCTGAAGTTAGAAATTAACAAAGATGCAAGGGATGATTCCTGGGCTGCCTGAGTCCTTTGACCTAGGGGCAGAAGCAAAGAAGTGGATTTGACAAAATGTAACTGGTGTTAGCACAGTCTGGAACATCTGGAAAATGTTGTTATCTAATAGAAAAATGTTTTAAAGGAAAGGAAAAGGGAATTGATACCAAAGTAATTGAATGTTCAAGGGGACTAAGGGTTAAGAGTTCAAGTGTTAAGAGTTTAATTGTGTCCCCAAAATGATATGTTGAAATCCTAACCTCCAGTACCTCAGAATGTGACCTAATTTTGAAATACATTACTTACAGAAGTAATTAGTTAAACTAAGATGAGGCCATGGGCCCTGAGGGAAGGAAGCAAAGCCAAAAAATCTCTCCAATGGGTTTCACCTGCAGTAGATGCCCGTTAACAGCTGAGGAAGTGCTCAGGTATTCCTAGTCTGTTAAGGTTTTTTATCATGAAAGAGTGTTGGATGTTGTCAAATGCTTTTTCTGCATCTATAAATTATGTGTTTTTTTTCTTTTATCTTGTTAATACAGTATATCAGATTATTTGGTTTTTAGATGTTAAACCTTGTCTTCCTTGGGTATGTTGTTGGATTCACTTTGCTAATATTTTATTAGGGATCTTTCACCTCACCTCCATGGTTAGCTGTGTTCCTAGGTGTTTTATTCTTTTTGTGGCAATTGTGAATAAAATTGCATTCCTGATTTGGCTCTCAGCTTGACTGTTGTTGGTGTATAGGAATGGCTAGTGATTGTGACATTTAAAAGAAAATGGTGACTAGGAGACAGGACTAACGTGCAGCTCACACTTGGATGGACAGAACAACAAGTGGAGATTCTCACTGTGAACTTTTGCTCCAAGAGCCACTGCAGGAAAGGGCATAACAAAAAAACTACAGACCAATATCCCCGATGAACAATGCAAAACTCCTCAACAAAATACTAGCTAACTGAATCCAACAGCATGTCAAAAAAACTAATGCACCATGATTAAGTGGATTTCATACCAGGGATACAGGGATGATTTAACATACACAAGTCAATAAATGTGATACATCACATAAACAGAATTTAAAACAAAAATCACACGGTTATCTCAATAGAGGCAGAAAAAAGTACACAAAATCCAGCATCGCTTTATAATTAAAACCCTGATCAAAATTGGCATAGAAGGGACATCCTTCAAGGTAATAAAAGCCAGCTATGACAAACCCATAGCCAACATTATAGTGAATGGGGAAAAGCTGAAAGCATTCCCTGTGAGAAATGGAACAAGACAAGGATGCCCACTTTCACCACTTCTATTCAACATAGTACTGAAAATCCTAACCAGAGCAATCAGACAAGAGAAAGAAATAAAGGGGATCCAAATCAGTGAAGACAAAGTCAGAATGTTGCTGCTTGCTGATGATATAATCATATACCTAGAAAACTCTAAAGATTCATCCAAAAAGCTCCTAGATCTGATAGATGAATTCGATAAAGTTTCAGGATGCAATATCAATGTACACAAATTAGTAGCACTGCTATACACCAAAAATGATCAAACTGAGAATCAAAGAAAGAACTCAATCCCTTTCACAACAGCTGCAAAAAACAAACAAACAACAACAACAAAAACACCTTGGGAATATGCCTAACCAAGGAAATGAAAGTTATCTACAAGGAAAACCACAAAATACTGCTGAAAGAAATCATCATAGACAACACAATCCCATGCTCATGGAAACACAAAATGGAAACACATCCTATGCTCATGGATGGGTAGAATCAATACTGTGAAAATTACCACACTACCAAAAGCCGTGCAATTTCCATCAAAATGCCTTCATTATTCTTCACAGAACTAGAAGAAACAATCCTACAATTTATATAGAACAAAAAAGAGCCCACATAGCCAAAGCAAGACTAAGCAAAAGAACAAATCTGGAGGCATCACATTACCCAACTTCAAACTGTACTAAAAGGCTATTGTTGCCAAAACAGCATGGTACTGGTATAAAAATAGGCATACAGACCAATGGAGCAGAATAGAGAACCACAAAATAAAGTCTAATACTTAACAGCCAACTGATCTTCACAAGGCAAACAAAAACATAAAGTGGGGAAAGGACACCCAATTCAACAAATGGTGCAGGTGTAATTGGCAAGCCACATGTAGAAGAATAAAACTGGATCCTCATCTCTCACTGTATTAGTCTGTTCTCACACTGCTACAAAGACATACATGAGACTGGGAAATTTATAAAAGAAAGAGGCTTAATTGACTCACAGTTCTCCATGGCTGGGGAAGCCTCAGGAAACTTACAATCATGGCAGAAGGCAAAGGGGAAGCAATGATCTACACATTGTGGCAGGAAAAAGAAGTGCAAGCAGGGAAAATGCCAGACACTTATAAAACCATCAGATCTCATGAGAACTCACTAACATGAGAACAGCCTGGGAAAACCCACCCCTGTGATCCATCACCTCCCACTGGGCCCCTCTCTTGACACATGGGGATTATCGAGATCACAATTCAAAATGAAATTTGAGTGGGGACACAGCCAAACAATATCACTCACCTTATACAAAAATCAACTCAAGATGGATCAAAGACTTAAATCTAAGATCTGAAACTGTGAAAATTATAGAAGATAACACCTGAAAAACTCTTTTAGACATTGGCTTAAGCAAATAGTTTGTAAGCAAGTACCCAAAAGGAAATGCAACAGAAACAAAGATAAATAGATGGGAGATAGTTAAACTAAATAGCTTCTGCACAGCAAAAGAAATAATCAGTAGAGCAAACAGACAACTCACAGAGTGTGAGAAAATATTCTCAAAAGGACTAATATCCAGAATCTACAAGGAAGTCAAATAAATCAACAAGAAAAAAAATCCCATCAAAAAGTAGGCAAAGAACATGAATAGACAATTCTCAAAAGAAAATATACAAATGGCCAAAAAACATGAAAAAATAATCAACATCACTAATTATCAGGGAAATTCATATCAAAAGCATAATGAGATACCACCTTTCTCCTATAAGTATGGCCATAACTTAAAAATTAAAAAATAAAAGATGTTGGCATGGATTGGTGAAAATGCAACACTTTTATACTGCTGGTGGGAATTACTAGTACAATCACTATGGGAAACAGTATGGAGATTCCTTAAAGACTAAAAGTAGAACTACCATTTGATCCAGCAATCCTACTACTGGGTATCTACCCAAAGGAAAAGATGTCATTATATGAAAAAGACACGTGTACATGCACATTTGCAGCAGCACAATTTGCAACTGCAAAAATATGGAACTGACCCAAACGCCCATTAACCAATGAATGGATAAAAAATGTGAGATAGATATATATATATATATATATATATATATATATATATATACACACACACACATACATATACATATATATATGTATAATGGTATACTACTCAGACATAAAGAAAGAATGTAATAATGGCATTTGCAGCAACCTGGATGGAGTTGGAGAACATTATTCTAATCAAAGTAACTCAGGAATGGAAAACCAAATGTTGTATGTTCTCACTTATAAGTGGGAGCTAAGCTATGAGGATCCAAAGGCATAAAAATGATATAACGGACTTCGGGGACTTGGGGAGAATGGTGGGAGGGGGGTAAGGGATAAAACACTATACATTGGGTACAGTGTACACTGCTTAGGAGATGGGTGCACCAAAGTCTCAGAAATCACCACTAAAGAACTTATCCATGTAACCAAAAAACATCTGTTCCCAGAAAACTATTTAAATAGAAACAAACAAACAACAACAAAATTTCACATTAAGTGAGATTATACAATTGAAAAAAAAAAGAATTCTATGCCAGGTGAAGTGGCTCACGTCTGTAATCCCACCACTTTGGGAGGCCAAGGTGGGTGGATCACAAGGTCAGGAGTTCAAGGCCAGCCTGGCTAACATGGTGAAACCCCGTCTCTACTACAAATACGAAAAGAAATATATTAGCCAGGTGTGGTGGTGGGCACTTGCAATCTCAGCTACTCAAGAGACTGAGGCAGGAGAATCACTAGAACTTGGGAGGTGGAGGTTGCAGTGAGCCGAGATGGTGCCACTGCACTCCAGCCTAGGCAGCAACAGCATAACTCTGTCTAAAGAAAAAAAAAACAGCAGTTCTAGTGATTTTTACACGTTGATTTTATATTCTGAGAATTTGGAATTTGCTGATGTTGTTTATCAGCTTATGGAGCATTTACACAAAGACAATGCGGTTTTCTAGATATAGAATCATGTCATCTCCAAAAAGGGATAGTTTGACTTCCTCTCTTCCTTTTTTCATGCTCTTCATTTATTTCTCTTGCCTGATTGCTCTTGCCAAGACTTCCAATACTATGTTGAATAGGAATGGTGAGAGACGGCATCCTTGTCTTCTGCTGGTTCCCAAAGGGAATGCTTCTATATTTTGCCCATTCAGTGTGATGCTGGCTGTAGGTCTAGCATAGATAACTCTAATTATTTTGGGATATGTTCCTTCAATACATAGTTTACTGAGAGTTTTAAATATGAAAGGGTGTTGAATTCTATCACAAGCCTTTCCTGAATCTATTGAGATGATCATGTGATTTTAGTCTTTAGTTCTGTTTGTATGATGAATCCTGTTTATCCATTTGCATATGTTGAACAAACATTGCATCCCAGGGACAAAGCTTACTTGATCACAGCAGGTGAGCTTTTTGATGTGCTGCTGGATTCATTTGCCTGTGTTTTGTTGATTTTTGCATCAATGTTCATTCAGGATATGGCCTGAAGTTATCTTTCTTCATTGTGTCTGTGCCAGACATTGGTATCAGGAGAATGTTGGCCTCAGAGTGAATTAGTTAGAAGTCCTTTCTTGTCAGTTTTTTTATAAATAGTTTCAGTAGGAATGGTACCAGCTCTTCTTTGTATATCTGCTAGAATTCAACCGTGAATCCATTTGGTCCTGGGCCTTTTTCTGGATGATAGACTTACTGATTCAATTTTGGAGCTTATTATTGGTCTGTTCAGGAATTCAATTTCTTCCTGGCTCAGTCTTGGTAGGATGTATGTGTCCAGGAATTGATCCACTTCTTTTAAATTTTCTAGTTTGTGTGCATACAGGTGTTCATAGTAGTTTCTAATGGTTATTTGTATTTTTGTGGGGTCAGTGATAATATCCCATTTGTCATATCTAATTGTGTATATTTGGATTTTCTCTCTTTTCTTCTTTATCAGTCTATCTAGTGGTCTATTTGTTTTATTACTTTTTTAAAAAAACAAACTCTTAGATTCATTGATCTTTTACATAGACTTTTGTGTCTGAATCTCCTTCAATTAAACTTTAATTTGGGCTATTTCTTGTCTTCTTCTACCTTTGGGATTTGTTTGCTCTGGGTTCTCTTATTCTTTTACTTGAGATGTTAGGTTGTTAAATTGATATGTTTCTAACTTTTTGATGTAGCCATTTTGTGCTATAAATTTCCCTCTTAACACTACAATAGCTGTGCCACAGACATTCTGGTATGTTGTATCTTCATTCTCCTTAGTTTCAAAGAACTTCTTTATTTCAGTCTTAATTTCATTATTTACCTAAAAGTAATTCAGGAGCAGACTATTCAATTTCTGTATAATTGTATGGCTTTGAGTGATATTCTTAGTCTTGATCACTCATTTTATTGTGCTGTGGTCCAAGACAGTGGTTGTTATAATTTTAGTTCTTTTGCATTTGCCAAGGAGTGTTATCTTTCCAATCATGTGGTTGCATTTAAAGTATCTGCCATGTGGTGATGAGAAAAATGTATATTCTCTTGTTTTTTCAGGCTGGAGAGTTCTGAAAATGTCTATCCGGTCCATTTCATCCAGTGCTGAGTTCAGGTCCTGAATATCTTTGTTTATTTTCTCCCTCGATGATCTATCTAATACTGTAAGTGGAATGTTGAGGTCTCCCATTTTTATTGTGTAGGAATCTAAGTCTCCTTGAAGGTCTCTCAGAACTGGCTTTATGCATCTGGGTGCTCCTGTGTTGGATGCATATATATTTAGGATACTGAGGTCTTCTTGTTGAATTGAACCCTTTAACATTATATAATGCCCTTGTCTTTTCTGATATTTGTTGGTTTAAAGTCTGTTCTGTCTGAAATTAGGATTGCAATCTTTGCTTTTTACAGTTTTGCATTTTCTTGGTAGATTTCTCTCCACTGGTTTATTTGGAGCCTATGTGTGTCATTGCATATGAGATGTGTCTTTTGAAGACAGCATATCAATAGCTCTTGCTTTTTTATCCAGCTTGCCACTCTGTGCCTTTTAATTGGAGCATTTAGCTTGTTTACATTCAAGGTTAGTATTTATATGTGGATTTGAATTTGATTCTGTCATTGTGTTGTTAGCTGGTTATTTTGCTGGCTTGTTTGTGTGGCTGCTTTATAGTTTCACTTGTCTGTGTATTTACATGTTTTTATTTATTTATTTATTTATTTATTTATTTTTATTACACTTTAAGTTCTGGGATACATGTGCAGAATGTGCAGGTTTGTTACATAGGTATACATGTGCCATGGTGGTTTGCTGCACCCATCAACCCATCATCTACATTAGGTATTTCTCCTAATGCTATCCCTTCCCTAGCCCCCCACCCCCGACAGGCCCCAGTGTGTGATGTTCTCCTCCCTGTGTCAATGTGTTCTCATTGTTCAACTCCCACTTATGAGTGAGAACATGCAGGGTTTGGTTTTCTGTTCCTGTGTATGTTTGCTGAGAATGATGGTTTCCAGCTTCACCCATGTCCCTGCAAAGGACAAGAGCTCATCATTTTTTATGGCTGCATAGTATTCCATGGTGTATATGTGCCACATTTTCTTTATCCAGTCTATCATTGATGGGCATTTGGGTTGGTTACAAGTCTTGGCTATTGGGAATAGTACTGCAATAAACATACATGTGCATGTGTGTTTCTAGTAGAATGATTTATAATCCTTTGGGTACATACCCAGTAATAGGATTGCTGGGTCAAACGGTATTTCTGGTTCTACATCCTTGAGGAATCACCACACTGCCTTCCACAATGGTTGAACTAATTTACACTCCCACCAACAGTGTAAAAGTGTTCCTATTTCTCCACATCCTCTCCAGCATCAGTTGTGCCTGACTTTTTAATGATTGCCATTCTAACTGGCATAAGATGGTATCTCAGAGAAGAATCAAATAGACACAATAAAAATGATAAAAGGAATATCACCATTGATCACACAGAAATACAAACTGCCATCAGAGAATACTTAAACACCTCTACACAAATAAACTAGAAAATCTAGAAGAAATGGGTAAATTCCTGGACACATACTCCCTCTCAAGACTAAACCAGGAAGAAGTTGAATCCCTGAATAGACCATTAACAAGTTCTGAAATTGAGGCAGTAATTAATAACCTACCAACCGAAAATATCCCAGGACCAGACAGACTCATAGCCGAATTCTACTAGATGTACAAAGAGGAGCTGGAAACATTCCTTCAGAAACTATTCCAAACAATAAAAAAAAGAGGTAATCCTCCCTAACTCATTTTATGAGGCCAGCATCATCCTGATACCAAAACCTGGCAGAGACACAACTAAAGAAGGAAAATTTCAGGCCAATATCCCTGATGAACATTGATGTGAAAATTCTCAATAAAATACTGGCAAACCAAATCCAGCAGCACATCAAAAAGCTTATCCAGCAAGATGAAGTCAGCTTTATCCCTGGGATGCGAGGCTGGTTCAACATACGCAAATCAATAAACGTAATCCATCACATGAGCAGAACAATTGACAAAAACCATATGATTATCTCAATAGATGCAGAAAAGTCCCTCAATAAAATTCAACACCCCTTCATGCTAAAAACTCTCAATAAGCTAGGTATTGATGAAACATATCTCAAAACAATAAGAGCTATTCATGACAAACCCACAGCCAATATCACACGGAATGGGCAACACCTGGAAGCTTTCCCTTTGAAAACCGGCACAAGACAAGGATGGCCTCTCTCACCATTCTTTTTCAACATAGTATTGAAAGTTCCATCCAGGGCAATCAGGCAAGAGAAAGAAATGAAGGGTATTCAAATAGGAAGAGAGAAAGTCAAATTGTCTCTGTTTGCAGATGACATGCTTGTATATTTAAAAAACCTCATCGTCTCAGCCCAAAATTTCCTTAAGGTGATAAGCAACTTCAGCAGAGACTCAGAATACAAAATCAATGTGCAAAAATCATAAGCATTCCTATACACCAATAATAGAGAAGCAAAGAGCCAAATAATGAGTGAACTCCCATTCACAATTGCTACAAAGAAAATAAAATACCTGGGAATACAACTTAAAAGGGATGTGAAGGACTTCTTCAAGGAGAACTACAAACCACTGCTCAAGGAAATAAGAGAGGACACAAAAAAATGGAAAAACATTCCATGTTCATTGATAGGAAGTATCAATATCATGAAAAAGACCATACTGCCCTCAGTAATTTATAGATTCAACGCTATCCCCATCAAGCTACCATTGACATTCTTCACAGAATTAGAAAAAACTACATTTAAAGTTAATATTGTTATGTGTGAATTTGATCCTGTCATTATGATGTTAGCTGGTTATTTTGCTCGTTAGTTGATGCAAATGCTCCAATTAAAAGACACAGACTGGCAAATTGGATAAAGAGTCAAGACCCATCAGTGTGCTGTATTCAGGAAACCCATCTCATGTGCAGAGACACACATAGGCTCAAAATAAAAGGATGGAGGAAGATCTACCAAGCCAATGGAAAACAAAAAAAAGGCAGGGGTTGCAATCCTAGTCTCTGATAAAACAGACTTTAAACCAACAAAGATCAAAAGAGACAAAGAAGGTCATTACATAATGGTAAAGGGATCAATTCAACAAGAAGAGCTAACTATCCTAAATATATATGCACCCAATACAGGAGCACCCAGATTCATAAAGCAAGTCCTGAGAGACCTACAAAGAGACTTAGACTCCCACACATTAATAATGGGAGACTTTAACACCCCACTGTCAACATTAGACAGATCAATGAGACAGAAAGTCAACAAGGATACCCAGGAATTGAACTCAGCTCTGCACCAAGCGGACCTAATAGACATCTACAGAACTCTCCACCCCAAATCAACAGAATATACATTTTTTTCAGCACCACACCACACCTATTCCAAAATTGACCACATAGTTGGAAGTAAAGCTCTCCTCAGCAAATGTAAAAGAACAGAAATTATAACAAACTATCTCTCAGACCACAGTGCAATCAAACTAGAACTCAGGATTAAGAATCTCACTCAAAACCACTCAACTACATGGAAACTGAACAACCTGCTCCTGAATGACTACTGGGTACATAACGAAATGAAGGCAGAAATAAAGATGTTCTTTGAAACCAACGAGAACAAAGACACAACATACCAGAATCTCTGGGACACAGTCAAAGCAGTGTGTAGAGGGAAATTTACAGCACTAAATACCCACAAGAGAAAGCAGGAAAGATCCAAAATTGACACCCTAACATCACAATTAAAAGAACTAGAAAAGCAAGAACAAACACATTCAAAAGCTAGCAGAAAGCAAGAAATAACTAAAATCAGAGCAGAACTGAAGGAAATAGAGACACAAAAAACTCTTCAAAAAATTAATGAATCCAGGAGCTGGTTTTTTGAAAGGATCAACAAAATTGATAGACTGCTAGCAAGACTAATAAAGAAAAAAAGAGAGAAGAATCAAATAGATGCAATAAAAAATGACAAAGGGGATATCACCACCAATCCCACAGAAATACAGACTACCACCAGAGAATACTACAAACACCTCTATGCAAATAAACTAGAAAATCTAGAAGAAATGGATAAATTCCTTCACACATACACTCTCCCAAGACTAAACCAGGAAGAAGTTGAATCTCTGAATAGACCAATAACAGGCTCTGAAATTGTGGCAATAATCAATAGCTTACCAACCAAAAAGAGTCCAGGATCAGATGGATTCACAGCCGAATTCTACCAGAGGTACAAGGAGGAACTGGGACCATTCCTTCTGAAACTATTCCAATCAATAGAAAAAGAGGGAATCCTCCCTAACTCATTTTATGAGGCCAGCATCATCCTGATACCAAAGCCGGGCAGAGACACAACAAAAAAAAGAGAATTTTAGACCAATATCCTTGATGAACATTGATGCAAAAATCCTCAATAAAATACTGGCAAACCGAATCCAGCAGCACATCAAAAAGCTTATCCACCATGATCAAGTGGGCTTCATCCCAGGGATGCAAGGCTGGTTCAATATACGCAAATCAATAAATGTAATCCAGCATATAAACAGAGCCAAAGACAAAAACCACATGATTTTCTCAATAGATGCAGAAAAGGCCTTTGACAAAATTCAACAACCCTTCATGCTAAAAACTCTCAATAAATTAGGTATTGATGGCACAGATTTCAAAATAATAAGAGCTATCTATGACAAACCCACAGCCAATATCATACTGAATGGGCAAAAACTGGAAGCATTCCCTTTGAAAACTGGCAGAAGACAGGGATGCCCTCTCTCACCACTCCTATTCAACATAGTGTTGGAAGTTCTGGCCTGGGCAATCAGGCAGGAGAAGGAAATAACGTGTATTCAGTTAGGAAAAGAGGAAGTCGAATTGTCCCTGTTTGCAGATGACATGATTGTATATCTAGAAAACCCCATTGTCTCAGCCCAAAATCTCCTTAAGCTGATAAGCAACTTCAGCAAAGTCTCAGGATACAAAATCAATGTGCAAAAATCACAAGCATTCCTATACACCAACAACAGACAAACAGAGAGCCAAATCATGAGTGAACTCCCATTCACAATTGCTTCAAAGAGAATAAAATACCTAGGAATCCAACTTACAAGGGATGTGAAGGGCCTCTTCAACGAGAACTACAAACCACTGCTCAAGGAAATAAAAGAGGATACAAACAAATGGAAGAACATTCCATGCTCATGGGTAGGAAGAATCAATATCATGAAAATGGCCATACTGCCCAAGGTAATTTATAGATTCAATGCCATCCCCATCAAGCTACCAATGCCTTTCTTCACAGAATTGGAAAAAACTACTTTAAAGTTCATATGGAACCAAAAAAGAGCCCACATCACCAAGTCAATCCTAAGCCAAAAGAACAAAGCTGGAGGCATCACACTACCTGACTTCAAACTATACTACAAGGCTACAGTAACCAAAACAGCATGGTACTGGTACCAAAACAGAGATATAGATCAATGGAACAGAACAGAGCCCTCAGAAATAACACTGCATATCTACAACTATCTGATCTTTGACAAACCTGAGAAAAACAAGCAATGGGGAAAGGATTCCCTATTTAATAAATGGTGCTGGGAAAACTGGCTAGCCATATGTACAAAGCTGAAACTGGATCCCTTCCTTACACCTTATACTAAAATTAATTCAAGATGCATTAAAGACTTAAACGTTAGACCTAAAACCATAAAAACCCTAGAAGAAAACCTAGGCATTACCATTCAGGACATAGGCATGGGTAAGGATTCATGTCTAAAATACCAAAAGCAATGGCAACAAAAGCCAAAATTGACAAATGGGATCTAATTAAACTAAAGAGCTTCTGCACAGCAAAAGAAACTACCATCAGAGTGAACAGGCAACCTGCAAAATGGGAGAAAATTTTCGCAACCTACTCATCTGACAAAGGGCTAATATCCAGAATCTACAATGAACTCAAACAAATTTACAAGAAAAAAACAAACAACACCATCAGAAATTGGGCGAAGGACATGAACAGACACTTCTCAAAAGAAGACATTTATGCAGCCAAAAAACATGAAAAAATGCTCATCATCACTGGCCATCGGAGAAATGCAAATCAAAACCACAATGATACCATCTCACACCAGTTAGAATGGCGATAATTAAAAAGTCAGGAAACAACAGCTGCTGGAGAGGATGTGGAGAAATAGGAACACTTTTACACTGTTGGTGGGACTGTAAACTAGTTTAACCATTGTGGAAGTCAGTGTGGCGATTCCTCAGGGATCTAGAACTAGAAATACCATTTGACCCAGCCATCCCATTACTGGGTATATACCCAAAGGACTATAAATCATGCTGCTATAAAGACACATGCACAAGTATGTTTATTGCGGCATTATTCACAATAGCAAAGACTTGGAACCAACCCAAATGTCCAACAATGAGAGACTGGGTTAAGAAAATGTGGCACATATACACCATGGAATACTATGCAGCCATAAAAAATGATGAGTTCATGTCCTTTGTAGGGATATGGATGAAATTGGAAACCATCATTCTCAGTAAACTATGGCAAGAACAAAAAACCAAACACCGCATATTCTCACTCATAGGTGGGAATTGAACAATGAGATCACATGGTCACAGGAAGGGGAACATCACACTCTGGGGACTGTTGTGGGGTGGGGGGAGGGGGGGATACCATTGGGAAATATACCTAATGCTAGATGACGAGTTAGTGGGTGCAGCACACCAGCATGGCACATGTATGCATATGTAACTAACCTGCACAATGTACACATGTACCCTAAAACTTAAAGTATAATAATAAAAAATTAAAAAAAAGAACCAAAAAAAAAAGAATTAGAAAAAACTCCTTTAAATTTCATATGGAACCAAAAAAGAACCCGTATAGCCAAGACAATCCTAAGCAAAAAGAACAAGGCTGGAGGCATCACACTACCTGACTTCAAAGTATACTACAAGGCTACAGTAACCAAAACAGCATGGTACTGGTACCAAAACAGATATATAGACCAATGGATCAGAACAGAGGCCTCAGAAATAATGCCACACATCTACATCAAAAACCATCTGATCTTTGACAAACCTGACCAAAACAAGCAATGGGGAAAGGATTCACTATTTAATAAATGTTGTTGGGAAAACTGGCTAGCCATAAGCAGAAAACTGAAACTGGACCCCTTCCTTACACCTTATACAAAAATTAACTCAAGATGGATTAAAGACTTAAATGTATGGTTTTAAACCATAAAAACCCTCGAAGAAAACCTAGACAATACCATTCAGGACATAGGCATGGGCAAAGACTTCATGACTGAAACACCAAAAGCAATGGCAACAAAGGCAAAAATTGACAAATGGAATCCAATTAAACTAAAGAGCTTCTGTACAGCAAAAGAAACTATCATCAGAGTGAACAGGAAACCTACAGAATGGGAGAAAATTTTTGCAATATATCCATCTGACAAAGGGCTAGTAAGCAGAATCTACAAGGAACTTAAACAAATTTACAAGAAAAAACAAACAACCACATCAAAAAGTGGGCAAATGATATGAACAGACACTTCTCAAAAGAAGACATTTATGCAGCCAACAAACATATGAAAAAAAGCTCATCATCACTGGTCATTAGAGAAATGCATGTTTTTGTAGTGGCTGGTAATGGCCTTTCCTTTGTAAATTTAGTGCTCTATTCAAGATCCCTTGTAAGGCATGTCTGGTGGAAACATGCTCCTTCAATATTTGATTATCTGAAAAGGATTCTATTTCTCCTTCACGTAGGATGCTTACTTTGGCTGGATATGAAATTCTTGGTGAAATATTTTTTTCTATAAGAATGTTGAATATAGGCCCCCTACCTCTTCTGGCTTGTAGGGTTTCAGCTGAGAGATTCGTTGTTACACTAATATTCTTTTGTAAATGACCTGCCCTTTCTCTCTTGCTGCCTTTAACATTCTTTCTTTCATTTTGACCTCAGAAAATCTGATTATTATGTATCTTAGGGATGATCTTCTTTGTTAGAGTCTTGCAGTTGTTCTCAGTATTTCCTGAATATGACCATTGTCCTCTCTAGCAGGGTTGAGGACATTTTCATGGATGGTATCCTGAAATATGTTTTCCAAGTTGTTTGCTTTCTTCCCTTCCCTTTTAGGGGTGCCAATGATCCATAGATTTGGCTTCTTTACATAATTCCATATTTCTCAGAGGTTTTGTTCATTCCTTTTTATTCATTTTTCTTTATTTTTGTCTGACTTTCTTATTTCAGACAGCAGGATTCAAATTCTAAGATTATTTTCTCAGCTTGATCTATTCTGCTATTAATACTTGTGATTGCATTGTGAAAATCTTGTATTGTGTTTTTCAGCTCTGTCAGATCTGTTAGGTTCTTTTTTATGCCAGCTATTTTATCCCTCAGTTCCTGTAACATTTTATTGTGATTCTTAGTTTCCTTAGTTTCCCTGAATGGGTTTTACCATTCTGCTGAATCTCAATGATCTTCATTCCTACTCAATTTTATTTCTGTCATTTTCCCCAGCTCAGCTTGGTTAAGAACCCTTGTTGGAGAACAGGTGTTTGGAGGACATATGACATTCTGATTATTTGAGTTAATAGAGTTCTTGCACTGGTTCTTTCTCATCTCTGTGTATGGGTGTTCCTTTAACTGCAGTGTAGATTTAGTACAGTCAATAGACTTCTTTTCTGGATGTTTTCACAGGGCTGAGGCTTTGTACAGGGTCTGTATTTGTAGTTGACTTCTTGTGTTTGTTTTCACAAGGCAATATGTTAGTGAGGTATTTTTGATGTTGAAACTTTGTAATGTGATCCAGTAAGTGGTGCTTAGGTGTATTGGTCAGTTGGTAGGTTCTTGTTTGGCCATGTGACTCCCCTATATTTCCTCAGAGTTGCAACTGTGCTTCTTCTCAATGCTTTGAAAGTGTTGGCTCCTCTTCCCATTGAGTGCTGGCTGCAGATCATGGCTTGGCACTCCTAGGCTGCCTACTGAAGCTCTGGGGCAATCTCGGGGTTTATCTTTCTTTCCCAACTTGTAAGCAGCAGAGAAAGGGACCTTAGTGGTGGCTGTGGCCAAGGGTCTTTCGCTTGTCTCATAGGGGCTCCACCCCAGAGAGATGCAGATCAGCAATCATTCTGTGCAATCATCCCAGGATGGGGAATCTGTGCTGTGGGCCCAAGCCAAGGGTTTCCCATCTAGTAATGAGCAGGGGGAGTGGGTGGGACCCATGGGAGATAGACTAGACTCTTCTCCTTGGGTTGACTGCAGTTTGTTGGAGGTGTGAATAAGTCACTTGGGGTCTTTGATTAGTTCCTACCCTCATTAGTCTGATGGTAGAAAGGGCAGTTCCTGCAGAGGCAGTGGCAGAGAGGCTTTCAGTTGCCCCTGGGGGCTCCACCTCCAAGAAATGTGCAGCTACTGTTATTGGGGGTGTTCGGCCGATGGAGTTGGGCAACTGCACTGCTGGTGTGAGCTTGGGACTCCACTTGCTGGGGAGCAGGGGGTCAAAGGCTCACAGAGAGGAAAGATTGGTCTCCTTTACATATGGTAGCTGTGGCATGCTGTAAACTTGGATGTAGCCATCAAGCTCTTTGTTTTTTCCACAGCCAAGGGCAGGAGGGATAGAATTGTTACTATGGCAGTGGCAAAGGGGGTGTCATATGCTTCTGGGAGCCTCTCCCTAGGGGTAACTCCAGGCCACTACAAGTGGGTATGCTCAACAATGGGTGGGGTGACTGTTCTTCATTCATGAGCCAGGGCCCTGCCTGGTGAAGAGTGGGGGTAGTGGTTCCCAGGGGAGAGGCACTATACTCCTCTCTGTATAGTGTCTGCAGTGTGCTGGAGGTGCCAGCATAGTGACTAGACCCTTTGTTCCTTCCCAGTCCAAGGACTGTTAGGGCTGTACCACTCCAGCTGTAGTGGTGGAGGGGTTGTGGGTTGACTTTGGGATTTTCTCCTTAGAGAAATGCTGGGATGCCTCTGATTGCAGTGTCAGTCAGAGGCAACATGGTTTTGCTGAAGTCTCAGGTCAGGCAGCCCTGCCCAGTAAGGAAAAGTGAGGATCAAGATATGCGTAGAACAGTCTGGCCACTTTTCTGTTAAGTGTTCACTCTGCTCTGGAGGTCCAGATGAGCCCCTTGTCCCCAAGCCTGGAAACAGCAAGGGCAAGTACTGAAAGAAAGCAAAGATGGCAACCCAGCCCTCCCAGTGGGAGCTGTGTCCAGGGAGTTGCAGAGCTGCTACTGGCTTAATAGCTCTGGTGGGGGGTGGCTGGAGGCCCAGGCATGGAGGACCTGCCCAGTGAGTGGATGTAGGACAGGACCCCACATAACAGTCTGGCCACTTTTCCATAGGGCTGCTACGGTATGCTGGGGGTCTGCTTCAATCTCTAGTCACCTCAGGTTTTCCAGTAGCTGAAGGTATTAACAGTGAAGGCTGTGACAAAGCAAATATGGCAGCCTGCCCCTCCCTCTGAGAGCTCTATCCCAGGGAGGTATGGACCTGTGGCCACCTGTAACGCACCTGTAGGAGGTGGTTGGAGACCCCGGTTGGGTGGTCCTGCCCAGTGAGGAAGAATGAGACCTGGGACCCACTTGAAACAGCAGTCTGGCCACATTTTCATAGAGCAGCTGTGCTGTGCTGGGGGTCTTCTTCAGCCCCCAGTTGTCTCAGACTCTCCAAAGACCAAGGGCAAGAATTGCTAAGTTGGCCAAACAGCAAAGATGACAGTTGGCCAAACAGCAAAGATGACCCCCTTCCTCTGGGAGCTCCATCCCAGGGGGGTTTAAAATCTCTGTCCGCTCAAAACCCCGGCAGGGTTAGCTGGAGACCCTGGTCAGGAGGTCCCACCCAGTGAGAAAGAACAGGATTGGGGGCCCACTTAAAACAGCATTCTGGCCACATTTTTGTAGAGCAGCTGTGCTGTGCTGTGGGTCCGCTCCAGCCCCCAGTTGCCTTGGTCTCTCGAAAGCCTGAAGGTAAGAACAGCTAAGTCAGCCAAACAGCAAAGATGGTGGCCCATAGCTCCATCCCAGGGAGGCTGGAAACCTCTGTTGGCCAGAAAACACCAGTGGAGGTTACTGGAAACCCTGGCTGGGAGAATCTGCCCAGTGAAGAGAAACAGGATTTGGGAACTGTGTGAATAAGCAGTCTGGCCATTTCCCTGTAGAGCTGCTTGGCTGTGCTGGGAATTGCTCCAGTGCCTAGTTGCCTCTGACTCACTAGAGCCCTAAGGCAAGAGTAGCTGAGGCTGTGAAACAGCAGAGATGGTGGCCCATCCCTCCCTCTGGGCACTTCATTTCAAGGAAGTGTAAGCCACTGCTGCCAGTGGCTCACTGGTTTTCCAAGCCAGTGGGTCTTATTCTGCGAAGTAGTATGGAAGTGGGGTCTGCATACCATTGCTGCTCTGTTCCCTGAATTCAGTCCCTTTCTAAGGAGTATGTATGGGGGTCTAACCTCCTGCTTTTCCAGAGTTACAGCCACTTTTGCTGGAAAGCATAGATATCTAAGGCCCCTGAGGCATGTGCCTGAGCTGCTTCTCTGCCAAGACTCCGTATGTGTCAGACTGAAGGCACTGGTGGAGTCGGTTCACAAGGAGATCTTCTAACCCAAGAGTTGCAAAGATCTGTGGGAGAAGATCTTTGTGGGTTCCCCTGATCACTCATTCACTCACTGCTTCCCTATGCAAGGAAGGTTCCCCTGGCTCCGTGTCACTCCCAGGTGGGTAGTCATTCTGCCTTGCTTTTTCTCCACTCTCCATGGGTTGAGTTGTTTCCTTGATTAGTCACAACGTGTGTACATGGATGTTTCAGTTGAAGGTGCTGTATTTGCTCACCCCTTCCATTCCTCTCCATCTGAGTGGTACACACTAGCTGCTTCTACTCAGACATCTTGGCCACCCCCTTATGATTTCAATTTTTAAAAATTTGTTGAAATTAGTTGTTGTGGCCTAATATATAGTCTATACTAGACAATGTTCCATATCCTGAAGACAAGAATATTCTGAAGCCTTTGAATGAAATGTTCTGTACATATCTGTTAGGTATATTTGGTTTAAAGTACAGTCAAGTCCAATATTTCTTTGTTGATTTCCCATCAAGTTGACCTGTCCAATGCTGAGAGAGGGGTATTGGGAGTCTCCAACTATTATTATATTGGACTCTATCTCTTCCCTTAGAGGTGCTTTGGTGTTGGGTGCATATATAATTAGAATTGTTATATCCTTTTGCTAAATTCATCCTTGTATCATTATATAATGACCTCCTTTGTCCTTTTGTTACTGGTTTTGACTTAAATTCTGTTTTATGTGCTGTATCTGTTTGCATGAAATATTGTTTCCTATCCCTTAGCTTTCAGTCTATATGTCCTTACAAGTTAAATGAGTTTCTTCTAGGAAGCATAAATTGGGTCTTTTTTTACACATTTCAACCAGTCTATACGTTTTAAGTGGGGAAATTAATCTGTTTACATTCAAGATTATAATTGATAGTTGAGGAGTTATTGCTGTCATATTTGTTAATTCTTTTTTGATTTTTAGTATGTTCTTTGTTCTTTTATTCTCTCTTAATGTTTAACATTGTAGTTTGGCGGTTTTCTGCCGTGTAACATTTGATTTCTTTCTCATTTGTGTGTCTGCTCTATCAGTAAGTTTTTTTTTTTTCAATATGTATGGATTTCATTGCTTTTTATGGCCCCATTGCAGTGTCTAGAACTTTCAGGACTATGTTGAATAAGAGGGATAAAAGTGGACATCTTTGCTTTGTTTCTGATCTTTTATTTTTATTTTACTTTAACTTCTGGGATACAAGTGCAGAACATGTAGGTTATATAGGTATACGTGTGCCATGGTGGTTTGCTGAACCTATCAACCCATCATCTAGGTTTTAAGTCCTGCATGCATTTGCTATTTATTCTAATGCTCTCTATCCCCCCTCCCCCCACACCCCAACTGGCCCTGGTGTTTGTTGTTCCCCTCCCTGTGTCCATGTGCTCTCATTATTCAACTCCCGCTTATAAGTGAGAACATGCAGTGTTTGGTTTTCTGTTGCTGTGTTAGTTTGCTGAGAATGATGGCTTCCAGCTTCATCCATGTCCCTGAAAAGAACATGATCTTGTTCCTTTTTATGCCTCCATAGTATTCCATGGTATATAAGCACCACATTTTCTTAATCCAGTCTATCATTGATAGGCATTTGGGTTGATTCCATGTATTTGCTATTGTAAATAGTGCTGCAATAAACATATGTATGCATGCATCTTTATAGCAGAATGATTTATAATCCTTTGGACATATCCAGTAATAGGATTGCTGGGCCAAATAGTATCTCTGGTTCTAGACCGTTGAGGAATTGCCACACTGTCTTTCACAATGGTTGAACTAATTTACATTCCCACCAAAAGTGTAAAGGCATTCCTGCTTCTCCACAGCCTTGCCAGCATCTATTGTTCTTGACTTTTTAATAATCACCATTCTGACTGGTGTGAGATGGTATCTCATTGTGGTTTTGATTTGCATTTCTCTAATTATCAGTGATGTTTCACTTTCTGTCATGTTTGTTGGCTGCATAAATGTCTTCTTTTGAGAATTGTCTGTTCATACAATTTGCCCACTTTTTGATGGGATTTTTTTCTTGTAAATTTGTTTAAGTTCCTTGTAGATTCTAGATATTAGACCTTTGTCAGATGGATATTTGCAAAAATTTTCTCCCATTCTGTAGGTTGCCTGTTCACTCTGATGATAGTTTCTTTTGCTGTGCAGAAGCTCTTTAATTTAGTTAGATGCTGTTTGTTAATTTTGGCTTTTGTTGCAATTGCTTTCGGCATCTTCATCATGAAGTCTTTGCCCACACCTATGTCCTGAATGGTATTGCCCAGGTTTTCTTCTAGGGTTTTTATGGTTTTGGGTTTTATATTTAAGTCTTTAATCCATCTTGAACTAATTTTTATAAGGTTTAAGGAAGGGGTCCAGTTTCAATTTTCTGCATATGGCTAGCTAGTTTCCCCCAGCACCATTTGTTAAATAGGGAATCCTTTCCCCATTGCTTGTTTTTGTCAGGTTTGTCGAAGATCAGATGATTGCAGATGTGAAGTCTTATTTTTGAGGTCTCTGTTCTGTTACATTGATCTACATATTTCTTTCTCTTTACCAGAACCATGCTGTTTTGGTTACTGTAGGCTTGTAGTATTGTTTGAAGTCAGATAGTATAGTGCCTCCTGCTTCGTTATTTTTGCTTAGGGTTGTCTTGGCTATACAGGCTCTTCTTTGGTTCCATATGAAATTTAAAGTAGTTTTTTTTCTAATTCTGTGAAGAATGTCAATGGTAGTTTGATGGGAATAGCATTAAATCTATAAATTACTTTGGGCAATATGGCCATTTTCATGATATTGATTCTTCCTATCAATGAGCATGGAATGTTTTTCCATTTTTTTGTGTCCTCTCTTATTTCCTTGAGCAGCAGTTTGTAGTTCTCCTTGAAGAGGTCCTTCACATCCCTTGTTAGCTGTATTTTTAAGTATTTTATTCTCTTTGTAGCAATTGTGAATGGGAGTTCACTCATGATTCGGCTCTCTGTTTGTCTGTTATTGGTATACGGGAATGCTTGTGAGTTTTGCACATTTATTTTGTATCCTAAGTCTTTGCTGAAGTTGCTTATCAGTTTAAGGAGTTTTTGGGCGGAGACGATGGGGTTTTCTAAATATGGAATCATGTCTTCTGCAATCAGAGGCACTTTGACTTCCTCTCTTCCTATTTGAATACATTTTATTTCTTTCTCTTGCCAGATTGCCCTGGACAGAACAACCAATACTATGTTGAATAAGAGTGGTGAGAGTGGGCATCCTTGTCTTGTGCCGGTTTTCAAAGGGAATGCTTCCAGCTTTTCACCATTCAATATGATATTGGCTGTGGGTTTGTCAGAAATAGCTCTTATTATTTTGAGATACATTCCATCAATACCTAGTTTATTGAGAGTTTTTAGCATGAAGGGGTGTTGAATTTTATTGAGGGACTTTTCTGCATCTATTGAGATAATCACGTGGTTTTTGTCATTGGCTCTGTTCCTATGATGGATTACATTTATTGATTTGTGTATGTTGAACCAGCCTTGCAGCCCAGGGATGAAGCTGACTTGATCGTGGTGGATAAGCTTTTTGATGTGCTGCTGGATTTGGTTTGCCAGTATTCTATTGAGGATTTTCTCATCGATGCTTATTAGGTATATTGGCCTGAAGTTTTCTTTTTTTAGTCGTGTCTCTGCCAGGTTTTGGTATCAGGATGATGCTGGCCTCATAAAATGAGTTAGGAAGAAGTCTCTCCTTTTTAACTCTTTGGAATAGCTTCAGAAAGAATAGTATCAACTCCTCTTTGTACCTCTAGTAGAATCTGGCTGAATTGGCCTGTCCTGGTGTTTTTTTGGTTGGTAGGCTATTAATTACCGCCTCAATTTCAGAACTTGTTATTCAGGGATTTGACTTCTTCCTGGTTTAGTCTTGGGAAGGAGTATGTGTTTAGGAATTCATCCATTTCTTCTAGATTTTCTAGTTTATTTGCATAGAGCTGTTTACAGTATTCTCTGATAGTAGTTTGTATTTCTGTGGGGTCAGTGGTGACATCCCCTTCATCATTTTTTATTGTGTAGATACGATTCTTCTCTCTTTTCTTCTGTATTAGTCTAGCTAGTGGAGTATCTATTTTTGTTAATTTTTTCAAAAAGCTCCTGTATTCATTGATTTTTTTGGCATGTTTTTTGTGTCTCTATCCCCTTCAGTTCTGCTCTGATCTTAGTTCTTTCTTGTTTTCTGCTAGCTTTTGGATTTGTTTGCTTTTCCTTCTCTAGGTCTTTTTATTGTGATGTTAGGTTGTGAATTTGAGATCTTTCTAGCTTTCTGATGTGGGCATTTACTGCTATAAATTTCCCTCAACACTGCTTTAGCTGTGTCCCTGAGATTCTCCTAAGTTGTCTTTTTGTTCTCATTGGTTTCAAAGACCTTCTTGATTTCTGCCTTAATGTCATTGTTTATCCAGAGTCATTCAGGAGCAGGTTGTTCAATTTCCATGTAATTGTGTGATTTTGAGTGAGTTTCTTAATCCTGAGGTCTAATTTGATTGCACTGTGGTCTGAGGGGCTGTTATGATTTCAGTTCTTTTGCATTTGCTGAGGAGTGTTTTACTTCCAATTATGTGGTTGATTTTAGAATAAGTGCCATGCAGTAATGAGAAGAATGTAGATTCTGTTGATTTGGGGTGGAGAGTTCTGTAGATGTCTGTTAGGTCCACTTGATCCAGAGCTGAGTTCAAGTCCTGAATATCCTTGTTAATTTTCTTTCTTGGTGATCTGTCTAATATTGACATTGGGATATTAAAATCACCCACTATTATTGTGTCAGAGTCTAAGTCTCCTTTGTAGGTCTCCAAGAACTTGTTTTATGAATCTGGGTGCTCCTGTATTGGGTGTATATATATTTAGGGTAGTTAGCTCTTCTTGTTAAATTGATTTCTCTTTTTTTTTAATGTTTTCAGTTGAGTAATAAGTGTTTTATTCTTTATTTAAAATTTTATTATTATTATACTTTAAGTTTTAGGGTACATGTGCACAACGTGCAGGTTTGTTACATATATATACATGTGCCATGTTGGTGTGCTGCACCCATTAACCCGTCATTTAACATTAGATATATCTCCTAATGCTATCCCCCCTCCCCCCACCCCACAACAGTCCCCGGTGTGTGATGTTCCCCTTCCTGTGTCCATGTGTTCCCATTGTTCAATGCCCACCTATGAGTGAGAACATGTGGTGTTTGGTTTTTTGTCCTTGCAATAGTTTGCTGAGAATGATGGTTTCCAGCTTCATCCATGTCCCTACAAAGGACATGAACTCATCATTTTTATGGCTGCATAGCATTCCATGGTATATATGTGCCACATTTTCTTAATCCAGTCTATCATTGTTGGACATTTGGGTTGGTTCCAAGTCTTTGCTATTGTGAATAGTGCCACAATAAACATACTTGTGCATGTGTCTTTAGAGCAGCATGATTTATAGTCCTTTGGTTATATACCCAGTCATGGGATGGCTGGGTCAAATGGTATTTCTAGTTCTAGATCCCTGAGGAATCGCCACACTGACTTCCACAATGGTTGAACTAGTTTACAGTCCCACCAACAGTGTCAAAGTGTTCCTATTTCTCCACATCCTCTCCAGCACCTGTTGCTTCCTGACTTTTAAATGATCACCATTCTAACTGGTGTGAGATGATATCTCATTGTGGTTTTGATTTGCATTTCTCTGATGGCCAGTGATAATGAGCATCTTTTCATGTGTCTTTTGGCTGCATAAATGTCTTCTTTTGAGAAGTGTCTGTTCATATCCTTCACCCACTTTTTGATGGGGTTGTTTTTTTCTTGTAAATTTGTTTGATTTCTTTGTAGATTCTGGATATTAGCCCTTTGTCAGATGAGTAGATTGTAAAAATTTTCTCCCATTCTGTAGGTTGCCTGTTCACTCTGATTGTAGTTTCTTTTGCTGTGCAGAAGCTCTTTAGTTTAATTAGACCCCATTTGTCAATTTTGGCTTTTGTTGCCATTGCTTTTGGTGTTTTAGACATGAAGTCCTTGCCCATGCCTATGTCCTGAATGGTATTGCCTAGGTTTTCCTCTAGGGTTTTTATGGTTTTAGGTCTAACATTTAAGTCTTTAATGCATCTTGAATTAATTTTTGTATAAGGTGTAAGGAAGGTATCCAGTTTCAGCTTTCTACATATGGCTAGCCAGTTTTCCCAGCACCATTTATTAAATAGGGAATCCTTTCCCCATTTCTTGTTTTTCTAAGGTTTGTCAAATATCAGGTAGTTGTAGATATGTGGCATTATTTCTGAGGGCTCTGTTCTGTTCTATTGGTCTATATCTCTGTTTTGGTACCAGTACCATGCTGTTTTGGTTACTGTAGCCTTGTAGTATAGTTTGAAGTCAGGTAACGTGATGCCTCCAGCTTTGTTCTTTTGGCTTACGATTGACTTGGCAATGCAGGCTCTTTTTTGGTTCCATATGAACTTTAAAGTAGTTTTTTCCAATTCTGTGAAGAAAGTCATTGGTAGCTCGATGGGGATGGCATTGAATCTATAAACTACCTTGGGCAGTATGGCCATTTTCACGATATTGATTCTTCCTACCCATGAGCATGGAATGTTCTTCCATTTGTTTGTATCCTCTTTTATTTCATTGAGCAGTGGTTTGTAGTTCTCCTTGAAGAGGCCCTTCACATCCCTTGTAAGTTGGATTCCTAAGTATTTTGTTCTCTTTGAAGCAATTGTGAATGTGAGTTCACTCATGATTTGGCTCTCTGTTTGTCTTTTATTGGTGTATAAGAATGCTTGTGATTTTTGTACATTGATTTTGTATCCTGAGACTTTGCTGAAGTTGCTTATCAGCTTAAGGAGATTTTGGGCTGAGACAATGGGGTTTTCTAGATATACAATCATGTCATCTGCAAACAGGGACAATTTGACTTCCTCTTTTCCTAATCGAATGCCGTTTATTTCCTTCTCTTGCCTGATTGCCCTGGCCAGAACTTCCAACACTATGTTGAATAGGAGTGGTGAGAGAGGGCATCCCTGTCTTGTGCCAGTTTTCAAAGGGAATGCTTCCAGTTTTTGTCCATTCAGTATCATATTGGCTGTGGGTTTGGCTTAGATAGCTCTTATTATTTTGAGATACGTCCCATCAATACCTAATTTATTGAGAGTTTTTAGCATGAAGGGTTGTTGAATTTTGTCAAAGGCCTTTTCTGCATCTATTGAGAGAATCATATGGTTTTTGTCTTTGGCTCTGTTCATATGCTGGATTACATTTATTGATTTTCATATGTTAAATCAGCCTTGCATCCCAGGGATAAAGCCCACTTGATCATGGTGGATAAGCTTTTTGATGTGTTGCTGGATTTGGTTTGCCAGTATTTTATTGAGAATTTTTGCATCAATGTTCATCAAGGATATTGGTCTAGAATTCTCTTTTTTTGTTGTGTCTCTGCCAGGCTTTGGTATCAGGATGATGCTGGCCTCATAAAATGAGTTAGGGAGGATTCCCTCTTTTTCTATTGATTGGAATAGTTTCAGAAGGAATGGTACCAGCTCCTCCTTTTACCTCTGGTAGAATTCGGCTGTGAATCCATCTGGTCCTGGAGTTTTTTTGGTTGGTAAACTATTAATTATTGCCTCAATTTCAGATCCTGTTATTGGTCTATTCAGAGATTCAACTTCTTCCTGGTTTAGCCTTGGCAGAGTGTATGTGTCGAGGAATTTATCCATTTCTTCCAGATTTTCTAGTTTATTTGCATAGAGGTGTTTATAGTATTCTCTGATGGTAGTTTGCATTTCTGTGGGATCAGTGGTGATATCCCCTTTGTCATTTTTTACTGCTTCTATTTGATTCTTCTCTCTTTTCTTCTTTATTAGTCTTGCTAGCAGTCTATCAATTTTGTTGATCTTTTCAAAAAACCAGCTCCTGGATTCATTGATTTTTTGAAGGGTTTTTTGTGTCTCTATTTCCTTCAGTTCTGCTCTGATCTTAGTTATTTCTTGCCTTCTGCTAGCTTTTGAATGTGTTTGTTCTTGCTTCTCTAGTTCTTTTAATTGTGATGTTAGAGTGTCAATTTTGGATCTTTCCTGCTTTCTCTTGTGGGCATTTAGTGCTATAAATTTCCCTCTACACACTGCTTTGACTGTGTCCCAGAGATTCTGGTATGTTGTGTCTTTGTTCTCATTGGTTTCAAAGAACATCTTTATTTCTGCCTTCATTTCGTTATGTACCCAGTAGTCATTCAGGAGTAGGTTGTTCAGTTTCCATGTAGTTGAGCGGTTTTGAGTGAATTTCTTAATCCTGAGTTCTAATTTGATTGCACTGTGGTCTGAGAGACAGTTTGTTATAATTTCTGTGCTTTTACATTTGCTGAGGAGTGCTTTACTTCCAACTATGTGGTCAATTTTGGAATAGGTGTGGTGTGGTGCTGAAAAGTATGTATATTCTATTGATTTGGGGTGGAGAGTTCTGTAGATGTCTATTAGGTCCACTTGGTGCGGAGCTGAATTCAGTTCCTGGATTTCCTTGTTAACTTTCTGTCTCATTGATCTGCCTAATGTTGACAGTAGGGTGTTAAAGTCTCCCATTATTATTTTGTGGGAGTCTAAGTCTCTTTGTATGTCACTAAGGACTTGCTTTATGAATCTGGGTGCTCCTGTATTGGGTGCATATATATTTAGGATAGTTAGCTCTTCTTGTTGAATTGATCCCTTTACCATTATGTAATGGCCTTCTTTGTCTCTTTTGATCTTTGTTGGTTTAAAGTCTGTTTTATCAGCGACTAGGATTGCAACCCCTGCCTCTTTTTGTTTTCCATTTGCTTGGTAGATCTTCCTCCATCCCTTTATTTTGAGCCTATGTGGGTCTCTGCACATGAGATGGGTTTCCTGAATACAGCACACTGATGGGTCTTGACTCTTTATCCAATTTGCCAGTCTGTGCCTTTTAATTGGAGCATTTAGCCCATTTATATTTAAGGTTAGTATTGTTATGTGTGAATGTGATCCTGTCATTATGATGTTAGCTGGTTATTTTGCTCGTTAGTTGATGCAGTTTCTTCCCAGCCTCGACGGTCTTTACAATTTGGCATGATTTTACAGTGGCTGGTACTGGTTGTTCCTTTCCATGTTTAGTGCTTCCTTCAGGAGCTCTTTTAGGGCAGGCCCGGTGGTGACAAAATCTCTCAGCATTTGGTTGTCTGTAAAGTATTTTATTTCTCCTTCACTTATGAAGCTTAGTTTGGCTGGATATGACATTCTGGGTTGAAAATTCTTTTCTTCAAGAATTTTGAATATTGTCCCCCACTCTCTTCTGGCTTGTAGAGTTTCTGCAAAGAGATCCGCTGTTAGTCTGATGGGCTTCCCTTTGTGGGTAACCCGACCTTTCTCTCTGGCTGCCCTTAATATTTTTTCCTTCATTTCAACTTTGGTGAATCTGACAATTATGTGTCTTGGAGTTGCTCTTCTAGAGAAATATCTTTGTGGCATTCTCTGTATTTCCTGAATTTGAATGTTGGCCTGCCTTGCTAGATTGGGGAAGGTCTCCTGGATAATATCCTGCAGAGTGTTTTCCAACTTTTTTCCATTCTCCCTGTCACTGTCAGATACACCAATCAGATGTAGATTTGGTCTTTTCACATAGTTCTATATTTCTTGGAGGCTTTGTTCATTTCTTTTTATTCTTTTTTCTCTAAACTTCTCTTCTCGCTTCATTTCATTCATTTCATCTTCCATCACTGATACCCTTTCTTTCAGTTGATCGCATCGGCTACTGAGGCTTGTGCATTTGTCAGGTAGTTCTCATGCCTTGGTTTTCAGCTCCATCAGGTCCTTTAAGGACTTCTCTGCATTGGTTATTCTAGTTATCCATTCGTCTAATTTTTTTTTCAAAGTTTTTAACTTCTTTGCCATGGGTTCGAACTTCCTCCTTTAGCTCAGAGTAGTTTCATCTTCTGAAACCTTCTTCTCTCAACTCGTCAAAGTCATTCTCCATCCAGCTTTGTTCCATTGCTGGTGAGGAGCTGTGTTCCTTTGGAGGAGGAGAGGCACTCTGATTTTTAGAGTTTCTGGTTTTTCTGCTCTGTTTTTTTCCCATCTTTGTGGTTTTATCTACCTTTGGTCTTTGATGATGGTGACATACAGATGGATTTTTGGTGTGGATGTCCTTTCTGTTTGTTAGTTTTCCTTCTAACAGTCAGGACCCTCAGCTGCAGGTCTGTTGGAGTTTGCTGGAGGTCCACTCCAGACCCTGTTTGCCTGGGTATCAGCAGCGGTGTCTGCAGAACAGCAGATATTGGTGAACCGCAAATGCTGCTGCCTGATTGTTCCTCTGGAAGTTTTGCCTCAGAGGAGTACCCGGCCGTGTGAGGTGTCAGTCCACCCCTACTGGGGGGTGCCTCCCAGTCAGGCTACTCGGGAGTCAGGGACCCACTTGAGGAGGCAGTCTGCCCATTCTCAGATCTCAAGCTGCATGCTGGGAGAACCATTACTCGCTTCAAAGCTGTCAGACGGGGACATTTAAGTCTGCAGAGGTTACTGCTGCCTTTTGTTTTTCTGTGCCCTGCCCCCAGAGGTGGAGCCTACAGCGGCAGGCAGCCCTCCTTGAACTGTGGTGGTCTGTTCGAGCTTCCCGGCTGCTTTGTTTACCTACTCAAGCCTCCGCAATGGCGGGTGCCGCACCCCCAGCCTCCATGCTGCCTTGCAGTTTGATCTCATACTGCTGTGCTGGCAATGAGTGAGGCTCCATGGGTGTAGGACCCTCTGAGCCATGTGTGGGATATAATCTCCTGGTGTGCTTTTTGTTAAGCCCATTGGAAAAGTGCAGTATTAGGGTGGTAGTGACCCGATATTCCAGGTGCCATCTGTCACCCCTTTCTTTGACTAGGAAAGGGAATTCCCTGACCTCTTCCACTTTCCAGGTGAGGTGATGCCTTGCCCTGCTTCGGCTCATGCGCAGTGCACTGCACCCACTGTCCTGCACCCACTGTCTGGCACTCCCCTGTGAGATGAACCCGGTACCTCAGTTGGAAATGCAGAAATCACCCATCTTCTGTGTCACTCATGCTGGGAGCTGTAGACTGGAGCTGTTCCTATTCGGTCATCTTGGCTCCACCCCCCAAAATTGATTTCTTTACTGTTATGTAATGACCTTCTTTCTTTTTTGACTTTTGTTGGTTTAAAGTCTGTTGTGTCAGAGACTAGGATTGCAACCCCTGCTTTTTTTTTCTTTCCATTTGCTTGATAAATTTTCCTCCATCCCTTTATTTTGAGCCTATGTGTGTCTTTGCATGTGAGATAAGTCTCCTGAATACAACATACTGATGGGGCTTGACACTTTGCAAGTCTGTGTCTTTTAGTTGGGGCCTTCAGCCCATTTACATTTAAAGTTAATATTATTATGTGTAAAGTTAATCCTATTGTAATGATGCTAGCTGGTTATTTTGAACACTAGTTGTTGCAGTTTCTTCATAGTGTCATTGGCCTTTATATTTTGGTGTGTTTTTGCAGCGGCTGGTACCAGTTTTTCTTTCCATATTTAGTGCTTTCTTCAGGAGCTCTTACAAGGCGGGCTCAGTGGTCACGAAATCCTTCAACATTTGCTTGTCTGAAAAGGAGTTTATTTCTCCTTTGCTCATGAAGCTCAGTTTGGCTGGATATGAAATTCTGGGTTGAATTTTTTTTAATGTTGAATATTGGTCCCCAGTCTTTTCTGGCTTGTAGCATTTCTGCTGAGAGGTACACAGTTAGTCTGATGGGTTTGCCTTTGTAGCTGACTTGGCCCTTCTCTCTGGCTGCCCTTAACATTTTTTCCTTCATTCGACCTTGGAGAATGTAATGATCATGTGTCTTGGGGTTGCTCTTCTCGAGGAATATCTTTGTGGTGTTCTCTGTATTTCCTGAATTTGAATGTTGGCCTGTCTTGCTAGGTTGGGGAAGTTCTCTTGGATAACATCCTGAAGTGTGTTTTCCAACTTGGTTCCATTCTCCCTGTCTCCTTCAGATACTTCAATCAATTGTAGTTTCAGTCTTTTTACATAGTCCCATATTTCTCCGAGGTTTTGTTTGTTCCTTTTCATTCTTTTTTCTCTGATCTTGTCTGCATGCCTTATTTCAGCAAGGTGGTTTTCAAACTGATATCCTTTCTTCCACTTGGTTGATTTGGCTGTTGATACTTGTGTATGCTTCATGACATTCCTGTGCTGTGTTTTTCAGCTCCATCAGGCCATTTCTGTTCCTCTCTTAACTGGTTATTCTAGCTGGCAGCTCCTCTAACCTTTTATCAAGGTTCTTAGCTTCTTTGCATTGGGTTAGAACATGCTCCTTTAGCTCAATGGAGTTTATTATTACCCACCTTCTCAAGCCTACTTCTGTCAATTCGTCCATCTCATCCTCTGTCTAGTTATGCATGCTTTCTGGAGAGGTGTTGCAATCATTTGGAGGAGAAGAGGTACTCTGGCCTTTTGGGTTTTCAGCATTTTTTCATTGATTCTTTCTCATCTTCATGAGTTTTTCTAGTTTTGATCTCTGAGGCTTTTGACCCTTGGATGGGGTTTTTGTGGGGACTTTTTTGTTGTTGATTCTGTTGTTGTTGCTTTTTGTCTGTTTTCCTTTCAATGGTCAGGTCTCTCTTCTGTAGGGCTGCTGAGGTTTACTGGGGGTTAACTTCATGCCCTATTTATCTGGTTCTCTCCCACACCTGGAGATGCCACTCAACAAGATTGGAGAACAGCAAAGATGGCTGCCTGCTCCTTCCTCTGTGATCTCTGACCCTGAGGGGCACCAAACTGATGCCAGTAGGAAAGCTGCTGTATAAGGTGTCTGACAACCCTTGTTGTAGGGTCTCGCCCAGTTGGATGGCATGGGGAGCAGGACCTGTTTAACAAAGCAATTTGGCTGTCCTTGGTGGAGGTGGTGTGCTTCATTGTGGGGAAACCCACTTGTCTGGGCTGCCTGGATTCCTCAGAGTTAGCAGGAGGAAAGACTAAGTCTGCTGGTCTGTAGAAACTGTGGCCACCCCTCCTCTTAGGGGCTCAGGCTCAGGGAGATCAGAGTTCTGTCCCTGAGCCTCTGGCTGGCTTTGCTGGAGTTCCTGCAGGGAGCCCCCACCCAGTGAGTATGGATCAGTCAGGGTCAGGCCTGAAGAGACACTGTGACTGCAGTCTACACAGCCAGTGTCTTGGGCTGTGGGGGATACCTCTTGGGACCAAGAAATTTAGCCTCTCTGGCTCCAGCAGGGGAAAAGCACAGCCTGCAGCTATAGAGATGGCTGCTGCCCTTTCCCTGCCCTGGGAGCTTAGTGTGTTAGGCAGGTATCAGTCCCATTGTTGGCTGCTGCCCCTCCCCCAAGGTGCTCAAATGGCTTAGACAGGAGGCAGCCACAGTCGTGATGTTGGTTGCCCTTTCCCTGGGAACTCAACAGGCTTAAGCAGATTCTAGCTGACAGGCTGTTGAGAATCTGCGTGGCTCCATGGTTGGGACTCTAGGCCCTGGTGGTGTAGCTTCATGAGTGAGATCTTCTGATCCATGGGTTGCACAGTTCTGTGAAGAAAGCACGGTTTCCGAGGTTAGGTAGCATGCTCACTCACCACTTCTCTTGGCTGGGGTGTGGGGGTTCCCCTGACTCATGTGGCTCTCAGGTGGGCCACTGCACCACACTGTTCTTTCTTCCTCTCCATGGGTCATGCCACATGCCTAGTCAGTTCTGTTGAGAGAACCTGGATACCTTGATTTCTGGTACAGGATTCTCTACCAGTAAGTTTTATATGTTTTTGTAAAAATTTGTTGTTTTCATGATGGTAGATATTGTTCTTTTGCTTTCAGGTGTAGGACTCCCTTATTCACTTCTTGCTGGGCAGACCTAGTGGTGAATTCCCTCGGTTTTTATGTATCTGGGAAATACTTTATTCCTCCTTTATTTTTGAAGGGTAACTTTGCTGAGTGTAATATTCTTGGCTGGAAGCTTTTTTCTTTTAATACTTTGAATATATCATCCCAATCTTTCTTGGGCTGTAAGGTTTCTGTTGAGAAATCCACTGTTGTTCTGATGGGGATTCTCTTATATGTGACCTGACTCTTGTCTTATGCTGTTTTTAGAAATCTCTTCGTCTTTCAATTGCAGCAGTTTGACTATAATGTGCCTTGAAGAGGACCCTTTTGTGTTGAACATATTTGGCTCTATTTGAGATTCCTATATCTTGCTGTGCCTATTTCTTGTAAGACTTGGAACATTTTCAGCTATTATTTTATTAAATAGGTTTTCTATCTGACTGCCCACTTCTTCTTTTTCTGGAACTCCCAATATTTAAATATTTGGTCACCTTATGGTTTTTCCTATGTCACATAGGCTTTGTCCCCTTTTTAAATGCTTTTTCTCTTTTGTCTGACTGGGTTATTTTTAAAGATATATCTTCAAGTTCAGAAATTCTTTCTTCTGCTTGATCTAATCTATTGTTGAAGCTCTTTTGGATCTTTTATTTCATTCATTAAATGCTTCATTTTCAGGATTCCTGATTTTTTGTGATACCTATTTGTTAAATTTCTCTTTCAAATCATGAATTGTTTTCCTGATTTCCTTATATTGTTCACTGTGTTCTCTTGTATCTCACTGAGTTTCTTTAATATCATCATTTTGAGATTTTTCAGACATTTTATAGATGTCTTTTTAATAGGAATCTTTTGCTGGGGAATTATTTTTTTCCTTCGAATGTGTTGTTTCCTTGTTTTTTCATATTTCTTGTGTCCTTATATTGATATCTGGGCATTTGGTAAAACAGTCACTTCTTCCAATTTTATGGATTGACTTTCATAGGGAAAGACTTTTTCTATAGTGTTGGTTGGGTGGGGTTCTTTGGCTTTGATTCTGTGTGGGTGTGGTAGTGTGATCTACATATGATTTCTTTGGTTGTAATCAGAATCATTGGTGTCTGTGGGTTCTTTAGTGGCTTAGCCTGCAGTTATTAGTGGAAACTGTGGTGATACTTTGCTGATGACAGGGATGCCAGGCAAGCCAGTCCTTGGGCACCAGTGGTGGCAATGGCAGGCCAGGCATACTGGTCCTCAGGTCCCTAAAGGTATTTTGAGCACTGATGGTGGCAGGTCCAGACAGATAGGTTTTTGGGCCTCCAGGTGGCTTGCTTGGGTGCTGCAGTGATAGCAGCAGGCCAACCATGTGGGCAGGTCCTCAAGTCCCTGAGTGGAGTGCATAGCACCTGCAATGTCAGTAGTGGCGGCAGGCAAATACTTGGGCTCCCATGCAACACATGTGGGCACTAACAGCAGTGGCAATAGGATAGACAGGCATCAGTGACACCAATGATACCCCAGAGCCCCAGGCAGCACATGCAGATAAGTGCCAGTGGTGGTAGTAGTAGTAGCAGGCTCAGCAAACTCATCCTCAGACCCTCAGAAGATGCACATGGGATCCAGCAGTGGTGGATGGAATGAGTCAATTCCTAGGCCCCCAGATTTCATGGTGCTGGTGGCTGCAGGCAGAGTGGACCTGTCTTCAGGCCCGTACCTCAATGGTGTACACAGGTGCCAGCAGTGGGCAGAGCAGCTTGATCACCAGGCCCCTGGAAAGCACACATGGGCACTGATGCCTCCACCAGGCAGGGTGGGTTTGTCTTAAGGCCTCTGATGCTGCACATGGGTGCCAGCATTAGCAGGCAGGGAAGGCTGATCCCCAGACTTCTGATCAACACTCTTGGAGCCAGCAGCAGTGGTGATGGGTAGAGTGGGTTTTTCCTTGGGCCCATGGATTGTGCATGTGGGCACCAGCAGTGATGGGCAAGGTGAACCTGTTGTCAGGTTTTTCTATGGTTGTGTGGATACCAGTAATAGCAGGTGGGACAGGTTAATCCTCACATTCTTAGAGAACACACTTGGGTGCTAGTGGTAGGTAGTGTCTCTTCTCAGGCTCCTAGATGGCTTGTGTGTGTCCTGGTGGTGACAGGTAGGGCAGGCCTTTTCTTAGGCCTTGGGACATCACCCAAATAGACCACTGCCCAAGTCCCTTGAAGGTGCATGCAGTCCTGTAACTGGAAGGTTTAGGGTTGCTGTCTATGTTAGCAGCCACAGAGAGACAGCTCTCAGGCTCTAGGGAGCGCCTACTTAGATACCTTTGTCCCAGGGGAGCAGCCTCATTTGTGTGCTGCACTGCTATTCCCTGGGGTATAAGACACTGCATGGTCTAGAGTCCTGGGGACCCAGCCACACCACCACCACTGGATCCAGCCAGTGTCACAATACTTAAGCTCTCTGGATGGACATGGGGAGATATCAGCAGGGCTTCAGGGATGTGGGATGCAGGAGCTGTTGGACCCCAGGGAAGGTTGTGTCCTGGTGGGAGCTGGCCTCTCAAAAAGGTAGTGTTCTGCACCTGCTCGAGTTTTGGTGGGATCTGTGAGGCCCATTGTAAACTCTGTCTCTGGAACAATGCCATCATGTGGACTCCATGAACCACCCTATACTAATATGAAGGCCCATGAGGGTTGAGGGACTCTTTCATGGTTAGAATTGTGAGAATCTATGGTGAGAATATGAACCACTGGGGATCTCCTGCTTACCTTTTCCTCAAATTGGGTTGTTTTTCCTGTTTCTGAACTGATCCCGTTCCTTCACATCCCTTTCCTTCCATGCCTCAGAGGTTCCCTGCCACTTCCTTGTTGAATTCCAGTGTTCTGTCTTCGTTGCTCTATTTGATGTGTGATTATCTATTCACTGTTTTGGCCCTTCTTTGGAGAGGAGGTAAGGGCTGGATGCCTCCAGTCAGCCATCTTGAAACCCCTCATTGATAATATTAATTCTTCCAATACAAGAACACAGAATATCTTTATATTTATTTGTGTCTTCAGTTTCTTTCATGAATAGCTTTTGCCTTCTTGGGGGAAATTTATTTCTAAGTATTTTATTCTTTTGATGCTATTGTAAATAATTCATTGTTGGTTTACAGGAACACGATTTTTGTATGTTGATTTTGTATCATGCAAATTTATTGAATTTATGTATTAGTTCTAACATTTTATTGGTGGCATCTTTTGGGTGTTCGATATATAAGATCATGACATCTGCAAATAGAGACAATTTTACTATGTTCCTTCTGATTTTGATGACTTTCATTTATTTTTCTTGCTTGATTGCTCTGGCTAGTACTTCCAGTAATACATTGAATAGAAGTGGTGAGAATGTGCATC
The DNA here is from genome assembly GCF_000001405.40 of Homo sapiens. Classification (NCBI taxonomy): domain Eukaryota; kingdom Metazoa; phylum Chordata; class Mammalia; order Primates; family Hominidae; genus Homo; species Homo sapiens. The sequence continues at coordinate 102,025,371 of NC_000023.11, read as the reverse complement.
GTTGGCATCATTGTCTTATTCCCGATCTTAAAGGAAAAGCTTTTAATTTTTCACCATTGAATATGATGTTAGCTGTGGGTTTCTGTTATACAACCTTTACTGTGTTGAGACACATTCCCTCTATACTTAGTTGTTGATGGTTTTTATCATGAAAGGACACTAAATATTGTCAAATGCTCTTTCTGTATCTACTGAGATGATTGTGTGATTTTTGTTCTTCATTCTGTTAATGTGGTGTATCACATTTATTGACTTTTATTTATTGAAACATCTCTGCACCCCTGGCATAAATCTCACTTGATCACGACGTGTGATCATTTTAATGTGCTGTTAAAACCACTTTGGTAGGATTTTGTTGAGTATTTTTGCATCCATGTCCACCAGGGATATTAGCCTGTAAATTTTTCTTGTAGCATCCTTCTTTGGCTTTGCTATAAGGGTAATTCTGACCTTGTAAAATGTGTTTGGAAGTGTTTCCTACTTTTCATTTTTTTTTGGAATAGTTTGAGAAGGATTGGTATTCATTCTTCTTTAAATGAAGAATTCACCAGTGAAGGCATCAGATCCTGGGCTTTATTTTTATTGGATATTTTAAATTACTGATTCAATTTCCTTATTCATAATCGATCTGTTCAAATTTTGTATTTATTAATGCTCCAGTCTTGGTAGGTTGTATGTTTCTAAGACTTCATCCATTTCTTCTAGGTCATTCAATTTGTTGGTGTATAATTATTCATGACAATCTCTTACAATTCTTTTTCTTTCTGTAATATCAATTCTAATATTTGCTCTTTTGTCTCTGATTTTGTCTTCTCTCCTTTTTTAGTAAGTCAAGCAAAAGTTTTGTCCATTTTATCTTTTCAAAACACCAACTCCATTTCTTTGATCTTTACTATTGTGATTCTAGCCTATAATTAATTTATTTCTGCTCTAATATTTGTTATTTCCTTCCTTCTACTTACTTTGGGTTTAGTTTGTTCTTTTTCTAGTTTTCTGAGGTGCTAAATGAGATTTTATTAATTTGAGATTTCTCTGTGTTCTTCAGGTGGACTTTTATTACTATAACTTTCCTCTTAGAACTGCTTTTGCTGGACTTCATGAGTTTTGGTACGTTGTGTTTCCATTTTTATTTGTTTCAAGATATTTTTAAATATTCCCTTTGATTTCTTTTTTAACCCATTGATTGTTCAGGAACATGTTGTTTAATTTCTGCATATTTCAGTGTCTTCCATTCTCTTCCTTTTTTTAATTCTTAATTTTTGTGGGTACATAGTTGGTATATATATTTATGTACTTCCATATTATTTTGGTTAGAAAATATGCTTGATATGTTTTCAATCATTTTAGCACTTTAAGATTTTTTTGTGGTCTAACATATAATCTGTTTCAGAGAATGTTTCATGTGCACTTGAGGAAAATGTACTCTGTTTCTGTTGGGTTCCACGTTTTGTGTATTTTTGTTTGGTCTATTTGGTCTAATGTGCATTTCAAGCCCAGTGTTTCCTTATTGAATTTTTGTTAGGATGATCTATCCATTACTTGAAAATAAGGTATTGAAATACCCTACCCTACTATTATTGTATTGCTGTTTATTACTCCCTTCAGATTTACTAATATTTTCTTTATATATTTTGGTGCTCCAATGTTGAGTGCATACATTTATAATGATTATATCCTTTTGATAAATTGTTCCCCTTATCATTATATAATAACTTTTAGGTTCTCTTGTGACCAATTTTGACTTAAAATTTATTTTGTCTGATATAAGTATAGCTGCACTTGCTCTGTTTTGGTTACCATTTCCATGGAATATATTATTCCATCTCTTCACTTTCAGTCTAGGTGTGTTCTTAAAGCTGAAGTGAACCTTTTTCAGGTAGCATACAGTAGGTCTGGTTTTTTAATTCATTCAGCTACTCTATGATTTTTCATTGGTGAATTTAATACAATTACATTCAAGGTAATTAACAATAGGTGAACACTAACTGTTACCATTTGGTTGTTTGCTGGTTGTTCTATGTACCCTTTTTTTCTTTCTTTCTCTCTTGCTGACTTCTTTAGTGATTTAGTGTTTTTCTGTAGTGGTATATTTTGATTTTTTTTCTCTTTATCTTTGGTGTATCTCTGATAGATTTTTACTTCATGATTTCCATGAGGCTTACTTAAAGCATTTTGTAGTTATACCAGTTTGTTATAAGCTGATAAGAACTTAACCTCCATCACATACAGAGATCTACACTTTTACTCCTTCCTCACAAATTTTATGTCTGAGTTTTGACAATTTGATTATAATATATCTTGGTGAAGTGTTCTTGGGTTGAGGCTGATTGGCAAACTTGACCTTCAGGTACGTGGATGTCTATATTTCTCCCCAGGTTGGGGAAGTTTTCAGTTATTATTTCTTTAAATATTCATTCTACCCTGTTCTCTCTCTCTTCTCCTTCTGGGATGTTGGGGATGAAAAAATTAGCTCTTTTAATGATGTCCCAAAATTACCATAGGCTTTCTTGCTTTCTTTTTATTCTCTTTTTTTCCCATCTCCGAGGATATTTTCAATTGACCTGTGTTCAGATTCTTCTGCTTGATCACATCTGCTTTTGATGCTCTCTATTGCATTTTTTACTACATTCACCGTATTCTTCAACTCCAGAATTTCTGTTTGGTCATCTTTTATGATTTCTGTATTTTTCTTAAATTTCTCATTTTGTTCTTGTATTGTTTTTTGTAATTTTTGTTTGTGCTTTCTTGTAGCTTTCTGAGCTTCCTTAAAATCATTATTTTGAATTATGTGTCAGGAAATTTGTAAATTACCATGTTTTGCAGGTCGTTTGCTGGAATATTGTTGTGTTTCTTTGGTGTTGTCATGTTTCCTTGATTTTTCATGTTTCTTAAAATCTTGTATTGCTGTTTTCACATTTGAAGAAATAGTCACTGTATTAGTCCCTTCTCACACTGCTATAAAGAACTACCAGAGACTGGGTAATTTATGAAGAAAGGAGGTTTAAAAGAACCTCCTTTTTGTGGAACTGTACAGGAAGCATGGCTGGGGAGGCATCAGAAAACTTACAATCATGGTGGAAAGTGAAGGGGAAGCAAGCATGTCTTACATGGCTGGCAGGAAGAAGAGAGTGAAGAGGGGAGTGGTACGCAGTTTCAAACAACTAGATCTTCTGAGAAATCTATCATGAGAACAGCAAGGGGGAAGTCCGCCCCCATGATTCAACCATCTCCCACCAGGACCCTCCTTCGACACTGGGAATTACAATTTGACATGAGATTTGGGTAAAGACACAGAGCCAAACCATATCAGTCACTTTCTTCCATCTTTAGTGGCTGTTTTCAGAGAGAAGCACCTTCACCAAACAGCCTAGCTAAGGATTATAAAGCTCTCTCAGCCCTTTTCCATGGTTGTACCCACTCGACAGCTCTTGTTTCTGCTCCAAGGAGGAGGTGATTCTTGAGATTATATTTTCTCTCTCGACTCTGCAAAGCCAGTCTGAGTACAGAGAGAATTCTGTTTGTTTTTCCTATGGTGGTGTCCTAAAATGCTCAAATTTATGTGAGCATAATCACATAAATCACACAGAGTCAAACCAGCTCTCTGTGTGAGATACTTGTACACATGGTCCTCAGGAATGAACTTAGGAGCTATCCTGAAGCCAGGGGTGAGGCAAATAGAGTGTTTGGAATGCCTGTGGACCAGTAGGGAGAGAAGTCTACAGGCAAGATATGTCAAGAAGCTTGTGTGCAGCCTTCCTGATGGATTCTGCAGAGTGGTTAGTAGGTTTTGTGGCCTCCCTTTCCTATTCTCAGCATCTCTCAACCACTCAGCCACACCAAAGACCTCAGTCTTCTGTGAGGGGCAAGAAAAAGTGAACCTCAATCAGTGTCCTGCATGCTGGGGGAGCCAGGAGCACACTCACTATGCTCTTATTTTCTCCTGTGAGAAAAGTTGCAGTCCAAAGAAGACTTTCTTGGCACCGAATTATGCTCCCTTGGGGGATAATCGATGTGGATAAAGTGAAACTGTTCTTTCTACCCTCTTTGATGCATCTATTTTTAGATTTTATAAAGCAACAGTGTGCTGGAATTTGTCTACTGGACACCCAGACTTCCTCAAAGATGCCTTCATCCATGGATAATTGTCTAAATTGATAACGTCTACAGGGAGATGATGGTAGAAATCTCCTATTCTGCCATCTTGCTGTTGTCACTTGGAACTTTAAAAAAATCTTTGACTTATTAAATGTTGAATTTTCTTTAATTTCTTGGAAATAATTACATTAAAGCCATTGCCCAGTACCCCAACCACAAGAGAGGTGCAGATCAACAGAATACAAAAGACATTTTAAGAACCACTTCCTTTTCCAAAATAAGTGTTATATTCAACTTAAGTAATGCTTTCTCTTTTTGTGATTTACTGCTGATGAATTGCCTAACAGACTGAAAACCAACGAGGTATCACACAGTACACCTGTCATTTCTATTTCTGCACTTGAAGTTTGACATTTAAGTAAGTGTAAGCTTACTCCCTGATGAACCAGGTTTAATTTAAATTTCATCTATCTTCTAGAAGCTTACTGAGAGCTTACTTCATGCTTGTTTAGAGACTGGAATTAAACATGCACTTCTCCTCCAAGCTTTGCTTTATCAGTCTCTGAAAAAGCATTGCCAGAGCAATTGCATCATTTGTATTAAATCTTCTGGGGATTACCCTATAGATAAAAACTGGGAGTAGCCAAAGGGACAGTGTCTCAGTCTGTTTCTGCTGCTATAAAAATACATTGGACTTGGTGATTTATAAAAAATAGAAATTTATTTTCTACAGCCCTGAAGCCTGAGAAGTCCAAGATTAAGGCATCAGTGTTCAGTGTCTGCTGAAGGCCTTCTTGCTACATCCTCACATGGCAGAAGTGTAAAAGGGCAAAATAAGGCCTAGCTAGTTTCCTCTAGTACTTTTATAAGGCATTAATGCCATCTATGGGGCAGAGAACTCATGGCCTAATCACCTCCTTAAGACTCTTCTGAATTCTGTTGCATTTGGGATTCAGCTTCAACACAAATTTTGGAAAAGACACGAACATTCAAATAATAATATTTGTCGATGGAAAGAATTAAACTCTGTAAAATATTTGAAGAGATTTATTCTGAGCCAAATATGAGTGACCATGCCCATGAGACAGCCCTCAGAAGGTCCTGAGAACATGTGTCCAAGGTGGTTGGGGTACAGTTTGGTTTTATACATTTTACGGAGACGTGAGACTTCAATCAAACACATGTAAGAAATATATTTGCTTGGTCCAGAAAGGCACTTGAAGTGTGGGGGCTTCCAGATTATAGGTAGATTTAAATTTTTTCTGGTTGACCATTGGTTAAGTTTATCTAAAGACATGGGATCAATAGAAAGGAATGCCTGGGTTAAGATAAAGGATTATAGAGTCCCAAGTTCTTGTTTGCTGAGGATACCTTTAGGTATTAGGCTTTAGAGAGAATAGGTTGTAAAAGTTTCTTATCAGACTTAGTCTGTGTTGATGTTAATGTTGGAGAGGTATAATGAAGCATGTTCAATTCCCACTTCCCATCATGGCCTGAAACAGTCTCTCAGGTTAAATTTTAAAAAAGTCCTGGCTGAGGAGGAAGTCTTTTCAGATGGTTGGGGGGCATTTGAATTTTATTTTGAGTTTCCATATTCCATATCTGGAACCCCAAAATTCATGCCTTCTTCACATACAAAATATATTTATTTCATCCACTTACCCTCAAGAGTTAAATTATTCCAGCATCAACTTTAAAGTCCAAGTTCAAAGTCTCATCTAAATATAATCTAAATCAGATATGGGTGAGATTCCAGGTATGATTCATTCTGAGGAAAATTCCCTCTCTAGCAATGAGCCTGTGGAATCAAACAAGTTATGTGATTCCAAAATACAATGGTGGGACAAGCATATGATTGAAATTCCTATTCCAAAAAGGAGAAATAGAAAAGAATAAAAGGATAGCAGATATCAAGTGAGTCCCAAATCCAATAAGTCAAAGAACATTACCTCTCAAGGCTTCATAAAGATCTTCTTTGACTCCATATTCTGCCTTCTTGACATACTGAGGCAGGGGTTGGGCACAGAAGGCCCCAGGCAGCCCTGTCCCTGTGACTTTACCAAATGCAGCCCATGCGGCATCTTTCACAGGTTGAACTCAGGTGTCTGCAACTCACCCAGGCCAGTGTTACACTCTGGTGGCTCTACAGATCTGGGGTCTTCAGGGGCAGTCCTACCCCCACAATTTCACTAGGCTTTGCCATTGTAGGAGCTATTGGTGTTGGCCTTGACCCCATCACTTCTCTGGACATTGCCCTGGTGATGGTGACAGGAGGCAGTCAAATGCCTAGGCAGATAAAGGTGGGTCCCTGGTGAAACCTTGCCTCCAAGCCAAAGATAGTTTAAAGCCGAAAAGCCAAGCTACAACTTAAATCCTTGAACCACATTGAGAATCTGTCTTCCCATATGGTGCACTTTCCTCTGATTGATCCCCACCCTTCGCCTATTTTACATATACCTACTGTTTCCTAATTGGTTTTCTACACTGTCATGCCCACCTTTGAGTGGTAACTTTGCTTTAATCTTTTTTGCATCCTCACAAAAACAATCAGCACGCACTCCCCATTCTGAATCCATAAAAAGACCTGGACCCAGCCACACTGAGAAAAAAAACCACCAGATTGCACGAGTGGGTGACCACCACCCCTCATCATCACATCCCCTCTCTTCTGAGAGGTGTTCCACCACTCAATAAAATTCTTATATGCCGATCCTCATCCTTCAACTGTCAGCATATCCTCATTCTTCTTGGATGCAGGACAAGAGCTTGGGAAGCACAACAAGAGCTTGGGAAGCACCGAATGCGGGTACAAGCTATTATACAGGTGGGCTGGGGTGCTCCCGGCCCAGCTGCAGGCTGAACCAGTGTGCAAGCCAGACTTGGCCCAGGTGGGCTGAGTGGGTGGGGTGCCTCCAGCAGCAGGCCTGGGTTTCAGTAAGGCCAGGGTGGTGAGGACATCACTGGAGGTCCCAGCTGTGAAAGTGACCAAGAAAATTCCTGCATCACTAGTGGGGGTTCTCTGCAGCAGCTCTGCCCCATGGCAGTTTTCCACCTGGTCCCCAAAGTTGTCAGGGACAGTCTTTGAAGTCTAGGTAGATGCCTCCATAGCTTGTGCACTTTGTGCACCTGCAGAATTAACACCATATGGACACTGCCAAAGTTTATGGCTTGTGCCCTCTGAAGCTGCAGCCAAAGCTGCATCTGTGCCCGATTCAGCTTCAGCTGGGATGGTGGTTAAAAAGGGTTGTGCCCATGTGTGGAGCAGAAATTTAAGGTGGCCCTTGTCAGCAATCCCCAAGGTCTCACAAGCACTCTAGGCCCCTCATTTGAAAATATTTGCCCTCAAGACCTTGGCACCTTGGAGCTTTGATGGGAGTGGCAGCCTTGAAGATATACAGAATGCTTTTGGGGTATTCCTCCATTGTCTTGATGGATAACTTCTGCCTTCCTACTATCCATACTAACCTCCTCATTAAGGGGTTACTTGGCCACATCCCTGGTGTTCTCTCCTGAACATGTTTTCTCATTTTTTAATGGCTGAGAATTTTTCAACTCTAAGTTCTGCTTCCCTTTTGATATTAAATTCTGTCTTTAAATTATTTCTCCCTTCTCACATTTTAGCATAAGCAGTCAAGAGAAGCCATCTAGTACCTTGATTACTTTGCTTAGAGATTTATTTTACCAAATATCCTAGTTCATCACACTTAAGTTCTGCCTTCTACAAAGTACTAGGATATAGACACAATTCAGCCAAGTTCTTTGACCCTTTGGAATAAGAATGGCCTTTCCTCCAGTTTCCAATAAAATGCTCCTCATTCCTGTCTAAGACTTCATTGGAATGGCTCTTGCTGTCCATATTTCTGATCAGGACCACTTACATAATCTCTAAGAAAATTTAGGCTCCCTCTACAGCTGTCTTCTTCTGAGCCCTCTCCAGATTTAGCCTTAACACTCCACTCACAGCAATCTAGGCTTTTTCTAGCATGCACCTCCAAACTCCTACAGCCTCTCTTCATTACTAAGTTCCAAAGCTACTTCCACAGTTTCAGGTACTTATTATAGCAACATCTCACTTCTCAGTATCAAATTCTTTCTCAGTTCATTTCCGCAGCTATAACAAAATACCATAGACTTTCCTGCACATCACATGGGGAAGAAAAAGAAAAATAAATAAATAAATAGCATGGTCTGGGTAATTTATAATGAACAGAAAGTTATTTATTACAGTCTGGAGGTTGGGAAATCCAAGATCAAGGTACTAATGTTCAGTGTCTGGTGAGGGCTTTCTTGATGCACCCTTACATGGTTTTTCATGCAGACACTCTCATTACCTCGCTCATACTCCAACATTCTGCTCCAGGTCATTTCTATTCACTCTCACTACCCATACAGCCTATCTATGACCTATTTACTCTCACTACCCATATGGCCCATATCTGCTCAGTTCCCTAATTCTTTTTTTTATTTTTAAAGACTTTTGTTTTTATAGTCACACTTATTACTCTCTCTTCACACTGCCATCTTTAGCTCTTGGCAACCATGAACATGTTCTCTACCTCAGTAATTGTTTTGCTTCTAGAGTGTTATGTAAATGCAATAATAGAATATGAAACCTTTTTAATTGAGGTACATTTTACATACCTTAAAACGAACTATTTTAGACTATACAGTTTAGTACCATTTCATGTGTTGACAATGTTATGCAATCATCACCTCTATCTAGTGCCAAAATATTTTCATCAACCCAAGAAGAAACTATTAAGCATTCACTCCCTTTGGTAAGTTTGGGGATTTGGGGATTGATCAAGGAAGAGACAGGACCACAAAAGGCAGTATCACACAACTTTTTTGGGGCAGTGCTTGGGTAGGGTTGCATGAGAGATGAAGCCCTTCCCAGCAAGATATTTATCAAAGACAGCAGCATGAGGCTACCACTCATAAGAGGAATAGGGTGAAGGAACTCCTATGGGAGAAGGGAAAATCAGAGAGAGGACTTACATGTCTAGGTAATGTCACTCAGCAGCAAGTGGGGAGTCTCTGGGACACAGTTCTAAAGGGCAGCAACAATTAGGGGTCTTTTTATACCTAACGATTAACATATGTGGGGTGTGGTTTTGTGAGTATGTAAAGTAAATCGATCTACATGCTTAAATATATGAGGCTTTTTGGACTATATTTAAAGCAATTGAATACGTGTGATTTTGAGTTTGGCACCAGTGGGCTTTGTATTAATGGTCATATCTTGCTTTGAAAAATAAAACAACATAGAGGACCATGTTAGGCTAATTCACAGGGGTCATCTCTGGCCCATTTATATAACATCCCCCTCCCACCAGCCTATGACAACCACTAGTCTGCTTTCTGTTACTTATTCTGGATATTTTGTATATGAATCACATTCCATTTATATATGACTTTTTGTGTCTCTTTTCTTGGACTCAGCTTAATGTTTTCAAAATTTGTTCATTTTGTAGCATGCACCAGTATTGCATTCCTTTTTATGGCTGAATAATATTCTATTGAGGGGACATGCCACATTTTGTTTATCCATTCATCAGCTGATGGACATTTGGGTTGTTTTGAGCTACTATGAATAGTTCTGCTGTGAATATTTGTGTACAAATATTTGTTTGAATACCTGTTTTCAGTGTTTGGGGGTACATAACTAGGAGTGGTATTGCTCACTCATATGCTACTTATATGCTTAACTATTTGAGAAACCACCAAACTTTTTTCTGAAACAGCTACATCATTTTACACCCCCACCAGCAACGTACAAGGGCTCCAATGTTTCAACAATCTTGCCAACCCTTGCCCTTTTCCAGTTTTTGTTTGTTTGTTTCTGTTTTTTGGGGCTCTGTGTGTGTGTGTGTGTGTGTGTGTGTGTGTGTATATATATATGTGTATATATATATATGTGTGTGTGTATATATATATGTGTGTATATATATATATATACACACATATATATAATCTCCAGGCCAGTGAGTGGAAAGTGGTTCATTGTGACTTTGATTGTGTATTTATAATGACTCAAGATGTTGAGCATCTTTTCATGTGACTATTGGTCATTTATATATCTTCTTTGGAGTAATGACTATTCAAGTCCTTTGTCCATTTTTTAATTGCATTGTTGGTCTCTTTTTGAGTTATAAGAGGTCTTCATAGATACTGCATAGTAGACCTTTATCAGATATATAATTAGCAAATATTTTCTCCCATTCTGTAGAATGTGTTTTCACTTTCTTTATAGTGAACTCTGATGCACAAAATATTTTAATTTTGATGAAGCCTAATTTATCTGTCTTTCTTTTGCTGCCCATGCTTCTGATATTGTTTCTAATAATCCATTATCAAATTCAAGGTCATGAAGATTTACCCCTTTTTTTGTAAGAATGTTGTAGTTTTAGAGTTAATTTTCCTGTATGGTGTGACATGAGAGTCCAGCTTCACTGTTTGGAATGCAAATCTCCAGTTGTCCCAGCACAATTTGTTGAAAAGACTAGCCTTTCCCCATTGAATGGTCTTGTCACCCTTGTGGAAAATTAATTGACCATAGATGAAGAGGTTTATTTCTAGACTCAAAATTCTATTCAATTAGTCTATATGACTCTCCTTATATCAACATTACACTCTTGATTATTGTAGCTTTGCAGTAAGTTTTGGGACCAGAAAGTGTGAGCCTTCAAATTTTATTTTTCTTTATCAGATTATTTTGGACATTCAGGTCCCTTTCTGTTTCATATGACTTTCAGGATCACTTTTGCCATTTTTGAAAAAAAAAGACAGTTGTGATTTCAATAAGGATTGCACTGAGTCATTAGATCACATTGATAATGTTGCCATCTTAACAATATTAAGATCTCCAATCCTCTACCTAGTTCCAAAATATTTTCATCAACCCAAAAAGAAACTATTAAGCATTCACTCCCTTTGGAGTGAATACTGGATGTCTTTCCATTTATTTTCTTCTTCTTTCATTTCTTTTAGAAACTTTGTTTTCAGTGTTCAAATCGTGTACTTTTTTGATAAAATTTATCCCTAAATATCTTGTTCTTTTTGATGTTTTTGGAAATGAAATTTTCTTATTTTATTTCAGGTTGTTCATTGCTAGTATATAGAAATACAATTGATTTTTATGTGGCGATCTAAGTTACTGCAACTTTCCTGAATTTATGTATTATCTGTAACAGTTTCTTTTTTGTAGTATGTTTAGGATTTTCTATACATAGGATGATGTCATCTGTGTATAGATATATATGTTTTCCTTTCCCATTTGCTTACCTTTTATTTTTCTTCTTACTTAATTGCACTGGCTAGAACTTTAACTATAATGTTAGATAACAGTGGTAAAAGCAAGTATCCTAGGCCTTGTTCCTGATCTTAGAGGAAGAGGTTTTAGTGTTTCATCATTGAGTAAAATGTAAGCTGTGAATTTTCTATGTGTGCCTTTTATGCTACTGAGAATATCTCTTTTATTCTTAGTTTTAAAATTTTTTTATCATGAAAATGTGTGGGATTTTGTCAAATGGTTTTTTTCTGCACTAATTAATATAATCATGGGATGTTTTCCCCTTTATTCTATTAACATGGTATATTACATTGGTTGATTTTTGTATGTTAAGCCATTCTTGTAATTTTTGGATAAATCCCACTTACTTGTGATGTGCAATACTGTTAAATATACTACTGGATTTGTTTGCTAGTATTTTGTTCAAGATTTCTGCTAGTATTTATTCAGGATGTATATTCATAAGGTCTGTAATTTTCTTTTCTTCAGATGTCTTTGTCTGATTCTAATATCAGGGGAGCACTGGCCTCATAGAATGGTTGTGAGATGTTACTTACTCTTCTATTCTTTGGGAAAGTTTGAGAAGGGTTGGTATTCTTCTTTAACTGTTTGCTAGATTTCACCAGTGAAGCCACCTGATCCTGGGATTCCTTCGTTAGGAGATTTTTGATTTCTGATTCTACCTCTTTACTTTGTAAAGGTAGAATAAGATTTTTCATTTTTTTCTTGAGACATTTTTGTTCATTTATGTCTTACTAGAAATGTAAACATTTTATTAGGTTATATATTTAGTTGGTATACAATTGTTTATATTATTCTATTAAAATCCCTTTTTTTATAGTCTGTAGTAATATCCCAAGTTTCATTTCTGATTTTAATAATTGTAGGCTTTTCTCTTTTTTCTTGCCCAGTCTAGCTAAAGTATGTAAATTTTGTAGATCTTTTCAGAAAGCTTTTGGTTTCATTGATTCTATTGCTCTCTATTCTCTGTTTTATCTCCACTCTAATCACTGTTTCTTTCCTTCTGATAGCTTTGGATTTAGCTTGCCCTTCTTTTTCTAGTTCTTTAAGGTGTAAAGTTGGGTTGTTAAGTTGGGATCATTCTTCTTTTCTAATGTAAGCATTGAAAGCTATCCATTTCTTTTTGAGAACTGCTTTCACTGCACCCCCCGCCCCCCATGGGTTTTGATTTGTTCTGTTTTCATTTTCATTCACCTCAAAATATTTTCTAATTTCATTTGTAATTATGTCACTCCTTTTTGTCCAGTTTGTTGTGTAAGAGTATATTGTTCTATTTCATTCATTTGTGAATTTCTTCATTTTATTTGTGTTACTGATTCTGTTATAGTTGGCAAAGATACTTAGTATAATTTTAATCTTTTAAAATTTAGAGACTTGTCTTTCAGTCTAACATGTAGTCAAGTCTGGGCAATATTCCACATACACATGTAAAGAATGTGTATTCTGCTGTTGCTGAGTAGAATGTTCTATATATGTCCATTAAGTCTCATTGTTTTGTAAATTGTTAAAGTTTTCTGTTACCTTATTGACTTTCTGTCTAGTGTTCTATCTGCGTAGTGTTTAACTCTCTAAGTAAGGTTGTTTCCTATGTCAAAAGAGTTATTCCTCTTTAGAATAACATTTAAATTTACATTAAGCTTTCTTTTTTTATTTTACTTTAAGTTCTGGGATACATGTGCAGAATGTGCAAGTTTGTTACATAGGTATACATGTGCCATGGTGGTTTAAAAGAAAGTTTGAAGTAACAAAAACAGCATTACAGTCGCTTGAAATTGTGACCCAACTTCAAACCTGCAAAGGATATTTACAATATGTTATTCAATAAGTTAAGGCATCATTTTCACCTGTAAAATAGCACATCCACTGGCACAAATAAATCAAATTTGTTTATATTTGTAAACTTTGCATTGAAATATAACACGCATTCAAAAAAGTAAGCAAATCAGAAGTGTATAGCTTGGTGAATTTTTACAGATTATAATAATGTTCTATTTTAATATTTAAATATACCCTATTTATTAGAATGGGTTAATATTTTTGTCTTTGAATGTGTTATTAAAATTTTAGAATTCGTGTTACAGAGTTTTTATTCCTTTTCTTTTTTACCATTTTATATTAAAGGACAGTAATTTTGACCACTTTTTGGGAAAACAATAAAATAAAATAAATTTCCATTAAGATCTACTGCCTCTGTAGGTAAATTTAAAGTTGAACTGAAATCCTGTTCTAGACAACCAGCTATCACCAGGCTCGATAAACTTTTCACCTCTATTCATAGACCTTCCCATTATTTTGTAATATAGTTGAGTATGTTCTTTTAACTGTGAGTAGCTTGTCTGGCTTTAGGGGTTTGGGCTGAAGTTCTCTTTGTGAAATTATTCTAGATAATTCATTATGCAAAAGGTATAAGGGGTGAGCTTTGCTTTTTTGTACTTGGAATTGCTATTTCATCTTTCCCTTCCCATACTTTAACTATAGCACCTAAATGAATTTCTATCTTCTATACTTTAAATTTTTGGATAAATGTTTTAGTTTAAATAATTATTGCAGTTTAATTTATTAGGGGTTGCAGCTAGCTTTAGTTCAAAGTGGTCACGTTAATGTAAAATCTCCCAGGAGTAAGCCGGGTACTTTAGATTAAGCCATATTATGATTTATTCCAGGCAAACTTTCCAGTACACCTACCTTGTTATGACTTCTCTCCTCTGATATATAAATTTTTGTTTATTACAAATGTAGTATTATTGGGATATTTGAGGAAGATGGTGGAAAGTGTGTGTGTGCTCCATGGCCCTATTCAGTTAAGCTTTCTATTCTTAATTTACTACTAAATCCTCCTTTAGCCTTTAGATTTCATAAAAGTTGTCATGAATATTTTAAGATTAGAAACTGTAGCCTATTTATTTCCATCTCAGAAGCTACACTTTTGACCTAATATTTTTATGTATTTACTTGTGCTTGCTTTAAGTCCTCTTTAGGATTTGATGAAGATGATGGTATATAGACTGAATTAGCAAAAGATGATAAGGTTTATCTAGGTTTACCAATTATAAAACAGGCTTCTCTAGAGAGCTACAAAGCATCACCAAATCCTTTGAGTTTTAAACTGTTTCTTGTAGTACTCTAGTGAATAACTTCATTTAATAAGTTATCTAGGTTTATGGCTAAGCATAGTAGGGTATCTAATCTGTTTGGGTCTTAACTATCATGTTCTCAGTACAGTAAAGTCATTTTCATAGATTATTTTTATATTAGCTGTAGCTTTTTATGGCTTAAACTTTAGCTTTATTGAGGTAAGAATCTTAAACATGCTTTACGCTGGGTTTTATTAATTTGGGTTAATCGTATGACTATGGTGGCAGGCACAAAATTTACCAACCCCAAGGAAAATCAGTATAGTTTAATCAAACATTTATTTATTGCTTAATTTTTATCACTGCTGTTTCCCGTGGGGGCGTAGTTGAGCAAGGTGTTATGAGCTACAGTTAGTGTGCTTGATGCCTGCTCCTTTTGATCTTTGATAATCTAAAGAGGATTCTCACTCTGATGTGGAAGCTTCAATGTGCAACTGTACTAAAAATTAATAAAAGGGCCAAGACCAAACCTGTGTGTTTATGGAGTTACATGAACTCATCTACGCACTTTCAGTGCCTTGCTTTACCATATTAAGCTACACTAACTTAAATCTGGAGAAATCCCTCTTGGGGAAAAAATAGTAAGCTGAAGTGCTATGCTAGTACTGAGGTTATTTTTAGTAACTTTGTAAAGAAAAAGGAAAATTTTTAGCCCAGAAAGCCTATATTTTATTTAAAAATTGCAGTTTTTGAAAATGCTTTAATTGGGAATTTGGCTAAAATTTAATTCTAGTCAAAGTTACAGTTGGATTTAAAATCAATTAAATTATAAATAGGTATATGTGAGGCCTCGCCATAGATGGTAAGTATAAGATTTCCTGCTTTTTTTAAGAATAAAAGACTTGTATTAATTATATTAACCTGGGGTTGAGGGGAGGTTGCAGAGTTAATCATACATGTGTCTAGAAATAATTCCTGTGTGCATGTCTATGTGTGCCTGTTTGTATCTTATTTTTATTATGTCCATCAAGCATAAATAAATTATCAACTTATGCTTACAATGTGAACGTGTAATAGTCAATTTAAGGTCAGCTACAATGAAATTGACTGGGCCTAGGCTTTTTCAGCCATATTGAGTCATATCATCACCCAAAATTTAGAAATATCAAATGAATGGCAGTGCATTCGTGAGTGATCATGAGGCAGCTAGTCACTAATACATCAAAATGTCTTATCTAAGAAGAACAACTGGGCAATCTTGATCTTATGGTCCTGAAGTAAGAACCAGATGCCAGATATAGTTTTACTTTAGAAACCCCAAGTTTCA
This sequence comes from Homo sapiens, assembly GCF_000001405.40. NCBI lineage: Eukaryota > Metazoa > Chordata > Mammalia > Primates > Hominidae > Homo > Homo sapiens. Next base: position 102,009,563 of record NC_000023.11, on the reverse strand, counting down.
TGGGCCTGGAGAGGGGAAAGGGACATTTCCTGAGTGGGTTGCTGGTTTGTCGAGGCTTGATAGGTAAGAAATTTTGTTGGAAGTGATAAGCATGTTGTCAAGAAATGACTTGACTTATATGTACTATGTATGAGCAATAATAAAATGTCCTATGTGGTATCATGAGAAAACACTGTAGTGGACAATATTCATATGGAAAAATCAGTGATTCCGTATGGATTAATTTAACATATGATGGGTTGTTATTTTATGTACCTGCTTAATATTCATGGGGGACATAATTTAATGTACAATAAGACATAAGTGTATAATGTATGTTCAGGCATAAATAGTACTAGTACATAATTAATGGGGAAGGCACATAATGAGATATTTGATGGTGCTGATGAATCAATAAATAAATGATTAATAATCTTTTTAGGGGGTGAATTTTTGTATGTTGGTCATTAGAGTCCTTATAGTTGAAATACAACAATGATTTTTCATGTCACTGGTCATAGTTAGATACCATGTGAGAATTATGACATATACTGTATTTTTATTAAGTATTGTCTTTGATGTAGGTTTTGTGGGCTTCTCTTCAAAACCTTCTCCTATTTATGGAGGATTGAGGTTAATTTTTACTGAGGGGGTAAATTGTGGCATTGTGTTACATTTTGGTGGTACATTTATGGGTTTAATTGTATTTTTAATTTATTTAGGAGGTATATTAGTGATATTTGTGTATAATACTATAGCAATGGCTACTGAGGGGAATCTCAATCCTGAGGTTTTGGGGTCTAATGCTGTTACTCGAGGAGTTTTATTAAATGTATTATTAGAATTATTTATAATTATGTGACTAGCAGGGCAGGGTGAAGTAGTAACTGTTACTGATTTTTAAAACTTAGAGGTCTGAGTAATTTTTGAGGGTCAAGAAGTAAGACTTCTTTGTGAAGTTTCTATAGGAGAAGCTGCATTATATAGCTATGGTAGCTGGCTAATGGTAGCGGCTAGTTGATCTTTAGCATTTTATTGTAATTGAGATTACTCGAGGGAAATAATAAGAAGCATGGCTAGAAAAATAAGTGAGATAAAGAAAGAGAGGAAATATTCCCTATTTGATGAGACACCATTCTCTTGCTTTGATTTAGTTCTTTGTCCATGATTTTCTTAACTCTTTGAGCATATTTAAGATAGTTGATTTAAAGTTTCTGTTTAGTAAATCCAATGCCCAGGCCATGAACAGTTTCTATTAATTTCTTTTTTTCTTTTCAGTGGGCCATACTTTGTTTTTTGTATGCCTCATAATTTTTGTTGAAAATCTGACATTTGAAATAAGCTACTGTGACAACTCTAGAAACAATATACCCCTGTCCCACCTGGGGTTTGTTGTTGCTATTTTGGAGGTAGTGTTATTGTTGTTTGTTTGGTGATTTTTCTAAACTCTTTTTGTAAAGCTTGCCTTCCTTGTCATGTGAGGCCACTGAAGTCTTTGTCTCATTAGCATAGTGGTCAACTAGTATTTTGAGAGAGGTTTTCTTAAATACTGGTATCAACAAAAAAGAAAAAAAGAAAACAAAAAGAAAAAATATTATATTAGTCTTTACTTATTGGCTTTCTATTAGGGCACTCCTTCAATGCTTAACCAGGATGTTTACAAATCAACTTTACCCTTCACTCGCTGCTTGTGTGGAGCCTGAAGGTCAGCCAGAAGTGAAAACTAGATTATTTTCAAGCCTTTACTAATCATGAGTCTTTCCTGGACATGCATATGGCTTTCTTATTCCCCCAGTATATACAGGGAGTTTTTAATGACTTACCAATTATAAATGTTATTCATTTAATTCTCACTACACCCTCCACTGTTAAAAGTAGCCATTTGAAAGTCTGCATCACTTTCTCCAGAAACAAAACAAAAAAATCCCCTTTTAGTATGATTTTCTAACATATATGTATATGTATGTATGCACATACACACTTATATAGGCACACTTATGAATATATAGTTAAATAAAAATTGACTTTAGACTGAATGCACCACTGATTAATTGGACTGGGAGGAACCTCAAAGCAATGTAATCCAATGCTTCTCAAAATGCAGGTACATACAAGTCAACTGAGGATCCTGCTAAAATGCAGGTTCTGACTCAGAAGACTCAGGTGGAAACTGAGATTCTGCATTTCAGACAAGCTCCTTAGAGATGTCATACTTGGGTAGCAAGAAAATCCATTCTAATTTCATTATTCCTCTTGACCCCAACAAAATGATAAATTGCCTTGGATTACAATTCTCTGAGAGTTTTCTCATTTTGGGTGTAAATAAGTTGGGATATGAAAGCTTCTTGACAATCCTAGGAACAAGCTCTGTGTTTGACAGGCGGTCTCCCTTATGGTTAGTGGATCCCTCTTTTCTAGCACTTGCTGGCTTTCCTCTGTACTTGTGTAACAGCACCCTCCCAAAAGCAGTCTTCACTTTCTTCATCAATTTTTTTTCTGAGTTTGCTCAAATCTCATGTCCCTATCCCTATCTGGATGATTTTAGGGGTCCAATATATTTTGTTTAATGAAGCTTGTAGACACAGCTCTATGCCACCTTACAATCCCTTTCCTTTTGAATGAGCAATTTTTCTTTTTGTGTTGCTGCAATGTTTGGTACTGGTCAATTTTTTCGTAGGCAACCTTAAAGTGTTCTGGTAGATATACCACATTTGCTTTATCCAGTCTACCTTTGATAGGCATTTAGGTTGATTTCATTGCTGTCAACTTGAGATCTGTAGTACCCATTTAAGATTTCTTCAGCTCTTGAGCGTACAGACATCAATACAAAATCATTCAATGACTGAGTTCACCGTAAAGGTCTGGGCTGGTTGGGGTAAAGTATGTAGAAAATTTTTAGAGTCTTTTCCTTATTCCCTTTCAGGTGCTAAAGAAATCATTTGTGGTACCAGCTCTGTTTATTTCTTTTTTTTTTTAAACTTTTATTTTAGGTTCAGGGACACATGCACAGGTTTGTTATATAAGCAAATTGTGTGTCATTGGGGTTTGATGTACAGATTATTTCATCACTCAGGTAATAATCATAGTATCCAATAGGGAATTCTTTGGTCCTCACCCTCCTTTCACCCTCTATCTTCAAGTAGGCCCCAGTGTCTGTTGTGCCTTTCTTTGTGTCCATGTGTACTCAATGCTTAGCTCCCACTTATAAGTGAGAACAGGTGGTCTTTGGTTTTCTGTTCCTGCATTACTTTGCTTAGGATAATGTCCTTCAGCTCCATCCACACTGCTGCAAAGGACAGGATCTCATGCTCTTTAATGACTATATGGTATTCCATTGTGTATATGTACCACATTTTCTGTAGTCTATCGTTGATGGACATTTAGGTTGATTTCATCTCTTTGCTATTTTGAATAGTGCTTCAATGAACATACACATGCATGAGACTTTATGGTAGAATGATTTATATTACTTTGAGTATATACCCAATAATGAGATTGCTGGATTGAATGATATTTCTCTTTTAAATTCTTTAAGAAATTTCCAAACTGATTTCCACAATGGCTGAGCTAATTTACATGGCCACCAGCAGTGTATAAGCATGTACTTTTCACCACAATCTCACCAGCATCTGTTATTTTCTGACTTTTTCATAATAGCCATTCTGACTAGTGTGAAATGCTATCTCATTGTGGTTTTCATTTGCATTTCTCTAATGATTGGTGATGTTGAACATTTTTTCATAGGCTTGTTAGCCATGTGTATGCCTTCCTTTGGGAAGTCTCTGCTCATATCCTTTGCCCACTTTTTAACGGGTTGTTTGGGTTTTGCTTGTTAATTTATTTCAGTTCCTTATAGACTCTGGATATTAGACCTTTATTGGATGCATAGTTTGCAAATATTTTCTCCCATTCTGTAGGTTGTCTGTTTACTCTGTAGGTTGTCTGTTTACTCTTTTGGTAGTTTCTTTTGCTTGCAGAAGTTCTTTAGTTTAATTAGGTCCCATTTGTCAATTCTTGGCTTTTGTTGCAATTGCTTTTGACATCTTTGTTGTGAAATCTTTCCAGAGTCTATGTTCAGAATAGCATTTCCTAGGTTATTTTCCAGTAGCTTTTTTTATTTTGATGCAGGTTTTACATTTAAGCCTTAAATACATCTTATATGGTATAAGGAATGGGTCCAGTTTCAACCTTCTGCATAATACTAGCCAGTTATCACAGCACCATTTTTTAAATAGAGAGAACTTTTCCCAATTGCTTGTTTTTGTCAAATTTGTCAAATATCAGATGGTTGTAGTTGTGTGGCATGGTTTCTGGGCTCTCTATTCTGTTTCTTTGTGTCTATTTTTGTACCAGCACCATGCTGTCTTCATTACTGTAGCCTTGTGGTATAGTTTGAAGTCAGGTAATGTGATGCCTCTGACTGTTCTTTTTGCTTAGGATTGCCTTGGCTTTTAGGGCTCTTTTTGATTCCATATGAATTTTAAAATATTTTTTTCTAATTCTGTGAAGAATCTCATTAGTAGTTTGATAGAAATAGTGGTTTAATTTTCATATAGTTCTATGGTTTTTGAGTGATTTTCTTAGTATTTATTTATATAATATTGCACTGTGATCCATACATTGCTTTGGGCAATATGGCCATTTTAACAATATTGATTCTTCTTATCCATGAGCATGGAATGTTTTCCCATTTGTTTGTGAATCTTTTATTTTTTTTCAGCAGTATTTTGTAATTCTCATTGTAGATATCATTTACCTCCCTGGTTGGCTGTATTCTTAGGTATTTTATTCTTAATGTGACTACTGTGAATGGGATTGCTTTCTTGATTTGGCTCTCAGTTTGGAAGTTGTTGGTGTATATGAACACTAGTGATTTTTGTGCATTGATTTTGTATCCTGAAACTCAGCTGAAGATGTTTATCAAAATTAGGAGCTTTGGGGCATAGACTATAGTGTTTTCTAAGTATAAAATCATATTTTTGTGAAGAGAGACAGTTTGACTGTCTTTCTTCCAATTTGAATGCTTTTTATTTCTTTCTCTTGCCTGATGGGTCTGGCCAGGATTTCCAGTACTATGTTGAATAGCAGTATTGAGATGTGGCATTCTTGCCTTGCTCTGGTTCTCAAGGAGAACGCTTCCAGCTTTTGCCCATCCAGTATGTGTGTTTGTCATAGATCATTCTTATTTTGAGGTATGTTCTCTTGATGCCTAGTTTTTTCAGGGTTTTTTATATGAAAGGATGTTGAATTTTATCAAAAGCCTTTCTGGGTCTATTGAGATGATCATACGGTTTTTGTTTATAGTTCTGTTTATGTGGTGAATCACATTTATTGATTTGCATATGTTGAACCAACCTTGCATTCCAGGGATAAAGCCTAGTTGGTCATGGTGGATTAGCTTTTTAATATACTACTGGATATGGTTTCATAGTATGTTGTTCATCAAGAATATTGGCCTGAATCCTTTTTTTTTATTTTTGTGTCTATGCCAGATTTTGGTATCAGAATGATGCTGGCCTCACAGAATGAATTATAGAGGACTCCCTTCTCAATTTTTGGGAATAGTTTCAGTAGGAATGGTACCAGCTCCTCTTTATACATATGGTAAAATTCAGCTGTAAATTCCTCTTGTCCTGGGCTTTTTATCTGGTTGGTAGGCATGTTATTACTGATTCAATTTTTGAAAATATTATTGGTCTGCTCAGGGATTCAATTCTTCCTGGTTCAATCATGGGAAGTTGCATCTTGCCAGGAATTTATCCTTTTCTTCTAGGTTTTCTAGTTTGTGTGTATAGGGGTGTTCTTAGTAGTCTTTGAGGGATTTTTGTATTTCTGTGGGGTCGGTGGTAATTTCCCCTTTTTTAATTTCTGATTGCATTTATTTGGATCTTCTCTCTTTTTTTCTTTATTAGTTTAGCAAGCCTTCTATCAATCTTATATATTATTTCAAAAAAAAACTTTTGGTTTAGTTGAATTTTTTTTTCTTTTTCTTGAGTCCCGCTCTGTCACCAGGCTGGAGTGCAGTGTCGCGATCTTGGCTCGCTGCAATCTTTGCCTCCTGGGTTCAAGTGATTCTCCTGCCTCACCCTCCTGGGTTCAAGTGATTCTCCTGCCTCAGCCTCCTGAGTAGCCAGGACCACAGGTGCATGCCACCATGCCCAGCCAATATTTATTTTGTATTTATAGTAGAGGCAGGGTTTCACCATGTTGGCAAGGATGGTCTCGATCTCTTGACCTCATGATCCGCCCGCCTCGGCCTCCCAAAGTGCTGGGATTACAGGCATGAGCCACTGTGCCCAGCTGGTTTACTTGATCTTTTGTATGGTTTTTCACTTCTCAATTTTGTTCAATTGAGCTACAATTTTGGTTATTTCTCTTCGCTTGCCAGGATTGACATTGGTTTGTATTTGTTTATTTAGTTCTTCTAGGTGTAATGTTAGGTGTTAATTTGAGATCTTTCTAATTTTTTATGTGGGCATTTAGTGCTATAAACTTCCCTCTTAACACTGCTTAACTGTGTCCCAGAGATTCTGATATGTTGTATTTTTCTTCTCACTGGTTTCAAAGAATTTCTTGATTTCTGCCTTAATTTTATTGTTTACCCAAAAGTCATTCAGGAGCAGGCTGTTTAATTTTCATATAATCCTATGGTTTCTGAGTGATTTTCTTAGTATTTATTTATATAGTATTGCACTGTGATCTGAAAGCGTGGTTGGTATGATTTTTTTTTAACTTGCTGAGATTTGTTTTATGGATGATTGTGTGGTCAATTTTACAGTATGTGCCTGGTGCAGATGAGAAGAATGTTCTGTCGTTTTTGAGTGGGGAGTTCTGTAGGTGTCTGTTAAATCCATTTGGTTAAGTGTTGAGTTCAGGTACCAAAACCTTTGCTAGTTTTTTGCCCCGATGATCTGTCTAATACTGTCTGTGGGATGTTGAAGTCTCCCACTACTATTGTGTGGTTATTGAAGTCTTTCTGTAGATCTCTCAGATCTTGCTTTATGAATGTGTGTGCTTGTGTGTTGGGTGCATATATATTTTGGATAGTTAGGTCTTCTCGTGGAATTAAACCCTTTACCATTATGTAATGTCCTTCCTTGTCTCTTTTGATATTTGGTTTTTTAAGTTTGTTTTGTCTGAAATTATAATAGCAACCCCTGCTTCATCGTTTTTGATTTGCTTGCTAAATTTTTCTCCATTCCTTCACTTTCAGGCTATGGATTTCATTGCACGTGAGATCAGTCTCTTGAAGACAGCAGACAGCATACAGGGAATCTTCCTTCATTATCCAATTTGCCACTCTATGCCTCTTATTATAATTTGGGCATTTAGCCCATTTACATTTAAGGTTAATATTAATATATGTGGATTTGATCCTGACATCATGTTTTTAGCTGGTTACTATACAGACATTATTTTATGGTGGCTTTACAGTGTCAATGGTCTGTATAATAAAGTGTATTTTTGTGGTGGCTAGTAACTGTCTTTCCTTTCCATATTTAACACCCCCTTAAGGACCTCTTGTAAGGTTCTTGCAAGTCTTGCTGGCCTGGTCATAATGAATTCCCTTAGCTTTTGCTCATCTGAAAAGAAATGTATCTCTCCTTTGCTTATGAAACTTAGTTTGTCTGGATATGAAATTCTTGGTTGAAATTTCTTATTTTAAGAATGCTGAATATATGCCCCCAATCCCTCCTGGCTTGTAGGGTTTCTGCTGAAATGACCACTCTTAGTTTGATGGAGCTCCCTTTGTAGATGACTACCCCTTCTCCCTGACTGCTTTTAGCATTTTTTCTTTCATTTTGACCTTGGAAATCAGATGACTATGTGTCTTGGAGATGGTCATTTTTTTTTTTTTTAGACGGAGTTTCACTCTTGTTGCCCAGGCTGGAGTGCAGTGGCACGGTCTCAGCTCACCATAGCCTCTGGCTCCCAGGTTCAAGGATTCTCCTGCCTCAGCCTCCCAAATAGCTGGGATTACAGGCATGTACTACCATGCCCAGCTAATTTTGTATTTTTAGTAGAGACGGGGTTTCACCATGTTGGCCAGGCTGGTCTCAAACTCCTGACCTCAGGTGATCTGCCCTCCTTGGCCTCCCAAAGTGCTGGGATTACAGGTGTGAGCCACCTCGCCCGGCACTGGGATGGTCATCTTGTATGGTATATTGCAAGGGTTCTCTGCATTTTCTGGATTTGAATATTGGCCTCTTTTGTGAGGTTTGGGAAATTTTTGTGGCTGATACTCTCAAATATGTTTTCCAAGTTGCTTGCTTTCTCTCCCTGTCTTTCAGGGATGCCATTGAGTCATAGATTTGGTCTCTTTACAGAATCTCATATTTCTCAGAGGTTTTATTCTTCCTTCTTTATTGTTTTTGTCTTTATGTTTGTCTGACTGAATTATTTCAGAGAATCCATCTTCCATCTCTGAGATGCTTTCTTCAGCTTGCTCAATTCTGCCATTAATACTCGTGATTGTATTATAAAATTCTTGAAATGAGTATTTCATTTCTATCTGTTCTGTTTGGTTCTCCTTAAAATGGTCATTTTATCTTTTATCTCTTGTATCATTTTATCATGTTCCTTAAGTTCCTTGGATTGCACTTCAACTTTCTTCTGAATGTCAGTGATCTTCATTCCTATTCATGTTCTGAGTTCTATGTGTGTCATTTCAGCCGTTTCAGCCTGGGTAAGGACAATTGCTGGGAAACTAGTGCAGTCATTTTGAGATGAGAAAACACTCTGGCTTTTTGAGTTGCCAGAGTTCTTGCACTGGTTCTTTCTCATTTGTGTGGGCTGATGTTCCTTTGATCGTTGAAGCTGCTGTCTTTTGGATTTTTTGTTGTTGTTGTCGTTGTTTTTCTTTTTTCTTCTTTGGTGCCCTTGGGATTTGATTTTGGTATAAGGTGGGTTCAGTCAGCTAGCTTTGTTTCTGGAAGATTTCCAAGGGCCAAGGTTTAGCTCAGCACTTCTGGGCTGCATGCTCTAACTCTAGGGGGCTGGTACAGGGCTCCTGTCTTTCTTCTCTAGTCCCTCTAGGTTAGGTACCGCTGTGCTGAAAGGACCAAGGTATTTCTGGTCTGCTGGCTACAGCCCTCTGATGGGTGGTCCTGGATAAACCACTTCATCAGGGTGGTCACAGTGGGGTCTGTGCTCATTCATGTAAGCCAGCAGTCTTGGCAGTGTGGCAGAGTGCATGTGAGTTGGCTGGGGTTGGATACCAGCAGGAGGGGAGCTGCAGCATTCCTGCATACACTCCTGCTGGCAGTGTGGTAGGGGTGGGGCTCTGGTGGGGATGGGTTTGCTGGTGTCTGTTCTTGCACTTCCACCATCAGCGGCAGCAGTGGTGGTGGCAGGGGGAGGCAGGGTTGCCATGGGCACATTAGCAGCAGCTGTGGTTGCAGCGCAGGGTTGTGGGCAGTCAGTGTTATTGGCATTCCTGCGTGCATTTGTGCTGGCAATGGCAGTGTGGCTGTGTGCCCACATATCAGCAGGGGACATTGTGGAGTGCACTCATGCTGGCAGCAGTGGCACAGCACAGTGCATGTGCAAGTGCATGCTGATGAGAGAGGGAAAGCAAGGTCTGCCTGAATGCACACACTGTCAAAGCAGCTGGGGAGCAGGAATGGACAAGTGCATGTCAGCAAGGCCATGTCGGGGAGGCTGCAGCGGGAGAAGGGTGTAGGTGGACTGGTGCACATTAGTAGGGGCTGCTCTGCTGGAGATCTCCAATGATCAGACACAGTCTGACAGTGAAGGAGCTATGATGAGGGGCCCCTGGGAAGCACCCTGGTTGGGCATCCAAGGCTATGCTGCAAGTGGGCATGTGTCAGGCTGAGGCTTCAGTAGAGGCCAGTTGTCGGGGGGCACTCAGATCAGATTGGCTCTGTCTCTCTGGCAAAACCACCCTTCTCTATTGAGGTCCAACAGTCACCCCAAGGCTAAAGTCTCCTAGAGGGGCATGGTGAGCCTTAAGGGATGGGCATCCCGGGCCATGCTCCACAACAAATGTTACCACACCCAATCCTCTGGGCTCAGCATAGTCTGGAGTCCTGCCCTTATCACTTTTCTATGCTTCTCTCCCTGCCAGCTCAAGTGTCTTTGGGGGATCATTGGGTCTCCTGCTTCCAGGATTCTGGAGGTACATGGCGAGAGTGGGCCACTCCTCATCTGTTCAACTCACTATTTCCCCAGGAGTCACTAAAGGCCAGAAATGAGTACCAGTGCTCAGTAGTCTCATGCAGGGTTCCCAGCTTCCTCCCTCTTCAGCCCAGCATCTGCTTCCTCCCTCCATCTACTCTCAATGTCTTTCCTCCTAAGATCTGCCTGGAATGTGCCAGTCTTCCCAATGTCCCAGTCTCTTGGCGGCAGATGTTCCTCCTGGCTACATCTAGTTGGCCATCTTAACTGCTTGTTCAGTAACTTTTAAAAGCTCTCTTTCCCCCGTGCATTTTCTCTCTCAGCCTCATTCTTCTTAGGCTTCTTGGTCTGTCTATTGCTTGTTTTGAGTGTTGTCCCTTACTCTGCTATTGTTGAGTGAAGTGGCCTCTATATGTCTTTTTTGTCTGGATGGTTAGTATTATTGTTCAAGCACTCTATTATTTATTGATCTTCTGTGTACTTGTTGCATTCATTATTAAGACTGGGTTATGAAAGTCTCAAACTGCAGTCAACACATGTACCTTTAAATGTTTTTGTTGAAAGCTGACCTGGAAGCCTCTTTGGCCTGAGCAATGTTGTAATTTGGGTGAAACTAAAAGAATCTTTGTGCTAGTCCTTGAAGGAGCTGCCAGATACATTGAGATCCACAATCACAATTCTTTGATAGTAAAGACGGCACTACTCCTTCTGTCACTAGCAGTCTGCACCAAGAGTAAAGGCTGCTGTTCTCGTGGTTGGTGCCAATATGGGAAAGGGGAATGGTATAAAGGCAATTTAAAATTCCACAGTGCTCTGTTACCACAAAGCAGCAGCTTCTTTCTTCATCATATCTTCCCCTGGTTGTTGTAAGTTTTTGACTAAATTCCATAGTTCTACAAAAGTGGATTCTGACAGCTATTACCAAATCATTATTTGATTTTGGGGAGAGAAGTATCCCTAGAATTCTTTATTTCATCATTTTCAGTGATGTCACTGAACCCTCACAATTACTTTTGTACTGAATTTTTCAAGAGGACAGATAGAAAGAAGGAAAAAAGAAAACAAGCAAGAAAGAAAGCTGCAGTTTAATTATTAAGAGACAAATTTGGGACACAAGTTTTGTATTAACACATAGACTTATTGTCTCATCTTTTCTGGCCACTGGGAATATTAAGCATTTATTGAGATGGAGGTTCCACAAGGTCTAAGCAACCTTTATCCCTGAAGCTCACATGGAAGACAGAAGCTTCTTTTGTGTATTCTCAGACTGGATTCCTGGTTATAGTTTTAGCTCCCAATCAAAGTAAACACAGATCTGCCATTACTATGTTTGGCGGGGGGGTTTACATTTCCAGCGTAAACCAGGCCAGAGAACATCATTACTCTTTGTCTCCTGAGATTGTGGATGCCTTTCTTTCTAATCTGCACACTTAATATTTATATATTCCACTAAGAAACCTGGACTAACACAGGGATCTCTTTTCTAATTTCCTTACTTGCACAGGCTCCAACCCTTCTATTCATCACTGCAGAAGCATTATGATATGACAGGGTTATTATGATATGACAGGCAGAGTAGGACTTCTTTCTTCCGTCAACATTTGATCTATCTCCTTTTCTAAAGCAACCCATTTCAGATATGGAAGTGTAAAAACCAGGCACATATGTTTGAATAGTGGGAGTGGGGAATGCCAAGCAAAGAACCACACCATACTCCTCCTCAATCTCCATGGGTGAATATTCCGAGAAGACTTGTTGGTTCAGCCCAGATCATCTATCCAAAGTTTGAGTCATTGGCTGTGGCTCAGGGATGTCAGTCCTTTACTGGCTGAGCCAGTGGAAAGGAGAAATGGATGGCTTTCACTGGATGTTACCATCATCCTCCATGGTCCTAGTGTTTTTCCTAATGGCAAATCATGATGACTTATGTATTTTAAATTAAAGAATATAGACTGGAAATGATTATAGTCAAATAAATATGCATGAAATAAAATAGAAATATTAGAGTCCAGTGAGCTTAAAGAAGACACTGTTTCTTTCTTTCTTTCTTTCTTTATTATTATACATTAAGTTTTAGGGAACATGTGCACATTGTGCAGGTTAGTTACATACGTATACATGTGCCATGCTGGTGTGCTGCACCCACTAACTCGTCATCTAGCATTAGGTATATCTCCCAATGCTATCCCTCCCCCCCACCCCCAACCCCACAACAGTCCCCAGAGTGTGATGTTCCCTTTCCTGTGTCCATGTGATCTCATGGTTCAATTCCCACCTATGAGTGAAAATATGCGGTGTTTGGTTTTTTGTTCTTGCGATAGTTTACTGAGAATGATAGTTTCCAATTTCATCCATGTCCCTACAAAGGACATGAACTCATCATTTTTTATGGCTGCATAGTATTCTATGGTGTATATGTGCCACATTTTCTTAATCCAGTCTATCATTGTTGGACATTTGGGTTGGTTCCAAGTCTTTGCTATTGTGAATAATGCCGCAATAAACATACGTGTGCATGTGTCTTTATAGCAGCATGATTTATAGTCCTTTGGGTATATACCCAGTAATGGGATGGCTGGGTCAAATGGTATTTCTAGTTCTAGATCCCTGAGGAATCGCCACACTGACTTCCACAATGGTTGAACTAGTTTACAGTCCCACCAACAGTGTCAAAGTGTTCCTATTTCTCCACATCCTCTCCAGCACCTGTTGCTTCCTGACTTTTAAATGATCACCATTCTAACTGGTGTGCGATGGTATCTCATTGTGGTTTTGATTTGCATTTCTCTGATGGCCAGTGATGATGAGCATTTTTTCATGTGTTTTTTGGCTGCATAAATGTCTTCTTTTGAGAAGTGTCTGTTCATGTCCTTCGCCCACTTTTTGATGGGGTTGTTTGTTTTTTTCTTGTAAATTTGTTTGAGTTCATTGTAGATTCTGGATATTAGCCCTTTGTCAGATGAGTAGGTTGCAAAAATTTTCTCCCATTTTGTAGGTTGCCTGTTCACTCTGATGGTAGTTTCTTTTGCTGTGCAGAAGCTCTTTAGTTTAATTAGATCCCATTTGTCAATTTTGGCTTTTGTTGCCATTGCTTTTGGTATTTTAGACATGAAGTCCTTACCCATGCCTATGTCCTGAATGGTAATGCCTAGGTTTTCTTCTAGGGTTTTTATGGTTTTAGGTCTAACGTTTAAGTCTTTAATCCATCTTGAATTGATTTTTGTATAAGGTGTAAGGAAGGGATCCAGTTTCAGCTTTCTACATATGGCTAGCCAGTTTTCCCAGCACCATTTATTAAATAGGGAATCCTTTCCCCATTGCTTGTTTTTCTCAGGTTTGTCAAAGATCAGATAGTTGTAGATATGCAGTGTTATTTCTGAGGGCTCTGTTCTGTTCCATTGATCTATATCTCTGTTTTGGTACCAGTACCATGCTGTTTTGGTTACTGTAGCCTTGTAGTATAGTTTGAAGTCAGGTAGTGTGATGCCTCTAGCTTTGTTTTTTTGGCTTAGGATTGACTTGGCGATGCGGGCTCTTTTTTGGTTCCATATGAACTTTAAAGTAGTTTTTTCCAATTCTGTGAAGAAAGGCATTGGTAGCTTGATGGGGATGGCATTGAATCTATAAATTACCTTGGGCAGTATAGCCATTTTCACAATATTGATTCTTCCTACCCATGAGCATGGAATGTTCTTCCATTTGTTTGTATCCTCTTTTATTTCCTTGAGCAGCAGTTTGTAATTCTCTTGAAGAGGTCCTTCACATCCCTTGTAAGTTGGATTCCTAGGTATTTTATTCTCTTTGAAGCAATTGTGAATGGGAGTTCACTCATGATTTGGCTCTCTGTTTGTCTGTTGTTGGTGTATAGGAATGCTTGTGATTTTTGCACATTGATTTTGTATCCTGAGACTTTGCTGAAGTTGCTTATCAGCTTAAGGAGATTTTGGGCTGAGACAATGGGGTTTTCTAGATATACAATCATGTTATCTGCAAACAGGGACAATTTGACTTCCTCTTTTCCTAATTGAATACCCTTTATTCCCTTCTCCTGCCTGATTGCCCTGGCCAGAACTTCCAACACTATGTTGAATAGGAGTGGTGAGAGAGGGCATCCGTGTTGTGTGCCAGTTTTCAAAGGGAATGCTTCCAGTTTTTGCCCATTCAGTATGATATTGGCTGTGGGTTTGTCATAGATAGCTCTTATTATTTTGAGATAGGTCCCATCAATACCTAATTTATTGAGAGTTTTTAGTATGAAGGGTTGTTGAAATTTGTCAAAGGCCTTTTCTGCATCTATTGAGATAATCATGTGGTTTTTGTCTTTGGCTCTGTTTATATGCTGGATTACATTTATTGATTTGTGTATATTGAACCAGCCTTGCATCCCAGGGATGAAGCCCACTTGATCATGGTGGATAAGCTTTTTGATGTGCTGCTGTATCTGGTTTGCCAGTATTTTATTGAGGATTTTTGCATCAATGTTCATCAAGGATATTTGTCTAAAATTCTCTTTTTTGGTTGTGTCTCTGCCCGGCTTTGGTATCAGAATGATGCTGGCCTCATCAAATGAGTGAGGGAGGATTCCCTCTTTTTCTATTGATTGGAATAGTTTCAGAAGGAATGGTACCAGTTCCTCCTTGTACCTCTGGTAGAATTCGGCTGTGGATCCATCTGGTCCTGGACTCTTTTTGGTTGGTAAGCTATTGATTATTGCCTCAATTTCAGATCCTGTTATTGGTCTATTCAGAGATTCAACTTCTTCCTGGTTTAGTCTTGGGAGAGTGTATGTGTGAAGGAATTTATCCATTTCTTCTAGATTTTCTAGTTTATTTGCATAGAGGTGTTTGTAGTATTCTCTGATGGTAGTTTGTATTTCTGTGGGATCGGTGGTGATATCCTATTTATCATTTTTTATTGCGTCTATTTGATTCTTCTCTCTTTTTTTCTTTATTAGTCTTGCTAGCGGTCTATCAATTTTGTTGATCCTTTCAAAAAACCAGCTCCTGGATTCATTAATTTTTTGAAGAGTTTTTTGTGTCTCTATTTCCTTCAGTTCTGCTCTGATTTTAGTTATTTCTTGCCTTCTGCTAGCTTTTGAATGTGTTTGCTCTTGCTTTTCTAGTTCTTTTAATTGTGATGTTAGGGTGTCAATTTTGGATCTTTCCTGCTTTCTCTTGTGGGCATTTAGTGCTATAAATTTCCCTCTACACACTGCTTTGAATGCATCCCAGAGATTCTGGTATGTTGAAGACACTGTTTCTTGACATTTTTTTTTTAGCTATTTATGTGCTGTTTGGGGGTCCTTGGTTATGTATTTATTTGAGTCTATTAATTTAAGTCCTGTTGAAAAAATTAATACTCTTTTATTATTATATTGTTTTCCTTGGGTTGACACTTAGAATATTTTATTTATTGTGGTAAAGGTGTTTTTCTTATTTCACCTTTTGTCATTAAGTCACAGCATTAGCACACAATTGCACAGTTAGTCCCTATTCTCCCATTCACTCACTCCCAGAGCTCACTTAATGTTTTTTCCTATTCTTCCACTGGTTAACAATCAGATGTATTAATTTTCCCTTTTAATCTATAATATCAAGCCTCAATTTTCCTCTCTCTTTGCCAGGTTTCATCTATCTCAATCACCTCTGTCATCTCAGTCTTCATTCTATAGTTCAATTATGGTGCATTTTAAAACTTAATGTGCTAATCCTTTTATTTTCTTTATGAATTTGCAAATGGAAAATAGCCAAAACGCAACACAACTGTCACAATGGATTCAGTATGTTAAAATGCTATCTCATATAATACAGTAATATATGAAATCAGTATATTAAAAAAATGGGGAAAATACTGGTGCAGCATATTGACAAGTATTAGCACTTTCAAACAGCCAGTAGAAATTAAGTGACTCAGCAAAACACCATTTTTTGTTTTTTAGAACTTATGAACAGCTTTTCTCTGATTATATGCATGGCTCTGAAAAGAGTCTTTGGTTTTCCAAAATTTTGTTCCAGAAGTATAAGTCAGTCACGTAGCACTTGCAGATGATTTTGAGGCCATTTTTCTCAGTCCCCTTGGGCAGCAATATCCTTTTCCAAATTCTTTTAAATGATTTCTCCAATATTCTACAATAATGATCAATAATTTCCTGATGAGATGGCTTATTTGTCCTGAATCCTGACTCTAATGATGATAATACTATTCTTTTTTTTTTTCTTTTTTGAGAAAGGGTCTTGCTCTGTAGTCCAAGCTGGAATGCAGTGGCACAAACATGGCTCACTGCACACTTGACCTCCTGGGTTCAAGCTATCCTTCCACCTCAGTCTCCTGAGAAGCTGGGACCACAGGTGTGCACCATCTTATTTTTTGTGGAGAAGGATTCTTGTCATATTGCTCAGACTGCTTTTGAACTCCTGAACTCAAGGAATCCTCCTTTCTCTGCCTCCCAAAGTGCTGGTGCTGGGATTACAGGTGTGAGCCACCATTCCCAGCTAATACGATTATTTCAACATGAAACAAACATTTTCTAACTCATTATATTAGCAAAGGAATTTGAAGCATCTATTGAAATTATGCCAAGATGTTCTCTTTTATCTTAATGCCATAAAGTGAATCGTGTTTGTATTTTATTCAATACTAAACAATTTCTGTATTTTTTATGGATCCTGGTTGGTCCTTTAATGTTCATCTTTTAGTGAGAAATCAAATTTTATTGCTAATATATTCTGATGGATTGTGTCATCATTTATAAATATGATTTATAGGAACTTTTAAAACATGCTCTCTTCAGTATGTTTTATCATCATATTTTATTTTCTTTAAATAAAAAATTGATTTTTTTTTCATAAGTCGGAACCATTTCATTAGCAGTAGAAATATCCATTCCTTAATGGTCTGTCAGAAAACATACCTGGAAGCTTGGACATTTGTGATGGTAGCTCATTAATTACCTTAATTTCTTCAATTCTTCTTAGTCTTTCAGGGTATAGGGAGAGGTGTTAGCTTTTTCCACAAATTCATACATTTTATCAATATTTTTTGAATGTATTATCATAGATTTTAGAGGAGTATCCCTTTTATTTTAACATAGTTTCTATTATATTAATCTTTTCTTTCTCCCTGAGGAGATTACTTAGAGGTATAATTTAATAATTTTTTCCTGCCAACAGTTTTCATGTTTCAGGTATTTTTCTAGGACCTAAGTATTGTCAAGAAAACAATCTTGAACTTGATATATGTTTAAAGATTTATGTATGTATACACACACACACACACACACACACACACACAGTCATGTGCCATAAAGATGTTTCAGTCAATGACAGACCACGTGTACAACAGTGGTCTCATAAGATTATAATGAAGCTGAAAAATTGCTATCACTTTGTGACACCGTAGCTGATGGCAAACAACTTTAACCTGCCTGTGGATAAGAATAACACTGAGGAGCTCCCAGAGGTGGTTTCTGATGAATTGACTAGTGAGCAGTTGTTGAAACTTGAATAAGGATGCATAAAGGGGCAAGAAATTACAGGAGAACAAAAAGAAGAAGAACTCCCAAGAAAATTTACAGTAAAGGGTTTAGAAAAAGATTTTACAGACCCCAACAAGCTTCATAGAAAGTTTGAAAACATGGACCCCAACACCAAAAGGTTTTCATTAATGGAGAAGAATGTGCATGGTGCATTATCTGTCTACAAGCAAATCTATGATGACAAAAAGAAACAAACCAAGCAAACAATCTTGGACATATTCCTGAAAAGAGTGATATCTCCTCAAGAGCCTCAGGCTGATCCCTCAGGAGCTATTCCAGAAGAAGGCATTGTTATCATAGAAGACACCTCCATCCATGTTATTGTCCCTGAAGACCTTCCAGTGGCACAAGATGTGGAGGTGACAGACAGTGATATTGATGATCCTGACCCTGTGTAGGCCTAGGCTAATGTGTAAGTTTATGTCTTCATTTTTATCAAAAAGTTTAAAATTAAAACATAATTAAAACTAGAAAAAAAGCTTATAAAGTAAGGATAAAAAGAAAGAAAATATTTTTACAACTGTACAATGTGTTTGTGTTTAAGGTAAGTGTTATTATAAAAGTCAAAAAGTTTAAAATTTATAAAGTTACAGTAAGCTTTTATTGAAGAAAGACATTTGAAAATAAATTCAGCTTAGCCTAAGTGTACAGTGTTTATAAAGTTTATGGCAGTGTACAGTAATGTCCTAGGCCTTCACATTCACTTACCACTTACTCATTCACTTACCACTCACCCAGAGAAACTTTCAGGTCTGTAAGTTCCATTCGCGGTAAGTGCCCTGTACAAGTGTACCATTTTCTATCTTTTGTACTGTATTTTGCTGTACCTTTTCTAGGTTTAGATATGTTTAGAGACACAAATACTTACTATTGTGTTACAACTGCCTACAATATTATGCACTCACTGACTCACTCAGAGTGACTTCTCATCCTGCAAGCTCCATTCATGCTAAGTATCTCACACAAGTGTACCATGTTGTAATCTTTTATACTGTATTTTCCTGTACCTTTTGTAGGTTTAGATATATTTAAATAAATAACTACCTATTATTTTATTACAATTGCCTACAGTATTCAGTACAGTAACATGCTGTGTAGGTTTGTAACTTAGAAACAATAGGCTATAGCATACAGCCTAAGTGTGTAGTAGGCTATACTATCTAGGTTTGTGTAAGTACACTCTATGATGTTGGCACAACAAAGGCACCTAACAAGGCATTTCTCAGAACGTCCCCCCTCATTGAGCAATGTATACACATATATAGCATATATATACACACACACACACACATATATAGTGTATATATATATATACACACACACATGTATAGTGTATATATATATATATATACACACACACACATATATAGTATATATATACATATATATTTTGTGTATATGGAGTAGATACATATAGACATAGATACAGATATACATATAGATATATATCTCCATTTGTGTTTGTGTTGTCTGTGTTGAGACTGGATTTTGCCATTTCTCCTTTTTCCAATCCTGTGAGGTTTTTGGTGAGAACCACAGGCAGTGGTGGGTCAACTAAGTCCTTTGTTTTCCAGAAGCAGTACGTTTCCCCATGTCAGAGTATTCCTCCTTAAGTCAAGGTGGCTTGGGACCTAAACAACTGTGGATTGGGGTTGGAGGACAAATGGCCCAAATGTAGCCAGCATAATTCCTCTGGCATTATGGACATCAGTTATACAGAGGTAAGGATCTTTCAAGGGACTGAAGCTGACATCTCTACAATGTTGCTGCTGTAGGGGTATCTTTGCAATGTGCTTTTAGTGAAGGTCACAGGAAACTTCTAGGCTTCTTGCCTTCTAATTGACTCATCCAAAGTAGGAGGAATATTCAATCACATCTAAAATGGTGTGGTTTATTGACAGGCTTTCCCTCACTGCATATTGTCTGATCAAATATTGAGTTTACCCAACACTTCATTTGAATACAGACCCTATAACTGGGCCCCACCTTGTCATCAGTGGCCATTCTCATTTTTCAAAGGCACTAGAAAGGTACTTCTATCATGCCTGAACCTTCTACTGACTTTCCTATGTTTAGCAAGAAGTATTCAAAAAAAAAAAAAAAGCTGCCTCTAAAACCCAGTAGGGAAAAAGAAGTGAAAGAGATGGGGCCACTGAGAGAGTTACTCCACCGATGCCCACAATGTTCTGAAGCAGGTTCATGCTGACTTAGGCATTTCATTAAGAGCCCACAAACATCTTGGATTATTTACTTGATGACATCCATGAGTGCATCCCAAACAAGGCCTGTTAGCTGGTCTGTTACAAAAGGTGCTCAGGCATCATCTCCAGAGAGGTTCAAACTGTTTTTCACCTGCTGCTTCCCATAAAGGTGGCTGTTCACACTGGTTCTGAGGGCATGAAGGCCGTCATCAAGTACATCAGCCACAAATGAGCTGCCATCAGAAGGATTTGAGTAGCAAAATCCAAAGGCTTTTTTCCTTAGTCATCTATTATATATATATATATAGTATACATTATATGTATATGAACTATAGCCCAGTAAAGTTTCTTTTTTTCTTTTCTTTTCTTTTTAAAAGGCTACTCTTTGTTGAATATTTTCTACATGCCAGCCCTGTGTAAGAGTTTATATGTATGAAAATCATTAGGAGGGTAACAGTAGCTCAGTAAAGTTTGTTCTATTTTAATTTTTGACTTGTGGCATTCTGCTGATTTTAAGATGTCATTCCTATAATCAGCTAAACATTACAATTTTGTGTTTAATATATCTGTAGTTAAATTTGTTCAAGGGAAAATAGTGGATTATGTTCAAAATGTTCCATATAACTACTTCACTAAAAGGTTAGTTCCGGTAGTTATTTTTCTAGGAAAGCCTTCCAGAAGTTCTGTAAGGTCGTAACTATTTTTATAACATTATTCTTTCGAATTCTCATTCTTCCACAAATATAGACTGGAATTTTTCAGTGGTGCTTTATGTATGAGATGTCAATAGATTCTGTTCAAAAGTAAATATAAAATTACAGTGGACCTCTATTTGCCCAGGTAGTAAAAAATATAC
The DNA here is from genome assembly GCF_000001405.40 of Homo sapiens. Taxonomy (NCBI): domain Eukaryota; kingdom Metazoa; phylum Chordata; class Mammalia; order Primates; family Hominidae; genus Homo; species Homo sapiens. The sequence goes on along the minus strand of NC_000023.11, from coordinate 101,988,856 downwards.
ATATATATATAGAGAGAGAGAGACAGGGTCTCATTCTGTCACCCAGGCTGAAGTGCAGTGGCATGATCACACCTCACTGCAACCATGACCTCTTGAACTCAAGTGATTGTCCCATGTCAGTCTCCAGAGTAGCTAGGACCACAGGTGAAAAATATTTTTAAATATGTAAAACAATGTTAATCTGTTATCTGCTTTATTTTAGGAAATTACATTTTTCATATGAACTTGCATTTTATGCTATCATGTAATTAGTTTTGCCACATTTAACAATAAAAATGGAGAACACCCAGTGAAATTGGAACTTCAGATAAACAATGAATAATTATTTATATTACCAAGATGCATACAATATTTGGGACATAATTATACTAAAAGTTATTCATTTATTATTAGAAATTCAAATTTAACTAGATGTATTTCATTTGGCAACTCTAGAATGATGATCTCCAGCAATTTCCAGAGGATGGATTTTCAGCAAATTGAGCCTCGGTGACACCAAAGTGACTGCTCTTTCAATGAGCCATGGTTATGTCCTCTCCACCAAGGTCTGGATCTCAGCCTTGAGAGATGGACTCTTTTTTGGGTGTATATCATAGAATGTCATGCCATTTACTCATTCAATAAGCATTTAATATACTCATGTTAAGGGCCAGAACCTGCTAGTATGTATCTCTATGATCACTGGACATGTCTGTCCTGACTTCTAGACATTGTTGTCTTTGTGAATACCCTCTCACATATACATGACCAGACAAGAATATCTGATCAATCTAATTTATTCCAGCCAGTACATGAGCCTTATTTTTCAACTTCTTAAAGCAGTGCCATGTAGAAAAATGGGAGAACACAGAATTTGGAAGCAGTCAGAATCGCGTTCGAATTCCTGCTCAGACATTCCCCAAGTTGTGTGTATTTGGAAAATGCAAGTAACCTTTCTGATACCTATATCACAGGATTGTTATGCAGATTCCATGAGGATACCTCTGTAGTGATCCCAACTCCCTGTGGCTCAGTTTTCCCCTCCATTCTACTTGTTTTCCCCAAACTTAATGACTTTAAATGACTACATTCAAATTCTTGTGTAAGTAATATAAGGGATAAGGCAGAGAAATGTAAGGATGTATTCCTTTCCTAGAGCTCCCATAACAAAGTACCACAAACCAGGTAGCTTAAACATCAGAAGTGTATTGTCTTATAGTTCTGAAGACTAGAAGTCCAAAATCAAGGTGACACACAGATGGTTCTTTCTGAAGGTGTTGAGGGAAGGATCTGCCCCAAGCAATTTTGTATGGCTTATAGATGACCATCTTCTCTCTGTGTCTCTTCACACGGTCTTTTCTCTGTGTCCAGATTTCTTCGTTTTATAAAGATATTAGTGATATTGGATTAGACCCCACCCTAATGACCTCATTTTAACTTTATTACCTCTATAAAAACCCTATCTTCAAATAAGGTCACATTCTAAGATATTGGGGGCTAGGGCTCCAACACAACTTTTTAAAAAACTTTAGAGACAGGATCTCACTCTGTCACCCAAGCTGAAGTGCCATAACACTATCACAGCTCACTGAAACCTTGAACTTCCAGGCTCAGGCAATCCTCTTGCCTCAGCCTCCAGAGCAGCTAGGAGTACAGGCATGTACTACCATGCAAAGTTACTTATTTTATTTTTTGTAGAGATGTGGTCTTGCTTTGTTGCCCAGGCTTGTCTTGAACTCCTGGCCTCATGTGATCCTCCAGCCTCAGCCTCTCAAAGTGCTGGTGTTACTGGTGGAGAGTGTCCAGGTTATTGGCATCTTGAACAAGCAATTGGACAAAACGCACAAACAAAGCAAGGGAGGAATGAAGGAATTTATTGAAAACGAAAGTACACTGGACAGGTGGGAGTGGGCCCTGCCATAGGGGCTCAAAGGCCCCGTTGCAGAATTTCTGGGAGTTTAAATACCCTCTAGAGGATTCCATTGGTTACTTGGAGTATGCCCTATGTAAATGAAGAGGATGAAGTAAAATTACAAAGTCATTTACTCAGCATATGCCCTGTGGAGAAGATATTTCCTGTCATAGCTGAAGTGTGAATTGGCCTTATGTTTCCTGCCTCCAGATCCCATTTCCTGCTTCACTGGGATTACAGGCGTGAGTCACTCCACACAGTCCCCAACATATCTTTTTTGAGGGGACAAAATGTAACCCATTTCAAGAGGTGAGTATCAGACCTTAGATTATAAAATGTGAATAGGTAAAATAACCTGATTACCTAAGCTCTCTCCATAATCTTTACATACAAGGAAAACAAAGCTCATTAGTGGGAGGAGAGGAACATAGATCTGGGTCTCTGGAACTGGAAATGAGTATTCTGGTGATACCATGCCATAGAACAATAGGACAAAATGTCTTTTCTGTCTCTTAGACTTGTAATTGATAGTTAAGGAATAAGGAGTTAAAACAAGAACAGGGAATTTGGGAGCAATCTTGGTGCCAATCCCAGGTTTCCCACTGTAGGATCTTAGGACAACATATAGGATCTTAGGACAACATATAGGATCTTAGGACAACATATAGGATCTTAGAAAAGAGGCTTCATAGCTCTGACTCACAGAGAATGGAAATGATATTTCCACATCCCAGAGAACTCTGATAACATATCTGAGGGAACCTAGATGAGGCACACAGAATTCCCAGATTCCTGACAAGGCAGATAACTGGTAAACGGCCCTTGATTTGGAGGCATGCATCAATGAGTTTTATAAAAATAGTCTTAATAATAATATTGGCCAGGCACGGTGGCTCACTCCTTTAATCCCGGCACTTTGGGAGGCTGAGGCGGGTGGATCACCTGAGGTCAGGAATTCGAGACCAGCCTGGCCAGCATGGCGAAACACTGTCTCTGCTACAGATAACAAAAATTAGCTGGGCGTGGTGGTGGGCACCTGTAATCCCAGCTACTCAGGAGGCTGAGGCAGGGAGAACTGCTTGAACCTGGGAGTCAGAGGTTACAGTGAGCCGAGATTGTGCCACCACACTCCAGCCTGGGTGACAGAGTGAGATTCTGTCTCAAATAATAATGATAATAATAATAATTATGATGATAATTTTGTTCAAGTTTTAAGTTATTTATAATTTATTTTTTATTTTTATTTTTTCCCAAACCTCTCAGGTATAAGTTAATTTTTAATTGAAACTTTTAAACAATAATATCAGTATCAATTCATAGTCATTCTTCTCTATTTAGTGAGCCTCCAATCTCTCAATTACAAGATTATTTTGTTGCTTGTACATATGGTATCACATATAAGAATCCTTTGCCAAATCCAAGGTTATGAAGACTTACTGCTATGTTTTTTATAAGACATTTATAGTTTTATCTCTTATATTTAGGTTATTGATCCATTTTGGGTTGATTTTTTTATTTGGTGTGAGGTAAGAGTCCAACATTTTATTTTGCTTGTGGATATCCAGTAGTTCTAAAACTATTTGTTGAAGAGAATACTCTTTGAATAGTCCTGCTAACTTTATGGAAAATCCATTGACTATAGATGTATGAATTTATTTCTGGAATGTGTTTAATTCCACTGGTCTGTATATCTATTTTTATGCCAATACCACATTGCTTTGATTACTGTAGCTTTGTAGTAAGTTTTGAAATTGGGAAGTGTGAATCCTCTCACTTTATACTTTTTAACGCTATTTTTGCTATTTGGGGCCCCTAGAAATACCATACAAATTAGAAGATTGACTGTTCCATTTCTCCAAAAATGGTGATTGGAATTTTTATAGAGATTGCATTAAATCTGTACGTTGTTTTGGTAGTATTTCTATCTTAACAATATTAAGTTTCTAATCCATGAACCCAGGATGCCCTTCCATTTATTTAGGTCTTCCTTAATTTCATTCAGCAATGTTTTGTATTTTTTTCAGTGTACAAGTCTTATACCTCTTTGGTTACATTTATTCCTAAGTATTTTATTCCTTTGGATGCTATTGTTTTCTCAGCAAGTTTTAGAAATGATATGTTGCTGGTATGTAGAAATACAACTGATTTTTGTGTGTTGATCTTGTACCTTGCAAATTTGCCTAATTTGTTTATTAGCTTCAGTAGATTTTTTTGTGGATTCCTTGCAGTTTTCTACATATAGGATCATGTTATCTGTGTCTAATTTCACTTATTCCTTTATAATTTGGATGCTTTTTATTTTTTTTCTAGTGTAATTGTTATAGCTAGAACTTCCACTATAACATTGAACAGCAACAGTGAAAGCAGGCACCTCTATCTTGTTCCTATCTTATGGCGAGAGCTCAGTCTCTCACCAATGAGTAGGAGATTAGCTGCGTTATGAACTCTAAATGTCCTTGTAAATAATGTGGGAGAGGTATGAACTCTCCCACATTGTTAGTGGAAATGTGAATTGATATAAATATTTTAATATTATTTATTGACAAAAAATCTTGAAATCTAAATAATGCTTTGCCTGAAAAAAAACAACTTTTAAGAATTTATCCTCAAAAAAAGGTGCAAGTAAATGCAAATAATATATTCATGATTATGTCCATAGTGCCATAATTTGCTTTCTTTTTTAGGTGTTTATATGGTGAGATTATTAGCTTTTTTGCTATTATAAAAATGACTTTTCATTGCTCTTAGAGGTGACCCTTTAAATACTGAATGAAAAATAACCCATAATAATAGTTTCTTCTTCCACAGCAGCCAACTTTCATTTCACAAGGGCTCAGGGAATCCATGCCTCCAAAGCACTGGAATTCAGCCTACTCTAAGGTTGAGGCTGATAGCAGAGATCTTAGCTGTGGACACAACATTCAGGCAGGCAGGTTCTCTTTCCTACCTGGGAGAAAAAAATAAACCCTCTTGGTTTGCCCCTTTCAGCAAGTTCTTTCTAATGCATCATTTAAATTAAGCAATGGGTGTGGTGGCTTATCCCTGGACAGGGAGTCAAGTGTTGAGTTCAAGTCTTTCTGAGGTTCCTGACTTGCTGCATAACACTTGCATCACTTTCCTCATCTGTGTGAAAAATAAATCTAGAATGACTTCATAAGTGGTATAGCAAAGTATACAGGTAAACTGCAGATATACATAACAATCTTTCTGTTCACTTGATTCAAATCAGAAAACCCTCTGTCCTTGGTGCCTTTGAGTACCTACTGTCATGATAAAAGCCAGTCCACTGCATTTTTTTCTAACAGAACCTGCATGACAGAATTAGAGGAGTCCTCAACCCTGTGGAGCCTATTAAAATCTGATTCCTAGGCCTCATCACAAACCCATTTGTATTCTCTGAGGGTTGTTCACAGGAATATGTATCCCGCCAAGGATCCCAGATGATTCTGACATGGCAAGACTTTTCATATTTGGGAACCATTCATCTAAGCCACGGTCCTCACATGCTGGGGCTTCTGGAGCCTTCAGGGAAACCTAGAAAAGGGCAGAGAGCAGTGAGTATTCATGGAAGACAAGTTTTTATTGAAGAATAACATTCCATTGTATAAACATATCATAGTTTGTTTAGCCATTCATGAGTTGATGGACATTTGAGTTATTTCCAATTTGGGGAAATTATAAATAAAGCCATTATAAACTTTCATGTATAAGTGTTCTGTTTGTGTGCAAACGTTTGTATTTCCATTGAATCCTCCTGCTCAGAGACAAGCTACCACACACATTGCTTAATTTAAGAAATGCATTAGGAAGAACTTGCTGAAAGAGGCAAGCCAGCAGTGTTATTTATTCTCCCAGGCAAAGTTTAAGTACTGAAGGTAACTCTAGATTTAGCATTTTGAGGAACTGACAAAATATTTTTCAAAATGACTGTACTAATTTATATTTCCAGTAGCAGTATATAAGGGTTTCAATTCATCCATATCCTTGCTTATACTTGTTATTGTCTATATTTTTATTACAGTCATTCCAGTAGATAGGAAGTGATTATCTGATTGTGGTTTTTATTTGAATTTACTTGATGACTTATGATGAGCATCTTTTTATATGCTCAAGGGTCATTTGTACATGTTTTTGGAGCAAACCCTTTGTCCAATTTAAAAACGAGTTATTTGTCTTTCTATTGTTGAATTATGGGGTCTTCATACATTGTAGTTGCTTATCCCTTATCAGATATATGATTTGCAAAAATTTTCTCCTATTCTGTAGGTTATCTTTTTATTTACTTGATAGTGTCCTATGCAGCACAAAATACTTTAATTTCAATGTTCATTTTAACTATTTTTCTTTTGATTTTGTGCTTTAAGTGTCATAACTAAGAAAGCATCGCCTAACTCAAGCTAATGAATATTTGCCCTTACACTTTCTTCTAAGAGTTTTATAGTTGTAGCTCTTACATTTAGGTCATTATTTATTTTGAGTTAATTTTTGCATATGATGTGTGGTAGGGGTTCAACTTCATTCTTTAGCATGTGGACATCCAGTTGTCCAAGCACCATTTGTTGAAAAAACTATTCTTTTCCATTTAACAGTCTACACACCCTTGTTGAAAATTAATTGACCACAAATGTAAGTACATATTGAGCTATATGTCTATCCTTCTACTAGTACGACAAATCCTTTATTACTGTAGGTTTGTAGTAAGCTTCAAAATCAGGAAGTGTGAATCCTTCAACTTCTTTTTTTTTTTTTTCAATACTGCTTTGGCTGTTCTGGGTCCCTTTGTATTTCCATGTGAATTTTAGGACTACCTTGTCAATTCTTACAAAATAATCAGCTGTGATGTTGACCAAGATTGTGATAAATCTGTAGATCAGTTTGAGTAGTATTGCCATCTTAACAATATTACATCTTCCAATCCATTAACATGGAAAAATTTTCAATTTCTATTAAAAGAAAAAGCAAATTCTTTTTCCCAGCCACTTTTATACGTGCTATGTGCCATAGATTATTCTAAGAACTTTATATACAGAATCTAATGTATTCTCACAAACTCCTATGAAGTAGAATCATTAATATTCCCATTTTGCAGATGAAGAATCTGTGGCAAAAGAGATTCAACAACTTGCCTGAGGTCATACAGCTCCTGGTAGAGCCAGGATTTGAATCAAGGCAGTTTGATTCAAGAGTACATATTCTTAACCAGTACACACTACTGCTAATTACCAGATTTAAGGACTATTTCATGAAAGCAGTGTTTCTTTAGAGATAAAAAGTGAGGCCACCCTACAGAGGTGGCAAATATAAGAGACAGAAAAAGAGAACCCTGATTTTATCTACTTCTAAAGGCTAGGAGGATCTTTGCTCTTCCAAGGTATTACCAGTGAAGTTCTGTTTCAGAAACGTAAATCACTCTAAGTATTTTAGGCAGAGAGGGATTTAATGCAGAGAATTGGTTACAAGGGTGTTACAAAGGTGTTAAAGGGGAGAAGTAGATGTTTCCTAGAGATAAAGGAGTTGTTACCATTCTTTGCTGCTAGGATCTGGAAGTGCTCACCACTTCTGGCAAGTGGAAGTTTCCTCCACCAAGTTCCCCACAGTTCCAGCTGCTAACACTGATTGATGTCATTGCTGCCAATGCTCCTCGAGGGGTCTAAACTGTTGTACCATTCCCCAAGCACACATTCCTATTATATATATCCCATGACCTTATTTTTCTGCAGTTGTTTTCATCATAACATATCTCATTATTTTGCATTGTATACTTTCTTTATATTTACTATCTTAATTTTCTGTTGTCTTTTCCCCATCTCCATCTACAATAACATAGATTCCAGAAGGACAGTCATTTTATCTGTATTATTCACTGCTATATCTTCCATGCCTACAGGAGTCCCTGATGCAAAGCAAGCTGATAATAAATAATTATGAATAACTAAAAAAAGATTTAATAAAATAGACTTTTGCGTTCTACAGACTCTGTTAATGCAACTTGCTTGTAACAAGTTAATAAGTGATGTGGGCTTTCTATCTAGAATATTGAAGCCAACTGAACAAATTGACTTTTCCATAAAGCCTCCTTCATATTCCCATCAAAGACTGACAAATGGATTCATTGGATAAATTAATTAAGCCAACTGCTTGTAGGAGACAGAAACCAGCCTGAGCTGGTGTGTTCAGAGTATACACTCTCCACTGCCCCAGATTAAGGGGCTTGACTGTGTGCAATTGAATATCCAAGGTTTAGGGCTCCATTTCACCACCTTTCCAAATGTCTAGGTGTCCCCTTTGATCTTAGAATTGTCTTGAGGATGCTCCGAAAAGCACCCTTTTTTGACAACAAGATGGGCAGGAGCAAGGACAGTTGGATGGAAAGGCTATGTGATGCTCATGGTGCATCCCTGTGAAGACTGGTAAGGCCTATGTTGCAAACAATGGGAGACCCACTTAGGTGAAAACTGGAAAATCTTTGGTAAGAATTCTGATCCAACACTATTAGTGGCAAGTAAGCTTATTGAATGAATTTGATTTTATAGGTCAGAAGTAGAAAGCTGCTTTATTCTTTTTCCCACTGATCTTTTAAATCTACTTGAAGGAATTATTTTTTCCCATCTCTTAGGATATCTTGGGAAGATCTCACAGCTTTGGGGATTTCTTTCACATGTGAGATATGTTCAGTTTCTGTCATTGAAAGTTTACATGATGTAATATCAAAACTTGAATCTTTACTTAATTCAAAACTTTTATCTCTTATTCCCTGTGTCTGACTGAAATTTTGTACCCTTTGATGAAGGTCTCCCCTTTCCTTAGTTCTGGCCTGCCTCAGGTGAAGAAGCCTATAGTCATCTTCACTCTTTTCTTTCCCCACCCTTTATCCTGCACACTAAATACTCCTTTCAGCACCTATAGGAATATAGAGCAGAAAGGAAGAAAAAAAGTTAAGATGACTTAGCAACTGGTATAGTTGCCATCTGAAATCAGGACCCTCAACACAGCAGATAAAAAATTGGCAACTCCTTCTCTCAGAGGGTGCTTAAGCAGGTTCCTTCATGATCCCTTACTGGTAACATCTTACTATGGACAATGCCCCCTTTAGCTATTACTTTTGAGGTCCCCCTCAGTTTCAATGCTTCTAATGGTCTTTCTGATGGGATCTTAATGCTTTCTGGGCACTCTTGTATGGGGTCCATTGTAATGTTAGCGCAGAATAGCCCCCTTCTGTTGGAATGACACTTGTTACACAGGAATACTCACACACTTCTCATACTTTCAGTGAAAGTGCAGTTTGTTTTAAACGCAGCCATATTATAATTTTGCCACCAGGCCAGAGCTACTTTAGTCACAATTTGTTCCCTCAGTCTTCCACAAGTGGGACTCAAATACTGATTCCTTTTAGCACTCAAACTGCAGAGATATAGGTAAAGTTTTCCAAGTGGTTCTCATGAAATCCTCCTTGGAGTGAAGAGTGGATGGCCAAAACACTGATAACTCAATAAGTTTACTTGCCACGAAGTTCGTGTGAAATATATGGCACATATATGGACTTTATCAAGACTTTTAAATTATCTAGGCTTTGTGGTTGTCTTACTGTAAGATATTCTTATTTATTCATGTGCCAGAGAGTCATTAGGATATCAATTAGATTTGTAATTAGGACAACACTGATAATACTCCCCCATCAGCCCTCAATACAGGCATTTTCTCAGTTTGTTCACATCCTTAAGGTGCATGTATAGCTAAAAATGCCAGAGAACAAATATTGCTACCTCTTTTTGTTTAGGTATTTATAGTGTAGGCGTATTGATTCATACAGTATATGGATCATCAGTGTTAAATGCAATAAGTATTCCATGCTATGACTATATACAAATTATTTATCCATTCCCCTACTGAGGGACATTTAATAGTTTCCAAATTTTTGATAAAACAAATATTTCTGCAGTTAATAGCCATGTAAATGTGTGCTTGTGCACATGTGTGATATTTTTCTGCAATATATAGCTAGAAGAAGAATTCCTAGTTGTGGCAGACACACCCTAGGTGACCCACCCCAATATACAAAAGTTCCCATTTTCCAACAACCCTGAACACATTTGATTATAAAAGTGAAACTAGGCCAGGCACGGTGGCTCACGTCTGTAATCCCAGCACTTTGGGAGGCTGAGGCAGGCAGATCACAAGGTCAGGAGATCGAGACCATCCTGGCTAACATGGTAAAACCACGTCTCTACTAAAAAAAAAAGAAAAATACAAAAAATTAGCTGGGCGTGGTGGCGGGTGCCTATAGTCCCAGCTACTCGGGAGGCTGAGGAAGGAGAATGTCGTGAACCCGGGAGGCGGAGCTTGTAGTGAGCCAAGATTGCACCACTGCACTCCAGCCTGGGGGACAGAGCGAGACTCCATCTCAGAAAAAAAAAACAAAGTGAAACTAGTACTATTTTGTAAAAAACTTAAACTAAACTGCAATTATTATATTTTCCAAAACAGAAGTTGTTGTGAAATATATGACGCATACATGGTATTTATCAAGACTTTTAAATTATCTAGGTTTTGTGGTTGGCTTACTATAAGATATTCTTATTTATTCATGTGCCACAGAGTCATTTAGGGTTTCCATTAGATTTGCAATTGGGACAAAAGCTAGAAACCATCAGAACATGAATAGCGACATTTGGGATGCTACCATATTGTAGAAAAGAACTCCATCTCCTGGTGCTTCCTTTCCCTAAGAAGCAAAATAGAAAAGAAGTTTCTTTTTCAATAATGTTTGAATTTAGATGGGCTCACCACTAAAGGACTTACTCATGTAACCAAATACAACCTGTTCCCAAAAACCTATGGAAATAAAAAAAAATTAAGTAAAATCTAGTTAACTTAGAAAATTCAGGAAGTAAAAATATATAATTGCCCAAAGATAGGCACTATTAACATTTTGGCATATGTTAAAGTTGTATTCTAATTTGTTTAAACTACACAATTAGGATCATGTGATAGAAACAATGCAGGAGGAAGAGCCAAGGTGGAAAACTAGTTGCATCCAGGAAGAGCTTATCCCACCAAGAGATCAGACCATCAAGTAGACTGGAATACTCTGAACAGATCTTTGAAAAGAAGGCATTGGCAATGGACCCAGAAATGAAGCCAATTGACTAAACACAACTTATTCCACAGTCAACCCCTCAAGGGCACCAAATAATATAAAAGCAAAAAGTCTATCCAAAAGGTAGCAACTTCAAAGATCAAAGGAACATTAGCCCACAAAGATGAGAAAGAACCAGAGCAAGAACTCTGGCAACTCTAAAAGCCAGAGTGCCTTCTTACCTTCAAATGACCACACTAGATTTCTAAGAATGGTTCTCAACCAGACTGAAATGGCTAAAATGACAGATAGAATTCAGAATCTGGGTGGCAAGGAAGCTCGTCAACAAAGAGGAGAAGGTTAAAACCCAATCCAAGGAACACAGTACAATGGTCCAAGAGTTGAAAGATAGCATGGCCATTTTAAGAAAGAGCCAAACTGAACTTCTGGAAATGAAAACTTCAACACAGGAATTTTGGAATGCAATAGGAAGCATTACTAACAAAATAGACCAAACCAAAGAAAGAATGTTAGATCTTGGAATGCAATAGGAAGCATTACTAACAAAATAGACCAAACCAAGGAAAGAATGTTAGATCTTGAGGACAACTCACTCAGAAAAAATGAAGGCAGGAAAATTTAAAAAATGAACAAAACCTGCTGGAAATATGGGATTATGTATAGAGACCAAACCTGTCAAACCTGTGATTCATTGGAGTCCCTGAAAGAGAGGGAGAGAGAGCAAACAACAAGGAAAATATATCTGAGAATATTGTCCAAAAAATTTCCCCAGCCTTGCAAGACAGGTTGATATGCAAATTCAGGGAATTCAGAGAATCCCTGGGAGACACTATACAAGACAAACAACCCCAAGAAACATAGTCACTAGATTCACCAAAGTCAACACAACACGAAATATCAAAGGCAGTCAGAGAACAGGGGCACATCACATACAAAGGGAACCCCACTGGGCAAAGAGTCGACCTTTACCAGAAACTTTACAAGCCAGAAAAGATTGCAGCCCTACATTCAGCATTATTAAAGAAAAGAAAGTCCAACTAATAGTTTTATATCTAGCCAAACTAAGCTTCATAAGTGAAGGAGAAATAAAATCCAGCCCGGACAAGAAAACACTAAGGGAATTAATTACCACCAGACTTGCCTTACATGAGTTCTCTAATGCACTGTGAACATTAAAACAAAAGACCAGTACAGGTCACCACAAAAACATACTTAAGTACATAGGTCATTGACATTGTAAAGGAACTATACAATCAAGTCTCATAACAACCAGCTAACAACACGATGACATGATCAAATCCACAAATGTGATTATTAACGTGAAAATAAATGGTTAAATGTCCCACTTAAAAGATAAGGAGTGGCAAGTTGGATAAAGAAGCAAGATCCAACTATATGCTGTCTCCAAGAGACCCATCGTATATGCAATGACACCCATAGGTTCAAAGTAAAGGGATGGAGAAAGATCTACCAAGAAAACAGAAAACAAAAAAGAGGGGGATTGCTATTCTTATTTCAGACAAAGAAGACTTTAAACAACCAATGATCAAAAAGACAAAGACATCACATAAATGATAAAGCATTCAATTCAATAAGAGGACTTAACTATCCTAAATATATATGTGCCTAACACTAGAGCACATAGATTCGTAAAGTAAGTTCTTAGAGACCTAGGAGGTGACTTAAGTAACCACACAATAATAGTTGGAGACTTCAAGACCTCACTGAGCTTGTTAGATTATTGAAGCAGAGAACTAGCAAACATATCCAGGACCTAAACTTGACACTTGACCAAATGGACCTAAAAGACATCTACAGAACATCCCACCCAGCAATAATAGAATATACATTCTGCTTATCTACACAAATGGCCACACACTCTTCCATAAACCAATTCTCAACGAATTTTAAAAAATCAAAATCATACCAACTACACTGTTGGACCACAATGCAATAAAAATAGAAATAAATCCCGAGCAGATCTCTCAAAATTATACAATTATATGGAAATGAAACAACCTGCTCCTGAATGGCTTTTGGGTAAAGAATGAAATTATGACAGAAATAAAAAATTCTTTGAATCTAATGAAAACAAAGATTCAGCATATCAGAATCTCTGGGACACAACTAAAGCAGTGTTAAGAGGAAGTTTAGTACTAAAAATCAGAGCTGAACTGAATGAAATTGAGATGAGAAAATCCATACAAAAGACCAACAAAACCAAAAGTAGGTTTTATGAAAAAAATAAGATTAATAGCCGCTAGATTATTAAAGAAAAAAGAGAGAAGATCCAAATAAACACAATCAGAAATGACATAGATGACATTATCTATGACCCCACAGATATCCAAAAAAAAAAAACCTCAGAAACTATTAACAACACCTCTATGCACACAAGCTAGAAACAGAAGAAATGAATAAATTCCTGGAAACATACAACCTGACAAGATTGAACCAGGAACAAGTTGAAATCCTGAACAGATGAATAATGAGTTCTGAAATTAAATTGGTAATAAAAACCTACTAGCCAGAAAAAGCCCTAGACTAGACAGATTCACAGCCAAATTTTACCAGAAATATAGTGAAGAGCTTGTGTTAAGCCTACTGAAATGATTCAAAAAATCAAGGAGGAGAGACTCTTCCCTAACTCATTCTATGAAGCCAGCATTATTATTTTTTTTTGAGACAGTGTCTCATTGTGTTGTCCAGGCTGGAGTGCAGTGATGTGATCACAGCTCACTGCTGCCTCAACCTCCTGTGCTCAAGTGATCCTACCACCTCAGCTTCCTGAGTAGGCCAGCATCATTCTGACACCAAAACCTGGCACAGACACAACAAAAAAGAAAACTTCAGGCCAGAATACCTAATGAACATAGAAGCAAAAATCCTCAACAACATCTTAGCAAACCAAAATCCATTAGCACATCAACCAGCTAATATGCCATGATCAAGTAGGCTTTATTCCTGGGATGCAAGGTTGCTTCAACATATGCAAATTAATAAATGTAGCTCATCACATAAACAGAACTAAAAACAAAAACCACATGATCATCTCAGTAGACACAGAAAGGGCTTTTGATAGAATTCAACATCACTTCATGTTAAAAATCCTCAACCCACTGTACATCAAAGGAACATACCTCAAAATAATAAGAACTATCTATGAGAAACCCACAGCCAACATCATACTGAACAGGAAAAAGCTGAAATCATTTCCCTTGAGAACCAGAACAGGACAAGGATATCCACCCTCAGTACTCCTATTCAACATAATACTGGAAGTGCTAGCCAGAGAAATCAGACAAGAGAAAGAAATGAATGGTATCCGAATAGGAACAGAGAAAGTCAAACTATCTCTATTCACAGACAATATTATTCTATACCTAGAAAACTCCATAGTCACTGCCCCAGGGCTACTATAACTGATTAAAACAAAGCTTAAGTAATGTTTCAGGATACAAAATTAAAGTACAAAAACTAGTAGCATTTCTATACACTAATAACATCCAGGCTGAGAGCCAAATCAAGAACATGATACCATTCACAATAGCCAAAAAAGAACAAAATATCTAGTAATACAAATAACCAGGGAGGTGAAAGGTCTCTACAACAAGAATTACAAAACACTGCTGAGAGAAATCGGAGACTACACAAACAAATGGAAAAACATTCCATGCTCAGGGAAAGGAAGAATCAGAACTGTTAAAACGGCCATACTGCCCAAAGCAATTTAGAGGTTCATTGATATTATTGTCAAAAACTACCAAATGATATTCTTCACAGAATTAGAAAAAACTATTCTAAAATTCATATGGGACCAAAAAGGAACCTGAATAGCTGAAAAAATCCTAAGTGATAACAACAAAGCCAGAGGCATCACACTACCTGACTGCAAGCAATACTATAAGGCCATGGTAGCCAAAGCAGCATGGTATTGGTATAAAAACAGATACATAAACCAAAGGAATATGTTAGAGAACCCAGAAATAAAGCTGCACACATACAGTCATCTCATCTTCAACAAAGATGACAATAACAGTCAATGGGGAAAGCAGTCCCTATTCAGTAAATGGTGCTGGGATAACTGGCTAGCCATATGCAGAAGATTGAAACTGGACCCCTTTCTTACACCATACAAAAATCAACTCAAAGTTGATTAAATACTTAAATGTAAAACCCCAATTTATAAAAGCCCTGGAAGACCACCTAGGCAATACCATTCTGGACATGGGAACAGGCAAAGATTCCATGATGAAGATGCCAAAAGCAATTACAACAAAAGCAAAAATTGACAAAAGGGATCCAATTAAACTGAACAGCTTTTGCACAGCAAATAAACTATTAACAGTGTAAAGAGACAACCTATGGAATGGGAGAAAATATTTACAAATGATGCATCCAACAAAGGTCAAATATCCAGAATCTAAAAGGAATTTAAATTAACAAGCAAAAAGCAAACACCCCTATTAAAAAAAAATTATGAGCAAAGGACTTGATCAGATGCTTCTCAAAAGAACACATACTTGTGGCCAACAAACATTTGAAAAAATGTTCAACATCACTCATCAGAAATGCAAATCAAAACTACAATGAGATATCATCTCACATCAGTCAGAATGGCTATTAATAAGAAGAAAATAACAGATGTTGGTGAGGTTGCAGAGAAAAGGGCATGCTTACACTGCTGGTAAGAATGTAAATTAGTTCAGCCACTGTGTAAAAGAGTTTGGAGATTTCTCAAAGAACTTAAAACAGAACTACCATTCTGTTTGGTATGCATGGGGACCCAGCAATCCCATTGTTGGATCTATACCAAAAGGAATATAAATCATTCTACCAAAAAGACACATGCACTCCTATGTTCATTGCATCATTATTCACCATAACAAAGACATGGGATCAACCTAGATGCCCATTAATGGTGGACTGGATAAAGGAAATGTGGTACACATACACCACGGAATACTACACAGCCATAAAAAAGAATGAAACATGTCCTTTGCAGCAACATGGATGGAGCCTGAGGCCATTAACCTAAGCAAATTAACACAAGAACTGAAAACCACATATCACATTTTCTCACTTATAAGTGGGAGCTAAACACTGAGTACACATGGACACAAAGAGGGGAACAAAAAACACCAGGGTCTTGTGGTGGAGGGTGGAGGATAGGAGGAAGGTGAGAGTTGGTGTTAAAAAATTGCTTATCACATATTATGCTCACTACCTGGGTGATGAAATCATTTGTATACCAAACTCCAGCAACACACAATTTACCCATGTAAGAAACTTACACACGTACCCCTTGAACCTAAAACAAAAGTTGAAAAAGAAAAAAAAAATTCCTATATTTTTACTTAACAACTTAGATATCTGTAGCCCACAAATATATTCATCTACTATGTACCCCCATAAATTAAAAATTAAAACAAAACACAACAATTTAGCTATTTTGTATGCTACTGTACACTCTTCATGAATATAATATTTAACAGCTGCATACTAAGTGCATGTATAGCTGACTTAGGAAATATAGCTTACTTAGCCATTATTTTTTGACTGAAGCATTTAGGTCGTGTCCTTTTTTTTTTTTTTTTTTTTTTTTTCAGAAAAAAAGTAATGACCACAGATATTTTTGTTTGAAGTAATGACTACAGAATTAAAATAAAAACTTTTCGTATATACTGCAAACACAAATCTTACCTAAAATATTAATACAGGCCAGGCGCGGTGGCTTACGCCTGTAATCCCAGCACTTTGGGAGGCCGAGGCAGGCGGATCACGAGGTCAGGAGATCGAGACCATCCTGGCTAACACAGTGAAACCCTGTCTCTACTAAAAAATACAAAAAATTAGCCAGGCGTGGTGGCAGGCGCCTGTAGTCCCAGCTACTCGGGAGGCTGAGGCAGGAGAATGGCGTGAACCCGGGAGGCAGAGCCGGCAATGAGCCAAGATGGTGCCACTGAACTCCAGCCTGGGTGACAGAGCAAGACCACGTCTCAAAAAAAAAAAAAAATTAATACAATAGCAATAATAATAATGATGGCTTGGGTGAATATAAGATGTTTGGAAAATTTCAAAACAGACACCTTTTCCATTTTATTTTTTATTATTTTTCCAGCTTTGTTGTGAAAATTTTTGTCAATTATAATTGACAATTAAAAATTGTATATGTTTAAGGTGTATAATGTGATGTTTTGATATACATATACTCCTTTTTACTTTCAAAACAATATTACTTTCAAAATAATATTACTTACACTTGCTACTGCACAGATGAGTAACTGTTATTTCCTTGAACATACTTCAGGTGGTCTGGAGTGGCATCAGAGAAAAGCTATGACTTCTCTGTCCTTGCTCACATTGTACGATCCCGGTGACAATTAACCACTGTAGATGAGAACCAAAATGAACTCCAGGAAGAGGAGGAGTAAGAAAACCAGACAAGAATGCAGAACTGAGTGACCCACAAAAGATTACCTATTAGTCCGTCTATACAGTGGCACTTTTTAATATCAACTTTATTATTATTTTTTGAGACAGAGTCTTGCTCTGCCACCCAGGCTGGAGTGCAGTGGTGCAGGGTCACTGAAACCTCTGGATCCTGGGTTCATGCGATGCTCATGCCTCAGCCTTCCGAGTAGCTGGGATTACAGGCGCACACCACCACACCTGGCTAATTTTTGTATTTTTAGCAGAGGCAAGGTTTCACCATGTTGGCCAGGCTGGTCTCGAACTTCTGTCGTCAAGTGATCCCCCCCACCTCATCCTCCCAAAGTGCTGGGATTAAAGATGTGAGCCACCGTGTCCTGCATATATCAGCTTTATTGAAATATAATTCATGTATCATAAAATTCACCATTTTAAGATATACCATTCACTGATATTTAGTATGTTCACATAGTTGTGCAACCATCTTCAATATCTAATTCTAGAAAATTTCCATCACCCAAAAAGAAATTCCGTGTCTATTTGCAATCACTCTCCATCCCTCAGGCCATTTGATAGTTTGTTTTTAGTAGAGACAGGGTCTCACTATGTTGCCCAGCCTTATCTCAAACTCCTGGGCTCAAGTGATCCTCCTGCTTCAGCCTACCAAAGTGCTGGGATTACAAGCATGAGTCACGGTGCCTGCCCCCTGAGCCCTTTTTAAATTCATGCTATTTCAAGCTATGCCTTTCTCTTTACCTCTCCAAGCACAATGAATGTCTTTGTTTTTGTTTTGAGCACTACATTAATTAGAATGGTGTAAAGCTACCAATTTTTTTAAAATTTTAAACATGAATGTACTTTAGGACCCGGTAATTCAATCCTAGGTATTTATCAAAGAGAAATGAAAACATATGTCCACAGAAAGCTTTGTACAAGAGTGTTCATAGCAGATTTCATTCATAATAGCTAGCCAAAAGCTGAAAACAGCCTAGATATCAGTAATCAGTAGAATGAACAAGCCAACTACAGTTTATTCATATAATGAAATACTGCTCAGAAATGGAAAAGAATTAACTGCTAATATTGCTATTAATATTTCACTAACTGCTAATATTGCAATTAATATTTTATATATATCGAATTCAGATATTGGATATATCTCAAAAGCATTATTCTGAGTAAAAGTAGCCAGCCATATATATACAAAATTGATGTTGTATAATTCAATTTATTTGAAATTTTAGCCAGGCACGGTGGCTCACGCCTATAACCCCTGTACTTTGGGAGGTGAAAGGATCACTTGAGCCAAGGAGTTTGAGTCCAGTCTGGCAAGAGAGTGAGACCATATCTCTAAATCAAATGCCAAGCTATGCCATTCTTTAGTCTTTCAAATTTGAATTATGACTTTTCTAGGAAAGATTTAATTTAGCATAAATAACAATAATACAGGAATTCAGTATAGCCTTTAGGCTGGTTAAGATTTTTAACGTTGCTGATAGAAAAAAGTAAGCGCTATGCTTAAAGATAAAAGAACAAGGAGGCTGAGAAAATCTCAGACATTGTGCTACCATGCTTCCTGGCAAACATGACTAATCACAAGGCACCCTTTTTTACTGAACTCCAACTTGGCCTCATAATCCTTGCCAAGTGGGGGCTTTAGGAGCCACTACCAATCAATCAGAATTGGCATTGAAATAAAGCCTATTTGCATCCTTCTTCCATGTTGTAATTTAACTATAGATTTGGAATTAGAAGGAGGTTAAAATGAAGCAGCTAGTGGGAGAGCAGTTTACTGAGGACTACTCCTGTTCACCATTACAAGGAGCTATGTCCAAGATCCCCAGTCTTTGGAAGGACAGTGAATAAAAGTTCTATGGCTACCTCAAGTTGAATATACCTGCTTGGCTTCTGAATAATGTACAACAAATTTGGGGACTCATTATACTGCCTTACTCAGCTTTTTAAAAAGCCCATTGTAAAAAAATTTTAAATAGAAATAAAAGAAAAAAGTTTTAAAAATAATCTTTATCTTGTACTTAATGACTGATAACATTCTGTTGTATATCTTTGCAACTTTTTATATAAATTTAATGCCTATTTAATGCATATTTCCTTGATTCAGATGGGTTGCATGTGGGCTAAGGCTAGTACAAGAAATAATACACTGAATTTATATATTGATTGTAATATATATCTTATATTTAAGACATTGAAATGTGAAAAAGTTCTTTTTAGAATGAAGTAAATATTGCATAATAAAGTATTTTATTGATTTCAGAATGCATAATTCCAAAATTTAACATTTCTAAAATCCTGATGCAGCCTACAGTCATGGCACATTATAGAATAACTGGTAGATTTTTTTTTCTAAAAGGTAAATAGAAATGATACATTAACAATTGATGTCATTGATACATTAACAATTGATGTCATATTATGTTTTATATAATGATAAACATGAAAATTTATAAACATAAATATATATGTTGGCTATTTTACATATTTTTAAAAATTTACTCTTCCAAATAACAGAATGGTGACATTTTGGGTGATTAAAAAACATTATACTTTTCTTCTTTCTTAAATATTTTAATAATGAGCATCTTTTATTTTTAAGATAATAGTAAAGTCATTAATCTAAATAAAATATAGTAGCAGATAGGTATTTTATTACCCTTTTAACATAAGACAATGAAGGATTAGAGAATTTGCTCAAAGTCACACAGCTGCTAGATACTGGAGCAAGGATTTGGACCCACACCTGACTTCAGAGGCCACATCCCTTTCATGGTGCCCATCCTGTAATTGATAAGGAAAGATTGAAATCCAGAGACTTGACAAAGTCTCATGCTATTCTTTCCCAAGCTTTCTATAACCATTCAGCTTCCAAAGCCGTCTTGTAATCACATTTTTTATTTTCAATTTTAATTTTTTAACTTTAATTTTGATTAATTTCTTACAAAAATTGCAAAAATAATACAGAGAATTCTCATATGTACTTCACCCAGATTTCCCAAAAGTTAGCATCTTTCCCAACTGCAGGAAAGTTATCTGATTCAGAAATTAACATTGATAGGCCAGGCGTGGTGGCTCACGCTTGCAATCCCAGCACTTTGGGAGGCCGAGGCGGGCAGATCACGAGGTCAGGAGATCGAGACCATCCTGGCTAACACGGTGAAACCCCGTCTCTACTAAAAAATAGAGAAAATTATCCGGGCGTGGTGGCGGGCGCCTGTGGTCCCAGCTACTTGGGAGGCTGAGGTAGGAGAATGGCGTGAACCCGGGAGGCAGAACTTGCAGTGAGCCGAGATCACACCACTGCATTCCAGACTGGGAGACAGAGTGAGACTCCATCTCAAAATAAATAAATGAATAAATAAATAAGAAATTAACATCGATAGAACCTCTTTAGGGAACCCCAGGATAATTCTATTATATTGAATTAATAATTAGGTTGAATAATGTAATGGTTAAGAGCAGAATCTCTGTCACCTGACAGTTGTGGGATCTAGTCCATCTTCTGCTACCAGCTAATTGTATGATTTTTTTGCAGTTTATATAACCTTTCTGAAATTCTGTTCTATAAAATAGAAACATTAAAATCACTTCACTGAGCTATTATAAAGATTAAATCAGATAATATATGGGAATCACTGGCATGTGGTAATGACTCTGTAAATATTAAGTGTTATTGTTGTTAATAACAATTCTCCTGTCTCAGCCTATTCACTGGCATCGAAGGGAGGATCCTGGCTTGCCCACAGAAAAACAACCACTACCACATATCAAAGGCCACCCTTATACTTTTGCAGTCCACTGTCTACAATGCAAGAAATCATGAAGCCCCTGGCATTGCAGCTCCAAGGCAGGCCCTTACCATGAAGCTCTGGTTTTTATCTCTCTGACTCCCAACACTCCTCTGCTCCCAAGATGCTCCTGTCTACCCTCTGTTTCAATCTGGGAAAAGGAAGGGCCTTACATCCAACATGACTATCTGCTTGGGCTAGATGGGTTCCTTATGGGAAGAGAAGTTACATCTCAGGACCCAAAAAGCTCCTTCAGTGGTATTAACTGAGGGGCAGTTACACTCTTTCAGAAAAGGGAGTAGAGGGGAAGGAAGAAAAATGATAGAGAGAGAGGCAAAAGTGTGGCAGGTGAGAGGAAGGGGAGTTAGATGTAGAAGGGAGAATGACAGCCACAGAAATGTACCTAACCAAGGGTTCCTTACCATTCTTAGTCATGACACCTAAAAATTACGGTGTCCTGAATGCAGTATAACAGTACAGATGTAATGTCATCAAATCCTCCTGGATCTGGACACTGTCCTTCTTTTAGCCCTTGGGCACATTTCCTTCTTCAGCAAAACTTCATACTAATCTAAGGTCATATTGCAAATAAAGTCAATTAAAATCTCCAGTGCTGCTGGTGATTTTGCTCACAGGTGCTGCTGCTTGGTGAGAATTTTCTTAGCTTGCCCATATTGCAATAATTCTTTTTAAAGAATCCAAATTCAGATCTTCACTTTTAATCTTGTCTAGTTGCTTTAAATCTAGCATACCAGACTCAAGGTCAGTTTGATTTTTGATCAGGCCATCTTTCATGTTGCTGTGCCAAGTTTTGAGTCATCTGTAAGTATGAGAGTATGTCATAGGTTGAGAAATAGGAGGAAGGTAGATGCACACCCTCTGGGTGTCAAGACCTAGTCTAGGAATAAACCTAAGACAGAGAAGAAAATATGAGGCTCAGGAAATTGTCTGAAGAGGGAAGCAAGCACAATCATACTAGTTATCACTGTAAATCCATGCTTTCCATACCTCCCCTCTCACATCTGCTCCAGAGACACCTGTTAGAGGATAACTTTGAAGCAGCTTTAACAGTTTATACCCAAAACTATATTTTTAGAACACATACAGTAAAATATTTCATATGCTCCAGAGAGAGTATGAACATTTCTATCTAAAGTTTCCCTTTTTATTTCTCAAGGCTTCATCAGGAAATCTGTGCTTTTTATTAAGTAGCATTTTCCAAGCCTGGCTCAGAGGAAGAGAATACATCTGTACTGGACTTCACTTCCTGGCTCTCACTGCTTAATACACACAGGTCTAACAGTTCCTGATTCTTTAATAATTCAACTGGCATTAACTGTAGCTGTATTACCCCAGTAAGAATAGAACAGGGCCCACTAGTGCTGCAATAGAGACTTTAACACTGTCATGTTAACAAGAAGACTTTTAACAGTATTTTTTAATATTGTCATTTATCTGTTCTTAAGTCAACTCAACTATCATTTCATCAATATTTTGGCATCTTATAAAGCAATATATCTTATACTTTGAAATCGCTGTTTTAATAAATGTTTACTTATTAGACAAAATATAATTATTTGGGAATTATTATATTTACAGTCAACTCAGGTATATTCCAAATTTTAATTGCCCATTTTTTTTCTACAGACTCACAAATCTGTTTTATATTTCAGCCTAATATTTTATTAGGAAATAGAATTAAGCCTTAAAAATAGCAAAACAATGGTAATACTCCCAAGCTTGGTTTCTTAATGATTACTCCAATTTTACTCATTTCTTATGCACTGAAAATCTAAGATTAAACTGGAAAAATATCAGGAGATGTGGGGAAACATGAATAGTATATGAGTTCAAACCTTGGCTTTCTCGCCAAAGTGCCATGCAACTTTGGGAATGTTTCCTCACCTAATAGAAGCTGATTGCTGTATGTGTGTAAAGAAAATTCCCTTTTATCCTCTGAAAGTTCACTGAAAGTAAACTGACAAAAGGTAGTTAATAGGTGAAAATGCATACAAATTTATTAACATGCATGGGGGAGAATCACAGAGTGACTACCCAAATAACCCAATAGGGCCCAAATACTTTAGCTTCATCATAGAGGAGTTGGGAGAGGGGGAAAATGGGGAATATAGGTCACTCTGTCCAGGGGCAGTAAATGATTACTAGGGAGAATGAATGGATGCAAGGCAGTGAATAGAAATTAACTTGTAAATGGTCCTATTCAGTGATCCTAAGAGATAAGCATTAGCATGTGAAAGGGTTCATTCAAGTGTGGTTACATTCCTCAGTCTTCTTTTCTGCAATATAATGAGGTAACAAGGAGGGTGATATGGTTTGGCTGTGTCCTCACCCAAATCTCATCTTGAATTGTAATCCCCATAATCCCCACGTGTCTTGGAAGGGACCTGCTGAGAGGTAATTGAATCATGGGAGTGGTTCCCCCATGCTGTTCTCATGATAGTGAGTTATCATGAGATCTGATGGTTTTACAAGCATCTGGCATTTCCCCTGTGGGCGCTCATTCTCTCCCCTGCCCTGTAAGGGGTGCCTGTCAGGCCTCTGAGCCCAAGCTAAGCCATCATATTCCCTGTGACCTGCAGGTATACATCCAGATGGCCTGAAGCAACTGAAGAATCACAAAAGAAGTGGAAGTGGTCAGTTCCTGCCTTAACTGATGACATTACCTTGTGAAATTCCTTCTCCTGGCTCAGAAGCTCCCCCACTGAGCACCTTGTGACCCCGGCCCCTGCCCACCAGCGAACAAGCCCCTTTGACTGTAATTTTCCATTACCTACTCAAATCCTATAAAATGGCTCCACCTCTATCTCCCTTCACTGACTCTCTTTTAGGACTCAGCCTGCCTGCACCCAGGTGATTAAAAAGCTTTATTGCTCACACAAAGCCTGTTTGGTGATCTCTTCATACGGACACTGGTGACAGTGACTTCTGCTATGATTGTAAGTTACCTGAGGCCTCCCCAGCCATACAGAACTGTAAGTCAATGAAACCTTTTTTCTTTATAAATTACCCAGTTTCTGGTATTTCTTCACAGCAGTGTGAGAACGGACTAATACAGAGGGGAAGGAAAACAATTGTTCTCTTTGATAGGGCCAGTCTTAATGCAGATAAGGGAAATGTCTCTTGCAGAATCTGTTGATCTTTGAGGGCTCTTAATTCAAAATACTCATTATACCTAGGTGCTATATCTTGGGGTGAAGTTCCTCTGGGCTCCTTCATTATAGTAGTTTCCTCTGAGGAAGTGAACTGGAAGAACTGGGTTTCAGGGTTGGGATAGAGAATTACTTTTCCCTATATATTCTTTTGGGCTATTTGATTTGTTTTAACTACATACATGGGTTATTTCTTCAAAATAAATTTTCAAATGGTGATTTTTTTTTTCAATTGAAATAGGATGCATTTCATTGTAGGAAATGTAAATTCCCTATCTGTTCTCATGTTCCTTTTCCTGTCTCTATCCTTTTGGCCTTCCCAATATTCACTTCCCTACTTTTTAAAAATAAAGATTCTACTTTCTTCTTGGCATTAAGTTATTTTCTTTGAGTCTCTACTGCTTTTTTCTTTTCCTACCTAGGAGGGATACTCTCAACTTTTCCAACCCTGGACAACCTTGGCGTTTTAGTCAAAGCTTCCTCTTTTTCCATCTGCTTATGTAAGAACAGTATTTTTTTCAAAGAATCTAAAATTACCTATTCCAGAAAATATTTATTGAGCATTGTTGTATATGAGGCATTATAGGAGCTGTAGGGAAGAATGTGTTACTGATCTGTTCTTACCCATACCTTTACAGAGCCCATGGGATAACATCTTACATCTGCAATGCAGACAGTCCTTCCTCTCTACTCTTGGCCCTTTATATTCATTTTACAACCTGCTCTCACAATCACTTTTTAGAAAGAGTTCAGACCCCCTTTTTCTTTTCAAAATAAAAAAACTAATTTAAATAGAACAAACATTTAGTGGTTTATCAAATCTTTTCATGGTTATTTTATAGTTTCTATGACTAAAGAATTGATGTGTAAATTTTAGTTCCTGTTCTGTCACTCTAAATGTTATTAGTTAATGACTGATATGGATTTGGCTCTGGGTTCCACCTAAATCTCATATTGAATTGTAATCCCCAATGTTGGGGGAGGGACCTGGTGGGAGGTGATTGGATCATGGGGGCAGATTTCTCCCTTTCTTTTCTTAAGCTAGTGAGTTCTCATGAGATCTGGTTGTTGTAAAGTGGGTGGCACCTTCCCCTTCACTCTCTCCTGCCACCATGTGAAGATGTGCTTGCTTCTACTTTGCCCTTCTGCCATGATTGTAAGTTTCCTCAGGCCTCCTCAGCCATGCATCCTGTAGAGTCTGTGGAACTGTGAGTAAATTAAACCTCTTTTCTTTGTAAATTACCCAGTCTCAGGTAGTCCTTTATAGCAGAGTGGGAACGAACTAATACAATGACAGTATTACCAAATCTCCTAGTCTGAACTACAAAGTAGACATTTCCTCAATATTAAAGATTGCTAATCTCTTTTTTAGTTCTTCTAGATTCAAAACTGGGAACTTATAGTCTTTATAAAATATCAAATAGATATCTTTATTGAAATAGCCAAATCTAAAAAATCAGCAGAAAAATATTTTGAAAACTTTTTAAAAGCATGCACACTCTAAGATTTTAAAAGGCCAAGTTTTGTCTCTAAATACCTGAATTTTCCCAAATCTTTTCATTTGGGACCTCAGTTTCCTCATTCATAAGATAAAAGAGTTGAACTAACTTATTATTGGTTCCTTTAAGCAGTGTGTCTTGAGCAGCTCAAAGGCATAACTGGTCCACACACATTTGTGGCTTTTCACAGGATCAGTCTTTTATTGATGCTGTTTCAATTATAAAAGCCATGAAGGAGTTCCCAAGATGGCAATTCTCCTTAGTACTACAAGTTCATTCAGTAGTCAGAGTCGTGGGCACACAGGCTCAAACCACTCCACAGGTCAGTCAATATTTCAAATTATACATAGTAGTATAATTAATCAATATATACATGTTATAGATTAAACATTCCACATCAAACAAGGTAACATTTAACATCAAGAGAAAAGTGAACAGGAAAAGGAGGTTTACAAACTAGTCTAAGGAGAGTGGCATAGACAAGGAGAGTGTCCCAGACTGATCTGGATGATTGTCAATTATCAATGTCTTGCAAGGAAGGGTTCTTGATTTGGGAAGAGCCTTTGTTGGCAGGTGTCGGGTGCTGATCACAAGTGACAGCAAGATGTCGTCTATGGAGATGACCATGTCTAGCTGGTGATGTCCTGCTCATTTTATGGTCTTTGAGTCTTCTGGTGAGAATTGATAGTAAAGGGCTATCCCCATATCTAGTTAGGTGTTGTCTCTATTTATTAGACCAATATTTGGCCCCTGTTGGCTTGATGTATTTTGAAATGTAAGATCGAGTCATTTTCTAAGATGGAGTTACTTACGTCAAGTGTGCTCTATACACAGTGACAATCTGTGATGTGACCAGTTGCCTTTCTTTCTTGTCTTTTGATTTATCCTGGTCTGGTAACCTCATTAGAATGCCAACCTTTCTGACACATCTTAAATTTTAAATTAGCGTCAACTTTCTTTATGAACACTTTTGTATATGTACATGTAAACATGTATATGGTAAATAGTTTTAGTTTGGCTTCTACCTGTTAAGTACATTTAAGTTTCTTTTTCTCCTTCTCTGTAGCCTCCACCCATGCATTCCATAATGGAGATATTTGCTAACTCCTCAAAGGTGAAAAGCCAACATTTCCCTTTATCCTTCCTTCCTCCTGCTTCTCTGGCTCCTCTCCTCCTTCCTTTGATCCTTGTTTCCCATCTCCCTTTTTTCCTTCTACTAGTTTTGGGACTCCTGGAAAGGGTCCAACTTATCACTCACCTGGGCCCTAAAATAATGTCCGTGCATCAGAAGAGACTTTAGCCCTTACTTTCGTTAAAACCCAGAGTAAATTAGAGTGAGCTTTTGAGCCCTCTGTTCTCAAAGGAAAAGCATGAACTGATTCTCTTTGGGGACCCGGGATGCTGGTAGAGAAGTTTAGGAGCAATCCTATAGCTTACTAGAAATCTCTCCAGAAAGATAAATAAGGTTTCCTGAGTCTTTTCAGCTCGGTGGGTGATTTTGCTGCTGCATTTTAGACAGTTCTCATAACGGTTTTTGGGGTCTAAAATCCCACTGGGATCAATGACAGACCTACTGTAATGATTGTGTCTGTTTACAAGGGACATATATACAATTTCCCTTCCCCTTCTAAGAGCCTTTCTTTGGAAAACCAAATTAATCAACAGTCTTTAACATTTGGAATGTAAATAACTCTCCCTAAGGGTCTGAACTTCATCTCTTTTGAAATGTAAACACCCAGGGAAGCCTCCCTGGCACCTTGGAAGCTTAATCCAGGAGTTTATCTCTGGCTGTAACCATTTGCTCAAAAAGAAGATAAAAGATGTTTTATTATTCCCTAGACTGAAGGCAATTAACTAAAACAAATAGCTATTTTCAATTTGCCAATGAATTTAAGATGACTTATATGAAAAAATATATATACACACATTGTGCTGTTAAGCCCTCTTATAGGAAAAATAAGGATACCATTAAACCTGAAGGACGTGAGTTGTGTACTGGCTACAAACTCTTTATATAAATGTGTGTGAAAATGCCCTGACATTGTAGCCTCATTCAGATTGCTTATGCACACAAAACTTGGCTATGCTTATTCAAAAATAAAACATTGTTCTTTTTTTCTACACTTAGTAAAGAGTACTCTCTGTGTTGGTAGGATTTTTAGTTCCACAGTGCTACAGATATCCACAGGTTTGGGACAGTGTAAAGAATGGATTAGAAGTCAAGGGTCCAGGGTGTCAAGTGCATGGTTATTTTAGGCTAGGAAGCAGCTAGAAACCTGAAATCACACCCAAATCAAATGTTGAGGCAAATATCAAGTCAGAAACCATGCCTGCAAGAAGAAGACATATGGTTATTAGATGCATGCAATAGAATAAACCTGGGAGAAACACAGGTATATGTGCCTAAGAAACTCAAGGAAGACCAAGATACGGAAAGACAAGGAAAAGAAGATAGATAGAAGTTCAAGTATAGTTAGGAACTCTACAGAAGCCAAAGTGTGTGGAGTGAGCTAAAGAACAAATATATTATTTTCTACATTAGGAGACCTGGCTCTGAGGCAAGATTTCCTGGCGAAAGGATTAAACTATTTTCTGCAAGATGAATGTTAATTGCAGCGCTGGCCTACAGCAGCTAGAAATAATGTGAAAGAAAATCTTGATTTCTATCTACAATGTGAGAATATTTCTATTCTGTTGGAACTAATGTTTACTATTTTGTTACTTTTGGGTAGTTTAGGGAGAGTCACCTCACAAAACAATGTGTGCAACAAACAATAAAAAATGAAAAAAATGGGCATAACCAGGGTACTGGTTAAATAAAGTATGCTAACTCTGTACAGTGAGAAAAGATGCAGCTATTTAAAAGGATAATATAAATCTCTTTGTTGACAAGGGAAAATATCTACTCTGTGTGTATATGTGTGTGCAATTTTTAAAATTCAGCACACTGTAAGGCAACACCATACTCATTGTTTATGACCAGCATGTCTATTCTGATTGTTTGCTGCCTGTCTCGTATCAGTTAGTAAGTATTTTAACTATCATCTCCCTATATATGCTTAGAATGTTTATGAAAAGTCTAACTGTGGAAGTGATAATGAAACTGACTTTCCAAATTTTGACAGTAAAAGAAATCTGACATAGTTTACCCCACCTTGTTTCTGACCTCCAAGCTATCCTTGGTCATTCCTGGGCATAGACCAAGCTAACATTGGGAGGAATTTAGTTTATAGTTTGACTTAAAAGCAAAGATGATAGTAGTTCCCTCCCTACGACTAACCTCCTCCTTGCTCAGAGACCAAAAACCACCTTTGTAAAATAATGAAAGGCCACAAGAATATGATTATGAGAGGGACCTGAACTCTGCTAAAATGTAGGCATTGTTTCTATATTCCCTTACTGCTCAGGTGTCATGAGGCCAGAGGTCACAAGATTTGTGTCTTCCCCAATGCTCCTATAGACAACATCACTATTATAGAACCTAATATTGTTTAAGATATTTTTCAGACTTATCCCACCCAGACTGTGACTTCTGACTCAATCAGTCCTGTGGCTCCCACCCAGAGGCTAACTCAGAACACGAGGACCATTTCCACACCCCTGTGATTTTATCCCCAATCAATCAATATTCCTGATTTCCTAGTCCCCTCCTCACCAAACTATCCTTGAGAAACCCTAACCTCTGAGCCTTTGGGGAGAATGATTTGAGTAATAACTATAATTCTCCTTTGTGGGTTGGCCTCACATCAATTAAACTCTTTTTTTGCTGCAATGCCATGGTCTCAGTGAATTGGTTTTGTCTGTGCAGCAGGCAAGAAAAACCCATTGGGCGATTATAAGAATCCATTTTGTCCATTTCCAGCAGAGTGTAATGGGGTGATTCTCAAACTTTACAGTGCATCAGAATTATACAGATGCTTTTAAAAACTACAGAGGTTTTGTTTTAATTAGCCTTGGTAAGTCTCAGGTATGAATATGTTTTAAAAACTCTCCAGGTGAGTCTAATGTGTACTCAGAATTGAGAATCAGTGAGGGTTAAGAACATAGGCTAGAGACCTGGACAACCTAGGCTTGAATTCTGGCTCTGTCATTTGCTCCTCATGTGACAGTAGGCAAAATACGTAAACTTCTGTGCTTCCATTTTCTCACCTGTGATAAAAAGGAGGACGTTAGTAACATCTATCTCTTAGGGTTTCTGAGAGGGCACTCCCTCTCCATACACACCCTCTCCCAACACTTATATAAAGTAGTACAAAGTATGTTTAATCAAGTTAGCTATTATTGTTATAACAATTTATTTTTTAAACTATAAGTCTGATCATATATCACTCAGATGCCATTTTTTACTTTCCTACTACATACTGAATCACACGAAGACTCCTCACCCTGGTGTTTCAGTTTCGTCTCTCCTTTTACTCCCCACATATCCTATGTCTTAGCCAAATAGGACCATTTTGTTATTCAAATTATATATCTTCTGCTCTCCAAACTCGTTGAGGACATTCCCACACTTAAAATGAGTGCTTGATGTCATCATGATCCTAAAATGTGTTCAAAGAAGGATCTGTCCTAATGCAATTATAATAAACAAGATACATGACTCATCTAGGTTGTGAAATTGTGCTAGAAGTGCATGCACAAGCAGGAGCCAGCCTTTGTTTACATAAACTGTTCTATGCTACACATCCTAAGTACTGTTCCTGAGGTCTTCTCTTCCCTCCAAGCTTTGAAGAGATCTCAAATTTCACCAAGAGGATGATGTGTGGTTACATACAGGTGATGATCTTGGGTCCCAGACAGTCATTTATAAGTGTGTCTAACCCAGAGAAAGCAAATATATAGCACACATGTTGCCACTCCTCCTTCCTTACTACTCCCTGTAGTACCTCTTTAGACTTCATTTCTCCAGTTGTTCAGTGTTCTTCTTCTGTCCTCTTACTTTTGAAGTAGACAGGCTGGTGTCTGCCCTGATCTGCCTTTCTCCAAGTATAGATCATTTTTTCCTTCCTCCCTGTATTAGTCTGTTTTCTCCTGGCTGTAAAGAAATGCCTGAGACTGTGTAATTTATAAAGAAAAGAGGTTTAATTGGCTCATGTTCCACAGACTGTAGAGGAAGCATGGCTGGAGAGGCCTCAAGAAACTTAGAATCATGGAAAAAGGTGAAAGAGAAGCAGGCATGTCTTACATGGACAGAGCAGGAGGAAGAGAGAGAGGGGCAGGTGCCACACATTGTTAAACAACCAGATCTCATGAGAGCTCACTCACTATACAGTACCAAGGAGGGTTGGTGCTAAACCATTCATGAGAACTGTCCCCATAATCCAATCACCTCCTACCAGGCTCCACCTCCAACATTAGGGATTACAATTGAATGTGAAATTTGGGTGGGGACACAAATGCAAACCATATCACTACCTCTCATTAAAAATTACTTGTCCTGTGTCCCATTAACTAATGGCTTAGCTAATAAATTTTATAATAGGCCTTCTCTTTATGCAAATGAGTGATGAAGACAGATGGCTTAACACAAAACCTTATTTCAAAGGAAGTTACTATTGGTTGACTTTCATATCCTGTGGTAAGCCAAAAGAATTAGTACTTCAAGGGTGGTAGTGAGATTTTGCAGTCAGAATGACATGGATTAGATTCTTAGTTCTGCCGATAATTAACTATCTGTTGTTGAGCTAGTCACCTTTCCTCTAGTAATCTCACTTGCCTTGTCCTATAAAATGAGTGACAAAAAGTATTGCTACCATCTATTTTAGCACTAAAATTGTATGCCTTTATTAATAATGGATCTTCTTAACAAAAAGTTGTAAATAGAGCACTATGTGTGCTACATTATGCTGTCTTTTTGTAGTTCCCATTAAAGGCAGGTAAAAAAGACACAGTTGCACAGTGATTTTGGAGCTGCAACATTTAGATACCTGCCTAGGACTCCTGGCTCCATCACCTAATAGTGTCACTTAGCTGTAGAGCCACAGGCAAGTTGATTTCTCAGTTTCCATATCTAAAAAAAAGTGGGAATAATTTTGGTACTTTTTAATTAAATTGCTGTGTAATAATTATATAATGCTTCTATGGGTCTCTCTTCCCTTTATCCTCTTTATCCCAGGAGTTATTTCAAACATTTACTGTTGTCCTTGAGTCCTCGGCTGTTATCAAATGACCTCATCTCCTACTTGACAAAGAAAACAGATACCAGAAGATAGGATTCCCTGAGCTTTCTCCTCCCACCCAAACAACCATATCTTTATCTGCATTTATTTCTACAATCTTCCCTAGAAGCCTAGTGGAATGGGAGATTTCCCCATTCAAAACAAAATCCTACATATCTGTCATCTCTGCACATGAGGTTAGCTCTTCCGGTCTCTTATACTGCTATATCCAAAATACTTCCTTTCCTTTGAACTCTCCATTGGCTGAAAACTCCACTGTAATATCCACCTCATTAGAACTCCCCACTCCTCCTATGACTTCAGGACTTTGCTGAATAAATTGTTCCCTCTCCTCCTAGGGTCTCTGAAATTTCACTATTTACTGGTTTTTCATTGCAGTCAATAAACAATATGGAGATTCTTTGGTCACTGTTTCAATAATTAAATATTTTTAAAGAACTATTTCTTATTTATTTTTTTTACTTTAAGTTCTGGGATACATGTGCTGAACATGCAGGTTTGTTACATAGGTATACATGTGCCATGGTGGTTTGCTGCACCTATCAACCTGTCATCTAGGTTTTAAGCTCCACATGCATTAGTTATTTGTCCTAATGCTCTCCCTCCCGTTGCCCCCCATCCCCCAACAGACCCCAGTGTGTGATGTTTCCCTCCCTGTGTCCACGTGTTCCCATTGTTCAGCTCCTGTTTATGAGTGAGAACATGTGGCTTTTGTTTTTCTGTTCCTGGGTTTGCTGAGGATGATGGTTTCCAGCTTCATCCATGTCCCTGCAAAGAACATAAACTCATTCTGTTTTATGGCTGCATAGTATTCCATGGTGTATATGTGCCACATTTTCTTTATCCAGTCTATCATTGATGGGCATTTGGGTTGGTTCCATGTCTTTGCTATTGTAAATAGTGCTACAATAAACATAGGTGTGCATGTGTCTTTATAGTAGAATTATTTATAATCCTTTCCTTATATATCCAATAATGGGATTGCTAGGTCAAATGGTATTTCTGGTTCTAGATCCTTGAGGAATTGCCACACTGTCTTCCATAATGGTTGCCTAATTTACACTCACACCTACAGTGTAAAAGAGTTCCTATTTCTCCACATCCTCACCAGCATCTGTTGTTTCCAGACTTTTTAATGATCGCCACTCTGTCTGGTGTGAGATGGCATCTCATTGTGGTTTTGATTTGCATTTCTCTGATGACCAGTGATGATGAGCTTTTTTTCATATGTTTGTTGGCCGCATAAATGTCTTCTTTTGAAAAGTGTCTGTTCACATCCTTCGACCACTTTCTGATGGGGTTGTTTGTTTTTTCCTTGTAAATTTGTTTAAGTTCCTTGTAGATTCTTTGTCAGATGGATAGATTGCAAAAATTTTCTCCCATTCTGTAGGTGGTCTTTTCACTCTGATGATAGTTTCTTTTGCTGAGCAGAAGCTCTTTAGTTTAATGAGATCTCATTTGTCAATTTTGGCTTTTGTTGTAATTGCTTTTGGTGTTTTAGTCATGAAGTCTTTGCCCATGCCTATCTCCTGAATGGTATTGCCTAGGTTTCCTTCTAGGGTTTTTATGGTTTTAGGTTTTAGGTTTAAGTCTTTAATCCACTTTGAGTTAATTTTTGTATAAGGTGTAAGGAAGGGGTCCAGTTTCTGTTTTCCACATATGGCTAGCCAGTTTTCCCAGCACCATTTATTAAATAGGAAATCCTTTCCCCATTGCTGTTTTCGTCAGGTTTGTCAAAAATCAGATGGATGTAGATGTGTGGTATTATTTCTGAGGCTTCTGTTCCACTGGTCTATATATCTGTTTTGGTACCAGTACCATGTTGTTTTGGTTACTATAGCCCTGTAGTATAGTTTGAAGTCAGGTAGCATGATGCCTCCACCCTTGTTCTTTTTGCTTAGGATTGTCTTGGCTATATGGGCTCCATTTTCGTTCCATATGAAATTTAAAGTAGTTTTTTCAAGTTCTGTGAAGAAAGTGAATGGTATCTTGATGGGAATACCATTAAATCTATAAATTACTTTTGGCAGTATGCCCATTTTCACGATATTCATTCTTCCTATCCATGAGGATGTAATGTTTTTCCATTTGTTTGTGTCCTCTCTTATTTCCTTGAGCAGTGGGACCTTGAAGAGGTCCTTCACATCCCTTGTAAGTTGTATTCCTATGTATTTTATTCTCTTTGTAGCAATTGTGAATTGGAATTTACTCATAATTTGGCTCTTTGCTTCTCTATTATTGGTGCATAGGAATGCTTGTGATTTTTACACATTGATTTTGTATCCTGAGACTTTGCTGAAGTTGTTGATCAGCTTAAGAAGTTTTGGGACTGAGATGATGGGGTTTTCTAAATATACAATCTTGTCGTCTGCAAACAGAGACAATTTGGCTTCCTCTTCCTGTGTGAATATCTTTTGTTTCTTTCTCTTCCCTGATTGCTCTGGCCAGAACTTCTAACACTATGTTGAATAGGAGTGGTGAGAGAGGGCATCCTTGTCTTGTGCCAGTTCTCAAAGGGAATGCTTCCAGCTTTTTCCCATTTAGTATGATATTGGCTATGGGTTTGTCATAAATAGCTCTTATTATTTTGAGATATGTTCCATTAATACCTAGTTTATTGAGAGTTTTTAGCATGAAGGGATGTTGAATTTTATTGAAGGCCTTTTCTGCCTCTATTGAGATAATCATGTGGTTTTTCTCATTGGTTCTGTTTATGTGATGGATTATGTTTATTTATTTGCATATGTTGAGCCAGCCTTGCATCCCAGGGATGAAGCCAACTTGATCGTGGTGGATAAGCTTTTTGATGTGCTGCTGGATTCGGTTTGCCAGTATTTTATTGTGGATCTTCACGTCTATGTTCATCAGGGATATTGGCCCGAAATTTTCTTTTTTTGTTGTCTCTGCCAGGTTTTGGAATCAGGATGATGCTGACCTCTTAAAATGAGTTAGGGAGGAATCCTTCTCTTTTTTGTTTGGAATAGTTTCAGAAGGAATGGCACCAGCTCCTCTTTGTACCTTTGGTAGAATTTGGCTGTGAATCTGTCTGGTCCTGGGCTTTTCTTGGTTGGTAAGCTACTAATTATTGCCTCAATTTCAGAAGTTGTTATTGGTCTATTCAGGGACTTGACTTCTTCCTGGTTTCGTCTTGGAAGGTTGTATGTGTCCAGGAATTTATCCATTTCTTGTAGATTTTCTAATTTATTTGTGTAGAAGTGTTTATAGTATTCTCTGATGGTAGTTTGTATTTCTGTGGGATCAGTGGTGATAGCCCCTTTATCATTTTTTATTGTGTCTATTCGATTCCTCTCTCTTATCTTCTTTTTCAGTCTGGCTAACGTGTATCTATTTTGTTAATCTTTTCAAGAAACCAGCTCCTGGATTCTTTGATTTTTTAAAAGGGTTTTTCATGTCTCTATCTCTTTCAGTCCTGCTCTGATCTTAGTTATTTCTTGTTTTCTGCTAGCTTTTGAATTTGTTTGCTCTTGCTTCTCTAGTTCTTTTAATTGTGATGTTAGGGTGTCGATTTTAGATCTTTCCCACATTCTGATGTGGGCATTTAGTGCTATAAATTTCCCTCTAAACACAGCTTTAGCTGTGTCCCAGTGATTCTGCTATGTAGTCTCTTTGTTCTCATTGGTTTCAAATAACTTTCTTATTTCTGCCTTAATTTCGTAATTTACCCAGTAGTCATTTACAAGCAGGTTGTTCAGTTTCCACGTAGTTGTGCAGTTTTGAGTGAGCTTCTTAATACTGAGCTCTAATTTGATTGCACTGTGGTCTGAGGGGCTGTTATGATTTCAGTTCTTTTGCATTTGCTGAGGAGTTTTTTACTTCCAATTATGTGGTCGATTTTAGAATAAGTGCTATGTGGTGCTGAGAAGAATGCATATTCTGTTGTTTTGGGGTAGAGAGTTCTGTAGATATCTATTAGGTCTGCTTTATCCAGAGCTGAGTTCAAGTCCTGAATATCCTTGTAATTTTCTGTCTTGTTGATCTATTTAATATTGACAGTGGGGTGTTAAAGTCTCCCACTATTATTGTGTGTGAGTCTAAGTCTCTTTGCAGGTCTCTAAGAACTTGTTTTATGAATCTGGGTG
This sequence comes from Homo sapiens, assembly GCF_000001405.40. Lineage (NCBI taxonomy): Eukaryota > Metazoa > Chordata > Mammalia > Primates > Hominidae > Homo > Homo sapiens. The sequence goes on along the minus strand of NC_000023.11, from coordinate 101,952,682 downwards.
CTCCTGTATTGGGTGCATATATATTTAGGATAGTTAGCTCTTCTGGTGCATTGATCCCTTTACCATTATGTAATGCCCTTCTTTGCCTTTTTTGATCTTTGTTGGTTTAATGTCTGTTTTATCAGAGACTAGGATTGCAACTTTTGCTTTTTTTTTTTTTTTTTTTTTTTTTGCTTTCCACTTGCTTGGTAAATATATCTCCATCTCTTTATTTTGAGCCTACGTGTGTCTTTGCCCATGAGATGGGTCTCTTTAATGCAGCACACTGATGGATCTTTACTCTATCCAATTTGCCAGTCTGTGTCTTTTAATTGGGGCATTTAGCCCATTTACATTTAAGGTTAATATTGTCATGTGTGAATCATCACGATGCTTGCTGGTTATTTTGCACATTAGTTGATGCAGTTTCTTCATATTGTCTTTGGTCTTTATATTTTGGTGTGTTTTTGCAGTGGCTGGTACCAGCTTTTCCTTTCCATATTTAATGCTTCCTTCAGGAGCTCTTGTAAGGCAGGCCTGGTGGTGACAAAATCCCTCAGCATTAGATGTCTGGAAAGCATTTTATTTCTCCTTCATTTGTGAAACTCAGTTTGGCTGTATATGAAATAATGGGTGGAAAATTCTTTTCCTTAAGAATGTTGAATATTGGCCCCCACTGTCTTCTGGCTTGTAGGGTTTCTGCAGGAGATCTGCTGTTAGTCTGATGGGATTCCCTTGTAGGTAACCTGACCTTTCTCTCTGGGTGCCCTTAACTTTTTTTCCTTTATTTCAACCTTGGAGAATCTGATGAGTATGTGTCTTGGGGTTGCTCTTCTTGAGGAGTATCTTAGTGGTATTCTATTTCCTGAATTTGAATGTTGGCCTGTCGTGCTAGGTTAGGGAAGTTCTCCTGGGTAATATCCTAAAGTGTGTTTTCCAACTTGGTTCCATTCTCCCCGTCACTTTCAGGGACCCCAATCAATCACAGGTTTGGTCTTTTCACATAGTCCCATATATCTTGGAGGCTTTTTTTGTCCCTTTTCAATCTTTTTTTCTCCAACCTTGTCTTCACACTTCATTTCAGTAATTTGATCTTCAATTTCTGATATCCTTTCTTCCACTTGATCGATTCAGCTGTTGATACTTGTGTATGCTTCACAAAGTTCTCATGCTGTGTTTTTCAGCTCCATCCGGTCATTTATGTTCTTCTCTAAACTGGATATTCTAGTTAGCAGCTATTGTAACCTTGTGTCAAGGTTCTTAGCTTCCTTTCATTGGGTTAGAACATGCTCCTTTAGCTCAGAGGAGTTTGTTATTACCCACCTTCTGAAGCATACTTCTGTCAATTCATCGAACTCATTCTCTGTCCAGTTTTGTGCCCTTGCTGGAGAGGAGTTGCAATCATTTGGAGGAGAAGAGGCATTCTGGTTTTTGGAATTTTGAGCTTCTTTGTGCTGGGTTTTCCTCATCTTTATGTATTTATCTACCTTTGATCTTTGAGGTTGATGTCCTTTGGATGTGGTTCCTGTGTGGGGGTTCTTTTTGTTGAGGTTTAAGTTATTGCTTTCTGTTTGTTAGTTTTTCTTCTAACAGTCAGGCCCGTCTTCTGCAGGTCTGCTGCAGTTTGCTGGAGGTCCACTCCAGAGCCTGTTTATCTGGGTATCACCAGCAGAAGCTGCAGAACAGCAAAGATTGCTGCCTGCTTCTTCCTCTGGAAGCTTCATCCCAGAGGGGCACTGGTCTGATGCCAGCCAGAGCTCTCCTGTATGAGGTATTCGTCAACCCCTGTTGGGAGGTCTCTCCCAGTCAGGATGCGCAAGGGTCAGGGACCCACTTGAGGAGGCAGTCTGTCCCTTAGCAGAGCTCAAGCGCTGTGCTGGGAGAACCCTCCTTTTCAGGATCCGCTGCTCTCTTCACAGCTGGTATGTAGGAATGTTTATGTCTGCTGGAGCTACGCCCACAGCTGCCCCTTCCCCCAGGTGCTCTGTCTCAGGGAGATGGGAGTTTAATCTATAAGTCCCTGACTTGGGCTGCTGTTTTTCTTTCAGAGATGCCCTGACCAGTGAAGAGGAATCTAGAGGGGCAGTCTGCCCACAGCCACTTTGCCATGCTGTGGCGAGTTCCACCCAGTCCGAACTTCCAGGCCTTTTCAGCGTGGTCAGGGGAAGACCTCCTACTGAAGCCTCAGTAATGGTGGACGCCCCACCCACCACCAAGCTGGATTGTACCAGGTTAACTTCAGACTGCTGTACTGGCAGCGAGAATTTCAAGCCAGTGGTTCTTAGCTTGCTGGGCTCAGTGGGAGTGGGACCCGCTGAATGAGACCACTTGGCTCCCTGGCTTCAACCCCCTTTCCAGGGGAGTAAACGGTTCTGTCTCGCTGGAGTTTCAGGTGCCACTGGGATAGAGAAAGAAAACAAAAACAAAAACAAAAACAAAAACTCCTGAGGCTAGCTCAGTATCTGCCTGAACAATGGCCCAGTTTTGTGCTTGGAACCCAGGACCCTGGTGGTGTAGGCACACAAGGGGATCTCCTGGTCTGTGGATTGCCAAAACCGTGGGAAAAGTGTAGTATCTGGGCCGGATAGCACAGTCCTTCATGGCTTCCCTTGGCTGGGAAAGGGAGGCTCCCCTGCTCCTTGCACTTCCCTTGTGAAGCGACGTCCCACCCTGCTTCTGCTTGCCCTCCATGGGATGCACCCACTGTCTAACCAGTCCCAATGAGATGAACAGGGTATGTCAATTGGAAATGCAGAAGTCACCTGCCTTCTGCATTGGTCTTCCTAGGAGCTGCAGACCAGAGCTGTTCCTGTTCAGCCATCTTGCCAGCCAAACTCCAGAATTATTTCTTATATTCTTTCTTATCTCTTATATTTCTGCAGTTTTTCACCTTCAATTCCTTCTTCAACCTACAGCAGACTACAGCCCCCATCCCTCCAGTAACACTTCTTACATGTGCTGTAAGCTTGATTACTTGTCTGTATACTTCATCAAATTGTAAGCTTTCAGAGGTCAGGGACTATGCCCTCTTATTCATCTTTTTATTTACAGTATCTAGTACAACTCCTGGAACATAGTAGGTATTTAGTAAATACGTATTGAAGGAGTGGATAAATTTGCTTAAATCAAAGCAAAGCCTTTCTCCTGTTTTGGCTGTTCACTCCAAAAAGATGGAATTTTCCCCTTATTTGGTTTTTCCCTCCAAAAAAGACAGATTTTCCAGAATATACATATTCATTCATTATGTGTCAGGGTTCTTATCTCCCCTTATTCATCCTCTTCCTCTATTGCTTAAATGAGTGTGTACATGGAATTATAGTGGTCTCTCTTTTCAACATTGTCACACTGAATGACATAGAAAGGAGCCTGAATATAGTAGATGGAAGCAGAAGCCTATGGAATTATTCAGCTGGGCACATGCATCAGCTCACCTAAGCAGACTCAGACCAATTGGAGGAAGGATGACCTATCCCAGTCGCTTTTGTTGTGATGGATGGTGAATAAACCCTCTTGGTATAGCAACTGTACTGGGACACTGGAAATCTCCCGGCCTGAAAATATTTGTTTCTGATATCGAAACTTGTAACAGTCATCCTTTGGTATGATCAAAGGAAGATGTATTACTTACACAGGCAGGGAAATCTCAAGGCAAGAGGATGAAAGGTTAGCCCTCTGGGAGAGAGCCTAGGGGCAGGTGAGGAGGGAGAGACAGAGAGAGAGAGAGAGAGAGAGAGAGAGAGAGAGAGAGAGAGAGACTGGCAAGTACACAGGCACTTTATAAAAGAGGAAGTTGCCAGCAAAAAGTTTAAAAGAGGAATCAAGAGGGTGCATTAGCTTGTGGTATGTGTGTGGGGGCAGAGTGACGGTTATCAGGATACTAATGCTAAAGGAAGGCAAAAGACACAGTAGGAATGTGGCTTAGGGGTTGCTGACACTCAGTCAAGTATCAGTGGGGATACAAGATTTTTTTTCCTGTGGTCTTCTCAATTATGCCTAAATCTGAGTAAGCACAGCAACTGCTCAGGTTTCCCGTAAATAAACATATACTTTGTCTGAGAGAGATCAAATTTGCAAAGTCAATTCACAATAATTTGACCAGCAACTATTATAGCTCCCTGAAAGATAGGGCAGAGCCAGTCACTGCATGCAGGAGACGGCCAAGAGAAGGTATCAACTGGGGTCTGGAGAATCTCTTAGAGTACTCTTGTAGTATTATTAATTATTTTGGTTTGTTCTATTTGTTTAAATATTCTGGAGACTTGTTCTGTCTTATTAACCTACATGCAGCAGGAGGTCCTCTTTAAGACAGAAACTTTACCTTGACATGGCAGTAGGTAGTCCAATGCTAATCTTTTGTCAGCTACCACAGCAACTAGAGGGCTTTGTGCCTCATTAAGGGCTTCTAAGGCTTAAGATGCTTACTGTATATGGTCTGCCAGGACTGTGACAATGTCTGAGTGGCCTTATGAATTCAGTCTGTGTTACAGAATTGAAAATAACTAAATGTGTTCCTGTTATACCAGAGATTGTCATAAGGTCCAATATGATAGAAAAAGATAGGTTGGTGCTTCTTTCTGTGGGGAGGCTAAATGAGAGAGGTTGTTGTGGGCTGCATGTTTGTGTCCCCTCAAAATTAATATGTTTAAACAGTAATCCCCAGTGGGATTGTATTTGTGAGATCTCTCCATGGTGTCATTCAACAGGGTTTAGGTATGGTCTAGGCAAGTAAGGACCTGCCAATAAGCTTTACTTCTTTGTAAGGTATCCTTAACATTGCATAAATAAGAAGTATATGAAATCACAAAGGCATATATAAGCAGGATGGGTGGGATCTTTAGTTAAGCAGTTCACAGTAACCATGGTGGTGTTGGCATCTGGTAGGTAGGAAACAAATATCTGCATAGATTGAAACTTGGGGTATAAGGCAGGAGGTGAGAAATAAGAAAGAGTAGTTGGGGAAATTATAGGGGATCCAGGTGGGTTTACAGGTGGAGTGGAAGAGCCAGGGGTTGTTTTTGGAAGCAAGGAGGAGATCAAAATCTTTGTTTGGTGGGTTTGGGCATGGAATTTTGGGGGCAGGACATCCTAGGGTATCATTGTTAATGCTGGGACTGTCAGTTGTGCTGAGATCATCATTTGGAAAGAGTTGGTCTCTTTGGCAGAGGTCATCATCTTGGAAAAGTTGGATTGACGGTCTGAGGTCATCATTCTTGAGGTGATGATTGTTGGCCTGTGTTGTTCATTACTGCTTGTGGATGTTAACTGTAAAGAACCTAGTGTGGTGGGAGGTCAGGGCTCCTGATGTGAGTCTGGAGCTACCTTTAAGACCTTGAGGTAAAGTACCTTTGAAAAGTTATTATGAAAGTGTCCAGAGATTTGTCTTTTGCCCTAGCAGTTACAGAGTCACTTCTTATAGAAAAACTGTGAACTAATTGAATACTCCAAACAAGAAGGAGGAAAAGAAGCCCAAGGACTTTGGCATTGAGCAGAAGTGGCAAAGTCCACATCCAAACCATGAACTAAATTAAGTCTTGGCCAGGACAAGCATAACCAGAATAAATGCTCTACAACATTTTCAGGCTTTTGGCATATAGTCCCTGGTATGCTCAGGGTGTTTGTTTATTATGATGAGATTCATGGATATTGTCATCTTGAATCCTGTAGTGGCTCCTCATTCAACATCACTGTGATGGGTTGGAGCCAGAGCTGGTATCCTACTTAATAATATTGGCTCTGAATACTAATTTCAGATCTTTTATTCTTCATTGGAAGATCTACACAGTTGTAAGTGTGGGATCAGTTGCAGAGATCTCTATTCCCTGTTAAGAACCTACAGTTAGTTAACTAAACTTAAAAACCATTATAAAGGAGAATGACGGCAGACTTTGGCAGAATGCCTTTTTGTGGCATATGGAATAAACTTTTGGGGTGGGGGAGGTTCTGGATTTTATTGATCCCCATTCTGTTATCTTCCTTAAATCCAGGCATCAATCTGGCATAATTTATGCCAAAATAGAAAAGAGGTAGTAAAATGGGAAGGTGTCATTAAGTGGAAGGTGATATTATATTTGGGTATCCTATATCTAGAGTCGTAAGTGAGAAGTGCCCATTTTATGGCTAGAAACATGATAATGAATGTTTAAGGAACAAAATGGCAAGTTCATAAAGCGATCTAATATATAGATATATTTAATGAAAGCCTGAGTTTAACTTATTGTTGTTTGCATGATAATTAACCATAGTTATGTGTTTTCCCTAAGAACTTATTTCCTCATCTATGAAATAAAAATAAAAGTACACACAACATAAAAGTGTTGGAAAGAATAAAAGAAGGAGTGCACATATCTTAAGTGGTATTGTTCCTGACACTTAAATTCTCAATGTATGTTAGCTGAATATATCATAATTTGTAATCCTACCAGCCAACCAGAAGGAGAATGAAGATTAGTGGAGATAGAGGAAGTTTAATGCATTTTGTTTAGTCCAGTACCCTCCCTCTGGTGCAGTAATCTGAATAGACCCATATAGACCCTAGGCTGGAAAATGGGTGGTCTGGGCAGTTCCTAGGACTGTTGAAGTGCAACTGGTCGGCTCGGGGTGTAAGCAGTTAACACCTTTGGCATCTGCTTATGACCACTTAGGTAATCTCTAAGAAGACTGAAGCTTTCTCTACAGCACTCCTCTTCTTCTGAGCCTTCACCAGCATCACTCTTAATGCTCCACTCATGGCAATGTAGTCTTCTTCTAGCATGTGCCTCCAAATTCTTTCAGCTTCTACCCATTACCTAGTTCCAAAGCCACTTCTATATTTTTAGATACTAGTTGCAGCAGCAATCCACTTCTTGGTACCAGTTTCTGTCTTAGTCCATTCGGGTTGCTATAACAAAATACCCTAGACTGGGTAATCAATAAACAAGAGAAATTTATGGCTCACAGTTCTGGAGCCTGAGAAGTCCAAGATCAAGTTGCCAGCAGATTTGATGTCTAGTGAGTGCCTGCTCCCTGCTACAAAGATGACTCCCTTTAGCTGTACCCTCACATGCCAGAAGGGCAAAAGGGGCAAACAAGCTCTTGCAGGCTTCTTTTATAAGGAAACTAATCCTATTCACAAGGCCTCTGCCCTTATGACCTAGTCATTTCCCAAAGACCTCGCCTCTTAATATTAACACATTGGGAAATTGATTTCAACATATGAATTTGAGAGGGACACAAACATTCAGACCATAGCAACTGTCAAAAATTTTGTGAACATGATTTAAAATCACCAGCTTTCCATTTTTTTATTTTACTTTAAGTTCTGGCATACATGTGCAGAACGTGAAGATTTGTTACATAGGTATACATGTGCCACGGTAGTTTGCTGCACCTATCAACCCCATGCTTCTTTTTTATCCTATTAACTTCCTTCATTTTATCCTACCAACTTTTCACAACAAATATCAACAAGTGATATTGTTTTAAACTTGTTTTTTCATCTTTTTCTACATTAAGAAGAAACTTTAAAAACTGTTTTTTGTTGTTGTTATTGTTGCTGTTATCACCAAATATGTGCTCACTGGTTTTGGGAAGGATTGAAGAAAGTTTACATGGTCCTTGTACTCTGGGAACCCCAGGAACTCCATGACTGCTGTGTGCCAGGTACTATGCTTGCTCCTTGACACAAATTACCCAATTATTTCCTTCAGCATAACTATGATCCGGAGTGTTATCATTTCTATTCACCAGATGAAATCTTGGGTAACACAGTCACTGTATAGAAAAAATTATATTGTAACTCATATTCCTATGACATTATATTCAATGTTATTGCCTTTAGCATTAGTCATTATTGAAAAGAACCTAAGGTAAGATCAACAAAAATATGAGAATTGACTTGATAAGTCATCTGTATTATATATTTGAATGTCTAATGTGAAGACATATTAATAGAAAAAGAGCTATTGAGAGACATTGCAAGTGTTCTATAAATCATATGGGTTCTAGAAATGGAAAATGTGGGCCAGGCATGGTGGCTTATGCCTGTAATGCCAGCACTTTGGGATGCCGAGGCAGGTGGATCACGAGGTCAGGAGATTGAGACCATCCTGTCTAACACAGTGAAACCCCGTCTCTCCTAAAAATACAAAAAAAAAAAAAAATCCAAGTGTAATGTCACGCACCTGTAATCCTAGCTACTCAGGAGGCTGAGGCAGGAGACTCACTTGAACCTGGCAGGCAGAGGTTGCAGTGAGCTGAGATCATGCCACTGCACTCCAGCCTGGGCAACAGAGTAAGGCTCCGAATCAAAAAAAAAATGGAAAATATGGCTTGATTTTGTGTATCAAAAAAAGGCTGAGTGTACTGGCTGTGGTCTTGTGATCCTGGTACTCTTGTGAGAATTGTACATTGGGTATCTTGTGATCAATGTCTTGATCAATGATAACCCTGTTGTGTAGGTGTGTGGTCTTATGGGAATGAAGTTCTATTTGAAAGAACAATCTTGGTTTGCATTTTAAAGTCTGGTATTCCTGAGAAAGGACAAAAATGCACCTCATTACCCAATTGTTACTTGAGTATAGGAAAGGGGCTTCCAGTTATGAGAAAGAAGACATCATATATAACCTAGGAGGGGAACTGGTCCTTTAAGGCAATGGACACTTTGGTTTGATGGGTACTTGGGTGGACTCTCATTGCATACTATGTTAAACTGGATTCTATTTTGTAGTAAAATGATAACCAATAACTTTAATTCAGGGTGCTTTAAACCACTTCCACATCCTTACCATAAAGCTGGAACCGGTACCTAGGGCTACTGAATCCAAGACTTCTGCTCTTGCTAGTAATTAGCCCCAGTGTGCCTTTTGATGCCATCATGCCTCAATGTGATGACCCAGAAGATGTTTAAATAAAGTAATTTATCTAATCCTCACATTATTCTCCTGCACAATTCTGGATATTCGAGAAGCAGGATAGATAAAATTCAGGCTGACAGGTAAGCTAAAAACGAGAGGTGAAGGGATTTACACAAGGTTGTTGCAGAGTTACTGGGTTAGATCTCTCACTGGAACCCAGAGAGGTTTCCTGAATTCAGTCCAGTGGCCCCTCCAGCAGCCAAAGTACTGAATTTGTTCCTTGATAAGTAGTATCTCATTTTTCAAGGAAAGTTGTGTGTGTGTGTGTGTGTGTGTGTGTGTGTGTGTGTGTGTGTTTGCGGCGGGGGGGGAAGAGAAAGAGACTTATCACATTATTTTCAATATTCAGTGGTTATAGGATGAATTACCTTATGGAATTAGTAAAGAAGAAAAGAATAATTTTATCATTTTCTTTTATTTCATGTATTTTCCTAATCACCGATTTTATCATATAGTGTGATTTAGGAGAAAATTTCCCATTGAGTTCCAAAAGATGGTACAGAGGGACACAGCATAATAGTGGGATCACTTGATAGAAAAATGGATTCGGGAAACCCATGCTGTTGGCCCCATGCATAGTATTCATCATTGTCATTAGGGGTTACTCCCTTCAGGTACCCATTTTGCTAGCACCATAATAGACTGCTAATAGAGACTGGCTGAAGGTAACTGGCTGGGTTATCCTGTCTACTTAAGTGTTTAGTATCTTTTCTGTGGTAGATGCTCTCTAGTGGACATTAATGGGCAATACAAAGATTTTCACTTTCTGCCTATTCCCATTAGTCCATCCACATGCCTGCCTTCTCCCCAGACTTTACTGTATTTGATATTCAAATATTTCTCCTTCCAGGACGCTGACCAACCTGACAAGTCATTTTCCACTGCCTGTGAGTATATATATATACCTACCTCCAGCCAATTCTCCTTGAACCAAGATAAATTACCAGATGCTCTGCCCTGGTATTCCCTATGCATATTGGGAAGCTTTGCCCTTAAAATGGATGTCTTTCAGTTACCTTTGAGTGAGGCTTAGTGCAGCAGCATTCCATTTTCAGCTTGTACCCGCATATTGAGCCAACCCCTCCATGAATCAGGCTCTGTCATTTTCCTTCTCCATCAGCTAGTCATAAGGGATCTCCCATGGCCGTAAATGTGAGCTGAGACCTGAGGCTCTGATGCAACAGTGTTGATAAATTGGAAGTCTGGATCCCCTCTCCAATCGTTTCACTGTGCTTTCTGGACCTGCCTATGCCCAATCACAGCCGTACCACTACCAATTTACAAAGAATTGTTGCTGGACCACTCAAGTTTATGATCTCCTTTTGAGAACTGTCTGTTCATGTCCTTCGCCCACTTTTTGATGGGGTTGTTTGTTTTTTTCTTGTAAATTTGTTTGAGTTCATTGTAGATTCTGGATATTAGCCCTTTGTCAGATGAGTAGGTTGCAAAAATTTTCTCCCATTTTGTAGGTTGCCTGTTCACTCTGATGGTAGTTTCTTTTGCTGTGCAGAAGCTCTTTAGTTTAATTAGATCCCATTTGTCAATTTTGGCTTTTGTTGCCATTGCTTTTGGTATTTTAGACATGAAGTCCTCGCCCATGCCTATGACCTGAATGGTAATGCCTAGGTTTTCTTCTAGGGTTTTTATGGTTTTAGGTCTAACATTTAAGTCTTTAATGCATCTTGAATTAATTTTTGTATAAGGTGTAAGGAAGGGATCCAGTTTCAGCTTTCTGCATATGGCTAGCCAGTTTTCCCAGCACCATTTATTAAATAGGGAATCCTTTCCCCATTGCTTGTTTTTCTCAGGTTTGTCAAAGATCAGATAGTTGTAGATATGTGGCGTTATTTCTGAGGGCTCTGTTCTGTTCCATTGATCTATATCTCTGTTTTGGTACCAGTACCATGCTGTTTTGGTTACTGTAGCCTTGTAGTATAGTTTGAAGTCAGGTGGCGTGATGCCTTCAGTTTTGTTCTTTTGGCATAGGATTGACTTGGCGATGCAGGCCCTTTTTTGGTTCCATATGAACTTTAAAGTAGTTTTTTCCAATTCTGTGAAGAAAGTCATTGGTAGCTTGATGGAGATGGCATTGAATCTATAAATTACCTTCGGCAGTATGGCCATTTTCACGATATTGATTCTTCCTACCCATGAGCATGGAATGTTCTTCCATTTGTTTGTATCCTCTTTTATTTCATTGAGCAGTGGTTTGTAGTTCTCCTTGAAGAGGTCCTTCACGTCCCTTGTAAGTTGGATTCCTAGGTATTTTATTCTCTTTGAAACAATTGTGAATGGGAGTTCACTCATGATTTGGCTCTCTGTTTGTCTGTTATTGGTGTATAAGAATGCTTCTGATTTTTGTACATTGATTTTGTATCCTGAGACTTTGCTGAAGTTGCTTATCAGCTTAAGGAGATTTTGGGCTGAGACAATGGGGTTTTCTAGATATACAATCATGTCATCTGCAAACAGGGACAATTTGACTTCCTCTTTTCCTAATCGAATACCCTTTATTTCCTTTTCCTGCCTGATTGCCCTGGCCAGAACTTCCAACACTATGTTGAATAGGAGTGGTGAGAGAGGGCATCCCTGTCTTGTGCCAGTTTTCAAAGGGAATGCTTCCAGCTTTTGCCCATTCAGTATGATATTGGCTGTGGATTTGTCATAGATAGCTCTTATTATTTTGAGATACGTCCCATCAATATCTAATTTATTGAGAGTTTTTAGCATGAAGGTTTGTTGAATTTTGTCAAAGGCCTTTTCTGCAACTATTGAGATAATCATGTGGTTTTTGTCTTTGGTTCTGTTTATATGCTGGATTACATTTATTGATTTGTGTATATTGAACCAGCCTTGCATCGCAGGGATGAAGACCACTTGATCATGGTGGATAAGCTTTTTGATGTGCTGCTGGATTCGGTTTGCCAGTATTTTATTGAGGATTTTTGCATCAGTGTTCATCAAGGATATTGGTCTAAAATTCTCTTTTTTTTGTTGTGTCTCTGCCCGGCTTTGGTATCAGGATGATGCTGGCTTCATCAAATGAGTGAGGGAGGATTCCCTCTTTTTCTATTGATTGGAATAGTTTCAGAAGGAATGGTACCAGTTCCTCCTTGTACCTCTGGTAGAACATTTATGCAGCCAAAAAACTCATAAAAAATGCTCACCATCACTGGCCATCAGAGAAGTGCAAATCAAAACCACAATGAGATACCATCTCACACCAGTTAGAATGGTGATCATTAAAAAGTCAGGAAACAACAGGTGCTGGAGAGGATGTGGAGAAATAGGAACACTTTTACACTGTTGGTGGGACTGTAAACTAGTTCAACCATTGTGGAAGTCAGTGTGGCGATTCCTCAGGGATCTAGAACTAGAAATACCATTTGACCCAGCCATCCCATTACTGGGTATATACCCAAAGGACTATAAATCATGCTGCTATAAAGACACATGCACACGTATGTTTATTGTGGCACTACTCACAATAGCAAAGACTTGGAACCAACCCAAATGTCCAACAATGAGAGACCAGATTAAGAAAACGTGGCACATATACACCATGGAATACTATGCAGCCATAAAAAATGATGAGTTCATGTCCTTTGTAGGGACATGGATGAAATTGGAAATCATCATTCTCATTAAACTATCGCAAGGACAAAAAACCAAACACCGCATGTTCTCACTCATAGGTGGGAATTGAACAATGAGAACACATGCACACAGGAAAGGGAACATCATACTCTGGGGACTGTTGTGGGGTGTGGGGAGGGGGGAGGGATAGCATTAGGAGATATACCTAATGCTAAATGACGAGTTAATGGGTGCAGCACACCAGCATGGCACATGTATACATAGGTAACTAACCTGCACATTGTGCACATGTACCCTAAAACTTAAAGTATAATAATAATAACAATAATAAAGTTTATGATCTTGTGAGTCTGACAGTATCCAGTTTATGATGGGAAATTCTGGCTATATGTTCACTTGATGTTGAAGAATCAGGTGCTCTGTGTATTTTAAGGCCTAATAACATGACAGGGAATCTTTTTTGAATGCTAATTCTTCACTGCAGATAGCATGGCCCTGATTCAGAACATCAGAGATTATTTGTAAGTCTCCTGTTGAAGCTTGCCATAAATTCCACATGGAATCTATTTCCTCCAAATGCACTTCTAATAGTATAAGATCTGTTGGGTCATATGGCCCAAGAAGCAGGGCTACTTGCACTCCAACTTGGACCTGCTTTAGAGTCTTTTCCTGCTTTCAGCCCCAGTCAAAGTTGGTAGTCTTGCATGCCACTCAGTAAGTGGATCAGTGCAGTATTCCCAAGTTAGAATATATTGCCTCCGCAATCTGAAGCAGTATATCAGGTGTGGTGTTTTCTACTTATTGGTGGACAACACAAAATACTACAATGTGTGTAGTGTTTCTGTAGGATTGTGCCAATATGCCCAAAACCACTGGACCCCTAGAAACTCTACTGACATGAATCTGCAATGATTTTATTCCTCACCCTATGAAGCACATGTGTTTTACTGATGACTTCAATGTACCTGCCAATTCTTTCTCATTTGATCCAATTGATGTGGTGTTATCGATATAGTGGATCAAAGCAATGTTCTGCAGAATGTCCACACAGTCCATATCTCTTCAGACTACGTTATAACAGTGGCAGTGTTACCATATCTCTGGGGCAAAGCCCTAAATTGATTCTGTTTTTCAAAGCATGTGAACGTGAACTGCACTTGGTCATTCTTCATGACAGTAATGGGAAATAATTCATTGCTAGATTAGCGGCCACACACAATGTACCTAAAACCATGTTCATCTGTTCTGACAAAAATACCACATCCAGTACAGTAGTTGCATCGGGGCTAATACTTGTTTGTGTTTATGGTAGTTCACTCTCCTCCTCTATATAATCTCTCTGGACTAGTGAATTAAATGGGAAAATGATAGACATCACTACCCTTACATCATTTAATTCATTAAGAGTGGCACAAATTTCTGCCACTCCCCACAGGATTTTTATTTACTTATTTATTTATGTATTTATTTTTGACATGGAGTCTCACTCTGTCACTCAGGCTGGAGTGCAGTGGTGCAAACTCCACACACTGCAACCTCCAGCTCCCTAGTTCAAGCGATTCTCCTGCCTCATCCTCCTGAGTAGCTGGGGCTAGAGGTGTGTGCCACCACACTCGGTTTTTTTTTGTTTGTTTGTTTTTTGGTATTTTTAGTAGAGACGGGGTTTCCCCATGTTGGCCAGGCTGGTCTTGAACTCCTGACCTTAGGTGATCTGCCCACCTTAGCCTCCCAAAGTGTTGGGATTACAGGCATGAGCCACCACACCTGGCCCACACAGGATTTTTTATGGTTGTTTTATTTATTGTTCTGGCTGGAATAGTAGCAGCTCTGAAGCTGCTACTACTGAATTTCCCCAGAATGATAGCTTTCTCCTCACAGGCTAAGGAACAAATGTGGAGATTCTATCATCTGTCATGTATATCCATTCTAATTATATATTTGTGGATCAGGGAAACGACAAGCAGATTAGTCTGTGGGTTCATTAGAATGACAGTGAACCGGACCTGAGCAGACTCAGTAGAAACACAGTGAGGGCCTCCAATAGAGGGCCATGATGATGCTTCAGGTCTTCAGGCATCTAGTTGGCATAGGGTCAGCTAGAACCCTATGTCCAAAGGCCTAAAAAATGTATAAATAATTTCCCTCAGTGTACAGTTAGCTAAGTAAATGGTCATAGGTCCCTTTGGGGAAGGACTATCAGAATCATTACTATATAAACTTGCTATAAAGTTGCAAGGTTTTCCCTTCTTGGAACCTCATTTCTGTGCTATCCCTGGAGGCTGAAAAGACACAATACTCAGGGGAGTAGGTCTATTGGATTGAGCACTAAAGTGAGAGTCAGCAGATGTGTATCCCATAATCAGAGCCATCAGTCTTTGCAGCACCTAAAGTAGGCCACTCTCTCTCTTATCATACTCAGGACTCAGTAAATGCCAACTGTTATAATTAGTTAAGTATACTGTGGTGCTTTTGAGTAGTTTTGGAATACGAGGCCCGGTAAAAATGTTCAGACCCTCACCCAAACACTCCTGGAATAGAGTTATTTTAAAATCATTCTTTCCTGAAGAAAAGACTTGTGGTGAGTGGCTCTGTTGAAGAAGAGTTCAAACACCTAGATTTGGTTTAAGTACACACACACACACACACACATGCACACACACACACACACACCATATATCATCAAGCTAAATTCTCAGCCTCTTCCCTTAGCACAAAATTTCACATTCTATAATTGTCTTAAATTCTTTCAGAATGCCTACCTGAAATACACCCTTTATCAATAACAAAAAAATTGGCTACAATGACATTTATTCTGATGTTCTTTACATCCAGAAGATGATTATTAGCTAGGTTTAGGATCAGTCTTAAATTTTAAAAATCTAATATACACTATTACATGTCAAATTACTTTTATTTATCTTCATTGTCACTTGAATGCGGGGAACAGTTTTTATCCAAAAGAACAACTCTAGACACCACCTGGAAGGAAAGTTGATGCCTTTTAAAGCAAGACCTGCATGGCGATATAAAGAGGATGAATAACATAAAATATAAAAATCAGAGATCAGAAAGGCACATGAAACAAAGGAAAATGGAGTGATGAAATCGTTCACCGACTCCATACTCCACAGAATGATTAAGTGACCAATGTCTAACTACATTCTTCCTTTAACCAATTATAAAGAAGCTTAGGTTAAAGGAAGACACTTCCCTATGGTTAAAGTCAAACAGTGAGAATGTTCTGGAACTTTCTAGATGTTTACATAGAAAGGAAACATTAAGAGTGATTCTGGCATAGATCTGGATACGAAATCACATGCTAGGATATTTCCTTCAGACCCTCTCTAGGCTGACAACATGTGCGTGTGTCTGTGATGAGGGTAGGGAGCAGAGAACAAGAATGAGAATATATGAAAGTGTACACTATGAGACAAATACATTAGGCATACACAGATCTATTTTTATAAAAGTTCTGTATAACTTCTTTTTCATTTAAATATATGTATGTATATACATTTGACAACATTTCATATCAATAAAGATAAATTTCTATAACTTCCATTCCCTACCAGGTACATCCTGTACTATTGTAATTTTATCTATCACTATTAATCCTGAAACAATGGGGAAATATATGCATTAATTAGCATATAGTTTCATCTTAAGCCTGACTTACCACAGGCTATCTACTCATAGTATTTTCATATATACTTTCCAGATATATTTTATGTGTGTTTATATATAATTCCAAGGCTATATGTTCATATGTGCAAATACATTTTTGTTCAAAATTGAGTCACATTATACATACTGCTATTGTCTGAATGTTCCCCAAAATTCATATGTTGAAACTTAATTGTCAATGTAATAGTGTTAAGTGGTAGTGCCTTTGGGAGGTGATTATTTGTATATCTCAATGTATCTTTTTATTTGTCTTTAATTTTAGTATTGTTAAACAACTTTGGATGTTTGCCATTGCTTCTCACTTTTGAATCATTTGTTAATAAAATTAAACATTACTATTATACCTAGTCAGATTCATGCCTATGTCAGTCATATTACTTATATGCTATTAAATTCTGTTTGGATTATTTCTCCCATTTTCTGATGCCTTTAAATGTATTGTGTTTGTTGATAATGGCTTTTCAATTTCCCCATATTATTCCAAATGAGGTATTTTATATTTCACTGCAAATATAGTGAAATGACCACTGGTATGCTTTTTGTTTTTTGCTGATTTCTCACATATGCAAAAATATTCTCTCATTTCTTTTTAGCACCTCTACCCCTACCTTACACGCAACTTCCCTCCCCTAATCCCACCCTTGTTTCCTTTCTATGATTTGGGGGATTGGTAGTTGAAATTCATTTCAATTAATACAGTCTCCTCCCTGTGGGTCAATGATATAAACAGACCATTTTAATCAATAAGTAAAGAACCATGGAGAAGTTATTTACACTCATGAGACTGAGTTTTGCGTTTTTAAATGGAATTAATGAGCCCAATATAACATCACTTTTGTGAGAAGACTGGGAAATTCTAGGAAACATCTGGCCCATAGCAGGCTTTCCTTAATTGCTACTCTGTGCTATATTCCACCTCCTCTTTCCTGTGAGATAAATTACATTGGCATTCACTTAATAACATTACTGTCATTGAGAGCAATGATAAGTATAAGAGGAGGGAAAGGGAAGTGTGTGCTTATTGTCACAGTGCATGACTGAGGTTTGGTGGCATTTTCATGTTATGGCATGTCACCAAATGCAGCTGAAGGATGGGGAGAAAATTAACTAATAATTTTATTTTATTTTGTGCATTATCCTACCACTTCTTTTTACTGTTAAAGTGGCAGAGACAGAATTTTCCGTGGATCCTAAGAAGGACAAAGTAATTCCATAATTTAATATATATTTGTTGACTGATATAGTTGTTACTGTCAGACAGAGGTCAGGGAACTGCAGAAAACCACTGCTAATCTCACAGATCCTCCAAAGCCTTTGAGTACAAGACTTACAGAAGAATGCTAGGGTCTGAAAAAAAATTTGTTTTATATCTGCCAGATTCCACATAAAGAACAGTTTTTATTTCCTTTCTATTTAAAAAATATCATACAAATACATAGCATTGGTGATACCTAAACCATATTCAGAATCCTGCTGGCAAGAAGTTTAGGAAATGTAATTCACAGGATTCCAGCTTCTGCAACAAAGGAGAGAACATAGACGAGGATGAAAAAGCTTCCAACTGCCAGATGACCTTATCTGCGTAAGTCTCCTGGATTTTACTTCTTTAACCTTTCTGATTCTTTTAAGTACCTGATATTCTACATTAAATATTTTCTGTTTGAAATACCTAGTGTAGTTTCTTTTTTGCTGACTGAATCTTGAGTGATGCCCACTCCTCCAGAGATTCTGAATGAATATTTCTTACCTAAGTGGATTGTGATTCATATTTCAAAAAACAATGTTTTTGAGAGATCCCTCCATATCAGAAGGAATAAAATCACACCCCATTTGTATGCTTGCCTTGTCCTACTAGCTACTTGAGCAGATTATTTCTTGTGTCTGGCCTATCCAGTAATTTCCTTAACGAGTAAAATTTGATCTAACTTACATAAGGACAAGGTAGAAGTCTAGAGAAGCTACCCATTGACTCAGGTAATCTTGGGTAAATTATTGAACCACAAAAAACAACATAAAGATAAGTGTTTAAAAGCCCAGAACTCCAAGTCTCTCTAACTGGTTATTCAGCTCTAGCCAACTGTAGCCATTCAGGAATGCACAGCCAGTACTGCCAAATCTTCATGTTGTTAAGAGACTTTTATTTTGCATGAAATACCCCTTTCAAATGTTGATGAGGTCATGAATAAACAATTGTGTACGTAGAAGAAAACATATCATAAGCCAGATCTAGGGACTTAGAGACCTGGGCCTAGGGATCCCTGCCTTTCAACTTCTGTCCTAGGACTTTACTGGGCTGGAGCATGAGTCATGGAAAATAAGACGCTGTCTTTTGTCTCAAATGGTCCCAGGTTCTTGAGAAGTACAAAGTATATAATTCATTACAATAAAAATACACACCAGATATAGATGTAGCACAGAAGAAGGTGAAATTAACTCTAAGGAGAGACAGAACAGGTTACTTGGTGAGGTGATGTGTTGTCTGGGTTTCTAAGGGTGTATAGGATTTCATTAGGCAAGTGCCTAATGTGGGGGAAAAGGTGTTTCAGGAAGAGAGAAGAACATATATAGTAACATTACATCATGAAATAACATGGTCTTCACAGGAATCTTTTTTTTTTTTTGAGATGGAGTCTCGCTTTGTCGCCCAGGCTGGAGTGCAGTGGCACAATCTCGACTTACTGCAAGCTCTGCCTCCCAGGTTCAAGCCATTCTCCTGCCTCAGCCTCCTGAGTAGCTGGGACTACAGGCGCCCCCCACCATGCCCAGCTAATTTTTTTGTATTTTTAGTAGAGACAGGGTTTCATTGTGTTAGCCAGGATGGTCTCGATCTCCTGACCTCGTGATCCACCCGCCTCGGCCTCCCAAAGTGCTGGGATTACAGGCGTGAACCACCGCGCCTGGCGGTCTTCACAGGAATCTAAGAAGATTTAGGGATTGCTAAATCAAAGTAAAAGCAGAGGGGAGAGATGGGGACAGTGGAAAGAGATGAGGTCAAAGAGGTGAATGGGGAGACTAACAGGGCAAAACTGTGTCTTTTGACTTTGTCCAATAAGCACTGGACAGCCAGTGACGACTGGCAACAACTTGGTAATAGATTGGAGGGATTGAGATCAGAGGAAAGAAGACCAGTGGGGTGGATGCCATACGTCTGACCATATATCATGAGGACTTGAAATACAGCAACGGATCTAAGACTGGAAAGGAGAGAATACTTAAGGGAGACTTGCACAAAGGCACCAGGAGGTGTGCCCATCAATAAGGAAAAGGGTGAGATATCCTACAGCATCGACAGTGCATAACTACAGCTACAAGCAACAACATAGATGAATCTTAGAATGTTACGTGAAAGAAACAAGTCCCAGGCCAAGCATGGTGGCTCCTTCCTGTAATCCCAGCTACTCCAGAGGCTGAGGTAAGAGTATTGCTTGAGGGAAAAAAAAGCAGAAACAAGTCCCAGAATGCTACCTAGAAAAAGATATAAATATTTGTGAAAATTGAAAACAATCAAAACTAAACAACACTATTTAGGCACATATCTATGTGATAAGAATATATGTTAAAATGCAAAGAAATAATAAATATAAATCAGGATATTGGTCTCTTTGAGAGGAGAGGTTGGGGGGACAAGATGAGATTTAAGTGATCAGTAATATTCTAGTACTTCTATTGGGTGCTGAATTCACAGGAAGTTATTGTAATTAAGATGGGCAGATCGATAGATAGGCAGTCCTTTAAGAGGCCACGGAAACAATGTGTCAGAATGAAAGCTTCTGTTCTATTCTCTGTACTAAGTGCTTTAAGAAAGCCAGGGGCCGGGCGTGGTGGCTCACGCCTGTAATCCCAGCACTTTGGGAGGCCGAGACAGGTGGATCATGAGGTCAGGAATTCAAGACTAGCCTGGCTAACATAGTGAAACCCCATCTCTACTAAAAATACAAAAATTAGCTGGGCATGGTGGCACATGCCTGTAATCCCAGCTACTCGGGACACTGAGGCAAAATTGCTTGAACCAGGACCCGGGAGGCAGAGGTAGCAGTGAGTGAGATCGCACCACTGCACTCCAGCCTGGGCTACAGGGCGAGACTCTCCCTCAAAAAAAAAAAAAAAAAAAAAAAAAAAGAAAGAGAAAAAAAAAGCCAGGTGAAGATATATTTCAGAGATATTTTGGAGGTGAGATCAATAGTTTCCAGACATTTTTTCCTCTTAAATTGGTTTTAGATTAGATCTCCAAAGAAGCCTCACTGTGCGAGGCCCACGTGCTTTCACATCCCGCGCTTTTTGCCCTTTGCCCTTGGCCGTCGTTGCTTCCCCTCCAAAGGGAGGTGGGGTGACGCAAGGCAGTGGGGGAGGGGGAAACGGCCGGCGGGCTTAAAGCTCTCCGATTGGTGGACTGAGGAGCGAGAACGAGGCTCGAGCTGAAGCGTTAAAAAGAGGAACAAAGGGGGTGGGGCTAACGGAAGGCGGGGCTAAAGGAGCTTAACGGAATCGAGACGCAAGTGCAATTGTCCGCGCGCCTCGCTGCGATGGCGGCGGCGCCGAGCACAGTCACCCCGCTGGCGGCGGAGTCTTCCCCTCAGGAAGCTACCGTCTCTGCCGCCTCCTCCTCCTCCTACACCGCCTGCGCGGCAGCGGCGGCGGCGGCGGCGGCGGCGGCAGTAATTGTTCCTGCCTCCTCCGCCACCTCCGCCCCTGCCTGCCCGCCTGCCGGTGGCTGTGGCGACGGCGGCGGCGGCGGCTTTGGCGGCTCCACTATGGCGGCGGCGGGGAGGGGGGGCAGTAGTTTTAAAGTAGACACCCGCCCTTGCCTCAGAGAAGGTGAGTTCCCGTCCCGGGGTGCGGGGGCGGCCCCATCTCCTTCGCTGCCTCTCTTCAGCCCGTCCGAGATTGGGCTGGGCGCGGTTCGCCACTGCCCCACCCCCACCTGCCGTGGCGCAGTAAAGGCCAAGCTCGCCCCGCCCCGCCCCGCCGTATTAGCCCCGAGTGTGCAAGATGGACTGAAGCAGAGAGGGCCTTCCCTACCTCTCCCACCTGTAAAGGATGGGGGCCCCCAGGCAAAAGAATTGCAGGTACTCATGAGGCAGGAGTTTGAAGGGAAAAAAAAATACCACATAATTTCTCTCCCAGCCAGGACACCTTAGTGTGCTGTAGGAAGCTGAGGTGTGATTTGGAAGAGAGAGGAGGCAAGATAGAAGTGCTGTGGGCCAAGAGGGTCAAGGATAAGGGAACGGGGACCGATGGAGAAAGGGGCGGAGATAAAAGAGGAAATACCGAAGAAATAAGGGGGAGTAAACCCCCTTTGGTGTTCAACGTCCTGCAGTGTAGAAACTAGAAGTAGAATATTTACAGAGAGATGGCGTTAGAAATTTGGGCAGGTTACAAGTGTATACTTGAGCTTTAAAGTAGGATCTGTCGGATTTTAGGAAGGTAAGGTCTGGTGGAGGGGACTCTACTAGGGAAAGAGAGGAAGAGAGTGTGGCAGAAGTACAGATTTCAGGAATCACTTTGGAGAGTTTTCTTTGGCTATTTGAGGATGTGACCTAGTAAAGCAAGATTTACAGGTCCATCTTTAAGGTGGTTTGGCTTTAATAAGTTCTGTTGTACCTACCAACACATATTACTCCTAACATAAAAAGATATTTCTTGACTGTATCAATATAAGCGGTATTCACACAAAGTTCTGTATACTTGTAAACAGCCTACTAATAGCAAACTGTAAAATTTGCCATTGAAATGTGTTTTAAAGCAGTTTGGGAAATGTTCTTAGCTGGTGGAGACCATTCCACTGCAGAGCATCCCAGTAAAGCATTTTGCCATGTAAATTTCGTAATTAATTTCCAGAATTTGCTGTGTTACCTTATGTTGCTAACTTGCCTCCAAAGTGAAAGATTGTGGACACCAAAATAGAGGAAAGTAAGTTCCTTTTTCTTAGGAAGATACTCCATTAAAATTATCGCATAAAAATAATCTCTTCTTCACATTCTTAAATGATATATCCCTGTGTGCTATTCCATAACCTTTCACACCTTTCACTTTGGAGGAATGGCAAAGTAGAAAAAAAATCCCTTACAATATTTGTATAGGCACATTACATAAATGCCACTTATTAAATATGGAAGTTAGAAGTACACTGTAATGTTTTATTTATCAACTCTCTTACTAAAGTCAACCTTTGAAAGACTCCATTTAGTGTCTTCAATCAGCCTTAATGGATGGAAACATGAAATCTGGATTTTAAAAATTTATATCAACCTTTATGTCCATAACCAGCTAGTAGGCAAGAGCAGTTTTATAGGCATCAAGATCACAATTCAATTTGGCTCTCATCGTCTGTTCACAGTAAGGTTTAAGACCAGTATCTCGTGGAAAAAAAAATATGGCTTTTTGCCTGGAGATGCAACTGGTTTGTTTGCAGTATCTTTTAATATATGCAAATATTAAAGGCTTTCAGAGAGCTAATTTCATAAAGTAGGAGCAATACCTTACTTATGTTATTGCTGTAGGCAGTAAAATGAGGAGCACCCTGGCATAGGAGTGTGATGCAGTTAACATAGGTTCACCTGCTAATTAATTCACTGGACTTTGTGACCCTGAACAGGCCCCATGCCCTCTCGATTTGGGTTTTGACATTTTTGAAATAAGGGAGTAAAACTCCCCACACTCCGAGGGTTGATTTCAGATCTGAAAGTATCAACCATGATTTTGCTGTTCTGATTGATAGTCTTTCCATCACATTTCCATGGCTGTGCACTAGAACAATAACTCATAAATCGTAAGAAACCTTTTCTGATAGTTATCACCTGACATTCAATGAATAATGAGATCTATGTTGAGTTAGTGTTGAGACAATTTACTAGCATATGAAAAACCAAATATAATTGTTAACCTAAAAATTCTCTCTTACCATTTCATTTTAGCTATATATCCTTCATTCACTATTCAGTCCAAACTAAAATTCTCTCACCTTTTCACTTAACAAATGGCAAACATTTTATATATTGCACTGTTCGAAACACTATTAGGCCTCAAAATATTTGTGTGTCTCTCTCTCTCTCTCTCTCTCTCTCTCTCTGTGTGTATATATATATATATATATATATATATATATATAATCTCTCTCTATATATAGAATATATATATATATGCCATAAATGGTTGTCAATTATGATGGCAGATAAAGGAGAAGAAAGGAAAATGTTACTTGGTGGTGTGCCAATATCTTTTGCTTGTTTAAGTCCTAGTTAAAGAGATTGCCCTAAAAGATGTCAAAGAATTGTCAAGATTCAGTTATTGCAAATCCACTCCTTATAGGATCATTAAAAGTGGTTTGGAAAAGCATTTGCTGATCCATTTTGAACTGTAGCTGTTATTCTTGAGGATTTCATCTGTCTTGGGGTGGATAATGAACAAATGTCAATGGAGATTAGAAACTAGCAAACGGAATATTAGAAGCTTTCAAAGATTACAAATGGGACATTGAGCAGTAAACCTAGAAATAGAACAAAGAAAGAAAAGAAATGCCATCTGAAAAGACACATATACACTCAGAATTCACAGTAAAGGGAATTATGAGATTTTGTAGGACACTTCATATTTCATTTTTCAAAAATGTTTAATGGCTCAAAAATGAATTTTCACCCAGGAATAATGTTCTGATATATTCATAGTAAAAAAAAAATTGCTTATTTACCTCTTCCTTTTAAGAAAAAATATATCAAATTTATCCTGTTTTAGATTGGAAGACCTTCTGGCTTTTTATTTAGCTATTAATCCGTTTGTGTAGCAATGCCCTAACAAGACTATCATTTGTCTCCATATTATTCAGTAAAGTTTCAAGTCAAATGATAGTAAGACCACCATAAGAAAATCTAGTGGGTAGGCTGGGCGCGGAGGCTCACGCCTGTAATCCCAACACTTTGGAAGGCGGAGGCGGGCAGATCGCGAGGTCAGGAGATGGAGACCATCCTGGCTAACACGGTGAAACCCTGTCTGTACTAAAAATACAAAAAATTAGCCGGGCGTGGTGGCACATGCCTATAGTCACAGCTGCTCAGGAGGCTGAGGCAGAAGAATCACTTGAACCTGGGAGTGGGAGGTTGCAGTGACCGGAGATAGTGCCACTGCACTCCAGTCTGGGCAACAGAGCGATGCCCCATCTCAAACAAAAAAAGAAAGAAAAAGAAAATCTAGTGGGTAACCTTTCATGTATTCAGGAATCATTTATTGAACACTTCTATGTGTGTGTGCCAGGCACTATGCTTAGTGTTAAGGATATACGGACAAATTAAACACAGCTATACTAAACAACTCAATAATAGTGCTTGATAGTAAAATTATAAAATATTTAAATAAGGGAAGGAATGCAGTTTTAAATGTTACTAGTCAGAATCCTGAGCCACAGGACCATTCCATTGTTTATTATAAATCTGTACTCTGTAGCTCATAGTATTTTATATACTACAGGCACAGTGAAGCAAATTATACTGTAAATCTAATGGTGTGACGGAAGAATAGTAAACTGTTACAGAATTAGTTTTTAATTATCTGCATTTGGCAGGTGGAGATATCTGGAGAGAGGTAAATTATTATTTGTTCGTTTGTGATCCTCTCTATTAGATTTCAGTGTGTGAAAATACTAACTAAGCTTGTTGTAAAGACTAACTTAAGCATACCCCCTACTATATTTATTACATATCAGTTAGGATAAAAACTTTGATTCTTTCTCATCTGAAACCAGCCTTGCAGATTCATTCACATTTACTAACCTGTTGGAATGAATGCCATGTATTTGGTGGCTTTCTGATGCAAAGTAGCTGTCATGGGATCAGGTGTGTTAATGGATTTACACAGTACCTTAATTCAGTTTCTGACTTCACAAGCATGAACCCTGAGCTGGCTAGCTACAAAGTGCTTATGATTATGAAGGTAAAGGACTTGGTTTAAATAAAGACAATGTAAATGTTAAACATATAACTAGTACTCCCAATTATTTTGTTAATTCTGTTGTAATATGTAATTGTTAACATGCCATGGGAAACCCTTCATTATTTCTTTGATTGTGATAACTGTGTAAAGTAGCTAAAACTTGGCAAACTCATAAGTCAGGTGGTAGTCTTATAAACTGAAAAACTAAGGACACTAGATAGCATTATAGCTGTGAGTGGTCATCATGCTGAGAGGTACAGATCTGCATTTCTACCACAGCTATTATTCATGAAAATTCCTTAAACAGAGTGTGACCTTTAGGGGAAAAAGAGTTAAAACATTTTGTGTAGGTTAACTCAGTTCCCCAGTCTCCTATAACTTAGTGCTGTGCTCTGCTCATTCTTTTCTAAGATTGTGATGGTGTTAAAAGATTGCAAAGGTCAAGTCAGTTTTTTTTAATTCTATTTAATCAAGAATGCTTGAGGGAGTTTAAAAGTGTAATCATGGAAAATATAGCACATGTGCTCTTTGCACAATTAAAATGATTATTTCTCAGATTTTGTAATGCCTGACTTGAAATCTGTGACTGAGAATGAGATTTATGTTTATGATATTGCAGCCAGTCCTGAAGTTTGCTCCATTTTTGTTACTTTATTAAAATAGGGTATACAACGAATCCTTTATAATGCTAGATGTTTTTGCATCAAGATCAGTTGGCCTGTGAACTTCCCACTTCAGCAAAGCATTAAAACATCTAATAGCAAGTTTTTCCCATAAACATCTGACGGGTTATCCTGAGGAGGAAATTTGGGGTTTTGTGCAACTCAACCTAATTGTCATTTAACAAATGCAAGTGAGATTCACTTTATTAAATATAGCCAGTTATATCTAAAATAGAGTCACCTAATTTGAATAGCTTAAACTTGGGGGTTAACAAAGAACATTTAATTGGAATGAACAGAGAATTCTCTTGCCCGGAACTGAAGAAATATGGTAATTTTCTGGTTCCTTTCCTCAGAGATCCTGCATGGTTTACAATTCCATAAGCATGGGTGGACCAAATTCATTATTCTCACTCAAGCCATAAATGTTTTATTTTTGTCATAAAAATGCATTTCATCTTAAATTGCCTGTTGTTATGTAGTAGCATTAATTAGAAAATTTCAAATATGATAATTTGGATTTCACACTCAGCTGCACTTTTGAATGCAGAAGTTAATGTTACTTTACTTTCACATAATAGTGCTGCTATTTGGAGTAGGCACAATCCAACAAAAGTAGCTAAAAAGTAAGTTTCTGTCAAGTCAATCTCTTTGCTTTTTATATCATTGAAGGCAGATATTCTGGTACAAACTGAATTGAGTATTTTATATCAACATAAGGAATTTTAGTAATGCCCAAGTCCATAGAATGTGAGCTATTAGTACTCCTAATTGCATCTTACTGACTTAAGAACATCCCTCTATTACTATTGTCTCTTCCCAGACTACTAGAATTTTTTGATAGACCAAATCCACCTGAGTCTAGAATCATGTTTTACAGTTTACCTCCCTCAATTCTTTAATTCCTATTACCTCTCTGGGCCTTAGCTTCCTCCTTTATGAAATGAGGACATTGGATTGGTTCTAAACTGGAGGCAGTTTTGCCTCACGGGATATTTGACGTTGTCTGGAGATATTTTTGGTTGTCACAACTATGGAATGCTACCGGCATCTGATTGGCAGAGGCCAAAGATGCTGCCAAATATCCTATAATGCGTAGGACAGGCTCCTCACCACAATCAGTTATCCAGCCCAAAGTGACAATAGTGCCGAGTTTCAGAAACCATGAACTAGATGACCTCTAAAATAACTCTGGTCTAAATAAAATGATTATGTATAATATTAAGTAAAAAATGCAAAGCTTCTGGATTAGTGAACAAGCATACTTTATCAAGTGCCTACATGTGTTGAACATTTTAAAAATTATTTCATTTAACATTCACCAAATCCTAGAATTAAAAATTACACATTGTATTTCTGTACCTTTTAGGTGAAATAAAAAACGGTCCATAGTGGTTACATAATTTGCTGAAGGCTATATAGTTGTGGGTAAAGATGGGATTTGAATCTGTTTGACCAACTCAGAATCTTATTTATTTTTTTCCAACATCCCAGTACTGTAGGTCATAGTTTTTCTCCCCATTACAAATTATTATGAAAGATTTATTTTCTTAGGTCATGAAAACATTTCTTGTAAGAGGGAAATGAAGAGGTAAAACACTCTTATTTATAGAAAATTGGAGTTTATTCATTTCTCCCACCAAATGCTGAAGCCACACTTAAATGTAATCAAATACATTACTGGAATATATGAGCTCTCTGATCAGATCCCATTTATAATTTGTCACAAAACTACCATTTCATTTCAAATAACCATCATAAATGTTATTCAGAAGTGGATTGTTTATGTCATGGTAGCAAAACAACCATCACTTGCTCATGCAGTTTCCTCTGAGCAGCAGGTTGACTCTGCAGGGCAGCTGTCCTTCATGCAGTGATTCAGATGCTTTTATCTTTTATTTTTTTCAATATTTTATTTTATGTTTTATTGTAAAATATGCACACCATAAACTTTGCCATTTTAAGTGTGAAATTCAGTGGCATTAACTACATTTACATTGCCAAGCAAGCTTCACCACTGTCCATCTCCAGAACTTTTTCATCATCCCAAATTGAAACTCTGTACGTATAGGTCATAGTTTTGTTATATGACCATATTTCTCCACTCTGAAGAACTTTCTGATGTATTTATGGAAAGTAATATATATTTAAAAGTCATGCTTAATTTGTTAACAGTTGGCAACTTGAATAGTTTCTTATTACCACAAAGCACAGCATTGCAAAGCAATTTTACCCTCTTATACCCTGAGTATAAATGGGACCATCTAGTAAACATTGGTCTTATCTTTTCCACATCTTATTATTTTTAAACCCTTACTTCATTATCAGATATAGGTTATCTTCCCATTTTGAACCTAGGTTTTGATAGTACTTTCTTATTCCCCATTGCTTTTGTTTCATGTTAAAATGGAAATAAATGATATCAGCATCAGAAATTCCTGTATATTTTAAAGATGGTATATTCCACTTCATACTTGAGAGCATGCCTTTGTGTCATTAAGATCTCAATACCAAGTTTCACTAAAGTAGGCTCCTTGGCCGGGCACGGTGGCTCACGCCTGTAATCCCAGCACTTTGGGAGGCCGAGATGAGTGGATCACCTGTGGTCAAGAGTTCGAGACCAGCCTGGCCAACATGGTGAAACCCCATCTCTACTAAAATTACAAAAATTAGCCGGGCACAGTGGTACATGCCTGTAATCCTGGCTACTTGGGAGGCTGAGGCAGGAGAATCACTTGAACTCGGGAGGCAGAGGTTGCAGTGAGCCAAGATCTCACCACTGCACTCCAGCCTGGGCAGCAGAGTGAGACTTCATCTCAAAAAACAAAAAAAAACTTGCTCCTCTATCCTTATCTCTTTTCCAAGTTTATAGTAGCATAAAAAAATTCAAATGTACCAGGGAATGAAGAACAGTTGAAAAATTCTAGGCTAGAAATATTGAAAAAATATGCCTAAAATTAACCAGGAAGTATTTACCATACCATTTTCAAAGACATGTATTTTTTCCAGATGAGACTTGAAATCATACTTCACAATATTTAGTATGTTGTCATTTGATATTCTAATGTGTAATCTGTTTATATTTTTAACCCTAGCTCTCCTAATTTCTTTCTTAATTAGATTGAAAGATAAAAGACCATCTGCCATGAATTTTGTACATTTATCATTGGGGAAAACTCAACTGTTGTACCTAAATCATAACCAAAATACTAATTTTGCAGAAAAATTTCTTTTTAACTCTAGTTGCAATTATTAAAATATTACACTTGGTAATAGAAATGCCTCATAGATCTTTACAAAGAGATATTTTGGAGAGAACCAGCTTTAGGGTTAGGACATAGACAAGAAAATAAAGATAATGGAAGATTAAGAGAAGAAATATTGGGACCCTTTGATTTTTTAGGCCCTTAAAGGTTTGTGTTAACTGTATAGCTGCTTAAAACTTTAAATCATCTTCTGTGCTTCGTATTTGGAAGCAGCTAGGTGTTTGGGTCCTCTGTAAGTACCCCACCAAAATTTTGCTTCCGTATATATTCCAATCTAAAATATATTTTTTCATTGATCACCATCAACCCATATAAAGTCAGGTAGAAACAGAAATCTGAAAGGCTGTGATATGTTCTTAGTCACACAGCTAGTTAATAGCAGGGTGAAAACTAATGCAGTCTCTCTCATCCTAATGCTTTTTACAACTCTTACTATTGGAATTAAGAATCAGTATAAACCCACACTTAACAACCAACCAATAAAAATAGATTTATTTCATATTCTAATCAGTTAAGGAAGAGAAAAGACATGGTGAGAGTATAAAGAAGAGAAGAGAGGAAGATGCCCCCAAGTTTCTTCAGCTATCCCTTGGTTCCCATTTCTACTAGAATCAGCTCCTAAGTCCCAATTCTATGCCAGAACAGTTTTATTCCTGGCAGGTAGTGAGTTCTCAGTAAGCATTAGTTCCTGTCCCAGTCATCTTCCTCACAGTCAACATTATCTGCTCACCTATCCTCTAATTGAACATCTGCTCCCTGAGGCTGGCCTTTCCTCTAAGCTGTCACCCTGAAACAGGCTGAAAGACATCTGTATTGTCACCAGTTTCCTCTCGACTTCCAGAATTGGCTATTGGTCATTTTTTTCTGGGAGTCCAAAAATCATGTCTCAAATAGTGGGGGTTGGGGGTCGGGTGGATCGAAAGAAACATTTAGCATCTCTTGTGAATCAGACATATGTTTCTTACATATGTCAAGCCTGGAGATCAAGTCTCTTTTTAAGATTAGCCTTGCCTGTAATCCCAGCACTTTGGGAGGCCAAGGCAGGCGGATCACCTGAGGTCAGAAGTTTAAGACCAGCCTGGCCAACATAATGAAATCCCGTCTCTACTAAAAATACAAAAATTAGTCGGGCATGGTGGTGCACGCCTGTAGTCCAGCTACTTGGGAGGCTGAGGCAGAAGAATCACTTGAACCCCGGAGGCAGAGGTTGCAGTGAGCCAAGATCACACCACTGCACTCCAGCCTGGATGACATAGCAAGATTCCATCTCAGGAAAAAAAAAAAAAGGCCTAGCCTTTCTAAGAGTGAGCTCAGGGAAATCTTGGGCAGACTTAGATTTGAATCCTGGCTTTGACACTTATCAACTGTGTGACTTTGGGCAAACTGTTTAACCTCTCCAAGTCTTAGGTATGACTTTTAGAAAGTGGACATCATCAAATTCATGTCAAATTTAGAGGAAATGCAACCTGAGGAGAATGTGGCAGTGTACAGTAGCCTCTGGAAAACAACACCCATTTTATAAATTTGTTCTCAGTGGAAACCCCTCTTCCATGAGCCTCCTGGTGGCAGATTCTAGAAGATCCAAAAAGATCTTGAAAGCCTGGAAATGGTTGTTTGACTCTAAGAAGGTGAAACTTAAAATAAAAAATATAAGTATATATTAGATCTGTTTGGGATCCAATAGAATTTCTATCTAACTATGTCCTAGAGGGATATATTTTAACCAGTTCTAGATCAAAAAGAACCACGTATTTAATCGAAAGTTAGCTGAGCATGAGTCAACAGTATGATATGACCACCAAAAAATGGTGAAGCTATTGTAGACTGTATTAATAGAAGATAAATACTCAAAATAAGGAGTTAAATATACTTAATACTACTGAGCTGTACACTTAAAATGGTTGAGATAGTAAATTTTACATGGATTTTACCACAATTTAAAAAAATAAGTACCCCACCAAAATTTTGCTTCCGTATATATTCCCATCTAAAATATATTTTTTCATTGATCTCCATCAACCCATATAAAGTCAGGTAGAAACAGAAATCTGAAAGGCTGTGATATGTTCTTAGTCACACAGCTAGTTAATAGCAGGGTGAAAAAGGTGGTCCCATTTTACTTATTTGTTGTTATTACAGTATTAAAGTGATTGTGTTTAGGTTATACCTTATGAGTGGCAGGGATTTAGGCAAACTAATAACACTAAAAAAGGATTAGAAATTATGACATACTGGGATTAATTCACAAATAGGGCAGAGAGGGAGGGAAGAATAAATATGTCCTAAATAAATAATGCTGTCTTAAAATATTGAAGGATTGTCATTTTAGAAGAAGGTTTATACTTACCCTTGTTGTATCACCTGGAAAGCTTTAAGAAACAAAACAAATAATAAAATATGACTGGGAACCGCTCTCAGAGATTCTAATTAGTCTGGAGTGGATCCTGGGCACTGGTATGTTTTAATTGGTGATTCTGCTGTGCAGCTAGGCTTGAAAACAACCGTGGTGGAAGGTTGAACCAAATGACTAGTTTGACTAAGAGATTACGGCCAAATATAGGCTAAAAGCACAGATTATTTAGCCTCAACTTCGGAGAATTAAGTAGATTTGAAGTAGTGCAAAAAAGATGTACATTTATATATCCTTTTTTTTTTTCAAAAATCTCTTCATGTTAGACTAAAGCATAATTTAGCTTGATAAGTACCATTCTAGATGGCAAGACTTTTATATCAATCAGCTTAGTCACCAAATAGATATTGGACAGCTGTTATCTGTAAGAGTCTAAGCCTGTCCTGTAGGGCAACGATTCCCATCCGAACTGATCATAAGAATCACTTATGGATGAATTGAACCACCCACAGATACTTTGATTTTAATTCAGCATGTATGATTTTGAAAAGCTATGTGTTTGGATGTGATAGAAAACCCTGATTGATTAATTATTTTTACATTAGGATTTGTTCCTGAATATATGAGTAGATATAAACCATTTGACTGAATTAGGAAAGCATGCTACTTAGAAAAAATTTGGATAAATCCGTTTAAGTACATTTTAATTTTTCTTTTTTTTCCATTATTTTCTCCTTGCAGAACTCACAGTCTACCTTTTAAGTACATTGTAAATGTGAATCATCACTCCAGTATCTTTTATAATTTCATATTTTCATGTATTTTAATTTTCAATTACTGAAATCAGAGCATCAACATATTTATTTTATTACACCCACAAAGAGAATTTGGCATTGACAATTGTAGACGAATTTGTTTCATGTAAAGTCAAAGCTCCATCTCCTGCATCAGGAACAACATTACTTAAGCTTAAATGTAATAGATCTAGGCTGGGCACAGTGGCTCCCACCTGTAGTCCCAGTACATTGGGAGGCAGAGGCAGAGGCAGGCAGATTATTTCAGCCCAGGAGTTTGAGACCAGCCTAGGCAACATGGTGAAACCCCGTCTCTACAAAAAATAAAAAAATTAGCTGAGCATGGTGGTGTATGCCTGTAGTCCCAGCTACATGGGAGGCTGAGGTGGGAGAATCGCTTAGCCCAGGAGGGGGAGGCTGCAGTGAGCCATGATTGCGCCACTGCACTCCAGCCCGAGTAAAGGGTAGGACCTTGTTTCAAAAAAAAAAAAAAAGTGTAATAAATCTAAAGGATTGTTGTATTCATAGCAAGTTCTAAACTCAAGCTTTAATACTCTCTAGTTTTGATATACCTCTTCTATTCTTTCCTTCCATTCTGTGCCCACTACCCTTCTTCTGGTTCAATCCTGAAGCCTGAAACTGACCCCTGATATACCCACTTTAAGTCACTCCTTTCCGCCTGTTGAATGCAGAGTTAAGTCCATATGCCCTTGTGAAGCCCATCATGACTTGGCTTTATTCTAAGCTTTCCGTTATTGTCCTTCATACTCTTGCCTCCCCTGAAATACTTTCATTCCACTCTTTTTGTTTGAATTTTACATATCTTTTAAAGTTTCGTTCAAAATCAGTTCTACTCCAGAAACCTTTTTTTCCCCCAAATTCCTCAGCAGGAGCACACTGTACCTTCTTGTGTCTTATAACACTTAGACCATGTTGGTCTTGGGATCATAGTTCTTTCGGTACACATCTCATCTTCCTTACTAAATTGTCAATTTCATGAAATTAGGAATTGCATCACGTAGTTTGTCATCTCCAACATGTGGAACCGTTATGTATGCATAATGAAAAGAGTCAAGATAATGCAAAGTTAAGTTCCAGCTAAACCCAAATGACGTGACAAGTTATTTTGATTTCACTGAATCCTAATTTTCTTTTCTTCAAAATTTTTGAACATTCAGACAAATGTGCCACTTACCTTGCACATTTGTCTTAAGGTCTAAAGGGATAATCTATCATTTTTGACATATAGAGGCCCTCATTAAATGTTTGTTCTTTCTTATCTCTCAAAAATATCTACCATAATACTTTGAAACTAAGCTCAATACATAACAATAAAGTTATATGATACCCAAGACACTGAGGGCCTGAACTAGGTAGTGTTATGAATTAAAAGGAAAAGGTAGATGTTGAAAAATGTTATAAGCTAGAATTGATATGAGTCAATAATTTTCTGGGGAGAAGAATGACTGAGATTTTAATCCTAGGAATATTATGCCATTTGATTAAAAAAAAAGAGAGACCAAGAACTTGTTTGAGGAAATGAGTCAAAGGAAGTAAGTCTAGGCAACACCATTCTAAACGAAAAGTTATAGGAGCACTAGTATTTTCATAGGCTTCATGGAAATGATCTGGAGCCCCAGTCATGAAAGGGTGTGTTTAAAAAAAAAAGCATTGATATTTATGAACTTGAGTGTCAGTTTCAAACTTTGACTGTTAATAGTGGAGAAGTCTGGAATTAAGGGTTGATCTAGGAGAGAAATAAGTGTTAAATTTTAGGAATTCTTGAACCTTTAATAGTTTCCTTTTGTTTCCTTAAAAGAAATGGTTCTTCTGTAATAAGTTATATTGTAATCAAAAAATAATATTTATTTACTTTCTTTTTAATTTTTACTTTTTTTTTTGAGATGGAGTCTTGCTCTGTCACCAGGCTGGAGTGCAGTGGCGCAATCTCGGCTCACTGCAGCCTCCACCTCCCGGGTTCAAGCGATTCCCCTGCCTCAGCCTCCCAAATAGCTGGGACTACAGGTGCGCACCACCACGCCCAGCTAATTTTTGTGTGTGTGTGTGTGTGTGTGTGTGTGTGTGTGTGTGTATTTTAGTAGAGATGGGGTTTCACCATGTTGGCCAAGATGGGTCAATCTCTTGACCTCGTGATCCACCCACCTTGGCTTCCCAAAGTGCTGGGATCACAGGCATGAGCCACCATGCCCGGCCTTTACTTTTCATGGGTACATAGTAGGTGTATATATTTGTAGGATACATGAGATGTTTTGATACAGGCATGCAGTGTGAAATAAGCACATCATGAAGAATGGGGTATCCATCCCCTAATTTATCCATTGAGTTTCAAACAACCCAATTACTGTTTGCATTATTTAAAAATATATGGTTATTACTGACAATAAGCACCTTGTTGTGCTATCAAATACTAGGCTTATTCATTCTGTTTATTTTGTGCCCATTAACCATCTCTACCTCACCACCAACCCCCCACTACTATTCCCAGCCTCTGGTAACTATCCTTCTAATCTGTATGTCCATGAATTCAGTTGTTTTGATTTTTAGATCCCACAAATAAGTGAGAATATGCAATGTTTGTCTTTCTGTGCCTGGTTTATTTCACTTAACATAATCTCCAGTTCCATTCATGATGTTGCAAATGACTGAATCTCATTCATTTTATGGCTGAATAGTACTCCATTGTGTATATGTACCACATTTTCTTTATCCATTCATCTGTTGGTGGACACTTCGGTTGCTTCCAAATTTTAGTTATTGTAAACAGTGCTGCAACAAATATAGCAGTGCAGATATCTCTTTGATATACTGATTTCCTTTCTTTGGGGTAAATACCCAGCGGTGAGATTGCTGAATCATATGGTAGCTCAATTTATTTTTTTGAGGAACCTCCAAACTGGTCTCCTTAGTAGTTGTACTAATTTACATTCCCACCAACAGTGTATGAGGATTCCCTTTTCTCCACATCCTTGCCAGCATTTGCTATTGCCTGTCTTTTAGATATAAGCCATTTTAACAGGGGTGAGATGTTATTTCGTGTAGCTTTGATTTGCATTTTGCTGATGATTAATTATGTTGAACACCTTTTCATATGCATGTTTGCCATTTGTATGTCTTGTTTTGAGTACTGTCTATGCAAATCATTTGCCCATGTTTTGATTGGATTATTAGATTTTTTTCCATTGGAGTTCTTTGAGTTCCTTCTATATTCTGGTTACTAATCTTTTATCAGATGGGTGGTTTGAAAATATTTTCTCCCATTCTGTGAATTGTCTCTTCACTTTGTTGATTATATCCTTTGCTGTGCAGAAGCTTTTTAACTTGATATGATCCCATTTGTCCGTTTTTATGTTGTTGCCTGTGCTTGTGGGGTATTGCTCAAGAAATCTTTGCCAAGACCAGTGTCCTGGAGATTTTCCTCAATGTTTTCTTGTAGTAATTTTATGGTTTGAGGTCTTACATTTAAGTCTTTAATGCATTTTGATTTGAATTTTGTATATAGAGATAGGGGTCTAGCTGCATTTTTCTGCATATGGATATCCAATTTTCCCAGCACTGTTTATTGATGAGATTATCTTTTCCCCAGATTATGTCCTTGGCACCTTTCTCAAAAATGAGGTCACTGTAGGTGTGTGGATTTGTTTCTGGGTTCTCTATTCTGTTCCATTGGTCTATGTGTCTGCTTTTATGCCAGTACCACACTGTTTTGGTTACTTTAGCTCTGTAGTATAATTTGAAGTCAGGCAATGGAGGAACAATTCCTCCAGTTTTGTTCTTTTTACTTAGGATAACTTTGGCTATTCTGGGTCTTCTGTAGTTCCATATAAATTTTGAGATTTTTTTTCTATCTCTGTGAAGAATGTCATTGGTGTTTTGATAGGGATTGCTTTGAATCTGTAGATTGCTTTGGGTCCTATGGAGATTTTAACAATATTGATTCTTCCAATCCATGAACATGGAATATTTTTCTATTTTTTGGTGTCCTCTTCAATATAATTCATCAGTGTTTTACAGTTTTCATTACAGAGATCTTGCATTTCTTTGCTTAAGTTAATGCCTAGGTATTTAATTTTATGTGTGACTATTGTAAATTGGATTATTTTTTAAATTTTTTAAATTTTACTTTAAATTCCAGAATACAAGTGCAGAACATGTAGGTTTGTTACATAGGTATATATGTGCCATGGTTTGCTGGACCTATCAACCCATCATCTAGGTTTTAAGCCCTGCATGTATTAGCTATTTGCCCTAATGCTCTCCCTCCTTTCGCCCCCACCCCCCAACTGGCCCCGATGTGTGTTATTCCCCTCACTGTGTCCGTGTGTTCTCATTATTCAACTCCCACTTATGAGTGAGAAATGCGGTGTTTGGTTTTCTGTTCATGTGTTAGTTTGCTGAGGATTATGGCTTCCAGCTTCATCCATGTCCCTGCAAAGAACATGATCTCATTCCTTTATGTGGCTGCATAGTATTCCATGGTGTATATGTACCACATTTTCTTTATCCAGTCTATCATTGATGGACATTTGGGTTGGTTCCATGTCTTTGATGTTGTAAATAGTGCTGCAGTAAACATACATGTGCATGTGTCTTTACTGCAGAATGATTTATAATCCTTTGGCTATATATCCAGTAATGGGATTTCTGGGTCAAATGGTATTTCTCGTTCTAGATCCTTAAGAATCACTGCACTGTCTTCCACAATGGTTGAAATAATTTGCATTCACACCAATAGTGTAATAGTGTTCCTATTTCTCCACAGCCTCGCCAGCATCTGTTGTTTCTTGACTTTTTAGTAATCACCATTATGACTGGCATGAGATTAAAACTATGGAATGCTTCATGAATTTGTGTGTCATCCATATGCAGGGGCCATGCTAATTTTCTCTGTATCATTCCAGTTTTAGTATATGTGCTGCTGAAGTAAGCATTTGAGTTATTTTTTAGTTTCTTTTTCAGATTGTTCATTGTTGGCATATAGAAATGCTAGTCCTTTTTGTATGTTGATTTTGTTTCCTGAAAATTTACTGATTTTGTTTATCAGTTCTAATAGTTTACTTGTGGAGTCTATAGGTTTTCCCAAGTATAAGGTCATATCATCATCTGCAAACAAGGATAATTTGACTTCTTCCTTTCCCATTTGGATGCCCTTTATATATATATATATATTTTTTGTTTGATTGCTCTAGCTAGGACTTCTAGTACTATGCTGAATAACAGTTTTGACACTGGGCATCCTTGTCAAGTTCCAGATCTTAGAGTAAAACCTTTCAGTTTTTGCCCATTCATTGCAATACTAGCTGTGGGTCTGTAGTATAAGGCTTTTATTATGTTGAAGTATGTTCCATCTATCCCCAGTTTTTTGAGGATTTTTATCACAAAGGAATGTTGAATTATATCAAATGCTTTGTCAGCATCAATTGAAATGATCATATGGTTTTTAATCCTTTATTATTATGATGTATCTCATTGATTAATTTGTATATGTTGAACCATCCTTGCATCCCGGGAAAAACATCCTACTAGGTCATGATGAATGATCGTTCTAATGTAGTGTTGAATTCTGTTTGCTATATTTTGTTGAGGATTTTTGCATCAATATTCATCAGAGATCTTGGCCTGTAGTTTTCTTTTTTGGATGTCTCTTTGTCTGTTTTTGGTATCAGGGTAATACTGGCATCATAGAATGAGTTTGGAAGTATTGCTTCCTC
Organism: Homo sapiens; assembly: GCF_000001405.40. NCBI lineage: Eukaryota > Metazoa > Chordata > Mammalia > Primates > Hominidae > Homo > Homo sapiens. The sequence goes on along the minus strand of NC_000023.11, from coordinate 101,914,808 downwards.
CTCTGTTTTTCAGAATAGTTTTAGTAGGATTGGTCGTAGTTCTTTAAATGTTTACTAGAATTTAGCAATTAGGTCCCGGGCTTTTCTTTACTGAGAATTTTTTTTTATTATGGCTTCTATCTCATTACTTGTTATTGGCCTGAATGGTTCTGGATTTCTTCCTGGTTCAATTTCAGTAAGCTGTATCTATCAAGGAATTTGTCCATTTCCTCTAGATTTTCCAAATTACTGGCATATAGTTGCTCATAGTAGACACTAATGATCCTTTGAATTTCTGCGGTATCAGTTGTAATGTCTCCTTTTTCATTTCTGATTTGATATATTTGGATCTTCTTGCTTTTTTTCTTAGTAGTCTGGCTAATGGTTTGTCAATTTTGTTGAACTTTTCAAAAAAAACCCAGCTTTTTGTTTCATTGGTCTTTTGTATTGTATTTTTAATTTCAATTTCATTTATTTCTGCTTGATATTTATTATTTCTTTTGTTCTACTAATTTGGGGGTTGTTTTGCTGTTTTTTTCTAGTTCTTTCAGATCCATCATTTGATTATTTACTTGAAGTTTTTCTAAACTCTTTTTAAATGTAGAGACTTATAGCTATAAACTTCCCTCTGAGTACTGCTTTTGCTGTATTCCATAGGTTTTGGCATGTTGTGTTTCTACTGTTATTTGTTTCAAGAAATTTTTCAATATCCTTCTTAATTTCTTCATTGAGCCACTGGTTATTGAGGAGCATATTGTTTAATTTCCATGTATTTGTATAGTTTTCAAAATTCCTATTATTATTGATTTCTAGTTTTATTCCATTGTGGTTCGAGAAGATGCTTGATATTATTTCAGTTTTTTGAGAGTTTTAAGAGTTATTTTGTGACCTAACATATGGTCTATTCTTGAGAAAGACCTATGTGCTAAGGAAAAGAATGTGTATTCTGCGGTTGTTGCATGACATGTTCTGTAAATATCTGTTAGATCCATTTCATCCGTAGTGCAGATTACATCTGCTGTTTCTTTGTTGACTTTCTGTCTGGAAGATCTTTCTAAAGCTGAAAGTGGGGTGTTGAAGTCTCCAGCTGTTACTGTATTGGGGCCTATCTCTCTCTTTCACTTGAGTAATATTTCCTTTATATATCTGGGCACTGCAGTGTTGGGTGCATATCTATTTAAAATTGTTATGTCCTCCCTCTGGCTGAACTGACCCCTTTATCATCATATAGTGTCCTTCTTTGTCTCTTCTTACAGTTTTGGTCTTGAAATCAATTTTGTCTGATCTAAGTATAGTGACTCCTGTTCTGTTTTAGTTTCATTGGCATGGAATGTCTATTTCTATCCTTTCATTTTCAGTCTGTGTGTCTGTATAGGTAAAGTATGTTTCCTCTAGGCAACAGATCAGTGGGTCTTGTTTTTTCATCCATTCAGTGAGTCAGTGTCTTTTGATGGGGAAGTTTAGTCCATTTACCTTCAGTATTATTATTGATAAGTAAGGACTTAGTTCTTCCCTTTTGATTTTTGTTTCCTGGTTGTTTTGTGGTCTTCTCTTCCTTCTTTCTTTCATTTCTGTCTTCCTCTAGTGAAGATGATTTTCTCTGATAATATGATTTAATTTCTTGCTTTTTATTTTTAGTGTATCTATTGTATGTTTTTTGGTTTGAGGTTCCCATGAGGCTTGCAGATACCTTCTTATAACTTACAACTCATTATTTTAAACTGCTAACAACTTAACACTATTTACATGAACAAGCAAAAAGAAAACTAATAAAAACTCACCTTAACTTCATCCCCCCACTTTTTTTTTCTAACATGAATTTGCTATTGCTTATAAGATGATGGTTTAACAAAGGAAAAATCTCCCTTTTTGTAAAACAAATATCTGTGTTGCTAATGCGAGTTCTGCAGAGAAATGTAGAGGGAGAACAGAGCAGTAAAAGCCATCTCAAAGTCAGTGAGACTCTATGGAAGCAGCTTTACATTTTGAGTCTTCCCATACAAAGCTTTTCAGTCTCATTGTATATAAAGATTAATTGCAAAAATAATGCAGGGATAACTAAAAACCTGTTTATAGTACACTGATACTTTGTCATATGGAATTCCAATCTGTAACTGGCTGCCATGTACCCTGATCAAACAATATACACACAAACCAGACAGCTTTTTACTGAGACAGTCAGTATCCATAGTGATTCCATAAAGATGCCACTCTCATTTCTGGAACACTCTGCCATATTGTCATTTGGGAATGAATATCAGAGTCAACCTGCACCGTTCATAAGCACTTCCCCCCCACCCAAAAATGTAATGTGCAATAATGGCTAATTCTGACTTCATTTGGTTCTTGTATATATGAAAGGCATTTGTTGGATTTCTCACCAATTTGAACATCTCTGGTTTGGAATACGGTGAATCCTTGGACAAAAGCTTTCCCTGGATCCACTACACTTGTTCCATTTCTGTTTTGTAGGTTCTATAATGTAGCACTAATGGGTGTTCGAGGCTGAAGGTCATGAGTGTTGATTATTTCCACATTTCCCTACTATTTGGATGCAGGGATGGATGACCTAGAGCTTGGTGGTCCCATGGTCATTTCCCATCAGTGTGAACTCTCTGAGGGTGTCTGAGGGGAGTGCTGTGTGAAAAGGCTTTTGTATGAATATACGTTTCTCATGTGTATGATTGAGTCAAATCTAGAAAAGGATGAGCTATGGCTTAAGGTCTTCCCATGTCCCCAGCACATGTGGAGTGGGTTTATCCAGTGTGAATTCTCTGGTGCTTGGTAAGGGAGGAGCTGTGTGTAAGGGCCTTTCCACAGTCCCTGCACACATATGGCTTCTCTCCTGTGTGGATCCTCCGGTGCTGAGTGAGGTGGGTGCTCTGCCTAAAGGACTTTCCGCAATCGTGACACCCATGGGACTTTTCCCCAGTGTGCGTCCTTTCATGCTGGCTGAGCAAGGAGCTGTGGCTGAAGGATTTCCCACACTCATTGCACCGATAGGGCTTTTCCTTGGTGTGAATCCTCTGGTGTTCGATGAGACGGGAGCTCTGGCCGAAGGCTCTGCCACACTGGTTACATTCATAGGGTTTCTCTCCTGTGTGGATCCTCTGATGCTGAATGAGGGGAGCAAGCTGGCTGAAGGCTCTGCCACACTGGTTGCATTCGTAGGGCTGGCTTCTCCCCAGCGTGGATTCGCTAATGTTTGGTGAGGGACAAGCTGTGACTGAATGCCTTGCTACAGTCATTGCATTCATAGGGCTTCTCCCCTGTGTGGATTCGCTGTTGTTGGGTGAGGTGACTTTTTAACTTTTTGTTGTTTTTACTTATATCTTACTGTACTATGTCTTGAAAAGTTGTAGTTATTCTTTTTGATTGGTTCATTATTCAGTCTTTCTACTTAGGATAAGAGTAGTTTATACACCTCTGTTATAGTATTATAATATTCTGTGGTTTTCTGTGTATTTACTATTACTAGTGAGTTTTGTACCTTCAGGTGATTATTTATTGCTCATTAATGTCCCTTTCTTTCTGGTTGAAGTACTTCCTTTAGCATTTCTTTTAGCACAGGTCTGGTATTGATGAAATCCGTCAGCATTTGTTTGTCTTGGAAAGTACTTCTCCTTCATGTTTAAGGGATATTTTCACTGAATATACTATTCTAGGGTAAAAGGGCTTTTTTTTTCTTTAGCATTTAAATATGTGATGCCACTCTCTTCTATCCTGTAAGGTTTCCATTGAAAAGTCTGCTGCCTGACATATTGGAGCTCCATTGTATGTTATTTTTTTCTTTTCTCTTGCTGTTTTTAGGATCCTTTCTTTATTCTTGACCTTTGGGTACTTGATTATTAAATGCCTTGGGGTAGTCGTCTTTGAATTAAATCTGCTTGGTGTTCTATAATGTTCTTGTACTTGGATATTGATATCTTTATCTAGATTTCAGAAGTTCTCATTATTATCCCTTTGAATAAGCTTTCTACCTAATTTCTTTCTCTACCTCCTCTTTCAGGCCAACAACTCATAGATTTGCCTTTTTCAATCTATTTTCTAGTTCCTGTAGGTGTGTGTCATTGTTTTTTATTCTTTTTTCTTTTGTCTCCTCTGTGTATTTTCAAGTAGCCTATCTTCAAGCTCACTAATTCTTTCTTCTGCTTTATCTGTTCTGCTATTAAAGGACTCTGATTCATTCTTCAGTATGCCAGTTGATTTTTCAGCTCCAGTATTTCTGCCTGATTCTTTTTAATTATTTCAATCTCTTTGTTAAATTTATCTGATACAATTCTGAATTCCTTCTCTCTGTTATCTTGAATTTCTTTGAGTTTCCTCAACACAGCTACTTTGAATTCTCTCTGTGAAAGTCCACATGTTTCTGTTTCTCCAGGATTGGTCCCTGGTGCCTTTTTAAGTTTATTTGGTGAGGTCATGTTTTTCGGAATGGTGTTGATGCTAGTAGATGTTCTTTGGTGTCTGGGCATCAAAGAGTTAGGCATTTAATGTAGTCTTCACTGTCTGGGCTTATTTGTAGCTGTCCTTCTTGTGAAGGCTTACCAGATATTTGAAAGGACCTGGGTGTTGTGATCTAAGCTGTGTCTTCTTTCTGGGGCACCCAGGCCCTGTAACACTGTGGTTCTCGCAGACTCATAGAGGTGCTGCCCTGATGGTCTTGAACATGATCTGGGAGAATTCTCTATATGACCAGGCAGATACTCTTTTTCTCTTACCTTACTTTCTCCCAAACTTACAGAGTCTCTGTCTGTTCTGAGTCACCTAAATCAGGGGATGGATTGACAGAAGCATCCCTGTGGCCACCACCACTGTGACTATGCTGGGTCACACCTGAAGCCAGCACAGAGCTGAGTCTTGCCTAAGGCCCATTGTAACCACTCCCTTACTACTGCCTATGTTTTCTCAAGGCCCTGGGGCTCTACAATCCACAAGTAGCAAAGCCAGCCAGGCCTGTGCCTTTCCTTTCAGGGTGGCGAGGTCCCCTAATCTCTGGGTGAGTCTAGAAGTGTTGTTTGGGAGTCAGCGACTAGAGTTAAAAAAACCTTAGAAGTCTACCTGGTATTCTATTGTATTGCAGCTGAGCTGGTACTCAAACCACAAGACTCAGTCTTTCTTATCCTTCCTTCACTTTCCAAAGGCAGAGTAGCCTCACCCCATAGCCACGGCCACCCCTGGCCACAAGGCAAGGTGTACTGCCAGATTACCACTGGTGTTCCCTTAAGGCACAGGGGCTCTTAAGTGCACTTGTGAATGCTGCCTGGCTTGGGACTCACATTTCAGCGCTGTGAGCTCGCCTCTGGCCCAGGGCAGTCCCAGAAATGCTGTCCAACAGTCAACTCTAGAATCAGGGACCCCAGGAGCCCGCTTGATGCCCTACCCCACTGTGGTGGTGTTGGTACCTAAGGGGTAAGACAAAGTCCTCTTTACTTTTCCCTCTGCTTTTCTAAAGGAGAAGGAGTTTTGCCCCATAGCACCACAGCTGGTAATTTGCTGAGCCCCACCTGAAGCCAGCAAGTGTCAGAGGCTCAACAAGGCCCTCAAGGTAGTTCCTGGGTATCACTGCTGGTTATTCAGGTCCCAAGGGCTCTTCAGTTAGCAGATGATGAACGCTGTAAGGATTGGGTCCTTTCCTTCAAGTCAGGGAATACCTTTCTGGCTCAGGGTGTGTCTTGAAATGTCATCTGGGAGCTATGGCCTGGAACAGGGTCCTCACAGCTCTGACTGGTGCTCTATCCTTGTGTGGCTGAGCTGGTAACCAAGATGCAAGGCAAAGTCCTCTCCTCTCTTACCTCTCCTCTCCTCAAGCAGAAGGAAGAGGTCTCTTTTGGAGCCTCAAACCATGTAGCCTGGGATTAAGGGAGGGGTGATTTCAGTCCTTCCTTGGCTGCCCCAGCTGGTGTCTCAGTATGTCATGTGCCCTGCCCCCTCACCCCAGTCCACTGTCTCTGGGCCTAGTTCAGCCCTAGGACTCGCCTACGAATTGCGGTACCTATTGCCTAGACTGCCTTTCAGGTTTACTTAGAGACTGAGAGCACTTTGGCCCTCAGAGGTAAGGTTTGCAGACACTCAACTTTGAACCACTGGGATGAACAACTCCTCTCTGGCTAGGGCTGGTTTAAATGATCCTTCCCTGGTTGGGTACCAGCTGAGTTTGGTCTGCTTTTCCTTTCTGCTCTAACAGGATAGCACCGAGTTCACTGCCTAAGAATTGCTGTGTTCTCCCTTCCAGCATCCAGAAATGCTCTCTGCACCAGGCTGCAGCTGCAGGGATGGGGGAGGGGTGGCATCAGCTATTCAGGACCTTTTTTTTTCTATCTCTTAAGTGCCTCTTTCAGTGATCTGAAGTTAAAATTGGGTGCTTTGAGCTCTCACCTGATTTTTGGTTCTTGTGAAGGTATTTTTTTCTGTGTAGATAGTTGTTAACTTGGTGTCCTTGTGGGGTTGGGGGACAATCAGTAGAGCTTTCTGTTCTGCCATCTTGCTTTGCCTTCTATATTTACTTATTCGTATTAAAGATTTTAATGGATGGGAAGTTCAAGATTATACCACTATGCTCAATTTGCACGTAGTAGTTAATCCTGAAAAAGGGAAGTCATGAAATGCATTTTAATTAACTTATTTACACTGCTGATGTTAGAATCGAAGTTAGATAAATCACATATTCTAAAACAATCTCAAAAATAATTGAGGTGATACTATATGTAGTAGAGATAAATTTGTAACTATTCATTGTTATTTTTTACACGTTTCTAGTTACATTTATTCTTGAGTATGCACTTTTAAAAGTAAGCCTTTTTAGTCCATGTAATGATATTGAAAATTAACTTAGGTGAAGATATCTAACATAACTTTTAAAATAAATATCTTCAACGGTTTCTATCTAATATAGGTATAGGTATAGGTACTCCTGCTCTGTTTTAGTTTTTCCTTTTCATTCTTTTCTTTTTTTTTCCTCTTACGGTATATTTTCAAATAGCTTATCTTTGAGTTCATAGATTATTTCTTTTGCCTGATCAATTCTGAGGTTGATGCTATTACATTTTTCATTTCATTCATTGTATTTTTAAGCTCCAGAATTTATTTGATACTTTTAAAATATAATTTCAGTCCCTCTGTTAAATGTCTAATTTGATCATTTATTGTTTTCTTGATTTCATTAAATTCTCTATTTTTTTGAAGTTCATTGAGATTTCTAAAAACAGTTATTTTGAATCTTTGTCAGACCGTTTGTATAGAGGTTAGCTACTAAGAAACTGTGTTCTTGTGGTGGTGCTATGTCTCTTGGTTTTTCATGTTTCTCATTGCCTTACATTAATGTCTGCACATTTAAAGAAACGTAAGGACTTATTCCAATTTTTGCAGACTTAATTTTTCTGGGAAAGCCCTTCACCAGTCAGCCCATCCAGAGATTCCCGGGCAGGCCATCTGGTATGATCCCTGATACGCTTGCTGGCCCTGGTATCTGGGTCTTCAGGGTTGGGCCTGAAGCCTGAATCCACTGGGATGGACCTGTTGATTGGGTCTTGAGGAATGGACCTACAGCCTGTGTTGACGAGGGCAGGCCTGGAGCCTGTATCCACAGGAGCCAACCTGCCAACCTGAAGCCTGGTCCACAGGGGCTCACCTGGTGCTGGGGTAGGCCTTGAACCTGAGTCTATAGGAGATGGCTGAACACTGGATGGGCCTGACACCTAGGTCCACTGGCATGGGCCTGGAGCTTGAGTCCATGGAGGCTAGCCTAGCACTGGGGTGTCTTGGATTATTGAAATGATCACTGAGGTGCCTGGTTCCTGGGATCACTGAGATAGACCTGGAGCCTGAGTCTGCAGGGGTGGTCTTGGAGCCTCAGTCCAAGGGGTCCTGCCTGGTACTGGGGTCTACAGGAGTGGGCATGGACCCTGGGTCTTCTAGAATAAGCCTGGAGCCTGGGTCCTCTGGAGCCTGGGGCCTGGTGCTGAGACCAGTGTGGAACTTGTAACCAGAGTCTCATCTGGAGTCCAGGATTGTGGATGCTAGCCCAATGCCTGGAGCTACTTGGGCTGGCCTGGAGCCTGAGTCTGCAGAAGCAAGCCTGGAGGCTGGGTGTGCAAGGGCTAGCTTAGAGGCTAGGTCCCTGGGGGCTAATGTGGGTCTTGGAGCCACAGGGCCAGCCTGGGACCTGGGCACACAGGGATGGTCCTGGCACCTGGGTCCACGGGGGCAAGCCGAGCACTGTGGTCTACTGGAACTGGCCTGGGTGGGCCCTGGGTCTGCTGGAACACTGAGATGCAGGAGCTCCAGCAAGAGCTACAGGTGCCAGCCTGGAGGGCAGGGCTGTGGGATCCTGCCTGGTTCTGGGGTGGGACTGGAGGCTCAGTCTGTGGGTACCAGCCTCTTGGGGCCTATATTAGCTCCCTCCAGGGGCTGGCCTGGAGGCTGAGTCTGCAGGTGCCAGCCTTATGACTAGGGCTGTGGGAGTTGGCCGGGTGCTGGAGCTGACCCTGGCCTGAAGCCAGGAGCCTTGGGAGCTAGTCCAATGCTGGAGATGGTCGAGGACATGGTACTGCTGAGGTTGGCCTGATGTTGGAGTAACCTGGAGACCAAGTCCACTGTGCAGGCCTGGAGCTTGGGGTTGAATGATTCGGCTTGGCACTGGAGCAGGCCTGGAGGCTGAGTCCACTGGTACTGTCCTGAAGTCTGGGGCTGTGGGGGCCTTCCTAGCACTGGATATTACTGGGGTGGGTCCAGTTTTGGAGTTGGAATTAAAGTTCAGTGCTCACTTCCCTCTCCTTCTCTCACACAGAGGGTATCTCTCTCCACTCTATGCTGGGCTTGGTAGGGGGCTGATGCTGATAGTGTAAAACTCTCTTTCCTACCTTCTTGAATGCACCTTATTTCTGTGCTACACCCAGGTGCTGATATAATCTCCTACATATTTGTTTTTTTTTTTTTTTTTAGTTTTTTGGCTCTTGTGAAGATATTTTCATTTGTGGATAGTTATTTTAATTGATGTTTCTGTAGAGAGATGAGTGCTGAAGAGTCCTATTCTACCATCTTGATGATGTCCGTCCTAATAGTTTTTTAATTAGAAAGTCCTGCATTCTTTTCTGCAAAAATTAAGACAGTTGTACAGAAAGTTAAACATTAAGTTGTCTCTCCTTGTTCCTTTTCTAGGCCTACCTACCAGAGTTAACCATTTTTAAATTCGGTTTATTTTATTCCAGATTTTTCTGTGCATATATGTGCATATATTTAATTTTTGTTAGTATTGGGAATTGGATGTATTGTATTTGTTCTACAGCTTTTTATTCATTTAATAAGCAATTGGCATCTCTCTGTGAAAGCATGTGTACCAACTTATTCACTTTGATAGCCAAATAGCAATGAGAATTTTGATGTTTGTGACTCATACTGTATAAAAAATGGATAAACTTTGGCAGAATACATTGTAATTCTTAAGAATTTTAGATGACACTATAGACCTCAAGTGTAAATGCAGAAAGTTTTGGCATGTCCCCTTATTTATTACAGTGAGAAACACTATAGCATACATTTCTAGATATGTATATGAACATTACATTATAGCTTTGAGAGGCTTGTGTGAGACTTGTTTGGCCACATTAGTAGGCTAGTGTTTGTACAATGATGAAGGATGTTTGCCCACTATGGGCAAAGATAGTTTGTGGTTCCTTGTGATTTCTAGATAACATTGAAGGCATAGCTTCATGTTTCTTGGACCTGTAAAATGAGAGTGGTAAAAATCTCTTGATTCTTAACGAGAATCCTGTGACAAATGACAGTCCTAAAACAAAGCATTTCTTAGGATTGTCTGCTGTTAAACATAAAATATCAAGGCTGTTTTTTGTTTGTTTGGTTGGTTTTCAGGTTTGTTTTTTGTTTGTTTGTTTGAAACAGTGTCTTGCTGTAGCTCAGGCTGGAAGGCACAATCATAGCTCACTGCAGCCTCGACCTCCTGGGCTCAAGTGATCATCTCAGCCTCCGGAGTAGCTAGGACCACAGGCGCATGCCACCATGCCCAGCTAATTTTTATTTCTAATTTTTTTTTTAGAGATTGTGTCTTGCTATGTTGCCCAGGCTGTTCTCAAACTCCTGACCTCAAGTGGTCCTCCTACCTCAGCCTCCCAAAGTGCTGGGATTACAGGCATGAGCCACCGCACCTGGCCAAGGCTGGGTTTTTAAATCCAGCCTTTAATTACTGGTGTCCCAAGTCATTCCATGAAGCTCATGAAGTTACTGGTGCCCCCATAATGATTCCTTTAGAATGCCATTGCCTAGACTTATCATACTAAAATAACTCTTGCCATATCTGACATTAGAGGGATACTTAGTATGTGCATATTAAATTGCACACTCGAACAAAAAGCTGTTACTGTAGCCTCACAAGCACTCAAATTTGAAGTATCATATGAAATCATATATAGTTGAGGAATGAAAAATGATACCTCTAAATATTTATTAATGTGATATATTTGTCTTCCCTTTTTTATTCACAGACGCCATTTGGAATGAACAGGAAAAGGCTGAACTTTTTACAGATAAGTTTTGTCAAGTATGTGGAGTGATGCTACAGTTTGAATCACAAAGAATTTCACATTATGAGGTAGGTTAAAAATAATGGAAGTAGGGTCTAAAGCAGGTTTTTAAATGTAGCAAGTAAACTTCCTGTAAGTCATCTTACTTGATTCTTATGAGAATCCTGTGAAAAAGGTAGTAGTATTTTCCTTTGATGGATGAGGAGATTGGCTCAGAAAGGGATGGTAATATACTACTTTAAGTTTGGGGAATTCAGATTTAAACTCAGTCTTTTACTCCAAAGCTTGTTTTCTTCTCTTCACACCACTCCCTTTGCATCCATCAAGCCATCCACCCTTGTATTAAATATAAGTGAGGCATTATGAAGCTTGCATAGGAAACTATTAATGTGAATCAAGGGATATTATGTAGAACTCCCAGAGTCTTCCTTAACAGCAAATGAAGACTATAAAAACAAAACGAACCAGTCTTGCACTTGATTGAACCACATGTTTTTAGACACAGGAATGTAGAATCCTAGAGCTAAAATAGAGAATGTTTAATGTCCTTACTCTCTTAGTTTATAGATTAGAAAACTGAGACCAAGAGGATTAATACTTCTCCATGGCTAATCACTGGTATGACTAAGCCTAAAAATGATTTCTTCTTATTTCATATCCAGTGTTCTTTCCCTTCATTTGGTGTTGCTTCATGTTTCTACATTATCTGATGAGCTGTTGGATTTCTTTCATATCTGGTATCTAGGTTACCAAAAATACTAGATACATTCATTTAAAACTAATGTAATGCCAGTTCTACTTTTTTAAACATCTCATCTTGTTCTTCCCATTGCTAATCTTATTGGTAATTATATTTTAATCCTAATGTTGGTTGAAATTAATTTACTATAATTACAGATAGGGAAATTGTGTGACTGTGGATTGAGAGGAGGTAGGGTTAAGTCTTAATTCCACCATTGACTAGTTACATAAGCTTTGGCAAGTCACTTTACCTTTCTGAGCATGTTTCTTGGACCTGTAAAGTGAGAGTGGTAAAAACCTCTTACTATACTTGTGAGAATTAAGTGAAATCAAATGTGTGAGAGTGCCTAGCACATCTTTAGACTCCATAGATCAAAGATTTAGAATTAGTAACAGAGACAGACAGTCAAGGGGCTCTGTGATAACTACAATTTATCCATTTGGACCATTTTAATTTATATTGGAAAAACAGCTTTTTATGGAATCATAAAGCACTATTCAGTCTAGAAAATAGGCAAAAATACAAGAAAATAGATATAAATTATAATTCTATCACTTGTAGTTAACCATTATTGAATTTCTCTTTTGCTTCTGTGATTCCAATATGATTTCTGAACACACACACACACATATACACATGCATTTTTACAAAAAAGATATACAGACTCTCAGTATAGTATTGTAAAATATAACAGTATTGCAGAAGTTTTGAATTTTAATGAGGTTGTATTTATTAATATTTCTTTTGTGTCTGTGCTTATGTGTTTAATAAACCATTCTATACACTTTTGTCATATACTTTCCTCTATTTTCTTCTAAAACTTTGAAGATTTACTTCTTATGTTATAATTCATCTGGTATTGATTTTCGTGTATGGAGGGTGACAACAGGTTTTTCATATGGATAGCCAGTTGTTCCAGCACTATTTATTGTATAGTCCACCCTTACCTCATTGATTTGTAGTGGCACCTCTATTGTATGCTAATTTCCACATATATATTGGTTTGTTTTGAGGCTTTTATCCTGTTTTATTGTATTAGCCTGGTTTCCTATATCTACAACAATTTCACCTTTAAAATAAGTCACAGCTTTCAAATGAGTCACAATATCTGTAGAAGAAATTTATATGACATTAAAAATTTTTAAATCATAAACTAAATTAAAAATATATGCCACACATTAGTTGATATCTATAACCTATATAACTAACGAAGGATTCGTGTCTAGAATACAGAAAGGACTACAAATCAATTAGAACAAGAAGCAAATAGAAAAATGGGAAAGTGATGTGAACAGTCCATAGAATAGATACTCAGCTTCACTAGTGATCACACAGGACATGCAAGTTAAAATAATAAACTATCATATAAGAACCATAATACTGGCAAAAATTAAAATCTAATAACACTTAACACTTCAAGATAATATAGGGAAACACTCTCATTGCTGCATTTGGAGATGTAAACTGCTTCAAAATTTTATACCTGGTAAAGTTGAAAATCCACACTCCTTATAGGCCAAGAATTCCACTTCTAGGTATCTATTCTAAAGGAACTTTTGAACATGTATATTGGGAGATCTATTTATATATGTTAATTGCAGCAATGCTTGTGTTAGCAAAATAAACTGAAACATAATTGTCCTAAACAGGGAACTGGATAGGTAGCATATGGAGTAGAATATTATAGCATGAATGAACTAGAGCTATATGTATCAATATCAATAAATCTCATAAATAAAATACTGAGTTTTAAAAAGCAATTTGGAAAGAATATGTATCAAATGATTCCACTTTTTATAATCAATTTTTACAAGATAGTAATATATAAAACTATTTATGGATATGTATGTGTAGTAAAGGAATAAAAGCATGAAAGGAAATCAGGTACACCAACTTTAAGAGAGAGAGAGGAAGAAAGGATTGTGAGCATGAGGGTATAGGATTATATCTGTAAAATTTTACCTCTTTTAAAGGAAATTTGAGAGAAATGCAACAAAGTGTTAAAACTGAATAGTGGGTATGGGTTTCGATTATATTGTTTCCTGTTCTTTCCTATACAATGGGTATATTTCACATTTTAAAATTATGTAGACCATCTATGACAAACCCACAGCTAATATAATACTGAATAGGGAAAAGTTGAAAGGCATTCCCTCTGAGGAATGGAACAAGACAAGGATGCCCACTCTCACCACTCCTCTTCAACATAGTACTGGAATTCCTAACCAGAGCAATCAGACAAAGAAAGAAATAAAGGGCATCCAAATCTGTAAAGAGGAAGTCAAACTGTCACTGTTTGCCGATGATATGATCGTTTACCTTGAAAACCCTAAAGACTCCTCCAGAAAGCCCCTAGAACTGATAAAAGAATTCAGCAAAGTTTCTGGATACAAGATTAATGTACACAAATCAGTAGCTCTTCTATACACCAACAGCGACCAAGCAGAGAATCAAATCAAGAACCCAACCCCTTTTACAATAGCTGCAAAGAAAAAAAAATTAGGAATATACCTAACCAAGGAGTCGAAAGATCTCTGTAAGGAAAACTACAAAACACTGCTGAAAGAAATCATAGATGACACAAACAAATGGAAACATATTCCATGCTCATGGATGGGTAGAATCAATACTGTGAAAATGCAATCTACAAATTCTGTGCCAAAAGCAATCTACAAATTCAGTGCAATCCCCATCAAAATACCACCATCATTCTTCACGGAATTATAAAAAACAATTCTAAACTTCATATGGAACCAAAAAAGAGCCCACATAGCCAAAGCAAGACTAAGCAAAAAGAACAAATCTAGAGGCATCACACTACCTGATTTCAAACTATACTATAAGGCCATAGTCACCAAAATAGAATGGTACTGGTTTAAAAATAGGCACATAGACCAATGGAACATAATAGATAACTCAGAAATAAACCCTAATACTTAAAGCCAACTGATCTTCAACAAAGCAAACAAAAATATCAGTTGGGGAAAGGACACCCTATTCAACAAATGGTGCTGGGAAAATTGGCTAGCCACATGTAGGAGAATGAAACCGGATCTTCATCTCTCACCTTATACAAAAATCAACTCAACATGGATTAAACACTTAAACCTAAGACTTGAAATTATAAAAATTCTGGATGATAACAATGGAAAAACCCTTCTAGATACTGGCTTAGGCAAGGATTTCATGACCAAGAACCCAAAAGCAAATGCAATAAGAACAAAGATAAATAGCTGAGACCTAATTAAACTAAAGAGCTTTTGCACACCAAAAGGAACAGTCAGCAGAGCAAACAGACAACCTACAGAGTGGGAGAAGATCTTCACAATCTATACATCTGACAAAGGACTGATATCCAGAATCTACAACAAACTCAAACAAATCAGTAAGAAACAAGCAATCCCATCAAAAAGTGGGCTAAGGACATGAATAGATGATTCTCAAAAGAAGATATGCAAATGGCCAACAAACACAAGAAAAAATGCTCCACGTCACTAATGATCAAGGAAATGCAAATCAAAACCACAATGCGATACCACCTTACTCCTGCAAGAATGGCCATAATCAAAAAAATCAAATAACAGTAGTGTTGGCGTGGATGTGGTGAACAGGGAACACTTCTACACTGCTGGTGGTAATATAAACTAGTACGGCCACTATGGAAAACATTGTGGAGATTCCTTAAATAACTAAGAGTAGAACTATCATTTCATCCAGCAATCCCACTACTGGCTATCTACCCAGAGAAAAAGAAGTTATTATTCAAAAAAGATGCTTGCACACGCATATTTATAGCAGCACAATTCACAATTGCAAAATCGTGGAACCAACGCAAATGCCCATCAATCACTGAGTGGATAAAGAAACTGTGGTATATATACACTGGAATACCACTCAGCCATAAAAAGGAATGAATTAGCAGCATTTTCAGTTATCTGGATGAGATTGGAGACCATTATTCTAAGTGAACTAACTCAGGAATGGAAAATCAAACATCGTATGTTCTCTCTGATATGTGGGAGCTAAGCTACGAGGATGCAAGGCATAAGAATGATGCAATGGACTTTGGGGACTTGGGGGGAAGAGTGGAAGGGAGGCGAGGAATAAAAGACTACAAATATGGCACAGTGTATACTGCTCGGGTGCTGGGTGCACTAAAACCTCACAAATCACCACTAAAGAACTTACTCATGTAACCAAATGCCACCTGTACCCTAATAACTTATGGAAAAGTATAATTAAATTAAATTTTAAAAATAAATAAAATTCTGTAGAGAGAGTGATTATCTCACATTATGTGCTCAGGAAATGTTAGTTTCCCTTCCCCCTACACCAACATCTTAGTTATTCTTACATATTTGGTTATATATTTGTTAGTGATTATTTCTAATGTCTCTTAAGCCCAGAAGGATTTCTTTTCTCACATAAAAGAATTTGCAAGGGAGGTAGTAGAGGGCTGATATGACAGCTTTATAACATTATCAGGGACCTAGGCATTTTTTTTTTGAGACAGAGTCTCTGTCGCCTAGGCTGGAGTGCAGTGGCGCAATCTCGGCTCGCTGCAACCTCCACCTCCCGGGTTCAAGTGATTCTCCTGCCTCAGCCTCCTGAGTAGCTGAGATTACAGGCGCACACCACCACGCCCAGCTAATTTTTGTATTTTTAGTAGAGACAGGGTTTCACATGTTGGTCAGGCTGGTCTCGAACTCCTGACCTTGTGATCCGCCCACCTCAGCCTCGCAAAGTGCTGGGATTACAGGCGTGAGCCACCACGTCTGGCGGGCATTTTCTGTCTTTCTGCTCTGATGAACTGGTTTTCCTCCTCAATGTCACCATGGTCCAAAGATGACTGTTGAAACTCCATCCTTTGTATCTTAATTCCAAAATCAGTAAGGAAGAAGGGTAGAATAAGGGCTTATGGCCCAGTCATTTAAGGAGGCTTCCCAGAGGTTCTACATAACACTTCAAATTATATCTTATTGACCAGAATCTAGTTACATGGATACATCTTGCTGAAAGGAAGGCTGAAAAACATAGTCTTTTAACTGGGTACATTGCTCAAGATCTGTAACTAAGTAAAAAGAAGATATTTGATATTGGGCAGCAATTAGGAATCCATTTCAAAAACAAGAATCTAAAAGTTATTGGCTTCTAAATTTAGCATTATTTTCATTTTAACTGACATTTAGAGATTTGAAATCATGTGAGTCTGTACCAAGTTTGACTAAATATATTAACACACATGAATGCCATCCTCAAATTCAGAAAGGTGTAAATTTTGAATGACTCTTTTATTGAATAAACAAAGTCATATTATATCTTTTTTCAGGGTGAAAAACATGCTCAAAATGTTAGTTTTTATTTTCAAATGCATGGGGAACAAAATGAAGTGCCTGGTAAGAAAATGAAGATGCATGTTGAGAATTTTCAGGTGAGTGATGTGTGTTGGTATTGTAATCCAAACTTTGAGTTATTGAATCTTTCTAACAAGATTGTGCCTATTTCAGGTGCATAGGTATGAAGGAGTGGACAAAAACAAATTTTGTGATCTCTGCAACATGATGTTTAGCTCTCCACTTATTGCTCAGTCTCACTATGTGGGAAAGGTCCATGCTAAAAAACTGAAGCAATTAATGGAGGAACATGATCAGGCATCTCCATCAGGATTTCAACCAGAGATGGGTAAGGTTCCATTCACCTCTTGATCTTCAATGCAGGATCTACCTATCATGTTTTGTCTAACTCTGCCATATCCTTTTTAGTGGGGGAGACTTTCACCCCAGTTGAAATAACTTGATTATTATTCTTCTTCCCAGTTAATCTCTGTGTCTGTCTTTGTCATTTAATATGGAGATTTTAATTGCTAGTTGATTTTTAAGAAATGTTGTGACCTCTCCTTTTCAGTTCACCAAATTCAAACAAAAGCAAGTGATTTGCTATACTGCTATAAAGAAACAACAGTAAGCAGCTGGAGCTTTGTCAGTTTCTTTTTTTTTTTTTTTTTTAGATAGACACTTTGTTCCACCTTTACTCTTTTTTTTATAATGTCTTTTTTTTATTATTATACTTTAAGTTCTAGGGTACATGTGCACATTGTGCAGGTTAGTTACATATGTATACATGTGCCATGCTGGTGCGCTGCACCCACTAACTCGTCATCTAGCATTAGGTATATCTCCCAATACTATCCCTCCCCCCTCCCCCCACCCCACAACAGTCCCCAGAGTGTGATATTCCCCTTCCTGTGTCCATGTGATCTCATTGTTCAATTCCCACCTATGAGTGAGAATATGCGGTGTTTGGTTTTTTGTTCTTGCGATAGTTTACTGACAATGATGATTTCCAATTTCATCCATGTCCTACAAAGGACATGAACTCATCATTTTTTAATCAAATAATAAAATCTTCACTTTTTACTTCTTCCCCTTGGCGTCTTTTTTGCGTTAGTATTTTCCAAAACATTATCTCATATGAGTGTTCAAATCAATGTCTTCACCATAATGTAGTTATGTGTTTCCTACTAACTGTAGGCAAAAAAAAAGTTACTGACTCTCTTTCTATTATGATAGCCTATTTCTTTCTTCCTATAAATAAGAAGTACTACCAGCATCATCAGTTAGTTACTGAGTACTTATTTTATGTTAAATCCTGAAAATACAGGGGGAATTATAAAAACATTGCATCTTTCCTTCTCCTGGTGATGTTGGGTCACCAGCACATATGAGAAAACTGACTCAAAGTTGCCCAAGATGGCAGAGTATACCCTGGAAAACCCAACTTGTATTTTTGTAAATGGATGTGCTAGAACAAGAAAAGATGATTAATCCTCTGTAGTAAATAATTTACCACATTCTTTGTAGCTTCAACACTTTAGGACTAAGGCATGCCTGCCATGGAAAATTCACCAACATCAATTTTGAACTCATAGTATAATTTGAACTCATCAATTTTGAACTCATAGTCACCCAGCAAAGTCAATGCCACAAGATATGTTATTAAAACTTTTATTTTCTTAATAAATGAAGCCAGAATTATTTTTTTAAATTTAGTCTCTAATTTTTATACATTTTTTCTGCCTGTCATTCAAAAGATAGACAGAATCAGTGTGCCCTAAAAGAAAAAACATCTTATAAAAGCTTTATCTTCAGTCCCAAAATTTATCAACTTGGGCTCAGAGAGGAGGATAAATAAAAGAGCTATGAAATACTGGAATTGTAGGAACATGTATAGTTTTATAGTCTTAAACAACTGCATAGATTTTATTCTGATGCAGACATCACAAATGTAGAATGAATAGACGCCTTACTTTGTTACTCAAGAAAGACTTAGAAGTTAATATCATATGTTTTATCCTCACTAATTTTAAAGAATCATAAGATGGCTATCATACTTTCATTGATTTTTATATGAATATAATCAGGCAATGCCTAATACAGAATACTACTTCCTTCTCATATCAAACTTGGTGACAAATTCATATTCACACTTCCATTCTCACAGAAGGAAATTCTTTTTTACTTTAGAAGCTTTATCCAGCAGCTGTCTGTTGAAAAAAAAAGTCCAGGGAGTGGGTTTTTAGAGAATTATAAATTTCCCTAGTAGTTTACAATAAATGCAGTTCTAATATCTGAAAATGTGTTTATCACTTCTTATTACAACTATTTCAGCAGGAGTGCCTCTTACTACTTCTGCAGAGTCAACATTCCTGAAGCCCCTTCCTGTCAAGCCTCCTACAGGTGGGATTAAAGACAAGACTATGCCTTCCTCTCCCAGCAGTGATTTGGGTTTGAATAATCCGAACAAATTTTGCAAGCTCTATCCTGCTTCCTTTAATAGTCCAGTAATGACTCAACAACATTATGTTGGGAAAAAAAAAAACACAAAAGAAATGAAGCCAGGGAGACATTTTTAGACAAAATAAGAGAGAAATCTCTTCCAGCAAAATCAAATGCAAATGGTAAACATAAAATTATCCCAAAACTTTTTCATAGGAAGTTTGTGTTTTATAAAACATACTAGCTTATTTACATACCATTTTACTCTTCTTGAGTGAGAGGTTGATAGTATTCATGGAATCATAGAATTTTATAAGGACTTACAAGTCCATCTAACTTGATCTGTTCATTTCCTAGGAAATGAGAACCTGAATGGTTTAGATGACCCCTCTTAATTTTAGAATCAAACATAGGAATTCTCATGGTTTCATGTTATTTTAGGTAAATAAGGATCCTTAGGTATATACATAAGGAAGCATTTTAAATTAATATCATGTGGTTATATCATTCTTACTAAGTATGTTTTAAGTGTCTCTTTGGTGCTAGGCTAGTCACTCTTGGGAATACAGTTCCCTAAAGGAGCGAGCGTGTAAACTAGTTAGGTTAATAATAATACTTCATTGCAAGAGCCGACAGGCGCATTTTTGTGTACATATTTTTGGTAACTAGATAAGTGAAGCATAATGGTCCAGAAAAATCTTCATATATTTAGATGATTTTCAGTGGATAGAAGTGGGAAGAAGAAAGGATGAACCAAAGGGCTTGGAGCTAAGAGTGGCAAGAATTCAGGCACAGTAAAGAGACTGATCCTGACTGGAGTGATCCACTTGCTCTTCTAACCATATTTTTTTTTCATTTTTCCCCCCACAGGCACCTTCTCACTACTAGTGTATTTTATTCCCCTTTCATATTCTCTCTTCCACCCACTTCTTTTCCTCCACTCACTATTATTTTTCAGTTCTTTCTTTACCCAGCCTTTCTCCTTCATGTGAAAATGTTCATTCTTCTCTCCTCCTTGAAGCTCTATTCTTTGTCATATGTAACTCTTTATGCTCTGGTTCTTCTCTATTTCTGTTTCTTTTTTGTTTTCTCTATGGGCTCTTTTTTTATTCATTACCTAAATGTAGGTATTCCCATGGTTTCATCCTTGACCTTACTCTACAAACACGATTTCTATTTCCCTGATTTCATTTCTCATCTGTATGCTTATGACCTTTCTGTCAAGTATTAGATTCACATATCCAAATGGCAGCTACTGCTTCACCTGGATGCCTCATAGCCATTTCAAATCCACCTAGTCATTCAAAGTAGAAACCCACAGGTAACTATGAACCCCCAAACACCACCTTCTTAACTTCATATATTTAATGAAGCACCAAGCTGTGACTCTTCTACCTCCTGAATACTACTCTCCCCTTATCTCCAGCCCTGCGCTTCCCACATTAGTTCAGGTCCTCAAGATCTTTCCTAGAGGTTTGCTACTCAGTGTGTGGGTTGTGGATCAACACCATTGGCATCACCTGGGAACTTGTTAGAACAAGGACTCTCAGGCCCCACTGCAGACCTACGGAATCAGAATCTGCATTTTAACAAGATCTGTAGGTGATTTGTACTGAATAAGTTTTGAGAAGTGATTGCCACAACCTCCTAACTACTCTTTCTGCCTCCAGTTTTGTTTCCCCAAACCCACCCCCAATTTAACCACTAGAGTGTTTGACTTAAAGTGTAAGTATTTCCATGTCATTCCCCTTCTTTAAAACCCTTCATTATTCCTTCATCTTCTAAATATAAAATCTAAGCTTCATAGCTCTCCACCATCTTGTTTCTGCCTGCCTTCTCCAGGCTTATCCCCTGCTACTTCCTGGCATGATCTATGTGGGTCAGTACCTGCAAACTACATATGGTTGCCAGAAACTATTACCCTGTTTTTTGTGTCTGTGCCCTCGTTCATGCTGCCACTTTGTCTGGAATATCCCTATAACACTTCCCCTGGCTAACTCCCCCTCATTCAATTACTTCAGGGTTAATCTTATGTGCTTCCTTAACCTGCATTTCTAAGTATCTCTGCATGTGTCTGTCTCCAATTAGAATGTAAGGTCTTTGAGGCAAGGGACTTCATCTAATTCATCTATATTTCCAGTGCTATAGATAGAAACTCGCACAGAAATAGGACCACTTCAATAGAGATTAGCTTAATACATGCATCAGATAACTATTAATTATCTTTATTTGTTGAGTGCTTATCCTGTTTTCTACTCTTTCAGGTTTCTACTTAGTGTGATTCAGCATATCCCAGAAAGTTACATAGAGATACGTGTTTTTATCTAGGATTATGAAGAATGTTGATTTAGGCAAGTGTAGAAATACAAGTGCTAGGGCTTCTGAAAGTAGGAGTATATGTTCAGAGAAATGACAACTTTCACTTGTTAAGGTATTTTTCCTGTTGCTAGGTTGAGTGTATCTGAAATAAGGGGCTTCTAATTTTCTAGCATTAGGTAAATTTGAACTGAGTTAACTATGAGAAGTGTGTGCACTCCTGTCACTTCTAAATTGGGGGGCCATTTTGGCACCCTGAAGTTTTAATGTTATTAGAATGATGAAAGAAGGATTTTGGTGAAATTATCATCTGATGGTGGAGGAGAGGGCATGATCATCAGCATAATTTAATCCAGTCATTGGAATCACTTTACATTAGCCTCTGAAGCTAGAGCTCAATAGATTTTTCAACCCTACCTTGGCTCTTTCATTTTGAGAGCAGTAAACATTTGAACATTAAAAAATACCTGGAGAATTTTAACTAGCTAATGACAATTTCAAAGAACAGTAACAGCAGATGCCCTCATTACAAGTGAGTAAGTGGTAATAATTTAACATATGCCACCTTAACTGTTTCACTCATCACCCATTTTCTTCTGTCTGCCTTCCTCTCCATCTGCTATTGTTTATATATGTTTCTCCCATATCTAATCTTTCTCTTTTTCTTCATCATTCTCACTGCTTTCTTCATGTCCCTCATCCAGCTCAGATCTTATTAGCACAGGAATGGCTACCATAACGATATGGAACTAAAGTATGTATGTATTTTTTATTTATTATATTTGTTTTGTTTATCTTACTAATTTTTGGCCCCATTATTGCACTCAGATGCCTCACCTTCACCTATAACTCAACATACCTAAAACGGAATTAATAATCTCTACAGTCAACTTGAATTTCCCAAGTTTTCTGTCTTTGCTAGTAGTTCCAATGTTTATTAGTCACCTACACTTGAATCTTTGAGGCTGTCTTTGACTACTTAATTATCTATATCCTATCCATTAGCAAATCTTATCAAATCTTAGAACTATTTCTCCTTTCTGTAGCCATTCATTACATTTCTACTACCATCACCTCACACCTTAATGCTGTAACAACCTTCTGGAAAGCTTACTTGTACCTCATTGTTATTCTCTCACTCCCTAGTAGCAGGATTTCAACCCTGGATCAGTTCCACCCTATACATTTTCTACTTCTGCATAAAGCCTACTGAGTGATGCTGTGGAAAATTATAAACTATAGAGATTGGGTATGTTTTCAGAGTCTTGGTACCTAACCTCTTTGGACCTTTAGTCCTACTTAATCTGTTTCCTTTTCCTTCACTTTCCCCTTAGCGACAATTTTAAACCTATATCATTCTTCAAGACTCTCTTCCCCCGCTACACTCCTTCTCTTCACACTTCTCAGACAAGCTCCTTTGTGATTTCATCAAGAAAAATTTGGCCATCAGATGTGGATTACTACCAAGTATCTTGGTTTAACTAAATCCTCCTGTAACCCTGAGTTCTCCTTTAACTCCTACATTCTCCCCTTCCCTTCTTAACCAAGTTATTTTTAAAATGTAGTACACTCTTACTGTCTCCACTTATTATTTACTCAACTCACTGCCGTTCTTTGGTGCTTATTCCCTCAGCCTTCACACCACCAGTCTACCACCTCACTGTAACTACTACTCACAGTGGCAAAGTGACTTCTAAATTTGTAAGTCCAATGAACATCTTTATTTAGCTCCTTTGACATCACTCTCTCCTGTTCATTCTTATAATTTGCTGTCCTTTGCTTTGGTGGACTTTTCATAGGCTCATCTTTCTCTACCATCTTTCTTTAAAGAATGGCATTCTCCAGGGTTTTATCAGTATGTTGCTATTCCTGTGCCCACCCATACATTATCTTCAGGAGATTTCATCCACTCTGATTATTTTGACTATCCACCCCCGTGTTCTGACATCTCCAAAATCTCTCTGACCTATCTTCTGCCTTTCATACTCCTGTATATAACTGCCTGTTGGACACCTTTACATGAAAGTTTTGTAGCTATCTTAGACCCTGTGTTCAAACTTACACTATTCACCATTGCCTACTCTCCCACCCATTAAAACAACACATACATCTGAAGTTCCAATTTCAGTTAATGGGATCACCACCCAACCACTTACCAAATTAGGTTTCTGGGAATTATTTTAGACTTCTCTAGATTCTTTCCTCTCCCCAATCCGTCACAGTCATTCTGTCGCTAACTTTTGCCAGTTTTAAAGTTAAATGTTACACCAATCTCCCTGCTTCTTTCTACCCCTACTGAGACCCATCTAGTCCATGTCCTCATTATGTCTTGCTTGATCTCCTTACTTCTAGGCTTACTCTTCTTTAATTAATCCTTTGTATTGCAGCCACAGAAGAGACTCATCTAAAACACACAATTGACCAACCACGTCACTTAATACATAAACCACTTCAAGGTTTCCCAAAGCACAGAATAAAAAATTTAGGCTCCTTAGCATAACATATAAGTCTTTCTTTGATCTGACCCATTTTGCCTCTTCCCATCTCTTTCTCTTATGTTTTACTCTACAACAATTCCAAATTTTAAGAAGTTCCTGTAAGCACGTCTATGCTTTTTTCATGAATTTTTGTACCTAAAACACTCTTCTCAACTCTTTTCAGGTTAACTATTCATCATCCCTCCAAGTTTAGCTAAGACATTATCTCTTCCAGTAGCCTTTTTCAGACCCCCGTATTATGCTGAGTGCCCCTGCTTCTTTGTGCTCGCATACCTCTTAAACATACCTCTCTTACTTTTACCAAGTGAGACTGAAATTTTTTGTTCATGTATCTTTCTCACACTGGATTTGTGAACAACTTGGCTGTTTCATTCATCTTGTATCCCTGGCATCTAACCTGATGCTTGGTGCCACATAGGTATTCAGTATTTGTTAAACCAATTATTTGGATTCAACACATTGTGCTGATTTCTGTCTCTGCCATACTTGATATTATTTTCATCCCCTGGAATGCCCTTACCTGCTTTCTTACAAATTCAAATCTTTTCTGTCCTCAAAGATCCATCACAACTTCTCTTACTGTTCTAGTTCTTTGTGTTCTCCCTTTCTCTGATTTCTCATAGGCTTTACTGTTCATTGACAATTGATACAATTATAGCCCCTCAAGGGAATTAGCTTCTCTGAGACAAAGGATTATATTTTATTCTGCAGTATCCTTCTTAGTGCTTTATATGGTAATGAGGGCATAATTTTTTCTCAATTCATATTTGCAAATTGTTTATTGAGAGTCAGTGTTGTATAGAGGGATAAACATAGATTTGGAGATACAGTCACTTGCCAAGTTGCACCGCAGATTCCTCTGGTATAAAATGAAAATAATGTGACTCTACAGGATTGAATAATAATTAACTGAAGTAGTATATATAGTACCCATCACAGAATAGGTTTGTAACAAATGTTAGGTTTGTAAAAATGTTTTGTCCTGTCATAATTTTAAAATAGGTAAATTGGACATTTTCTGTTTTTCTTTATAACATAAATCCGATATTCACATGCAGTTTTTTTCCAACTTTTATTTTAAGTTCATGGGTGCATGTGCAGATGTGAAGGTTCGTTATATAAGTAAATGTGTGCCATGGTGGTTTTGCTGCACAGATCATCCCATCACCTAGGTATTAAGCCCAGCGTTCATTAGCAATTCTTCCTGACAGCTGCAGTTTTGATTATGTGCAGCTCTCAATTGGCTTTTCCCCGTTTAAGATGTTAGACCAGTGGTTCTCAGCCTTGACTAATTAGAATCATGTGAGGAGCTTTTAGAACTCCCATTGCTCAGGCCAACCCTCCAATCAATTAAATTACCATCTCTGGGACTTACACATTTGTGTTTTGTTTTCTCTTTTTTGACTCCCTAAGTGATTTTTATATGGAGCCAAGATTGAAAACAGTGTTAGACACACACTTTCCCAATTTATGCTTTGAAAACAAAGACCTTAGTTCAGAGACTTATGAGATAGGGTTATGATTAGGGGAAGAGTAGGCCCCACAAGTTTCAGGGTAGTGAAGATTCTGAAGGGTACAAGCGATAAAGGAGCCTGAGTTTCTGGGTGAACTCAGAAACAAGGAATCCTAGAAGGGCTGAGAGCAGAACAGAACCTCGGAATAGTCTCTGAAATAAAAGAGTGGAGAGTATAAGAAACAGAATGGAGGCAGGCCCCAGGAGGATTCAATCAGGAATTCTGACCTTGGGGCCATAAATAGGTTTCATATCTTCACAGAAAGGGTTTACACAACTTTTGTATATCATTTTCTGAGATGTCTGAATCCTAGAAAAAGATAAAGAACATCAGTATGTGAAAAAGCCAAGGGCTAAGGTAATGGTAATCAGACTACAGTTCTAGAAATGCCTCTGGATCTTTAATACATGACTGGCAGCTCTTCTAAACCTCTATGTTACCTCTATTAGAATATTATTTCTGATGTAGTTTGTGGAGAAACAAAGCAGGAATGGAGGAGAACACTGTATACAGTATACTTTATAAGCACTAAATAAATATGTAAAAACTCTGAAATATAATCTGAGTTTATAGTCATAATGAAGATTATTAGCTCAATAATCTAGGGTAGAGGTGTCCAATCTTTCGGCTTCCATGGGCCACGTTGGAAGAAGAATTACCTTGGGCCACACATAAAATACACTAACACTAACAATAACTGATGAGTTAAAAAAAATCACATAAAAATCTCATAATGTTTTAAGAACATTTGTGAATTTGTGTTGAGTCACATTCAAAGACACCTTGGGCCACATGTGGCCTGTGGGCTGCAAGTTGGACAAGCTTGATCTAGGGCAAGTGCTCAACAGTGGCTGCACAGTTAAATCGTGTGTAAAGCTTTCAAAAAGTAAGGGTGCCTAATTCCACTCCTAGAGATTCTGATTTAATTGGTCTGACATGGAGTTGTAACATCAATATTTTTGAATTTTTCCATATGATTCTAATGTGTAACCAGCATTGAGAACCACTAATCCAGAGGAAACCAGGACTCCTGCTTATCTTGCACAACTTGGGTACCCTCAAAATATATGGTATTGGCAAAGTTAATCTGAGCCTAAGTTCCAGCACCTGTAAAAGATGGTACGAATTTCCTAAAAGAGGTTGTTGTGAATATGTACTCTCCTGGGTTTAGTCCTTAGCTTTGCAAGAAGTCCAAAATCTTCAAGATGATCAGCCTCAAATCAGGGACTCACTAACCGCAAACAAACTTGAAAGTGGCTGATAACTAACTGGAAAGATATTACTTTAATATGTTTCTCACAAAGCCTGTGATAATCATTTGCCATATTTGTGATCATAGAAATTTCTTGTCCCTGCCCTAGAAACATTGAATCATGTTCTCCAGGGGAGAGCCTGGGAATCTATATTTTTAACTGACACCCCAGTTGATTTTTATCAAAGAAGTCTGGGAAACATTGTACTTTAAGTTATTGTATTGTCATTCTGGTATTGATTTATGGTAAGAGGAGATACATATTTCCATTTCCTAGTTTTTCTTGATGTCTGTCATCCAGGGTATCCTTTTCTTGGTATCAAAGAATATGAAAAACCAATTATAATCAGAAAGTGACTTAGTATGCATGAAATTAGAGCATAGAAAAGGATAGTTTTGAGGGAACATTTCATTCATATTTTGACATAACCTGCTGAGTTTTCCTGGGCCCGCAATAGCCAGTAGTGTGCAGCCTCATTTTCTTCAGAGTCAGCATCTTTCTTTCCCCTTGCAAGCAGTCTCCTGTTTCTATGAATAGTCTTTGCTCAGACAAGGCCAATATACTTGGTAATAATTAATTTAGCTTCTTTGAAATGATTAGGTCACTTTTTGGTTTAAAAGATTACCATGGTTGTCCCCAAAATCTTTGCATGTACCAATTTATTTCCTCCTCCCTAGGGTCAGAATGATTTTATATTTGGCTTATGAAATGTATTAATTTGCTTCTTCTGGTCAAAGATAAAGTGGAAGGATGATGAGATTTTTAAAAAATTAATGTATCCCTTGCTTCTAATTCTACCTACAAAGTGGAATAGTGTGCTAGTTACTATATAGTTCCCAGTGTATAGCTTTTGACTCTTTTGAAGTGGTAACTAGTAGTTTTGTTTTAGAATTTTGCTTTCAGCTTTTATCCTGAGAGTGGGGCTCACTGAACCTCTCTCCTTTCTAAAATCTGTGGAAATTACTTTTGGTAACTAAGGCACTGCAGTGATCTCAGGTAAGAGAGTAAAAAATTTGCCTTTATTTGTTTTTAATGTTTTGGGACGTTTCAGGTTTTGGTTGGGTGGAAACAGAGTTGGGGCAAACAAAAAGAGGCTGGTTAAGAGATTCAGAGGCAAAGGTTGGTTGGCCATGCTAAATTTCAGGTGCCTGTTGCACCTCCATGTAGCAACAGTAAGTAGACAGATAGCAGATTCTTAGGGAAGAAGTTAAGCTAGAGAAGCAGTGTGGTGTGGTGTAAAGAATTCTGGGCATTCAATTAAGAGGTGTGGGCTCTGAGAGGCTAACACTACTACTAACTTGCTCTGTGACTTTGACCAAGTCATTTGACCTCTCTGGGCCCCATCTTTATTGGAAAATGTCAAGTAGATGGTCTCTAATAAATTTTTGGTCCAGTTCTAACATTATGTGATTCTAAATGTATTTATACTGACCTTCTTAACTTGAACTCTTTGTTTTTTCAGCATTTAGTATGAGAACCTATGTTTGCCATATTTGTAGTATTGCTTTTACATCTTTAGATATGTTCCGGTCCCACATGCAAGGAAGTGAACATCAAATTAAGTAAGTATTTTTGCCAAAATTTTCCTATGATACCAAAGACCAGAGCTTCTAGTCAAGCACTCTTTGATGTATTTTACAAACTTCTTAGGCATTCATGTCCCTATGGGTTTAACCTGGGTATGGTTGGCAATATTTGTAACATATTGCATACTAGTGTCCCTCAGGGGTTCTAGTTTTAGTTCTAGTAATGATAGTGTACTGGCAAACCTGGCTAACTGGCACCCCTCCTGACTAGAGAGCAGTGTTCTTTGGAGAGATGCTAAAGGATCACTCTCACACTAACCATACAAATGCAGAGAATTTCTGGAAGGTTTGCTTGGTTCCAGGGATTCAGTGACCCAGTCACCATTTTTCCAGTGATGTATAGTGGTTAAGAACAGAGGTCTTGCTATTAGATGGACCTGGATTAGAATACCAGATCCATTTTTCTACCAAGTGTATAACTTTGGTCAGTTCTTACATAAGATTGTTATGATGAAATATAATATGTGTAAGGTGCCTGCCCTGGCACATAGTAGGAGTTCAATAAATATTTAGTCCATTTTATTCTGTTATTTCAAGGAGAGGAGAATTGAATGGACAGTTGGAGATTGGTTAGTTCAGGTAGCAAAGGGTATTTGACTATTTATCTTTGTATTGATGCTTTTAAAGTCAAGACATAGAGCCAGGCCTGGTGGCTTATGCCTGTAATCCCAGCACTGTGGGAGGAAGAGCCAAGGAGTTTGAGGTCAAGCCTGGGCAACGTAGTGAGACCTTATCTCTACCTGAGAAAAAAGAAAAATTAGCCAGGTTTAGTGGCATGTACCCATGGTCACAGCTACTTGGGTAGCTAAGGTAGGAGGATCACTTGAGTCCAGGGTGTTGAGGCTGCAGTGAACCATGATCACACCACTGCACTCTAACCTGGGCAACAGAGTGAGACCCTGTCTCAAGAAAATAAATAAAATAAAATGAATAAAATAAAATCAAGACATATTCTTTCTGTTACATTGTTTTATTCTAGTAGAAAATATTTATATTATTTGTATCCGAATACTTAGAAGCTAAATTGTCTGACTTACCCAATTAACCTACATTTACATTCCTTTTTTTCAGAGATGGGTTCTTGCTCTCTGGCCCAGGGTGGAGTCCAGTGGCTATTCACAGGTTCCGTCATAGTGCAGTACAGCCTCTAACTCCTGGGCTCAAGAGATCCTCCTGCTTCAGCCTCAGTAGCTGGGAATACAGGCACACACACCACACCTGGCTAGATTTATAATTTAGATTTTTAAAAATCTCAAGATTACAGAATAAACACATATCACATTTATAAGATGTATATAAGGAACTAATGAAAACTTTAAAAATGATATGACATTCAAATCAGAGCATCTGTCAGGACATTAAATATTATTAGTCCCCACCCATACATTCCAACATGCCTTAACATTTTTAGTGCTACAACAACATCAGATATATCTGCTACTTTATACCCGTCTTCCCTTTCATCCCGGGCCAAAGGAAATTTCCTTTTCTTTTTTGCATAAAAATTGTGAGGTGCCTAGGAGATATATCATTTTCCATGCTCCTTTTTGGGGGGCATAGAAAGTCATGATTTATGGCTTTATAATGAGGTAGGTTCTCACTGTCCAATGTGCTTTTTTGACATAAAAATTCACAATTTATAGCTTTTATAATAAAGTAGGTTTTTAAAATCTGTTTGGGTTTTTAAATTTGTTGTTTTTGTTTTTTCAGACTAATACTTTTAAGAACAAATAAAATATTTAGAATAAAATAATCTAATAACAATTTTCTACTGTCTTCTTTACAGAGAATCCATTGTTATCAATCTAGTGAAGAATTCAAGGAAGACACAAGACTCTTACCAAAATGAGTGTGCAGATTACATCAATGTGCAGAAAGCCAGAGGACTAGAGGCCAAGACTTGTTTCAGAAAGATGGAAGAGAGTTCTTTGGAAACCCGTAGATACAGAGAAGTGGTCGATTCCAGACCCAGACATAGAATGTTTGAACAAAGACTCCCATTTGAGACTTTCCGGACATACGCAGCACCATACAATATTTCACAAGCAATGGAAAAGCAGTTACCTCATTCAAAGAAGACATATGACTCTTTCCAAGATGAACTTGAAGATTACATCAAAGTACAGAAAGCCAGAGGACTAGATCCAAAGACTTGTTTCAGAAAGATGAGAGAGAACTCTGTGGATACTCATGGGTACAGAGAAATGGTTGATTCTGGACCCAGATCAAGAATGTGTGAGCAAAGATTTTCACATGAGGCTTCCCAGACCTACCAACGACCATACCATATTTCACCAGTGGAAAGCCAGTTACCTCAGTGGCTACCAACCCATTCAAAGAGGACATATGATTCTTTCCAAGATGAACTTGAAGATTACATAAAAGTGCAGAAAGCCAGAGGACTAGAGCCAAAAACTTGTTTCAGAAAGATAGGAGATAGCTCTGTAGAAACACACAGGAACAGAGAAATGGTTGATGTCAGACCCAGACATAGAATGTTGGAGCAAAAGCTCCCATGTGAGACTTTCCAGACCTATTCAGGACCATATAGTATTTCACAAGTAGTGGAAAACCAGTTACCTCATTGCTTACCAGCTCATGATAGCAAACAGAGACTAGATTCTATTAGCTACTGTCAACTCACCAGAGACTGTTTCCCAGAAAAACCAGTACCCTTGAGCCTTAATCAGCAAGAAAATAACTCTGGCTCATACAGTGTAGAATCTGAAGTTTACAAGCACCTCTCTTCAGAAAACAATACTGCTGACCATCAAGCAGGTCATAAACGGAAACATCAGAAGAGAAAACGACACCTAGAAGAAGGCAAAGAAAGGCCAGAGAAAGAGCAGTCCAAGCATAAAAGGAAAAAGAGTTATGAAGATACAGATTTAGACAAAGACAAGAGCATCAGACAAAGGAAAAGAGAGGAGGATAGAGTCAAGGTCAGTTCAGGAAAGCTTAAGCATCGAAAAAAGAAAAAAAGCCATGATGTACCCTCCGAGAAAGAAGAACGTAAGCACAGGAAAGAGAAAAAGAAATCTGTTGAAGAAAGGACAGAAGAGGAAATGCTTTGGGATGAGTCTATTCTTGGATTTTGAATGTTTAGTTTTGTTTACCCAAGGTTGAATTGAAAAAAAAAAACAGTCAATATGGATTTAGAAAAAGGAACACCTGATGAAGAAAAGGAGAGGTAGATACAGTCAGTGTCACTTCAGGACACTTAGGTTTTTTTTGTATAAAAATTTAAATTGAATTAAAAGAAGGAAAAAAAAAGCCCAAACTTAACCTCTGAGAAAAGAACATAAGAACTCAAGGAGAACATAAGAGAAAAGGAAACCTGTTACAGAAAAGACAAGAATCTGTGTTTTGGAATGAGTCTATTCTTGGGTATTGAACTTTTAGTTTTGTTTGCCCAAGGATTAATTGAGGAAATCAGCTAAGAAAATGGACTTTAGACAAAAGCAAGAGGATCAGATGAAGAAAAGGAGAGGTAGATACAGTCAGTGTCACTTCAGGAAAGCTATTTAAAAAAACTTGAAATTTAATTGAAAGAAGAAACAACAACAAAAAAGCCTAAACCTAGCCTCTGAACAACACTAACATGAGAACACAAGAACTTAAGAGAAAAAGAAACCTACTCAAGAAAAGACAGAAGAGACAGTGATTTGGGATGAGTCTACTCTAGGATTTTCAACTTTTTAGTTTTGTTCCTTCAAAGTTGAAGGAAAAAAAGTTTGGTTTTATAAAATTCATGTTATTGTAATTTTTCTAGGTGGATGGCTACTTTAATCTCTAAAAAAGCCAAGTGAAGTAAAAGTATTCAGTATGCCTTTTCCTCAAGTTACTTTCCTTCATTTTCTTAAAAAAGAAAAAAAATTATTAAATGTTTCTCACATATCTCACATATAATGTAATTTCCCTAAATGAAGTTGTCTCTACTTCTGCTCATCAAATTGCTGTGATAGTGAATTATTTATTCATGGGAGATAATTTATTTTAAAGGACAGAATTACCAAGCGTTACAAAATCAGTTCTTTCCTTGGTTTTGTGTTAGTGTTGGTGGTATTTTATTGTTGTTTTTCTGTGTTTATGTGTCTCAGCTTTCTCCAAGGAATATGTATGAAATAACTTAAACTGATTTTTTCTTTGTTAAATCTAATTTGCAGTGTATTTTTGCATTTTCTAGTTCTGAAAGTGGAAAATGAAACAGTCTATAATAAACTTAGATGATATATAGTTTTAAAACGGTCTCAAAAAGTACTGATATAAGGTCAGTCTATATTCTGGAAATGTTTATATTAAAGTGTTTTAATTTCTACATATTGTTTTATGTAAATGATCATTTCCCATCCAAAATTATTATTTTGGGAGTTGGAGGGGCAATAATTAAACAGTTGGCACTTAATACCTCTGAGGAGATCACACTATGAAGTTGTAATAATTTTATATTTTCTATATCTTATCTCACAGAGGCTGATACTGAGTCTCAAACTCAGTTTAAGGTTAGGAAAATATGACCAATTAAATGGTTGAAACCGAAGAAGGAAGAATTGGTAAGTGGTAGAGGACCAGAGGGTGTTACCTTTGAATTGTTTGATTTTGACAAATTTTTTACGCTGGTGCTCCCTTTATTTATGAGCAGTACCACTAAGTATTTGAGGATCACAATGGGATAGTAGACAGTGTAATAATGGCCTGTGAATCTAAATTCCAGGATTCTGGTCTCAGTTGCACCATCAAGTTGCTCTGTGACCTTGTGAGAATACCATTAGAATCCAACTTGGAATCACTAGGAATATGAAAAGTAGGCTTTGTGTTCTCTTCATGTGTTAATCCTATCAAAAAACAAATGTATGCTCCACACAGTGGCTCATGCCTGTAATCCCAGCACTTTGGGTGGCTGGGGCAGGAGAATCACTTGAGTCCATGAGTTCAAGAACTGCCTGGGCAACATAGTGAGATCCTGTCTCTATTTTTTAAAGATAACAAAATAAATTTAGATGGTGACATATCTACATTTAGGCAAAGCATTTAATAGGTGACATGTCTGCATTTGGGCAAGGCATTTAATAGCTGTTCTTTGCAATTTAAATAAAATAGTAAATGTAAGCTGAAGCATAATATGATTGATTGGGTTTATACCTAGTTGAGTAAATAGTCCTAAATGGAATTAGATGCTTCCCAAATCCACTTTTCTTCCATGAGACTGTTGTTGTAAGATTATTTTATGCTACAATATCATCCCCCATTTTAAATACATTTGGTGTATTGGTGAAAGGAGAGGGGAAAGAAGAACTAGAGTAGAATACATAGACTGCGAATCACCAAGCACAAATTGGTCAGTTATCTTTTTTGAGCACACCAAGAACTGCAGCACCTTTTCACAAAGTGCAAGATAAGATCAATTGAATTGCCAGCATCTGTTAAATTGACGAATTCTTTCATAGAAGCTTGTATTTAAAGTTGGAGAGGACTCAAAACTATATATTATAAAAATATTCCCTAAGATACAAAATTACTCTCATCTTTTAAAAATAGATACAATGATTCATAAAAATTATCCACCCATATTTAATCTATAGTGGATAAGTCATGCAAACTTTAAAAACCAAAACCATTTAAATTGGTGATGTGTTGAGTAGACCAAAAAGGATGTAGTATTGATTACGGTCTTGGGACATGCACCAGTGACTTGCTCTAGAAAAGTGGTTTTCAAAAATTTTAAGACAATTTTTTGCCAAAAATAAATTTTACGTTAACCTCACCATAAAACAAATTTTACATTAACCTAAATACATAATGTTCTGGTTGAAGGTGGGGAAAGGGTCTGGAGCCCAACTTTGGCACATTTGTTATGCTCCCAACTTCTGCCTCTGAGCATTTAGAGGTAAGAGTATATGTAAGTCAAGATGTTTATGTGTAGGATCCCAAATTATCTCCACTTCTGGAATTAAGTGTTGAACTCACTAAGATGAAATTTAATGATATAAATAGTAAATCCTACATTTGGGTATTTCAATACAAAAACATATTTGAGGAAGCATAATTTAAGATATTATATGTGAAAACAGTGTTGAGGATTTTATTACGTGCTTGGTTTGAAAGACTAATATGCTCACCCAGACATGAAAATCACATATGGTCTAAGTCAAATATATAAGAGAATATTTGGAATAAGTTAAAAGTATCTAACTTCAGAGATAAATCCTGAACTGGGTAGAAGATACAGGGAGGCAAGTACTGGGCAAATCTGGAAAATAGTTTTCAAAAACTGGAGCTGTAGAAAAATAGAATTTACTGTCTTGTGTGCATGCATTGAACAAATAAGAGCTGACTGTCAGCATTGTGCCAGGAAGGAACCTGAAAAAAGAATGAACACACATTGTTTTTCAAAAAGCTCACAGTCCAACAGAGGAAAT
This sequence comes from Homo sapiens, assembly GCF_000001405.40. Classification (NCBI taxonomy): domain Eukaryota; kingdom Metazoa; phylum Chordata; class Mammalia; order Primates; family Hominidae; genus Homo; species Homo sapiens. The sequence continues at coordinate 101,880,188 of NC_000023.11, read as the reverse complement.
GGACCAATAAATAGACAGTTACAAAATAAGTTTTATAAAGGCTTCAATCAAAGTGATGAAGGACGCTGTGGGTAGCAAAGGTAGTGAGCTTAATGGGATGGGAAGAGGGCATTCAGAAAAGGCTTCCCGAAGGACATCTAAGCAGACCATTTTCTCTCAGTTCAAAGATTTATTTATTTGATATATATACATGGTTATCTAATAGGCGCTGCAAACTTAATATAGCCAAATAGAATGCTGCCTTCTGTCATTACCAATTGTTCATCTAGTTTCCCTTATTTCTGTAAAACCATCTAATTGCCTAAGCCAAAAACCATTTTTGAGCATCTCTTCTCTCCTACATTAGACCATAAGCAATTCCCCTTGATTATATCACCAAAATGTTTCTCTTAATGTTCAGTTCTCTTCATCTTTACTGTCATCACCCTACTCTGAGATATCATTATTTCTTGACCAAACTGGGAAAATAGGTTTGAGAGCAATTGAAACATTGGAAGAAGTGATCACAGGTTCTGAATTACAGATAAGAAAACTGCACAGAATCATCAAGAGATCAGAGAGAGCTGTGGTGAACTTGTCCCTTAAGGATTTCACAACTATCCACCATATGTTTTCTTCCAGAAGAAAAAATTCCACATACAGAAAGAAAACTGCTTATTTCAGAAATCAAATTGAACAGGGAAGAGAGATTGTGGGTAAGGGAAAAGGAAAGTTCAGATAGTAGCAGATGGAGGAAGAATCCAGAGAAATCAAATCCCAGAAAGTATGATAGCAAAATAAACATCAAAAGGTGAGTGTAACACCTTGAGAGACAAGACCAATAGGATGTGAACGCACAGAAACATGCATACACAAAGCAGATAAAAACTCTGACCTAGTATTTCTAAATGAGCTGAAAGAAAACATTTAAACCTTTGAAACAGTATAAATCAGAAAAAGAACACGGAAATAACAGAAGGCTATGAAACAAAAACTGACAGGACTAAGGAAATAATAATAAAAAAAAACAAATGAAGATTAACTTGGAAGGAATACACGACACTAGAAACTGGTAACGAGAGAAATGAAGATAAACAATTTTAAAAATATATATACTAAAGATCGATAAAAGTAATAGATAAAAGATAGCCAACAGAGATACAATTACATTTGTTGAAATGGAGGCTGTGTTTTGCTGCCCGGAACCACTCCCCACCCCTTGCCATACCTTCTCAGGTCAGGGGCACTGACTTCTCCAAATTCTGGAGAATTGCCCTTATCTGAAGGCAACTGCCTCTTCTAAGGTTATGCAGCCCGCATCCACTGATGGAATGATGTAGGTAGACAAAAGCCAGACCTCCTGGTTCAATTTTGGGCAACTTTGAAAGGTCATCTCAGTTACCAAACTCACCACAGGATCAGCTGAGGCCTTCGTTGTGACTGTATCAGTTCAATTCTTTCTCTGCTATTCTTTCCTCCCTCACCAATTCACAAAGGTTCTTTTGAGCATACCCCTATAAATTGTCTACAATCGAATTTTTATCTCATAGTCATTTTCCCATAGAACCTTAACTAAAACGGGGGATAACAGAAGTGATCCTAGGGAACAGACCCCAAAATGGGATTTTCAGAGCAGGCAATGAGGATTCTGTCATTGGTAATAGATAAAATACTGATAATAGGTAGTCCCTGGCATGCTATGGCAGTACAGTTGTTTAAACTTCCAAGTGATACTAGTAGAAATGAATGTACATGCAAGTGTAATATCTCAAGTAATTGAGAAGATTAGGGGAAATGGCAATTATATAGAATTTGCTGACTTTTTAGATGCCATTGATGCATTATAGAAAGAAAAAAGCTGAGAAAATGAATGACGATTTAGGGCAAAATATGAAAGAAGGCATCCTTGGTAACATATAAAGAGACTTTCATCTCTTCATCTTCATCCCACATTCACCTGAACCCTCTGAGCTCTAGGATTGTCAAATAAGATACAGAATGCCCAGTTAAAAGTGCGTTTCAGATAAAGAGCTAATTGTAATGTTACATGTAATACTTTAGTCAAACTTATACTTTAAAAATTCATTATCTGAAATTAAATTTAACTGAGTATCTTTGTATTTCTTTTATCTTTTTGCTAAACTGGCAACCCAACCCGTTTCTCCCAATTAAGGACTAGCATTCACTTCTTATATGAGGTTAGTATTTTGTCATCTGCCTTACAAGACAAGTTTGCTCCCCTAGCTTCTGTCCCCATCTCTCCTGCTGGCCACTAAACCACTAACTATGATCAAATCACAACTTCACCTGACCTGATAAGTACTAGTATCATAAGGGAAAAGAGGACTATGTCCATTCTAACGGAAGGAAAAAGGTAGGAAGAGGCTTGGTGTGATTGGGCTCAAAGGTTAGATAATTTGTGGCCAAACTCTAAGAGCAGTAAGAGTTTCCAGGAGGAGCTCCATTGTGTGTGTGTGTGTGTGTGTGTGTGTGTGTGTGTGTGTGTGTGTGTTGAGGGAGGGCGGAAACAAGGAAACAGGGAGCAAAAATGGATTTTCTGTAGAGAGAACAGCCCATCTGAGTGTATAACAGAATATGCAAAGGGAGGATAGGGTAGACCTGGAAGACTGACAAAGAGGGTTGTAGTCTTGACCTGTTTGGAAACGGGTTGCTATGGCTTGACTATTTTTGTCCCTTCCAGAACTCATGTTGAAACTTAATCCCCAATGCAATAGAGTTGGGAGGTGGGGCCTAATAGGAGGTGCTTAGGTTATGAGGGCTGTGTCCTCAGGAATGGATTATGTTCAAAATAAAAAGGGCTTATGGGAGTGGGTTTGCTCTATTCTGCTCTTCTGCCGTGAGAGGAGTATTGTTCATCCCATTTGGAGGATGCAGCATTCAAAGCACCCTCTTGGAAGCAGAGATTGAGCCCTTACCAAACACCAAATCTTCCAGTGCCTTAATCTTGGACTTCCCAGACTCCAGAACTGTAAGAAATGAATTTCCACTCTTTATAAATTACCCAGTCTAAGGTATTCTGCTATAGCAGCACAAAGCAGGCTAAGACTGGAGTCGCTGAGAATTTATGAGCAGGAAAAAATGAGAGAGAGTTGAACTGAATTGTCTCTGGTAGTCTTAATGACTGTAATGTGCTCATTTAAAAAGTTAGTGTGAAGCTGGAAGGGTGGGCAGAAAAGGTGACCAGACACAGGATCTGTATTGGAATCCAAATGTGACACTAGGGACTAGGAGGGTGTCAGAGAGAACTGGAAGTAACAGACAGATGGAAGAGACTATGAAGTTCTCTTGACCAGACTCTGAAATGCTAGGCTTGGTCATGGATGCCTGGAAAAATTCAAACTGAGAGGCTGGATCATGGGAAAAGCAAAGCCCTGTTTCATTTCCACGATGTCCAAAATTAAGAAAGGCAAACTAAGATCATGATGTCATTAAAGGAAACTGATAGTCTTCAGATGAAAAGAAACCTAATAATTTCATTAAAAACCCAAGTTTCCTGGGATCTTTTGAGACCAAAGAGAATAAAAAACTGTAAGTATTTAATAATTGACCTGTATAACCTGGGGACAATAAAGTTTCTCTCTGAGCTTCAATTTAAGTTAGGCACTTGAAAAACATGTTTGGGAGTAGGAATGACTAATCATATTCCAGAAAGGTCAAAAATGATTCCCCACAGATCTGCTATTCTATAAACAAAATCATTAGCACAGACTCACTAAAGGTTTGGCCCGTTTATATTTCGATCTCTGTTTTTTATGAGTATATTGATATAATTCTTAGGTATAGACTTGCAATATTTAGGAGGGAACTTTCACAAAACCTATTTATTTATTTATTCCATCCTCTCAAGCATTTATCCTTTTGAGTTACAAACAAATTATACTCTTTAAGTTATTTACAAATGTACAATTAAGTTATTATTGGCTATAGTCACCCTGTTGTGCTATCGAATACTAGGTCTTATATTCATTCTTTCTAACTACGTTTTTTTTTACTTATTAACAATTCCTGCCCCTCCTCGGCACCCCCCATTACCCTTCTCAGCCACTGGTAACCATCCTTCTGCTTTTTATGTTCATGAGTTCAATTGTTTTAACTTTTAGATCCCACAAATAACTGAGAACATGTGATGTTTGGCTTATTTCATTTAACAATGTCCAGTTCCATCCATGTTGTTGCAAATGACAGGTTCTCATACTTTTTATGGCTGAATAGTATTCCATTGTGTATATGTACTACATTTTATTCACCCATTCATCTGTTGATGGACAGTGAGGTTGCTTCCAAATCTTAGCTATTGTAAACAGTGCTGCAACAAACAGGAATATCTCTTCAATATACTGATTTCCTTTCTTTGGGATACATACCCAGCAGTGAGATTGCTGGGTCATATGGAAACTCAATTTTCAGTTTTTTGAGGAACCTCTAAATTGTTCTCGATAGCGGCTGTACTAATTTAAATTCCCACAAACATGGTACAGGGTGTCCTTTTCTCCACATCTTCACCAGCATTTGTTATTGCCTGTCTCTTGGATATAAGCCATTTTAACTGGGTTAAGATGATGCCTCATTGTAGTTTTTATTTGAATTATCTGATGATCAGTGATGTTCGGCACCTTTTCATATGCATGTTTGCCACTTATATATCTTTAGAAAAATGTCTATTCAAATCTTGTGCCCATTTTTTATTGGATTATTAAATTTTTTCCTGCAGAGTTGTTTGAGCTTCTTATATCTTCTGGTGATTAACCCCTTGTCAGATGGGTAGTTTGCAAATATTTTCTCCCGTTCTGTGGATTGTTTCTTCACTTTGTTGACTGTTTCCTTTGCTGTGTAGAAGCTTTTTAACTTGATATGATCCCATTTGTCCATTTATGCTCTGGTTGTCTATGTTTTTGGGGTATTGCTCAAGCAATTTTTGCCAAGACCAATGTCCTGGAGATTTTCCCTCAATGTTTTCTTGTAGTACTTTCAGAGTTTGAGGTCTTAGATTTATGTATTTAATCCATTTTGATTTGATTTTTGTATATGGAAAGATATGTATATGGGGGTCTAGTTTCTTTCTTCTGCATATGGATATCCAGTTTTCCCAGCACCATTTATTGAAGAGATGGTCTTATCCTCAGAGTATGTCCTGGTCACCTTTGTCAAAAATGAGTTCACCATAGGTGTGTGGACTTGTTTATTGGTTCTGTATTCCATTCCATTGATCCATGTGTCTGGTTTTATGCCAGTACCATGCTGTTTGGGTTACTATAGCTCTGTAGGATAATTTGAAGTTAGGTAATGTGATTCTTCCAGTTTTATTCTTTTTGCTTAGGATAGCTTCAGATACTCTATGTACTTTGTGGATCCACATGAATTTTAGGATTTTCTACTTCTGTGAAGAATGTCATTGGTAATTTGATAGGGATTGCATTGAATCTCTAGATTGCTTTGGGTGGTATGGACATTTTTACAATATTGATTCCTCCAATCCATGAACATGGAAACTTTCATTTTTTGGTGTCCTCGTCAATGTCTTCCATCAGCGTTTTGTAGTTTTCATTATACAGATCTTTTCCTTCTTTGGTTAATTTCCAGGTATTTAATTTTATGTGTGGCTATTGTAAATGAGATTACTTTTTTTATTATTATACTTTAAGTTCCAGGATACATGTGCACAATGTGCAGGTTTGTTACATATGTACACATGTGCCATGTTGGTGTGCTGCACCCATTAACTCGTCATTTAACATTAGGTATATCTCCTAATGTTATCTCTCCCCCATCCCCCAACCGCACGACAGGCCCCAGTGTGTGATATTCCCCATCCTGTGTCCATGTGTTCTCATTGTTCAATTCCCACCTATGAGTGAGAACATGCAGTGTTTGGTCTTCTGTCCTTGTGATAGTTTGCTCAGAATGATGGTTTCCAGCTTCATCCATGCCCTACAAAGGATATGAACTCATCCTTTTTTATGGCTGCATAGTATTCCATGGTGTATATGTGCCACATTTTCTTAATCCAGTCTATCATTGTTGGACATTTGGATTGGTTCCAAGTCTTTACTGTTGTGAATAGTGCTGCAATAAAAATACGTGTGCATGTGTCTTTATAGTAGCATGATTTAAAATCCTTTGGGTATATACCCAGTAATGGGATGGCTGGGTCAAATGGTATTTCTAGTTCTAGATCCCTGAGGAATCGCCACACTGTCTTCCACAATGTTTGAACTAGTTTAAAGTCCCACCAACAGTGTAAAAGTGTTCCTATTTGTCCACATCCTCTCCAGCACCTGTTGTTTCCTGACTTTTTAATGATCGCCATTCTAACTGGCATGAGATGTTATCTCATTGTGGTTTTGATTTTCATTTCTCTGATGGCCAGTGATGATGAGCATTTTTTCATGTGTCTGTTGGCAGCATAAATGTCTTCTTTTGAGAAGTGTCTGTTCATATGCTTCGCCCACTTTTTGATGGGGTTGTTTGATTTTTTCTTATAAATTTGTTTAAGTTCTTTGTAGATTCTGGATATTAGCCCTTTGTCAGATGGGTAGATTGCAAAAATTTTCTCCCATTCTGTAGGTTGCCTGTTCACTCTGATGGTAGTTTCTTTTGCTGTGCAGAAGTTCTTTAGTTTAACTAGATCCCATTTCTCAATTTTGGTTTTTGTTGCCATTGCTTTTGGTGTTTTAGACATGAAGTCCTTGCCCATGCCTATGTCTCCTGAATGGCATTGCCCAGGTTTTCTTCTAGGGTTTTTATGGTTTTAGGTCTGACATTTAAGTCTTTAATCCAGCTTGAATTAATTTTTGTATAAGATGTAAGGAAGGGATCCAGTTTCAGCTTTCTACATATGGCTAGCCAGTTTTCCCAGCACCATTTATTAAATAGGGAATCCTTTCCCCATTTCTTGTTTTTGTCAGGTTTGTCAAAGATCAGATGGTTGTAGATGTGTGGTATTATTTCTGAGGGCTCTGTTCTGTTCTGTTCCATTGGTCTATATCTCTGTTTTGGTACCAGTACCATGCTGTTTTGGTTACTGTAGCCTTCTAGTATAGTTTGAAGTCAGGTAGCATGATGCCTCCAGCTTTGTTCTTTTGGCTTAGGATTGACTTGGCAATGCGGGCTCTTTCTTGGTCTCATATGAACTTTAAAGTAGTTTTTTTCCAATTCTGTGAAGAAAGTCATTGATAACTTGATGGGGTTGGATTACTTTTTACATTTCTTTTTCAGATCATTCACTGTTGGCATATAGACATGCAGTATGCTACTGCTTTTTGTATGTTGATTTTGTATCTTGCAACTTTACCAAATTTGTTATCAGTTCTAATAGTTTTGTTGTGGAATCTTTCAGGTTTTCCAAGTATAAGACCATATCATCTGCAAACAAAGATAATTTGACTTCTTCCTAAAACCATTCAGGACATAGGCATAGGCAAAGACTTCATGACAAAAATTCCAAAAGCAATCGCAACAAAAGCCAAAATTGAGAAATGGAATCTAATTAAACTAAAGAGCTTCTGTATAGCAAAAGAAACTATCATCGGAGTGAACAGGCAACCTACAGAATGGGAGAAAATTTTTGCAATTTACCCATCTGACAAAAGTCTAATATCCATAATTTACAAGGAACTTAAACAAATTTACAAGAAAAAAAAGACATCAAAAAGTGGGCAAAGTTTATGAACAGACACTTCTCAAAAGAAGACATTTACATGGCCAAGAAACATATGAAAAAAGGCTCAACATCACTGACCATCAGAGAAATGCAAATCAAAACCACAATGAGATACCATCTTATGCCAGTCAGAATGGCAATTATTAAAAAGTCAGGAAACAATAGATGCTGGTGAGGCTGTGGAGAAATAGGAACGCTTTTACACTGTTGGCGGGAGTGTAAGCTGATTCAACCATTGTGGAAGACAGTATGGCGATTCCTTAAGGATCTAGAACCAGAAATACCATTTGACCCAGAAATCCCATTACTGGGTATATACCCAAGGGAATATAAAGACACGTGCACATGTATGTTGATTGTGACACTATTTACAATAGCAAAGACATGGAACCAACCCAAATGCCCAACAATGATAGACTGGACAAAGAAAATGTGATACATATACACCATGGAATTCTATGCAGCCGTAAAAAGGAATGAGATCATGTCCTTTGCAGGGACATGGATGAAGCTGGAAGCCATCATCCTCAGCAAACTAACACAGGAACAGAAAACCAAACACCACATATTCTCAGTCATAAGTGGGAGTTGAACATCGAGAACATATGGACACAGAGAGGGGAACAACACACACCAGGGCCTTTTGGGGGGTGGGGGGTGGGGGGTGAGGGGAGGGACTTAGAGGATGGGTCAATAGGAGCAGCAAACCACCATGGCACACGTATACCTATGTAACACACCTGCATGTTCTGCACATGTATCCCATTTTTGTGTTTAGAAGAAATGAAGAAAAATAAATAAATAAATAAATGATATAACCCCAACCCAAAAAAAACAAAATCTGACTTCTTCCTTTCCAGTTTGGATGCCCTTTACGTATTTATATTGTCAGATGGCTCTAGCTAGGACTTCCAGTACTATGTTGAATAACAGCATTGACACTGGGAATCCTTGCTGTGTTCCACATCTTACAGGGAAGATCTTTCAGTATGATACTGGCAGTGGGTCTGTCATATATGGTTTTTATTATGTTGAGATATGTTCCCTCTATACCCAGTATTTTGAAGGTTTTTATCATAAAGGGATGCTGAATTTTATCAAAATGGCTTTTCAACATCAATTGAAATAAATATATGATTTTTATCCTTCATTCTGTTAATATGATGTATCACATTGATTGATTTGCATATGTTAAATCTTTGCATCCCAGGGATAAATCCCACTTGGTCATTATGAATGATCTTCTAAAGTGTTGAATTGAGTTTGCTAGTATTTTGTTGAGGATTTTTGCATCAATATTCATCAGAGATATTGGCCTATAGTTTTTGTTTTTTTGTTGTGTCTTTGTCTGAGTTTGGTATCAGGGTGATATGGCCTCTTAGAATGAGTTTGGAAGTATTCCCTTCTCCTTTATTTTTCAGAATAGCTTGTGTAGGATTGGTATTGATTCTTTAAATGTTTGGTAGAATTCAGCAGTAAAGCCATCAGGTCTCAGGCTTTTCTTTTCTGGGAGACATCTTATTACAGCCTCAATCTCATTACTTATTATTATTGTTCTGTTCAGGTTTTTTATTTCTTCCTGATTCAATCTTTGTAGGTTGTATGTGTCTAGAAGTTTGTCAATTTTTTCTAGATTTTCCAATTTATTAGCATATAGTTGCCCATAGTAGCCACTAATGATCCTTTGAATTTCTGCAGTATCAGTTGTAATGTCTCCTTTTTTATTTCTGATTTTATATATTTGGATCTTCTCTCTTTTTTTTTGTTAGTCTTGCCAAAGGTGTGTCTATTTGGTTTAACTTTTCAAAACACCCACTTTAGTCTCATTTATCTTTGTTTTCTTATTTCAATTTTATTTATTTCCTCGCTAATATTTATTATTTCTTTTGTTCTACTAATTTGGGGTTTGGTTTGCTCTTTCTTTCCTAGCTCTTTTTTTTGTTTTGTTTTTTGTTTTTTTTTAATATTATTATACTTTAAGTTTTAGGTTACATGTGCACAATGTGCAGGTTAGTTACCTATGTATACATGTGCCCTGCTGGTCTGCTGCACCCATTAACTCGTCATTTAGCATTAGGTATATCTCCTAATGCTAACCCTCCCCCCTCCCCCCACCCCACAACAGTCCCCAGAGTGTGATGTTCACCTTCCTGTGTCCATGTGTTCTCATTTTTCAATTCCCATCTATGAGTGAGAATATGCGGTGTTTGGTTTTTTGTCCTTGGGATAGTTTACTGAGAATGATGATTTCCAATTTCATCCATGTCCCTACAAAGGACATGAACTCATCCTTTTTATGGCTGCATAGTATTCCATGGTGTATATGTGCCACATTATCTTAATCCAGTCTATCATTGTTGGACATTTGGGTTGGTTCCAAGTCTTTGCTATTGTGAATAGTGCCGCAATAAACATACGTGTGCATGTGTCTTTATAACAGCATGATTTATAGTCCTTTGGGTATATACCCAGTAATGGGATGGCTGGGTAAAATGGTATTTCTAGTTCTAGATCCCTGAGGAATCGCCACACTGACTTCCACAATGGTTGAACTAGTTTACAGTCCCACCAACAGTGTAAAAGTGTTCCTATTTCTCCACATCCTCTCCAGCACCTGCTGTTTCCTGACTTTTTAATGATCGCCATTCTAACTGGTGTGAGATGGTATCTCATTGTGGTTTTGATTTGCATTTCTCTGATGGCCAGTGATGATGAGCATTTTTTGATGTGTTTTTTGGCTGCATAAATGTCTTCTTTTGAGAAGTGTCTGTTCATATCCTTCACCCACTTTTTGATGGGGTTGTTTTTTTCTTGTAAATTTGTTTGAGTTCATTGTAGATTCTGGATATTAGCTCTTTGTCAGATGAGTAGGTTGCAAAAATTTTCCCCCATTTTGTAGGTTGCCTGTTCACTCTGATGGTAGTTTCTTTTGCTATGTAGAAGCTCTTTAGTTTAATTAGATCCCATTTGTCAATTTTGGCTTTTGTTGCCATTGCTTTTGGTGTTTTAGACATGAAGTCCTTGCCCATGCCTATATCCTGAATGGTAATGCCTAGGTTTTCTTCTAGGGTTTTTATGGTTTTAGGTCTAACATTTAAGTCTTTAATCCATCTTGAATTAATTTTTGTATAAGGTGTAAGGAAGAGATCCAGTTTCAGCTTTCTACATATGGCTAGCCAGTTTTCCCAGCACCATTTATTAAATAGGGAATCCTTTCCCCATTTCTTGTTTTTCTCAGGTTTGTCAAAGATCAGATAGTTGTAGATATGTGGCGTTATTTCTGAGGGCTCTGTTCTGTTCCATTGATCTATATCTCTGTTTTGGTACCAGTACCATGCTGTTTTGGTTACTGTAGCCTTGTAGTATAGTTTGAAGTCAGGTAGCGTGATGCCTCCAGCTTTGTTCTTTCTAGCTCTTTAAGATGCATCACCAGATTGTTTATTTGAAGTTTTTCCTCTTCTTTAACTATTTCCTCTTTTTTTCACATTATTTCTATCCTTTTACATTTATTAACATTTGCTTTATGGCCAGGATATGGTCTATCATGGAGGTGTTCTATGTGCACTTGAGGAAAGTGTACATTCTATTATCGTGATGCATTTTATAGATGTCTTCCAGGTCTAGTTGGCTTATAGTGCTAAATCGTTTATTGCCTTTATTTTTTGTCTGATTGTTCTATCCATTACAGAAAGTGGTGCATTTATGTATGCAACCATTTTTTCACCTTGTCTTTTTCTACTTTCATCAGATTTTTTTCATGTAAATTGGTGCTCTGTTACTATTGATACATATGTATTTATAACTATTGTATCTTCTTGATGAAATAACATTTTATCGTTACATGTTTTTATAATTATAAAATGTTTCTCTTAATATAATAAAATTATAGAATACATTTTTATAATGATAAAATTATATATCATTTTATAATGATAAAAATTATGGGCCAGGCGTGGTGGCTCACAGCTGTAATCCCATGACTTTGAGAGACCAAGGCGGGTGGATCACCTGTGGTCATCAGTTCAAGACCAGCCTGGCCAACAAGGTGAAACCCCAGAAAATTAGCTGGGCATGGTGGCAGGCACTGTAATCCCAGTTCCTTGGGAGGCTGAGACAGGAGACTCACTTGAACCTGGGAGGTGAAGGTTATAGTGAGCCGAAATGGTGCCATGGCACTCCAGCATGGGCAACAAGAGAGAAACTCTGTCTCAAAAAAAAAAAAGTTATTAGCTCAATAACATATTTTGTTTCATTATCTGCCTAGAATTATTATAGCCACTAATTCTTTGGTTGCTGCTTGTATAATATATCTTTATTCATCTTTTCACTTTCAATAAATTTATATTTTATATCAAGGTGCTGTAGATAGTATACACTTAGAATTTTAAATCCAGTCTTACAATAGCTGTCTTTTGATTACATTTTTTATTCATTTACATTCAGTGTTTTTACTAATACTGCGGGATTTGTGTCTGTTAATTTTTGCTTTTTTAAATTTTATTATTATTATACTTTAAGTTTTAGGGTATGTGTGCACTACGTGCAGGTTTGTTACATATGTATACATGTGCCATGTTGGTGTGCTGCACCCATTAACTCGTCATTTAGCATTAGGTATATCTCCTAATGCTATCTCTCCCCCCTCCCCCCACCCCACAACAGTCCCTGGTGCCTGATGTTCCCCTTCCTGTGTCCATGTGTTCTCATTGTTCAATTCCCACCTATGAGTGAGAACATGTGGTGTTTGGTTTTTTGTCCTTGCCATAGTTTTCTGAGAATGATGGTTTCCAGAGCCTGCATCACCAAGTCAATCCTAAGCCAAAAGAACAAAGCTGGAGGCATCACGCTACCTGACTTCAAACTATACTACAAGGCTACAGTAACCAAAACAGCATGGTACTGGTACCAAAACAGAGGTATAGATTAATGGAACAGAACAGAGCCCTCAGAAATAACGCCACATATCTACAACTATCTGATCTTTGACAAACCTGAGAAAAACAAGAAATGGGGAAAGGATTCCCTATTTAATAAATGGTGCTGGGAAAACTGGCTAGCCATATGTAGAAAGCTGAAACTGGATCCCTTCCTTACATCTTATACAAAAATTAATTCAAGATGGATTAAAGACTTAAATGTTAGACCTAAAACCATAAAAACCATAGAAGAAAACCTAGGCAATGCCATTCAGGACATAGGCATGGGCAAGGACTTCATGTCTAAAACACCAAAAGCAATGGCAACAAAAGCCAAAATTGACAAATGGGATCTAATTAAACTAAAGAGCTTCTACATAGCAAAAGAAACTACCATCAGAGTGAACAGGCAACCTACAGAATGGGAGAAAATTATTGCAACCTACTCATCTGACAAAGGGCTAATATCCAGAATCTGCAATGAACTCAAACAAATTTACAAGAAAAAAACAAACAACCCCATCAAAAAGTGGGCAAAGGATATGAACAGACACTTCTCAAAAGAAGACATTTATGCAGCCAAAAAACACGTGAAAAAATGCTCATCATCACTGGCCATCAGAGAAATGCAAATCAAAACCACAATGAGATACCATCTCACACCAGTTAGAATGGCGATCATTAAAAAGTCAGGAAACAACAGCTGCTGGAGAGGATGTGGACAAATAGGAACACTTTTACACTGTTGGTGGGACTGTAAACTAGTTCAACCATTGTGGAAGTCAGTGTGGCGATTCCTCAGGGATCTAGAACTAGAAATACCATTTGACCCAGCCATCCCATTACTGGGATTTTATTTCATTTTTCTCAAAGTTTTAAGAGTTTTTTTGTGACCTAACATATGGTCTATCCTTAAGAATGATCCATATGCTGAGGAAAAGAATATGTATTCTGCAGCCATTGGATAAAAAGTTCAGTAAATATCTCTTAGGTCCATTTTATCTATAATGCATATTAAGTCTGCTCTTTCTTTGTTGACTCTCTGTCTGGAAGATCTATCCAATGCTGAAAGTGGAGTGTTGAAGTCTCTAGTTATTTTTGCATTGAAGCTTATCTTTTTCTGTAGCTCTAATATTTACTTATATATCTGGGTTCTCTAGTGTTGGGTGCATGTATATTTAAAATTGTTATATCTTCTTACTGAATTGACCCTTTTATCATTATATAGTAACCTTCTTTGTCTCTCCTTATACTTTTTGTCTTAAAATTTATTTTGTCTGATATAAGTACAGCAACTCCTGCTCTATTTCAGTTTCCATTGGCATGGAATATCTATTTCCATCCTTTTGTTTTCAGCCTATGTATGTGTTGTAGGTGAATTGTATTTCTTCTAGGCAACAGATCAATGGGTCTTGTTTTTTTTATCCATTCAGCTGCTCTATGTGTTTTGATTGGGTAATTTATTCCATTTACATTCAATGTTATGATTGATAAGTGTGGGCCTACTCCTGCTATTTAGTTAATTGTTTTCTGGTCTGTTTTGTGGTCGTCTCTTCCTTCTTTCTTTCCTTCCTGTCTTCCTTTAGTGAATGTGATTTTCACTGGTGATGTGATTTAGTTTCTTGCTTTTCATTTTTAGTGTATTCATTGTATGTTTTTTAGTTTGAGGATCCCATGAGGTTTGAAAATGCCTTTTTTTTTGAGACAGAGTCTCACTCTATCACCCAGCCTGAAGTGCAGTGGTGCCATCTTGGCTCACTGCAACCTCCACCTCCCGGGTTCAAGCAGTTCTCCTGCCTCAGCCTCCTAAGTAGCTGGGATTACAGGCATGCACCACCATGCCTGGCTAATTTTTGTATTTTTAGTAGAGATGGGGTTTCACCATGTTGGTCAGGCTTGTCTCAATCTCCTGACCTCATGATCTGCCCACCTTGGCCTCCCAAAGTGCTGGGATTACAGGCAGAAGCCACCATGCCTGGCAAAAATACCTTCTTATAACCCATTATTTTAACCTGATAACAACCTAACACTGTTTGCATAAACAAACCAAAAACAAAAACAAAACTAATACAAACTCTATGCTTTAACTTTGTCCCCCTTCATTTGATCTTTCTGTTGTTTCTATATATCTTACTGTACTGAATATGTCTTGAAAAGTTCTTGTGGTTATTATTTATGATTGGTTCATCATTTAGTCTTTCTACTTAGGATAAGAGTAGTTTACACGCCACAGTTACAGTGTTATAATATACTGTGTTTTTCTGTTTCCTTACTAATTACTAGTGAGTTTTGTACCTTGATTATTTATTTACTAATGATTATTTCTTGCTCATTAATGTCCTTTTCTTTCTGATTGAAGTACTTTCTTTAGCATTTCTTGTAGGACCCATCCGGTGTTGATGAAATCCCTCATCTTTTGTTTGTCTTGGAAAGTCTTTATTTCTCCTTCATGTTGAAGGATGTTTTCACTGGATATATTAAATGCCTTGGGGTAGTCTTCTTTGAGTTAAATCTGCTTGGTGTTCTATAACCTTCTTGTACTTGGATATTGATATGTTTCTCTAGGCTTAGGAAGTTTTCTGTTATTATCCCATGAATAAAGTCTACTCCAATCTCTTTGTCTACCTCATGTTTAAGGCCAATAACTCTCAGATATGCCCTTTTGTGGCTGTTTTATAGATTCCATACACATGCTTTATTGTTTTAATTCTCTTTTCTTTTGCCTCCTCTGGCTGTGTCTTTTGAAATAGCCTGTCTTCAAGCTCACTAATTCTTCTGAGCTTGATCAATTCTGCTATTAAAGGACTCTGATACATTCTTTAGTATGCCAATTGCATTTTTCAGCTCCAGAATTTCTGCTTTCTTCTTTTAAATTATTTCCATCTCTTTGTTAAATGTATCTGAGTTCCTTCTCTGTATTATCTTGAATTTCTTTGAGTTTATTCTCAACACTACTGTTTTGAATTCTGTGTCTGAAATATCACATATCTCTGTTTCTCCAGGATTGGTCCTGGGTGCCTTATTTAGTTCATTTACTGTGGTCATGTTTTCCTGAATGGTGTTGATGCTAGTAGATGTTCTTCAGTGTCTGGCATTGAAGAGTTAGTTATTTATTGTAGTCTTCATTGTCTAGGCTTATTTGTAGCTGTCCTTGGAAAGGCTTTCCAGATATTTTAAAGGACTTGGGTGTTGTAATCTAAGCTATATCTTCTTTAGGGGGCACCCCAAGCCCAGTAACTCTGTGGTTCTTGTGGATAGGTACTGCCTTATTTATCTTGGACAAGACCCACGATAATTTTCTGGTTTAACAGGAATAGACTCTTCTTCTCCTCCTGTACTGTCTCCCAAACTGAATGTCTCTCTCTCTTCTGAGCCACCTAAATCTGGCAGTGGAGTGACACATGCACCCCTGTAGCCACCACTATGACTGTGCTGGGTCACACCTGAAGCACAGGTCAGGTGTGCTTCACACCAAGACCTGTTGTAACCACTCCCTGGCTACTGCCACTCAAGGCCCTGTCGCTCTACAATCAGCAGGTGGTAAAACCAGCCAGGCCTGTGTTCTTCCCTTCAGGGAAGCAAGGTCCCCCAGGCCCTTGGGTGGGTCCAGAGGTGCCATTGATGAGTCAGGGACTAGAGTCAGAAACTTTAGAAATCTACCTGGTGTTCTATGGTATGGTACCTGAGCTGGCACTCAAACCACAAGATGTAGTCCTTCTCACTGTTTTCTCCCCTTTGGAAATACAGAGGAGCCTCACCTAATAGCTACCATTGCCTCAGACCACAAGAAGTACTGTCCGACTACTGCTAATGTTCCCTTAAGAGCCAAGGGCTCTTAAGTCAGCTTGTGGTGAATGCTGCCCAGACTGGAACTCACCCTTCAAAGCAGTGGGCGGCTCCCCTCTGGACCAGGGTAGGTCCAGAAATGCCTTTTGCATAGTCCTCTTTAAGTATGTCTCAACAATGTAATTTTGAATCCATTGGAGATTGGTCTCTCTGCCATAGTGTGTGGTGTCATGTGTATGTTTGATAATATCTATCATACAATATTTAGGTACTAGGACTTTTTCTTCTTCATTGTAGATCCATCGGTCCTGGGTTCTTTGATCAGGGCCAAAACCCCACTCAAGTGCTCTTTTTAAGTCTTCTGAATAATTACGCGGTTTTATACTGAGGTCTGTTTCAAGTATTAATGGCATTAGCAGAGCTTTGGAGGTCTTTTTCTTTGCTGCTTCTCTAGTGGCCTAGTCTGCTCAACTGTTACCTTTTGCCACCAAGTTATCTGTCCGTTGATGCCCAAAACAATGTATTATAGCTACTTTCTTGGGCTCTAAGACTGCTTCTAGTAAGGCTAGGGTTTTTCTACCATGTTTAATTTCTTCGTTACTGGAGGTTAGGAGTCCCCTTTCTCTACAGATAGTCCTGTGAGTGTGAACAATGGAAAAGGCATACTTGGAATCTGTGTAAATGATCACCTGGAAATCTTTACCTAGTTGGAGTGTGCTACATAGTGCTATGAATTCTGCCTTCTGTGCTAACACACCAGGAGGAAGTACCTCTGCTTCCAGAACCCATCAGAGTGTTACCACAGCATACTCAGCCTTCTGTTTCCCTTGATCCATAAACCTGTTCCCGTCATTGAACATTTTTAAGTGTGGATTCTCCAGAAGAATATCAGTCAAGTCTAGTTGACTACACTAAACTTGCTCAATAACTTGTAAGCACTCATGTACAGGTTCAGCTGTGGTTTGAGGAAGCAAGGTGGTAGGATTTAGAGTGGAGACAGCTTTCAAAGTCACATTTGGGTTATATAGAAGTATGGCCTGATATCTACCCAAGCTTCCAGAAGTCAGCCAGTAGTCCCTTTTCTGTTCTAATAGAGAGAGCACACAGTGAGGGGTGTGCACCGTGGCAGCTTGCCCCAAAGTAAACTTTTCTGCCTCCTGGAGGTCATAGGTGGCAGAAACTGATCACAGGCAAAAGGGCCAAGCCCTTGTGACAATGTCCAGCTGTTTTGAATATTAAGCTACAGGCCTCTTAATTTCCCAGGTCTTGGATTAGCACTCCTAAACCCATCCCTTGTTTCTCATGCATGAACAAATCTAATGGCTTTCTTATGTCTGGGAGTCCCAAGGCTGGAACTGTTAACAATCTTCGTTTAATGGTTTGAAAGCCTTTTTGACATTCTCCAGTCTTTTCTAGAGGCTCAGTGTCTATTCCTTTTAAAGCTTCATATAGAGTTTTGGCCGTAAGTCCAAGATTAAGAATCCAGATGTGGCAAAACCCAGCCATACACAAAGAACCTCATAGCTGCCACCATGTGATGGGTCTGGCCTCCCTGGCAAGAGCTTCCCTCTAGTCTGGGAGCAGATTTTTCTGCCCCTGGGAAAGTTCAAACACAAGATATTTGACCATGGGCTGTGAGATCTGTACCTTTTCCTTGGATACCTGGTCTGCCTATTCTGCCAGGAAATTTAAAGTCAGTATAGTGTTCTGTTCAGAGTCTGTCTTAATAGTGCTGGCTATTAACATATCATTTACATATTGTAACAAAGTCCCATCTTTTAATTGGAGATACTGGAGGTCCTTGGCAAGTATTTCCCCAAAGGTTGTTGAAGAGTTTTTGAACTTTTAGAAAGCACTGTCCAACAGTACATGCTGTCAGACTTTAGAATCTGGATCTTCCTATTCAAAGGCAAACAGCTCTTGGGACTATGGATCCAGAAGAATACAGAAAAAGGCATCTTTTAGGTCTAAGTCTGAAAACCAGAAAAATTCATCAGAATTTTGCCTCAACAGAAACTGAATATCCAATCGTGCCTATTCTCTCAGAGAGTACCATTTTAGATTTGGCAGTGTTAATTCTGAACAAACATTGACTCACACTGGGGGTGCAGTTTTCATCTTGCCTGGCCTCCTATCCACCCAGGCTTCCAGACTCACCTTTTGGAGTATCTCCTCAGAGATGGAGGTGTTTTCAGGAACTTCTAGTTGTAACAAAACAGCCTACAGAGTTGTTCCAGAGGCACCTAGATGTTCAGCTGTCCCAGGGAAAAGATAACATTAGCATTTAATTTGGTCAGGTCTTACCCCAACAAAGGGATCAGGCATTCAAGCATATATAGGAAACTGTGTTTTAATTGAGCTTGTCCTAGTTGAAAGTCCAATGGTTGGAGGAATGATCTTGTCAGTATCTTTCCCAAGACCTCAGTCACTTTCATAGTCCGTGAAGAAAGTTTGGACAACCAGGTGTTCAATATTGAATAAGAGGCACCAGAATCTACTAAGAAGTCCAAAAGCTGATTTCCCACCATCATTGCAACCCAGGGCTCCATGTGGGAAATATAGGAGGGTGTGGTCTGGGTTGAGTGGAACCCCTGGGCCCTGTAATTCCTGATCTGCCTCAAGCGCTTCAGCCATCCTGGGCATTAGGTTGACTGAAGGCTGACTTTTCCCAGCATTGGGCTTTTTGAAGCATGGGCAATGGTTGTTTTTTGGTTTCCAGTGAACTTCCTGTTTGCAATAGGCATACTGTTTGGGACCTGCAGTGGGATGTCTCTTTTTATTGACAGTTTGGGGCCTGGGTGCTCCTACCTTGGATGGTAAGCCTGCTGGGGCCCCCCATCATGGCCCAGAGACTCCTTGAGTTAAAGCTGCAGCCAGTAAATCAGCCTGCTTCTTCATTTTCTGCTTTTTTTTCCATTTCTTCATCTTGATCAGTAAATACTTTCTCCACCAATCATGACAAAGACATTCCTAAAGTTTCATCCAGCTTTTGCAGCTTTTTCTGAATATCTGGGGCACTTTGGTTAATAAACATCATGTCTACCATTTTTTAATTGTCTGCGACTTCTGGGTCAGTATGTTTGTACTGTCTGAAGGCCTTGAAAACCCACTCTAAGGCCTCTAGGGGCTCTCAGGTTTCTGTCTAACTTCCTGTACCTTACTGAGGCTTCTTTGCTTGGGCACTCCCTGGCAGAGACCAGCCAAAATGCAATCCTGGTAGTCTATAAGCTTGTGTGTATGTGTTTACATTACATTACATTATGGAATGTGTTTATGTTCCATCTTGGGTCAATGGTGGGCACTTCTTTGGGCAGCTGCTCTTACCAGATTGCCAGGAGAGTCGGTATGCATTCAATCAGCTTCCTCCCAAGCTTTATCTAAAACCATTCTCCCATCCTCTGAGGTTAGTATGTTAAATAAATTTTGGATGTCTGCCCAGGTGGGGTTATGAGTAGCAAATATGGAGGAAAACATCTTCTCCATCTGCTTTGGATCCTCCTGATAAGTGAGCTTGTTGTTTTTCCAATTAAACAAGTCAGTGGTGGAAAATGGATAGTAGACCCAGATAGATCCCATAGGTTGGCCTGTGCCAGCATCAACACCTCCTTTGGGTAGTTGTCATAAGGGAAATTGCCCTCCCAGAGCACAAGTGGTACCCTGACCAAATTGAGTTCCCTTATATTTTATGTGTTATTAGAAAAAAAAACCACGTAAAATTAACACATCAAGGAGGGGTGAAGGTAGCTAAAGCCCAAGCTTGTATGCTGTGGCAGATCACCTGGAGGCACCACCATCTCAGTAATGTGGGCAATCTCAGAGCTCCAGGTCTTATGAACAGAATGGTGCCCTAAAGCCTGCAGATCAGAAGAACCCTACTGTCACGGGACCCTACTGTCAGGAAGATAACCCAAGCTGACACATCCCTCCTGGGCACTGGAGCCTTGTCAGTCCCTAAGGCTGCAGATCACTTGGAAGTTGCCATCATGAGGACAATATGATTAGGAGCCCTACAACTACAGCCCTACTGGTCATGGCAGCACCATGGACTTTTAAACTCTGAGGTCAAGTGATCTTTCTGGTCATGTTGCCAGTATGATCATGTTGTGGCTCCAGCTGTTCTAGTCACTAGAGTCCTGAAACCTGCCGTTCACTTGAATGCTGTCAGGTGGTCATCACTAACTACCAGCATGTGGAAGTCTCAGCCCCCAAAGTCCTATATATGGCCTACTATTTAGGGTCATGTAAATGCTATGGTCAAGTACATCCCTCCCCATAACAAACACAGTGTCAGGCTCAGCTCTCTCACGTGAAGATTGTGAGCAGCTGAACTCTGCAGATCCATGTGTCGGCAGCCATATGGCTCCTACCATCACGCAGCAGGCAAAGCCCTTGCAGTCATGTGAGCACCAGAGCTATACTATGGCTATTGTACATGTGAATCCTATGGTCACGTGCCACACTATCACCATGTGGCTCAACCCTTTTAGTCACATAAAAATTGAAGACTCCTGAACCCTGAGGTCACTTGATTCTTACAATCATGTAGCTCCTGCCAGGCAAGCACCTAGCAGCCAGGTAGGGCCCCACACTTACGCGTTACACGGATCCTGGAGTCATGTGACCTTCCCTGTGGTCATGCACCAGACCCTGCCGATTAAGTATTGTAGCCATGTTTGGCCTTCTGAAGAGTCTGAGCTACAGGTGCAGAAGATCTTTAGAATTATGATCAGAGCTCTCGCTAAGGCTGATAGTTGATCAGACTCTGGCTGCAATCCCAACTTTTCCACCAACTCCTATATTCTGCCACACTAGGTGGTATTTTGGTATTCTGGCTAGTACTAGATGATTACTCATAGAATTGAACTTTAAGGGGTGGCCAAGTGGCCTCCAAATAGCAGAGAGCCTGAGAGGGGGTTAAGTGGAGACAGAGGGCTTTCTGAATCTGGCCAAACTTTTGTATGCCTGGCAGTGTGTGTGTGTGTGTGTGTGTGTGTATCTGTCTTGATCCTGAACTCATAGGAGCTATTGTTGGTAGAAAGTGAAGTGGAGGAGTAGAAAGCACTGGGGCAGAAGGTGCGGCTAAGGGAGTTGGCGGTGAGGTGGGTTAGGGAAGACAGCATGGATTCATGGACTTCTTTTTTTTTTTTTTTTTTTTTATTATACTCTAAGTTTTAGGGTACATGTGCACATTGTGCAGGTTAGTTACATATGTATACATGTGCCATGCTGGTGCGCTGCACCCACTAACGTGTCATCTAGCATTAGGTATATCTCCCAATGCTATCCCTCCCCCCTCCCCCGACCCCACCACAGTCCCCAGAGTGTGATATTCCCCTTCCTGTGTCCATGTGATCTCATTGTTCAATTCCCACCTATGAGTGAGAATATGCGGTGTTTGGTTTTTTGTTCTTGCGATAGTTTACTGAGAGGATGTGGAGAAATAGGAACACTTTTACACTGTTGGTGGGACTGTAAACTAGTTCAACCATTGTGGATTCATGGACTTCTAAGTCATCTCAGCCACAGGGCTGTAGAGCCTAGGTGGGAAACCCCCTCCCGCAACACACACTAAAGGCCTTCCTGATTCAATGCTGGATGAATCAGCATGATGTCCTTTGCTCTTCCTCTGACCATGCTGTTATTAAGGACACTTGAGACTCCCTAGACGCCAGTTTGTATAGATGATTCCCAATACAATATTAATTTCTATGTCTTATTTGATTTTGTAAAGAGGGAGGGAGAAAGACTTTTAAAAAAGAATTTGATATATTGATAAAAATGTGAAAGTAGCCATCAGGTGAAGACTCGAAATTTGTTCTTATGTTTACTTGGAAGTCCGTTTGTTTTCAAAGTACATATGGAATAGGATGCCATAATCTTGTTGTGCTTGGGATCTCTAAATAGCTTAAACTAGTCCAGCCAGACACTATTTTCTTCTGCACCACAACCCCTCGCTCCAATTTTTCTAACAATTGCTTTTTAGACTCCTTCTTGAAAACTCTCACTTTTCCTCCATGTGGAAAAAAATAGTGAATCATTTTAAAAAAAGATTTAAGCAAAATTATAGGCGATATTCTCATTTTTAAAAATTCATGAAGATGGTACTAAATGAATAAAGTTCTTCAAATAAAGGATTGCGTTTACATTTATGGTAGATTTAACTGTTGTTTGAAATAAGGTTAAACTTGAGATATTTTATATTACATGTAGCTTAAATAATCCATTTTATTTTTCTCTCATTTCAGCATTTCCAGGTTTGTTCTGGAAAACACTAGGTCTGAGAGACAGCAACAACAAAAGTATACTCTACCATTAAAGAAATGTAAGACACACAAAACTGAGGGTAAAAGGATTTCCATATAATAGCAATTTTTTAGATAATATGCTGATATGAAACATGAATTTCAAAAGGAGGGGTAGTTTCCCCAACTTATATGGAAATTGAGTATTTTTCCAATGAGTAGTTGAGGTACTAGTGTTAGTCACAAAACACTGTGGGAAATCCTGTTCAAACTAAGTATCTTCTGCCACATTAATATCTTATACCTTTGTTTACAAAGAACAATGGAATGTATGTTTACTAGTAATTATATTATAAAAATAATAATTATAATCTATTCTTCTCAGTAAGGAGTTACTTATTGCTCTTTAGCTCATTTTATTTCATTAGCCAATCTCTCTCTTGCTTGACTCTTTCCAATTTTCATTCTTTATAAGTACCCCTAACTTATAAGCATATTTCTAATATCATGATGGCAAGAAATAAGTGCATAAGTACTTCAAGAAATAAGAGCCTAACATTTCATTAGGAAGTGTTGTCTATACCAATAAATAAAGTACCTCACCCTTGAAAGCAGGTTACAACTTACCTGTCAGGATGAACAGATGCAAATTTGTTCATTTTATACAAATTTTCTACATTTTCTAAAAATAATGTTATTATTTAATAATCATAGCTGCCATTTTTGAGTCCCTGTTGTGTGTCAAGCACTATGATAACCTCATCATGAAAGTTATTGCATTTAACTCACAGAAAAATCCAAAGAGGGTGTCATTTAAATTTACAGATGAGATATATAAGTCAGGAGAGGCTAGGTAATGCTGTGCTTATCAGCAACCCCTAAACCTCAGTGGCTGATATTCCAGTAATGGAATTAAATAGACATGATGGAATTGGTTAAAAATCTCAAGGATTGGTAAGCCACAAGTCTTTTCCAAGTAAATAAATGTATTGAATATTGGTATGTCTATTCACAGATAATCATTATAAGGTAAAACCTAATGGTAGATGAAAAGACTGTTCATTTATGATATGTCTAATAAAACTATCTCATCTTTCCATTATTGTCAAGGAACAAATAATGTAAATAACAACAAATTTAATGAAAATAATAAGATATATGAAAGAGTTAAATAAAAATGGTAGATGTCAATGCTTTCAAAAGATAAGGTAATAAAAAATCTTCTGGCAATATGAATCAAGAAAATTAGAGCTATGGCACAAATAAACCACTTTTGGAATGAAAAGCTGTCACACTTGCAGCTACAGCAGAGAGTTAATTCAACATAGTGTTGGAAGTTCTGGCCAGGGCAATCAGGCAGGAGAAGGAAATAAAGGGTATTCAATTAGGAAAAGAGAAGGTCAAATTGTCCCTGTTTGCAGATGACATGATTGTATATCTAGAAAACCCCATCATCTCAGCCCAAAATCTCCTTAAGCTGATAAGCAACTTCAGCAAAGTCTCAGGATACAAAATCAATGTGCAAAAATCACAAGCATTCTTATGCACCAATAACAGACAAACAGAGAGCCAAATCATGAGTGAACTCCCATTCACAATTGCTTCAAAGAGAATAAAATACCTAGGAATCCAACTTACAAGGGACGTGAAGGACCTCTTCAAGGAGAACTACAAACCACTGCTCAATGAAATAAAAGAGGATACAAACAAATGGAAGAACATTCCATGTTCATGGGTAGGAAGAATCAATATCATGAAAATGGCCATACTGCCCAAGGTAATTTATAGATTCAATGCCATCCCCATCAAGCTACCAATGACTTTCTTCACAGAATTGGAAAAAACTACTTTAAAGTTCATATGGAACCAAAAAAGAGCCCTCATTGCCAAGACAATCCTAAGCCAAAAGAACAAAGCTGGAGGCATCACACTACCTGACTTCAAGCTATACTACAAGGCTACAGTAACCAAAACAGCATGGTACTGGTACCAAAAAAGGGATATAGACGAATGGAACCGAACAGAGCCCTCAGAAATAATGCCACATATCTACAACCATCTGATGTTTGACAAACCTGACAAAAACAAGAAATGGGGAAAGGATTCCCTATTTAATAAATGGTGCTGGGAAAACTGGCTAGCCATATGTAGAAAGCTGAAACTGGATCTCTTCCTTACACCTTATACAAAAATTAATTCAAGATGGATTAAAGACTTAAATGTTAGACCTAAAACCATAAAAACCCTAGAAGAAAACCTAGGCAATACCATTCAGGACATAGGCATGGGCATGGACTTCATGTCTAAAACACCAAAAGCAATGGCAACAAAAGCCAACATTGACAAATGGGATCTAATTAAACTAAAGAGCTTCTGCACAGCAAAAGAAACTACCATCAGAGTGAACAGGCAACCTACAGAATGGGAGAACATTTTTGCAATCTACTCATCTGACAAAGGGCTAATATCCAGAATCTACAATGAACTCAAACAAATTTACAAGAAAAATACAAACAACCCCATCAACACGTGGGTGAAGGATATGAACACACTTCTCAAAAGAAGACATTTATGCAGCCAAAAGACACATGAAAAAATGCTCATCATCACTGGCCATCAGAGAAATGAACATCAAAACCACAATGAGATACCATCGCACACCAGTTAGAATGGTGATCATTTAAAAGTCAGGAAACAACAGGTGCTGGAGAGGATGTGGAGAAATAGGAACACTTTTACACTGTTGGTGGGACTGTAAACTAGTTCAACCATTGTGGAAGTCAGTGTGGCGATTCCTCAGGGATCTAGAACTAGAAATACCATTTTACCCAGCCATCCCATTACTGGGTATATACCCAAAGGATTATAAATCGTGCTGTTATAAAGACACATGCACATGTATGTTTATTGCAGCACTATTCACAATAGCAAAGACTTGGGACCAAGCCAAATGTCCAACAATAATAGATTGGATTAAGAAAATGTGGCACATATAAACCATGGAATACTATGCAGCCATAAAAAAGGATGAGTTCATGTCCTTTGCAGGGACATGGATGAAGCTGGAAACCATCATTCTGAGCAAACTATCGCAAGGACAAAAAACCAAACACCGCATGTTCTCACTCATAGGTGGGAATTGAACAATGAGAACACACGGACACAGGAAGGGGAATATCACACACCAGGGCCTGTTGTGGGGTGGGGGTAGGGGGGAGGGATAGCATTAGGAGATATACCTAATGTTAAATGACGAGTTAATGGGTGCAGCACACCAACATGGCGCATGTATACATATGTAACAAACCTGCACGTTGTGCACATGTACCCTAAAACTTAAAGTATAATAAAAAATAAAAATAAAAGTAAAGGTGGCTAGAGAAAAAAAAGATAATGTTATTAAAAAGATATGCTGATAATTTGAAAATTTAGATTAATTTCCAGAAAAAAATATATAATTTTTATGTTAAAGAAATAGAAAATATTAAATGTTTTCTTGACATGGAATTCAAAATTACTACTCCATCTCAATTAATTATGTAAATGTAAATATAGAAATAAGATGACAGCAAACTAAATTCTGTAGTGGCTAAAAGAGATAATACAGCATGAGAAAATTGTGTTTAACCTAAGCTTGGAATATTGGCCTAACATAAGGAGATCCATAATATAATTCAACACTTCAATAGAATAAAGGAGGGAGAAAAGGACAATTATCACAAAAGATCCAGAAAAAAAGTATACAATGCAATTCAACAACCAATCAAGACTAAACAGCAACAATAGCAATCACTCCCAGCTAACCAGGAATAGAAATACATTTCTTTAAATTGATAATGGGTATTTTTTAAAAAGCAGCAAATACCATACATAATAGTGAAACATTAATGGCTTTCCATTTTTAAATCAGAAAAGAGACAAGTATGACTCATATAACCACTTCTGTTCAGATTCTTACTGTTTTCCAGGCAGTAAAGTAAGCCAATATAAATACATGCACACACACACACACACACACACACACACACACACACACACATATATAAATGTATAAAAGGGATAAAAAAGAAAACAAGTCTTAATATAATCATCTTTATATAAAACTATGGAATCTATAGAAAATTATAATTAATAATAGAAATTAAACTTACTGGGTATAAGAATAATATAAAATACTTGCAAAATAGAGAAAACACCATTTTCATTGGGAATATACCAATTACAATAGAAAAAAAGATTTTGTAAAATATACTATGAATTGGCTCACTTGGCAACTATTCCAGCACTCACACTCTTATGTGCTATGCTTTCCTTTACTATAGAGACTAAAAAGGTAAAAACAAAAAAGGATGGCCATGTGAGTGTGTCTGTGTGTATACGTATGTGTGTGTGCATGTGTGTGTGTCTTTCAATCTTTCACAATTGAGTATAATGTTAGCTGTGGGCTTTTCATAAATAGCCTTTATTATGTTGAGGTAGTTTCTTTTTAGTCTTAGTTTGGTGAGTATTTTTCTCATGAAATGATATTGAATCTTATTCAATGCTTTTTCTGCATCAGTTGTGATGATCATGTGGTTTCTATACTTCATCTTGTTAATGTTTTATGTTACATTGATTTTCATATGTTGAACCATCCTTGCATCCCAGGAATAAATCCCACTTGGTCATGGTGAATAAACCTTTTTTTTTTTTGAGACAGGGTCTCACTCTGTCACTCCAGCTGGAGTGCAGTGGCACAATCACGGCTCTCCATAACCTCAAACTCCTGGACTCGAGCAATCCTCCTGCTTCAGCTTTCTGAGTAGCTGGGCTGGTTTTGAACACCTGGCCTAAAGTGATCCTCCTGCTTAGCCTCCCAAAGTGCTGGGATTACAGGTGTGAGCCACCACACCTGGCCTATAATCTTTTCAATGTGTTGCTGAATTCAGTTTGCAAGTATTTTGTTGAGGACCTTTGTATCAATATTCATTAGGGATATTGTGTAGTTTTCTTTTCTTTTAGTGTCTTTGTCTGGCTTTGGTATCAGGGCAATACTTTCCTCATAGAAAGAGCTTGGAAGTATTCCCTCTTCTTCAATTTTTTGGAAGTGTTTAAGGAGAATTGGTGTTAATTCTTAAGTTTTGGTATAATTCTCCAGTGAAGCCATCTGGCCCCAGCTTTTCTTTATTGGGAAGTTTTTGATTACTGAATCAACCTCTTCATTTGTTATTGGTCTGTTCAAATTTTCTGTTTCTTTATGATTCAGTCTTGGTAGGTTGCGTGTTTTTAGGAATTTATCCCTTTCTTTCAGGTTTTCCAAATTTGTTCCTGCAAAATTGTTCATAGTATTCTATCATAATCCTTTTTATTTCTGTATCATTGGTTGCAGTGTGCCCTCTTTTAATTTTATTTGAGTCTTCCATCTTTTTTATTAGATTATCAAGCTGAGGTTTTGTCAATTTTGTTTATCTTCTCAACAGACCAACTCTTCATTTTGTTGATTTTTTTCTGAGATTTTTTAATTCTCTAATTAATGGATTTTTGCTCTTATCTTCATTATTTTCTTCCTTCTGCTATCTGTGGGTTTGGTTTGTTTGTTCCTTGAACTAAAAATTTCCTTGAGGTATAAAGATAGATTGTTGATTGAGATCTTTCTTCTTTTTTTTTTTTTTTTGAGATGGAGTCTCGCTCTTTCACCCAGGCCAGAGTGCAGTGGCGCTATTTCGGCCCACTGCAAGCTCCGCCTCCTGAGTTCACGCCATTCTCCTGCCTCAGCCTCCCGAGTAGCTGGGACTACAGGCGCCTACCACCGCGCGTGGCTAATTTTTTGTATTTTTAGTAGAGACGGGGTTTCACCGTGTTAGCCAGGATGGTCTCGATCTCCTGACCTCGTGATCCGCCCGCCTTGGCCTCCCAAAGTGCTGGAATTACAGGCGTGAGCCACCGCGCCCGGCCTCTTCTTTTTAATATACACATTTACACCCATGCATTTACCTCTTAGCATTGCTTTTGCTCTATCCCATAATTTTTCGTATGTTGTGTTTTCATTTTCATTCGTCTCAAAGTATTTTCTAGTTTCCTCTGTGACTTCTTCTTTGGCCAATTTATTGGAGTATGTAGTTTAATTTCCACATATTTGTAGACTTTTAGTTTTCCTTATACTATTGATTTCTAGTTTTATTCCATTGTGATAGGAAAAGATACTTTGTTTGACTGCAATCTTCTTGAATTTGTTAAGACTTGTTTTGTGGCCTAATATCATCTATCCTATAGAATGTTCCATGTGCACTTGATAAGTGTGTATATTCTGCTGTTGTTGGGTGCAGTGTTTTGTATACATATGTTAGGTGCAGTTAAACTAGTGTTGTTCAATCCTCTGATTTCTTATTGATCTTCTATCTGGTTGTTTTGTCTATTGTTGAAAGTTAGGTATCTAAGTATCCTGCTATTATGTGGCTATCTTTTTCTCACTTTAATTCTTTCAAAATTTGATTCATGTACTTAATAGCTCTGAGGTTTGGTGCCTAAATACTTATACTTATTATATCTTCTTGGTGAATCAACCGTTTATCATTATATAATGTCCTTTTTGTCTCTTGTAACAGTCTTTTCTTAATTTAAAATTTGTCTGTTTCACATGGAGCCAACCCAAATGCCCATCAATGATAGACTGGACAAAGAAAATATGGTACATATACACCATGGAATACTATGCAGCCATAAAAAGGAGTGAGATCATGTCCTATGCAGGGACATGAATGAAGCTGGAAGCCATCATCCTCAGCAAACTAACACAGAAACAGAAAACCAAACACAACATGTTCTCACTCATAAGTGGGAGTTGAACAATGAGAACACATGGACACGGAGAGGGAAACAACACACACTGGGGCCTGTTGGGGAGTGGGGTGCGAGGGGAGGGAACCTAGATGAAGGGTCAATCAATAGGTGCAGCAAGCCAAGGTGGCACACATATACCTATGTAACAAACCTGCATGTTCTGCCCATGTATCCCGGAACTTAAAATAAAATTTTTTTTTAATTAATTGTCTTTTTTTTTAACCCACTCAGCATATCTAGGTATTTTGATTGGGGAGTTTAATCCAATTCCATTTAAAGTACTTACTGATAGTAATTATCATTTTGTTAATTGTTTTCTATATGTCTTGCAGCTTTTTTGTGCCTCTTTTCCTCTCTTACTGACTTCCTTTGTGTTTCATCAATTTTTTTTTGTAATGGTATGCTTTGATTCCCTTCTTGTTTGCTCTTATGTGTATCCTGTAGATATTTTCTCTGTGGTTTACCACTGCAATTACATAAAACATATTAAATTAAAGGTATAGCATTATATTTTAAATTGATAACAACTTAACTGCAAATTGCATACAAAATTCTCCTTTACAACTCCACACTTCCCATTTTATGTTATTGATGTGGCAAATTACATCTTCATATATTATGTACTCATTAAAATAGGTTTATATTTTTAAAAAATGTTTTTGTCATTTAAATTCTGTGCATAAAATTACAATAGTGCCAGTTATTTTATTCATCCATTTGTGTACCTTTACTGATGAACCTTATATTTTTGTACAGCTTTGTGTCTACTGTCCTACTTCAATTTGAAGGACTCTTTTTAGCATGTCTTTAGAGCAGGTCTGGCAGTAATGAACTTCCTCAGCTTTTGTTTATCTGGGAAAGTCTTGTTTCCCCTTCAATTTTGAAGTATAGCTTTTCTTAATACATTATTCTTGATTGACAGTTATTTTTCTTAAAGCAGTTTGAATGTGTCATCCCACTGTCTTCTTGCCTGCAAATTTTCTGCTGAGAAATACACTGATAATCTTATGGAAGCTCCATTGCAACAAATCACTTTTCTCTTGCTGCTTTTAAGATTCTATTTTTGACTTCAGACAGTTTCATTATAATGTGTCTCATTTTATTTTTATTTTCCGAGTTGAAGATATTTGAGCTTTTAAAATCTATATATCCATTTCCTTTTCCAGATTTGGAAAGTTTTTGGCCATTATTTCTTCAAATAAGCTATTTGCTTCTTTCTATCTCTCTTTTCCTTCTGGAATTTCCATAATGCATGTCTTGCCTGCTTGATCATGTCCCAAGTGTTCTCTTTACTTTTCTTCATTGCTTTTTCTTTTTCCTTCTCTAACTTGGTTTTTCAAATGACCTATATTTACGTTTGCTGATTATTTCTTCTGCCAGATCAGTTGTGCTGTTAAATCCCTTTAATAAATATTAGTTTCATTATTGTATTTTTTAGCTCTAAAATTTCTTTTTTAATAGTTTCTGTTTTTCATTGATATTCTCATTTTGTTAATCCATTCTTTTATTCATGTTACTTATCTGTATATCTATGTTCTCTTTTAGTTCACTGAGTATCTTTATGGCAGTTATTTTAAATTCTTTGTCAGGCAGCTCATAGATCTGTGTTTCTTTAGGTTGGTTTCTAGAGTTTAATTTCTTCTTTTGATTGGGCCATGTTCCTCTGTATGCCTTCCTATTTTTTGTTAGAATTTGAGTATTTGAAAAACAAGCCACCTCACGCAGTCTTTGTATACTAGCATCGTGCAAGAGAAGACTATCAATAATCAGTCCAGGCCGGGTGTGGTGGCTCACGCCTGTAATCTCAGCACTTTGGGAAGCCGAGGCGGGCGGATCACGAAGTCAGGAGATCAAGACCATCTTGGCTAACATGGTGAAACCCCATCTCTACTAAAAATACAAAAACTTAGCCAGGCGCAGTGGCGGACGCCTGTAGTCCCAGCTACTCGGGAGGCTGAGGCAGGAGAATGGCGTGAACCCGGGAGGCAGAGCTTGCAGTGAGCAGAGATAGCACCACTGCAGTCCGCCCTGGGTGAAAGAGTGAGACTCCATCTCAAAAAAATAAAAAATAAAAAACCAGTCCAGCTGGAGATTCTAGGATCTCTCAAGCATTTTCTAATCTATTGTTCCCCCTGACATCTGCCTGTGGAATGGAAACTCTAACATGCTTCTTACTTCTGTTTTCAGCAGTGTCCAAAATATTGCATGGGTCCCATCAGCTCTTGAGTCAGGCAAGACAGAAACTAGCCCCTTGGGAAGCTTTCAGATGAACCAGAACGTTGGACATATAGCCCACTATTTTTTCCATTATGAGGAAGGAGCCTGTGTACAGAAGTTTCTCATGGTCATTCCGTGCTATGCCACATAGGAGAAACATTAATGGATGCCCTAAATACCACAAATTTTCCTACCCCGTTTGCAGTATTCCTCTGGGTTTTACAATAGCCTAAGTGCTATAGCTTCCCAACTTGTCTCTAGAATTGTCAGAGGTATTCTGATCCATGTATTGTTAACTCAAGATGTATATGGAAGGACAACTTGTAGCTTTCTAGCTTGAGATCATGCTGATGTCAGTCTAGAATATTCAATTTTATATCCTGGACTTTTTTCCACATTGTGTCATGTAGTATGAGGAATACTCTAGCTTTATTTTCCAAGTCTACCACTTAAACCAGAACAATTTCTTGAATAATGAAGTTGGAAATTAGAAACTTAAATCCCCCCCACCACCATTGAAGCTTTCCATATACATATTTCAGTCTCTGAGCTTCTTATTTTGATTTCCTTAATCAGTATGTCAGATTATTTTCCAACATGGTTTTCTTGTTTTAATATTGCCACTTAATAAAACACATTAGTAGCCAACACAGCAATTTGTCCCTATACACTCATCTGTATTCCTCCTCATTTCCAGGAGGATTAATAACAACAAATGCAACTAAGACATATTTCTTCCTCAATAAATGCCAGATGTTGTACTAAGTTCTTGACATAGCAATAGAAAACTTATTTATAGTGCTTGTTAGGTCACAGGCATTTCTTCAGGTGCTTTTTATGTATTTCCATGTGTTAACTCATTTAATTTTTACACTAACCCAGGAGGTAGAAACTGTTACTATCTTTGAGTTAGGGGGAAAACAAACAAGAACTTGAGTCACAATGAGGTCAATTATTTGCCTTGGATCACAGAATTTAGCACCAGGATTGAAATCCTGGTGGATCTGACCTCAAATCCTAGGCCCATAACCAATAATGTGCGACTCTGTGTCAAGGCTGAAATGAGCGGTGCGACAGAGCCCACTCAAAGTCTGGTGGCCAACGATGGGTGTTGTGTCTGAAACCAATGACCCCTGACTCCAGCCTTCTGTGCAAGAGACTTATCAATGCACACTGTTGCCCGGTACCATCTCTCCTTTTTGAGACTGTGTGGGAACTGTTTCTCTGGTGTTCAACTGGAAGTGAAGTAACAGGGACAGATAAGACATACATGGAAAGGAAGGAAGGAAGGTTTCCAGAGGGGGATGTATCACCAGGATGAATTCATTTCCCTGGAGGCTTTTTCAATGTGTGTTTTGTTGTCTTCTCTGTACTCACCCTCTTCTTTCTGACCCACACATCCATTCCTTGGCCTTTTTAGTCTGTATGTCAGGTACTCATGCCCTTTCCTTGCCATGCCTACTTGATTCCAAGGACAATCATTTCTACTTCTCCCTTAACAATATTAGCCACTCTCTGGTCCCGTCATCCTTCTGTCCCAAACAACCTGTAAAGCACAGCCATATAAACATATGTATATATTTAGGCAGAGAGTGATTTATGTAATAAATTCAAAAAGTGAAATATCCAGATCATTGTAAGAATGACTTCTGAATGGTTAGGCATATTGCAGAAAATTAGACTCACACATGGTTAGTGCAAGTGTATATTGGTGTAAATATCACTGAAAATCCTTAGGAAAATATCACTTTATGCTTAAAAGTATTCATGTGCTTTTCCTGGGAAAGTGTAGAGCAGGGACTCAAAATCTTAGCCCCACTTCAAAGCCCAAGCTGTGTTCCACTGGGTTTTTTGGCCTCCCCCACTGGGGGTGCTCTGTAACCCTGGTCAACTCATGGATATTGTTCCATTACATTATTGTACAGAGAACTGTACTACTTTCTTATTTTAAAACAATCAACTCAAATATTAAAACACCAAGAGGTAAAGAAAAAAAAACCACTAAAAAGCATATTCTGAACAAGAAACAAAATTTGGCCATATATAATACATAACACAGTAAACGAAATGTGTAGTGGGATCCAGTGTTGTCTGGCAATGTGTTTACCAACATGATTTGGAGTACATGTATCAGTAACCTAATTCTAAAAGTATGTAATACAAAACACTAATCTTGCTTGCATGGGCAACGCGGACACACAGACACACACTCTTTCCTTTCT
Organism: Homo sapiens; assembly: GCF_000001405.40. Lineage (NCBI taxonomy): Eukaryota > Metazoa > Chordata > Mammalia > Primates > Hominidae > Homo > Homo sapiens. The sequence continues at coordinate 101,846,326 of NC_000023.11, read as the reverse complement.
CTGAGACAGGGATGGTACTTCCTGTCTGTCACAAGGCTGAGTGAACACAGCATGCCTGTAGGTCCAAAACATTCTTCCTACGGAGACCAGATGTCCAGAAAGCTCTATCTACTGGATTCAGGGAATGCCTCTCCTCATTTTTGTCACCACTATTTGCAAAAGTCCCCTTCTCTGAGATCCTCAAAGCTGCAGTTCTAGCCTTAGTCTACAGGGAGGTACTTAGTCTACAGGGAGGTACTTATTTCTAATGATACATCAATGAAAAAAATATTAATTTTGCAGAAGAAAAATGTAATTCATTTTAGTTTTGCAAGCAGGTTATGAAATAGTTCTGCAGCATGAATAGGTCTGGAATAAATAAATAGAGGTTGGTAGAAATGGTTCAGATGGATGTATTCTCAAAAGTGCTTTTGTCGATGATCCCAAAACTACATCACGTGCATTCTTTTCACAAATATTAATTAGGCCCTTATTCTATGCCAGACCACTACCAGCCTAAAGTGACTCCAAATCTGAAAACCCGTGGCCCAAAGAGATTTCACCCATCTGGTCCAAGACAGAGATCTCCACTTTATCCAAGAAACCTGGTTCCCACCCCAACAGGAGTGACTAGCATAAAACATCATCCCTGGCCTGCTCGGAAAAATCTGTCCATGAGACCGGAAAGCTTTCCATTTAAGGGAGAACCAGTGCAGTCTCTGGAGGAGCACTCAGGGTGTAGAGGCAGACCAATATACGTGAGGACATAATTCCTGTTCTGCCACTTACTTGACTGGGAAATGTACATGACATCTGTGAGCCTAATATTCACGATCTGAAAAGGGACTGTGGATAGAATTCTCATGGGATTTCTGTGAGGAGGTCAAGAGAAACCTAGTGAGTCTGCCCAACACTGAGCAGATGTTGGTTGCCACTGGGCAAGGGTTGGTTTTCTTCTTATCCCATTCTTTCCCTGCCGTAGCAGGGATGCTGATGCCATGCACTCAGTGGCATGGCAGTGATGTAGGCAGAATTCCAAAATGACACAGGAAGTTCCAGTAGGAACGCACATGATGTCATAAACGATACTCACTACTATGTCTGTGTGGGAGGACCAACCAACATATGGTGGGGCCTGATGGGAAACCCAGGTGGTCTGGGTGAGAAGCACAAGCTGCTTTATGTTGAGAACACCTGTAATTCTGGCAGCACAACTGCAAGACAGGGATTGTGCAGAGATGCCAGAGTTCAGTAAGTAGATGTGCACCTGTGTGTGTCTTATCTTCAGCATCTCTCTCTGTCGGGTCCCTCTGTGGCTTTTTATTACATGTGCTCTCTTCAAACACAAGGCCTTGCCTGAGGATGTAGCTGTACCTGTTGGCTAGCTAACTTTTACACCTTCTGCCCCTCAGTGACATTATTTCTGAAGTAATGCTGGTTCTCAAAAATAACATTGACTCTTCCTATGCTCCATATATTGACCATGTGCCCTTAACCCTCACTTTAATCTTTGATTTTTGTCCCTTTCATTTATGGACTTTCATGAAAATGAGTTGGTTCCTGGACATCCTCCAAATGTCACCAATATGGACCTTTGTTGTTGTTGTTGAGTATTGTTATGGACTCATAGCTTTTTAACATACCAGTTAAAGGATTTTGAGTAGAGGAATGACAAGATTTGACTTATGCTTTAAAAAATCACTCTGCCTGCTGTGTTGAAAATAGATGGTAAGGGAGCCAAGGGCAAAAGCAGAAGGACAAGTTGGAAAGCAGCATAATCCAGGAGATAGATGTTGGTGACCTGGCCAGGGTAGGTAGCAATGGAGGGGGTGAGAAGTTGCCAGACTCTGGATATATTTTAAAGGTAGAGACAAGAGAAGATACATCCATTCTGATCGGTTGGATGTAGAGTGTGAGAGAAAGAGAGCATTCCAGGCCCACTTCCAAGTTGTGGGGACCAAGCATCAGGAATGTCTAGGTCAGATGCTCTGCCCACATTTAATTTCACTTCTAATGGCACACAGGGAAAGTCCCAACACTCGAGAGTAGCAGGACTGTCCTGACAGTGGGTCACACACAGTGAAAGCAACGACCCCCCCCCCCCGCAACAGAAGTTAATCTGAGGCCTGGCCATAATCAGTACATTGCAGAGAGGTCAGCAGTGACTGAAATTTTATTCATAAGGGTGCCCTGAGACAAGGTGTACATTTTGAAATTGGTTGAGGTCTGTTTGATGGCCCAGGAGATGGTCTACCTTCGTGAATGCTGCAAGACAGTAGGGGGGGAGTGGAAAAAGCATGCCCTGCTTTCGTTGTTGGGTACAGTGTTTTATTCATGTCATTTAGATCCTGTTACTGTAGTGGTTTTTAATATCCTTGCCGATTTTCTTTCTTTCTAGTAATTCTGTCACTTGCTTAGGAAGAGTTGTCTCTTGGGCTGAAAGCATTTCGGGCTGGGCAAAAAGAAAGCTTGCTCTGGATATTTCAAACTGAGTATTGTTGAGGGCAAGGCTGTAGACAGGAGGGCAGCTTGGGAAGCTGTTACATCAGTCCCACCTGTCATTAAAGCTTGTACTACACCGGCAAAGAAGTACAGCTTGCTGATTGTTCACAGAATGCATTTGGGGACTGGAGGTGCGATTTCGGAGGTGCGAGAGAGGTTGTCTCCCAAGTGTTGGTGCTGTTGTTTGATTAGAGAAGCCTGAGAGAAGGCAAGATTAGGACCCTTTCCAGGTGTGTAGCTGGTGTCTAGTCTAACCCATGGACACATGCACCTCTGTTCTTTATAATTCCTGCTCCATTTTTTAAGAGGTTCAACACAGTTGCTTCCTCTTCCAGGATTTCTCCCCTGATTGTGCCACCTGTGAGATAAGGCTCTTGTATCTGGACAGGCAGAGGAGTTTGTTTTCTGGGGCTTGTGTGATCGGTCCCTTGGGGCAGGTTGACACTTTGCTTGTCCTACCATGGAGTTAGCCCACAACATGAGACATGGTAAGTGGACCATTGATGTGTCTTCAAACTTGTGTTTTGTTCCCAATTGCAGAATGCCGTATATGTAGTAGCACTTTTCAAAGAAGGAAGAAAGGTGGGAGTCATTTCCAGGGTAATTTTGACAAGAGGAACTGTCATTATGAACATGGTGGGTATGAACTTCTGCCTTCACGCTGCCAGGAGAATGATGGAAGCATGGAGATGAGGGATGTCCACAAGGACCGCCAACTAAGACAGTAAGTGACCAGGCAGCCTGGTTTGCACGTAGCAGCCTCCGGGACTGTGCAACCCTTTCATTCTCTGTGGTCTTCCTTTTCTTCTCTCATTAGAGAACTGAAGAATGCTGGAAGTGGAATAATGGCTGAGCAATCCCAATTGAAGCCTTGGTGTCAGTGAGGGGAGTGTGTATAGAAGACTTTCTTAGCTTTAATGAATATCCACCTTCTCTCCCTTTCCCCACAGCACTCCTTATAGAATCCAATGCAACAGGAAGCTAGTGAAATGACATAGTGAAGATCAAATCCATATTACCATTTGGAGAAATAGAAAACCTCCAGAGAGAAAAATGAGGCGGAACACACAAGATGAAAACATGAGGAAATGGTTCAAGGTCACAGTGAGTATCTCGTTGAGGTCTGCATTAGGTAGAATATTCTGGGCCAGGCACGGTGGCTCACACCTGTAATCCCAACACTTTGGGAGGCCGAGGCAAGCAGATCACTTGAGGTTAGAAATTTGAGACGAGCCTGAGCAACATGGTGAAACCCCACGTCTACTAAAAATACACTAACTAGCCGGGCATGGTGGCAGTCACCTGTAAATCCAGCTACTCGGAAGGCTGAGGCAGGAGAATCGCTTGAACCTGGGAGGCGGAGGTTGCTGTGAGCTGGGATCATGCCACTGCACTCCAGCTTGGGCAACAGAGCAAGACTCTGTCTCCAAAAAGAAAGAAAGAGAGAGAGAAAGAAGGAAGGAAGGAAGGAGGGAGGGAGGGAGGGAGGGAGGGAAGGAAGGAAGAAAGGGAGGGAGGGAGGAAGGAAGGAAGGAAGGAAGGAAAGAGAGAGACAGAAGGAAGGAAGGAGAAGAAAGAAATGGAAGAAAGAAAGAAAGAAAGAGAGAGAGAGAATATTCTGGAACCTGATAGAAAGAAGACCACATAAAACACCCTAAGTTGATTATTTGAAAGAGAGCTTCAGAATGGAGAGAAAGGTAGCTTAGGGAATCCATATTTGGCACAAAAATAAGAAATCATGTCAGTGGTCCCTTCTTTAGAAGTCCAAGCTAAGTAGAAAGCTGGAAAAATAAACAGCTGGTTGTTTCTGTTCTCCAAACTTAGTTCCATGTTGTCTCTCCCTTCTCTGCTATTTCTTCTTTTTATGCTTAGATTCCTTATGGGATAAAGTATGACAAGGCATGGCTAATGAATTCAATCCAGAGCAATTGCAGTGTCCCCTTCACTCCGGTTGATGTAAGAGAGGATGGTGAAGCCAGATGAGTGGACACAGGGGATGGAGAGAGACCTGGCTCAGCAGGGGCCATTGGCCTCTGACGCTGTTGCTCTTGCCTTCACTCCCTGTAGTTCCACTACATCCGAAATCGGGCATGCTTCTTTGTCCAGGTTGCTAGTGCTGCCTCTGCATTGAAGGATGTCAGTTATAAGATTTATGATGATGAGAACCAAAAGGTGTGTGCTGAGGGCATTCCCTGTACTTAGTCTTTGGGCAGGAGGACAGGCCAGGGGACTGGTCATTGTCTTTGGGATTGGAGGTCCTGGTACTTACCACCCTGCCTTCCTGCAGATATGTATATTTGTCAGTCATTTTACTGCGCCCTACTCTGTGAAGAATAAGTTGAAGCCAGGCCAAATGGAGATGCTAAAGGTAATACAGACTCAAGGATCATTGTATGTCCACTTCCTGGACCCACCTCTTCTTCCCCTGGCCCCCTCTTTCCCTGTCACCACCACCACCACCACCACCACCATCACCAGAGCCCCAGAGCCTCTGTCTTCATCTCTATCTCTGCAGCTGACCATGAACAAACGGTACAATGTCTCCCAGCAAGCTCTTGATCTCCAGAATCTCCGCTTTGACCCAGGTAAGGCTGACAGCAGCAATTCTAAGACAAGCGGGGGCAGAGAGGTCTGCCTGGGAGGGAGACTTAGGAATGGCAATTTACAGAGGGGTTGGGGCTGGCTCTGGTCCAGCCAGGGCCCTCCCAGCCTTCCGATTCCCTTCTCTTGGCTTCTTCAAGACTTGATGGGCCGTGACATTGATATAATCCTGAATCGAAGAAACTGCATGGCTGCCACCCTGAAGATCACTGAAAGAAATTTCCCTGAGGTGAAGCCTTAGGCTCAGTGCTGGTATTTAGTTAGAGGGGTGGAAGGGATAAGGTGGAGGGCAGATTTGTCTCTGAGGCCCAAGATAGTAGCCGCCACTCTAACTCTTCTTGACCCAAAGCTGTTGTCTTTGAACTTGTGCAACAACAAACTGTACCAGCTGGATGGCCTTTCTGACATTACAGAGAAGGCTCCCAAAGTCAAGACCCTGAATCTCTCCAAAAATAAGGTGAGAAGGGGGAGCCAGATCAACTTTGGGTGGAGGGCAGGACACATCAGGATAATGGCAACAGCCAGGCAGTGGCACCTGTGGGTGACTATGAGGGCCGGGGGAATTCAGGGCCCAGGGTCCTGGGTGTCTCTCTTTCCCTGGCCCTCCTTCTCCAGTTTCCTCCCCATCTTTCTTAGCTGGAGTCGGCGTGGGAGTTGGGCAAGGTGAAAGGGCTGAAGCTCGAAGAGCTATGGCTAGAAGGGAACCCGTTGTGCAGCACCTTCTCGGACCAGTCTGCCTATGTAAGGTCAGTGGCAACCCCTGTCACCCTTCCTGGGCACCTTTGCTCCCTGGGTGACTGAGCTGTGTCTGAAGGTGCCCTTCTGCAGGAAGAAGCAGCCTTGGTCCTCTGGGAGGACCACAGACCTCCCTTCCTACTCTCTCTCTCTCTCTCTCCTCTCTCTCTGTCACTCACTCATCTGTGCTTAGAGGTCTCCTTTCCTTCCTCTGACATGGTCCCCTTTTCACCTGCTCTGGGGTGTGTTTCCCGCCTGTCTCCACCAAGCCTCCTCCAGTGTGCCCTCTGTGAGTGTGCTCCAGGAAGTGGGGCTCCCCCACCTCCCCAGGACCAGCAGTATTCAGATGCTGGTGCCCTGGACCGAGAAGAGTCCTTTAGTCCGGGGCTTCATGCTGAGACAGGCCTTCCTGCCTCCATGCTGAGATGGGGCTTCCCTCCCCTGTCCCGAGAGGGGTTCTCCTTCTCTTGCTCCAAAAAGGTCCCCCCACCTGTCCTGGGCTGGCATGGGGGCTTCCCTGCCCCATACTGAGGGCTGGGGCCCCGGGTGGCTGCTGTCATGCCATCTCTTCCTCTGGCCCAATGCCAGGAGCTGGGCCCTCCTTGGGGAGAAACCTGGGTTTCCTACGTCAAGGGTCCAGAAGCGGGCCACGTTCCTGAGGCAGGAGTGGAAGGCAGAGGGCAGAGGAGGTTGAGAAGACAGAAGGACAGGCCTCTCAGGGCACTGCCCCACCTTCCCTCCTTCTCCACCTCACATCGTCCTGCCTGGGCCCTCAGAGGAGCCCTGGGTAGCCCGAGATGGGTAGCATTCCTCGGTCAAGGCGTCAGCACAGAGGGGCACAGGAGTCAGGGACCATCAGAAGAGAATGCAGTGGTCTGGAGAGGGGGTCCCCAGACTCTGAACCCCATGCTGAGCTGGGGCCTGACTCTTCACTCCTCCCGGGAGAAGGTCTCCTGTCCCCGTGGCTGCTCTGTTTCCCATGCCCAGCTCAGACTGAGCTCACACAGGTGAGGAAGGCTCCAGCTGCAACCAGTGGGCCCCAGCCCAACAGGCGCATGTTTTCCTTTCCTGCCTCGGTCCCCGGGGCCAGCCAGGGAGCAGTGAGGGAAAGGGCTGCAGCAGGGGAGCCCTTTTCTCCTCTTCTCCTCCCTGAACTCCACCTCCGCAGTAGAGAGTCTTTCCCTTCCCTTTGCATTGCATCCTGTTTCTCCCTTGTCTCTCCTCTCCTATGTCTCACCCATCCGTCCCTCCCCTACCTTCACCCCGTTTCTGTTGTTGTCCCCCCTGCCTTCCGCTTCCTGCCTCCTGAGTCCGGCCTCACTCACCTCCGTGTCCCAGCATCCTGGGCCATCCCTAAGGGCTGACCTGGTCTTGGCCAGGGCCTGGTCAGGCAGGTTGATGGACAGCCAGTGAGGTGGCAGAGCCCTGGGCTCCCACCCCATTTCCTGCTCCCTGCAGAGCCTTCCATGGTGACTTGGGCAAAGGGGAGGGAGGGAGAGGAAGAAAGCCCTGGAGCCTGGGCTCCCAGTGCTGCTTCTTGTGGCACTGGAGAAAAGGGAGTCAGGACAGTCTAGATGGAAGCTAACCAGGAGGAAGGAGAGGGAGGAGTGTGAGAGGGAGTGGGAGAGAGACTGTGCAACCCTGAACTGTCAGTCACTTCATTCAATTTTTGGTTTTGGACAGTGCCATCCGGGATTGTTTCCCCAAGTTGTTACGCCTGGTAAGTATGTATAATACCGTCATCATTGTCTCCTCTTACTCAAGAAAAGGACCTCCACGCCTGCCCTCAAGTCCTTTGGGTCTTGCCTAGATTACATGCTTGTATCAGACCCTCATCCATTTTACAGGCATGGATTCCTGAAAAAGACAAGAATATTCTCCCTGGAAAATGTGTCCCCCCACCGCCACCCCCCCCCACACACACATTTGCATGTGATAGTAGAGATGTCCAGCACCCCATGAGAAAGCCACCCACTGGAATTTCCAGGGCCATTTCCCACCTAGCCTCTGATGCTTGTCTCCCTGGGCATGTTCATCTTATCGATCATCCAGCTCCACCTCCTTGGTCTCCACTGCTGACTTCCTCTTTCCTTCTCCAGGACGGCCGAGAGTTATCCGCACCAGTGATTGTTGACATTGACAGCTCTGAGACAATGAAACCCTGCAAGGTGAGGAAGAAGGACCAAGCAAGATTTGGGTTGCTGTAAGGGAGGCTTTGTCCACCGCATAGATCCAAATTGTCTTTTGATTTCAGGAAAACTTTACTGGATCTGAGACCCTAAAGCATTTAGTCCTGCAATTCCTGCAGCAGTGAGTATCCCTGGGACCATGAGGAAGGGGAGGGCTGAGACAGGCTGGGCACCCGTGCAGCCTGGGAGTTTTCAAGTCTCATCTGGGGCCCAGGCCACAGAGATAGCCTATCCTCACTGCTTTCCCCACAGGTATTACTCGATCTATGACTCTGGAGATCGACAGGGTCTCCTCGGTGCTTACCACGATGAGGCCTGCTTCTCCTTGGCTATTCCCTTCGACCCCAAGGACTCAGCCCCATGAGTATCACGGCTCAGACCCTGCTCTGGGGCTGTGTGTCTCCCCAGCAGACACAGGCCAACTCCTGGAAATGCCCACACTGGCCGGACCACCCACTCCTGCTCCTCTTTTTCTCCTAGGAGCAACTTGTGCAAGTACTTCAAGGATAGCAGGAATATAAAAATTCTCAAAGACCCCTGTAAGTGTGTGATGGAGAAGATTGGGCAGGGTAAAGGAGTGTGACAGGAACAATCACAGGGGCCAAGGACCAGGGTATGGCAGCTCCCCCAACCCCACACCTTCCTTGCTTCTCTTCTTCTCTATAGACCTGCAGAGGAAGCTGCTAAAGCACACAAAATGTCCACGAAACGTGGACTCCCTCAGTGCATTGCCTGAAACTCAGCATGACTTCACCTCCATCCTGGTGGACATGTGGTA